>NC_000018.10:27161206-27786206 GCF_000001405.40 Homo sapiens
TGTCAATTTTAGATCTTTCCTGCTTTCTCTTGTGGGCATTTAGTGTTATAAATTTCCCTGTACACACTGCTTTAATAGTGTCCCAGAGATTCTGGTATGTTGTGTCTTTGTTCTTGTTTGTTTCAAAGAACATCTTTATTTCTGCCTTCATTTCGTTATGTACCCAGTAGTCATTCAGGAGCAGGTTGTTCAGTTTCCATGTAGTTGAGCAGTTTTGAGCGAGTTTCTGGATCCTGAGTTCTAGTTTGATTGCACTGTGGTCTGAGGGACAGTTTGTTATAATTTCTATTCTTTTACATTTGCTGAGAAGTGCTTTACTTTCAACTAAGTGGTCAATTTTGGAATAAGTGTGGTGTGGTGCCGAGAAGAATGTATATTCTGTTGATTTGGGGTGGAGAGTTCTGTAGATGTCTATTAGGCCCACTTGGTGCAGAGCTGAGTTCAATTCCTGGATATCCTTAACTTTCTGTCTCGTTGATCTGTCTAATGTTGACAGTGGGGTGTTAAAATCTCCCGTTATTATTGTGTGGGAGTCCAAGTCTCTTTCTAGGTCTCTAAGGACTTGCTTTATGAATCTGGGTGCTCCTGTATTGTGTGCATATATATTTAGGATAGTTAGCTCTTCTTGTTGAATTGATCCCTTTACCATTATGTAATGGCCTTCTTTGTCTCTTTTGATCTTTGTTGGTTTAAAGTCTGTTTTATCAGAGACTAGGATTGCAACCCCTGCCTTTTTTTGTTTTCCATTTGCTTGGTAGATCTTCCTCCATCCCTTTATTTTGAGCCTATGTGTGTCTCTGCACATGAGATGGGTTTCCTGAATACAGCACACTGATGGGTCTTGACTCTTTATCCAATTTGCCAGTCTGTGTCTTTCAGTTGGAGCATTTAGCCCATTTACATTTAAGATTAATATTGTTATGTGTGAATTTGATCCTGTAATTATGATGTTAGCTGGTTATTTTGCTCATTAGTTGATGCAGTTTCTTCCTAGCCTTGATGGTCTTTACAATTTGGCATGTTTTTGCAGTGGCTGCTACTGGTTGTTCCTTTCCATGTTTAGTGCTTCCTTCAGGAGCTCTTTTAGGGCAAGCCTGGTGGTGAGGCAAGCTCTCAGCATTTGCTTGTCTGTAAAGGATTTTATTTCTCCTTCACTTATGAAGCTTAGTTTGGCTGGATATGAAATTCTGGGTTGAAAATTCTTTTCTTTAAGAATGTTGAATATTGGCCCCCACTCTCTTCTGGCTTGTAGAGTTTCTGCCAAGAGATCCGCTGTTAGTCTGATGGGCTTCCCTTTGTGGGTAACCCAACCTTTCTCTCTGGCTGCTCTTAACATTTTTTCCTTCATTTCAACTTTGGTGAATCTGACAATTATGTGTCTTGGAGTTGCTCTTCTCGAGGAGTATCTTTGTGGCGTTCTCTGTATTTCCTGAAACTGAAAGTTGGCCTGCCTTGCTAGATCCTTTAAGGACTTCTCTGCATTGGTTATTCTAGTTAGCCATTTGTCTAATTTTTTTTCGAGGTTTTTAACTTCTTTGCCATGGCTTCGAACTTCCTCCTTTAGCTCGGAGTAGTTTGATCGTCTGAAGCCTTCTTCTCTCAAGTCGTCAAAGTCATTCTCCATCCAGCTTTGTTCCGTTGCTGGTGAGGAGCTGTGTTCCTTTGGAGGAGGAGAGGCGCTCTGCTTTTTAGAGTTTCCAGTTTTTCTGCTCTGTTTTTTCCCCATCTTTGTGGTTTTATCTACCTTTGGTCTTTGATGATGGTGACGTACAGATGGGGTTTTGGTGTGGATGTCCTTTCTGTTTGTTAGTTTTCCTTCTAACAGTCAGGACCCTCAGCTGCAGGTCTGTTGGAGTTTGCTGGAGGTCCACTCCAGACACTTGTTTGCCTGGGTATCAGCAGTGGAGGCTGCAGAACAGTGGATATTGGTGAACAGCAGATGTTGCTGCCTGATCGTTCCTCTGGAAGTTTTGTCTCAGAGGAGTACCTGGCCATGTGAGGTGTCAGTCTGCCCCTACTGGGGGGTGCCTCCCAGTTAGGCTACTCAGGGGTCAGGGACCCACTTGAGGAGGCAGTCTGTCCGTTCTCAGATCTCCAGCTGCATGCTAGGAGAACCGCTACTCTCTTCAAGGCTGTCAGACAGGGACATTTAAGTCTGCAGAGGATTCTGCTGCCTTTTGTTTGGCTGTGCCCTGCCCCCTAGAGGTGGAGTCTACAGAGGCAGGCAGGCCTCCTTGAGCTGCAGTGGGCTCCACCCAGTTCAAGCTTCCTGGCCGCTTTGTTTACCTACTCAAGCCTCCGCAATGGCGGGCGCCCCTCTCCCAGCCTCACTGCCGCCTTGCAGTTTCATCTCAGACTGCTGTGCTAGCAATGAGCGAGGCTCCGTGGGCGTAGGACCCTCCAAGCCAGGTGCAGGATATAATCTCCTGCTGTGACGTTTGCTAAGACCACTGGAAAAGCGCATTATTAGGGTGGGAGTGACCCTAATTTCCAGGTGCCATCTGTCACCCCTTTCTTTGACTAGGAAAGGGAATTCCCTGATCCCTTGCACTTCCCGGGTGAGGCCATGCCTCACCCTGCTTCGGCTCACGCTCAGTGCACTGCACCCAATGTCCTGCACCCACTTTCTGATACTCCCCAATGAGATGAACCCTGTACCTCAGTTGGAAATGCAGAAATCACCCGTCTTCTGTGTTGCTCATGCTGGGAGCTGTAGACTGGAGCTGTTCCTATTCGGCCATCTTGGCTCCACCCTTGTTTCACACAAAGTTTTATAAATATGGAATGCAGACAAAGGAGTGATAACTAACTTTAAAGATCATAAAAGCTGAAATGAAAGTTTTTTCATAGATACCAGAAAGAAGCAAGATGTTGTTTGCTATAAAATCCAGGAAAGGTTGACCAGGTTGCCCCGAAGAGGGAAGGCAAGAGAGAAGGCAACAGATTATCAGAACAAAAGTGAGGCAAAGAATGTGGGGACAAAACAAAACAAAACAAAGTAAAACCAAAAAGTTAAAATAACTATATGTCACAGCCTCAGAAAGATAAGAGAAAATATTGGTTCCACCAAAAAAGGAAAGGCCCTATGTTTAATAAAAAGACAAGAAATCAGAAAGAAAAAAAAAAAACGCTTTTGCAAATGAAAAATATAACCAAGTGAAAAACATATGAGTTGGAAGATAAGTTAAGGTGATTCTTAGAAAGTAAACAAAAAGAAAAAAAAAGATGGAAAATTGAAGAGGAAAAAAAGCCAGGAAATTGGATTAATTTAAGAGATTCAACATCTAAGTAATAGGAATTTCAGACAGTTAGAAGTGAGAAAACAAAATGAAGAAGACCATTAATGATATAATTCAAGAAAATTTCAGGGAACTGAAAAACATGAGTTTCTAGATCTAAAGAGATCACTCTGAGTACTTAGCAAAATGGATAAAAAAATAAATACACTATGGGACATTGTCTTGACATTTCAGAACACTGGTAATAAAGAAAAGGTTCTATATATGTTGTCAGAGAAAAACAAACAGATCACATGAGGAGGATCAAGAATCAAAATTGTGTTAGACTTGTCAGTAGCAACACTGGAATCTAGAATAAGGCAATGGAGCAAGAATGCCTTCAAAATTCTCAAGGAAAACAATTATCACTTAAAATTGTATTAAATGCTACCAAATTCTATCAATGTGTCAATCAAGGTTGTGTGTGTAAAATAAACATTTTCAGACAAGTTCTCAAAATATCTACCTCTCGGAAAGATACCAGAGGACATAACAAGGCAAGGGAGTTAGATGAGCGGAAGAAATGGGATGCAGAAACCTGATCTGAAAAAGGAGAGAGAGAAAAGAAAATTTCGATTGGTTGGCAGGATAACAGCTGTGTAACAGGTGTAGAGAGCAAGCATTTCAAATTGGAGCAAAACAGATGCTTGGGAGACTGTGTGGAAAGATAAAACTGGCAGACAAGATGGTTTGTTTTAAAATCTAGACAGAATATTTAGACAATGATGAAGAGCTTGCTTGGATAAGTGATACAAACTTAGAACTTTGAGCAAATGAAAGAGTAAGATGCTATTAACTTCAGGGAAAATAGAAAATGCAGAAAAGGAAAAAATTAGATGAAGCTGCACAGCTAAATCGTGGATAACATTTACATTGTCATAATAATGAAAGCACTGACTCTAAACAAAATGGCATCACTATAATGGAAGAATAGGAGGGTTGGAAGGACCAGGACATACATGCATGGTTGAATGAAGAAGGAACAATGACTAAATCCTCTCATCCCATGGTGGGAAGTCAGTAGATAAAGCCTAAAACTAAAATATCAAGTTCCAATATAGATATTGTTGAGAGACAAAAGTAAGCACCAAATATAAAAGTTCACATGACTCATAACCAGCAGAGCCAGAATCCAAACATAGGCTTGTCTGTCTCCAAATTACATTGCTTCTGTGTCCCCTGCTAATAAAACTTCCGTAGTGATGCCAAAATTATGAAATGTATCAAAAATTTCTTTTAAAGGAGCTAATTTTTTATTAGTTACAAAAGGGGTTGATTAAATAAATGATAACCTAAGTAACTTAGTGCTACTATCTTAAGAAAACATTGTATTTTCTAACACTGGCAAATAGTTTTTCATCATTAACCCACATCTAAGTGCTTACAAAAGTGGACATCCACACTGAAATACCACAGCCACATAGAACTTCCTTTTTTAACGGCTACAAGTTCTTGCTATCACAAAATATATCTTCTGAATTCCTGACCCCTTTGTGGCATTTTACCTGCAGACTATTTTGAAAGGCTTCACAATCCTGGCTTCCACAGTGGTAATCATTGCTTTTTCAACCTTTAACAAACTCATCCCTTTCTCTTTCTTCTGTCTTGGAGTTCTCCCCTTCTTTCTCTTCTCTGCTTCGTCCTCCAAAAAATGACCTAATTTCTCAAACAGGAAATCTCAATCTGTATTTCCAGTTCCAATAACTCATCTGTTCTGGTCTCATATTTCTCAATGCCTACTAGACATTTTCATTTGTATATTCCACCATTTCTCACACTTCTTAATTTGTCCAAATTTCTTATGATCACAAACAGGGCTCTTCCTGATCTAGCTGTTGACCACCTCGTTAATTTTATCATTCATACCTGTCCCTCAAACTCTACTCTCCAGCAAAACTAAACTATTTAAATTCTTAAGAACTAGCTGCATTCTTTTTTTGTCTCTGGACACATGAACACTCTCTCTTTTCTTTTTAAGATCCTTCACCAACCTTGGGTTGATCTCTGTTCTTTAGAACTCATCTTTGAAGTGATGCTCACAGAATCCTCCATCCCAAGGACAGTGCCTTAGACACAGTGAGTGGAACAGAAATATTTATTGAATAAAAAAACAAAAAGACTCTTGGGTAGATGATCTATCTCTAGACAGTCTCTTCAGTTCAACAGAAATAATGGTGCTTCATTAATCTTTCTTAAACATTGCTTTTTAACTATTTTTCATTTGCCTATGTAGGGGAGGAAAAAATTTTCCCTCTACTGTTTTAGGGCTTTTTTCTTTTTCAGATGGACCTAATAATTAAATTGGCCTAAGACAGATCAACAGGAGAAAAACATACACATTTATTTAATATAAGTTTTACGTGGCACAGGAGCCTTCATAGGGAAATGAAGACCCGAAGATGCAGTCAGTGATGAACATATGTACTGAATTAGACAAAGAGTAGGAAATTAGGAAAATGTGACACAGCAAAGGAGCTAGGGGTAGAGTCCTTAATTCAGTGGAGAAATGACTAGGAGCATAAGGATTAGTCTAAGTTTGTTTGCACAGATTTTCCTGGGCCTCAACTTCTGTTCTTGATGATAGTAAGAGTGACGCTTTCCTTCTGGTAAAGGGAGGACATCTTTCTCTTAGGAATTTCATCTCCTGCTTTGGAGAAACAGAAGAAAGGTCAGAGTGATTTTTTGCACCTGCTGCTTTTCAGATGCTTTTAACTCACCATAGTCAATTTGCCAGAGTGGCTTATTTTAAACTCTTCACCTAAAAAGCCATCAAGATCCTTATTTAAAGTGGAAAACTCTTACGTCTGCCTTTCTAGGTTCTTCATAAATTGGTCACTATACCTCTGCAACCTAATGTCCAACTGCCCCTTCTGGTGTACTGACTCCTGGGCCCTCCATGCCCATCTCCATATCCATCAATTTGTTTTTGCTCTCCACTACATCTGTCATAGAACTTTCTTCTTTTCTGATTCTCAGTCCTAAAACAAATGGCTCAAGGCTGATGTCCCCAGAAAGTCTTCTTGGAGTTACTCTAGCATACTCTGATGATAACAGCAATACTTTAGTTGTCATTCATCAAATATATTTTCAGGACCTATTATTACACAGGCAGTGTTTAGGTATTGGGATACAAAGGTGAGCAGGAGAAAAGAAAGAAGTTACAACAAATTGAACATATGATTATAAAGTGTGACAAGTGCTAAAATCAAGGGGTAAGGTAGAGAATATTGGGTAAAGGGCACAGGAGACCTCTTTGGACATTTTGGTCAGAGGAAGTATCTTTAAGAAGGTGATATCTAAGCTGCGATCTGAAGTATGGGAAGGATCTAATCATGTGCAAAGTTGTAGTGAAGGAAGAGAGGTTTCCAAATAGTGAATCCCCTATCAAAATGCTCTGAAACAGAAAAGAACTTAACACATCCTAAGAACTGAAATAAGACAGTATGGCTGGAGCTTAATGAATGAAAGCAAAGTGGTCTAGAATGAGCTTAGAAAGATAGGCAAAAAGCCTATCAAGGCCTTGAAGGCAATTCTAAAGGGAAACAGATAGGCATTGAATGGTTATAATCAGAGGAGTGAAAAGATTATACCTATTTTTTTTTTTTTTTGAGACGGAGTCTTGCTCTGTCGCGCAGGCTGGAGTGCAGTGGCATGATCTCGGCTCACTGCAAGCCCCGCCTCCCGGGTTCATGCCATTCTCCGGCCTCGGCCTCTTGAGTAGCTGGGACTACAGGTGCCCACCACCACGCCCGGCTAATTTTTTGTATTTTTAGTAGAGACGGGGTTTCACTGTGTTAGCCAGGATGGTCTCGATCCCCTGACCTCGTGATCCGCCCGCCTCAGCCTCCCAAAGTGCTGGGATTACAAGCGTGAGCCACCGCGCCCAGCCTATACCTATGTTTTATGATCATTCCTGTTGCTGTAGGAGGAATACACTGAGAGACAAAGAAGCTAATTAGGAAGGAGGCTGTTTTAATCTACAAATACAGATAATGCTGATGACCTGGCCAGGGTAATACCACTAGAGATAAAAAGAAGTGACAGAATTTGAAATTATTTTTTGAGATGACATTTATGATACAGGGAAATTTTTGAAGGAGCAAATCAAGAGTTCAGTTTTGATCTTGTTGAGTTTTAGATATTAATGAGAAAACCAAGTAAGAGGTATCACATAGGGAGTTGAATATGTAAGACAAGGTCTCTGTGGTAGATAGAATTATGAGAGAAACCTCAATAGTCCTCTATAATCCCCTCCTCTTGAATGCAAACAAGACCTATAATTCACTTCTAATGAATAGCACATGAAAAAAGGTAAAGAAATTTTACAGAAATAATTAATGTTCTTAATAAGTTGACTTTGAGTCAATGTAAAGGGAGATTACCCTGGGTGAGGCTGACCTAATCAGTTTAGCCCGTTCAAAGAGGGTCCAGGACTTCCCTGAAGTTAGAAATGATCTCCTGCTGGCCTTGAAGAAGCAAAAAACTACATCTTGAACTTCCTATGGAGAGGGGTGTCCTCTAGGAGTTGAAGTCATCAGTCCTATAGCTGCAAAACACAGAATTCTGCCCACAAGTTCAAGCTTGGAAGATGACTCTGAGTTTCAGATGAGAATAAAACCCAGTCAACAGCTTGACTGTAGGCTTGTGATATTCTCAGCAGAGAGTCCACTTAAGTTGTTCCCATACTCTTAACTCATAGAAACTGACATGATATATGTATGTTGTTTCAAGCTGCTAAATTTACAGTAATTTATCACACAGCAATAGAAAACTAATACAAGAGGTCTAGGCTGAATACATAAATTTAGAAGTCATAAGCATATAGATGATCACTACACTTTGATTACAAAATTAAATTTACTAGAAATATAATTCTAAACTTATATGCACCTAATAGCATGGCATCAAAAAATATAAGGCAAAAATTGATAGAACTATAAGAAATGGCTAAATCCATCGTCAGCATTTTTTAAATGTACTTCTTTCAGTATTTGATAGAACATTCAGACAAAATTAGCAAGAAAATAAGAATATTTGAATAACAGACTTAAAAACTTTATGTAATGGACACACATAGTACACTATTTCCAAAATGTATAAAACATATATTCTTCTTTTTTTTTTTTTTTTTTTTTTTTTGAGACAGAGTCTCACTCATTGCCCAGGCTGGAGTGTGCAGTGGCACGATCTTGGCTCACTGCAAGCTCCGCCTCCCAGGTTCACACCATTCTCCTGCCTCAGCCTCCCGAGCAGCTGGGACTACAGGCACCCACCACCATGCCGGCTAATTTTTTTTGTACTTTTAGTAGAGACGGGATTTCACCGTGTTAGCCAGGATGGTCTCGATCTCCTAACGTCGTGATCCTCCCGCCTCGGCCTCCCAAAGTGCTGGGATTACAGGCGTGAGCCACTGCGCCTGGCCAGAAAATATATATTCTTTTAAGCAGCAAGAAGCAAAACCAAGCCAAGCAACATATATCAGCAGTATGAGTCCATTTTTATAAAAGTCAAAAACAGGCAAAACTAGACAAGATTTGCTTGAGGCAGGTACATATGCAAAACAGGAGAATCCTTAACACCAAAATCAGGAGGCTGGTTACCTCTTGAAGAGAGAGAATGAGAGGAGAACACAGAGGGTATGCTGAGACAATGCTAAATTCCCTTTTATTTTCCTTATTCTATTTCCCCTTACAATAGGTGGGATATGAGCAGAAGTCATACACACATCTTCATGGCCTGGTCCCTTAAAACATCCTATAAGATTCTCACATTATCTCTCTTTCTTTCATCTGCAGAGGAACCAGGGGATGACTTGAGGTGGTGAAAGGTGGCAGAACTGCCAAATGGAAGTAACCTAGGTCCCTGAATGACTTAATGGAGCAGAATTTCTCCATTGATCCTCACGGAATTGTGTCATGAATGTGAAACAGGCCTTTATTGTATTAAATGCCTGAGATATTTGGTTGGTCAAATCTCCCCTGATTAAACAGTTAATCTCCCCTGACAAAAGTAGGACACTTCAAAGATACTGGAAAAATTCTTTCCCTTCAGTGTGATAGTGAATACATGGATATTTATCTTTTATTATTCTTTAAATTGTCAATATATGTAATTTTACTTTAAACATTAAATAAAATATTTAATGCAAAAAAGTGGCAACTAGAACTCTGAAACTTCTGCTATTGATGAAGTAAAGGCTTTTTTACTCTGCCTCCTTTTTTTGAAAAAAAGAAAACAAAAATACAAAGTATAAAAACCACTAACTGTCAAGCATACCTGCTAAATCGTGTAAAATCTAGAGGGAGAAGAGAACAAGAATCGACACATCTACCTTCAAACCTTGAGCTTAATATAGATTTTTGTACAAATAATATTAGTCCCAAAAGGCTGTCCAGCAAATCTTACTGGAACAGTGGTACATAAATAGGTGATAAAGAAGGTGTATGTTTTCCTACTGAAACTCAGAATAACTGGGGACATCAGGCTGGAGAAAATAGCACACTCTCCTACCGTTTTTATTAGCTATGTAGTGGTCTCCCAGATGAGGGTACTGTGGGAGAAAACAGAAGAAAAGCGCATGACTACAAAATCACAACACAGTGTTAGGGGCTTTGCATGTTTCCAACTTGAGGGTAAGTGAAATAAACTTGGTGACAGAGGATATTCTAAACAAGACCCACACTGGAGCTGTAGGCTCCCCGTGTACAACACCTCCTGCCATTCCACATCATTAGTCCCCTTCAAGAATGGAAAACAATCAAAAAGTGGCTTATGAACTAGAGGCGCAGGCAAGAGGAAAGGGTGGGCATGGGGAGGACATGGATTAGGCACAAAAGAATGCAGGAGGTAGCATTACATGAGTCCTCCTAGAAGAAACTCCTTGATCATGAAATCTATTTATTCACAAAATAAACTAAAATAAAGAGAGAGGAGTGAAAAGACTGGTTTTGTGCACTGACTACATTTAAATATGAAAATACGAAACATAATATAATAAAAATGTAACCAAAATCTAAAATGAGGAAAGGAAATTGAAAGATTCTACATTTCATTTTTATTTTCTTAGTATACAGTAAAACTGACTTGGTGGGGAGCATACAGTCCTATGAAGTATTGTAAATGTACAAGGTTCATAAAGAGAACGTGGTTGTTTTACATTTTATTTTACCACGAAAGTGTTTTTTCTAAACTGGTCAGTAAATACCACAAAAGGCAAAACAAAAAACAAAACAGTTAATCATTGAGTTCTACATGCAATATCAGGAATACTTCTCAGGTAATGATTAGGTATTTATTTATTTCCAATAATTATGATTTTCAGTGTAATTTTGCTTACTTCTGAAGATAGGTTTTATAGTTCTACTTTGCTATTTCTTCTGTAATTGCAATGTTTTAATACATGCACAAATAAAACAGCTTCACTCTCCATTGTTTTACTTGTCCTTTCTGAGACTTTAGGTAAAATGACCTATTAAATACCATGAATGAAAAATGGTTATGTACTTGGTCTAGAGGTCTGCATTCTGTTTGCAGGGAATTCAAATATACTTATAATATCTAGAATTATTCCCCAAGGCACAGTCTTTTACACGGATTTATTATCAAAAGTTTCCATTTGTGCAAAGTCTTATTATCATATTTGTATATTCAATAAACTTAGAGTACAAATAGCTTCCAGCTAATAATTACCTACACAAATTGCTTACATAGCTATTTTCTTTTAATGTCAAATTCTGTATGGAAGTCCACCTTTCATACTGCTATAAATTCAAACAACTTTTAACTTATGTTATTCATGGTCTTGGAACTTTTAAAAAATATCTGAAATAAAAATGTATTAACAGTTTAATAAGATAACTAAATGTGATTTTACCCAGTTTTCTTGGGTGTTGAAATTCTTAGTGGTATGAGTGTCCTTTGTCTTACCACTGATATAAATATGAGTAGCATGGGAGTGGGAGGGGGATAGGGGTATAAGAGCAAAGCTGTTATATTATTACCTTTATTTTAAGATAATCAGTACTTCTTAAGAACATGCTCCATCTCCACAACAATTTGTTACTATTTTCTTCTTATTAAAACAATATCAAGTTTAAACTGATTACTAATATATTTGTCTTAATATAAGCTGAAGATGAACTGTAATTTTCCTAATAAGGAGATTCCATCATAGTGAATTTTAACCTCAAGATAGTGTAGGCTGGCAGTATCAAGAGACCAGTTCTTTCTGACTTTTTCAGAAACTCGAAACTCTCCCTCTTTGCTATTATTTATAATAATTTATCAACTTACTATATGAAATATGAGTGGAAATAACTATCCATATTCTTATCTTTGGTTTATTATATTGTACATTAAGATACATGATATATTGTATGTTAAGATATAAGAAGAGCTACATGTTTTCTTTTTATCATATACCAAAAGGCACCAATCTACTTGCTTTGATTAAGTTACCACACATATCTGCAGGAGCCCTAAATATCATCTTAGCACCATGCAAAGTATTCCTACAGGGACCTGATTAGAAATATTATATCATATGCTTTTACAGTATGAGGAATATTTTAAACATTTATTTTGAGGTTAAAATTTTCCTGAAGAAATAAATTTTTATTTACAAATTTATAAATATTTTTATTTAACCTCATTTACTTTGTCCCTGTCATAGAACCTGTACTTGATGGATATTTGTTGACTAAATCGAGAGCTTTGTCTTTTGATAATTGTATACCTGTGTTATTAGGCTGTAAGTATCTGCTTCTAATATATTAGCACTAACAGTGCTTGCCAGTCTTCCTGAAGTTGCAGAGTTGAGAATCACACAGGATTCTAAATGTCACTGTAGCCCTGGCCAGATCTATTCTACACTGAAACTGCATTCTGCTAGGTTGTAGACATTTTAGTGAAAATCATCAGTAATCTCATACTTTGTTTTGTAGGCGAGCACCAATGTTTAGGAAAGACATGGAAGAATAAAACACATATTGCCATAGATGACTCATTTCCCTTTAAAATTTCTCATGTTGAAAAGTTCTCATATATAACTGGAAAAATGAAAAAAATTATTTTATCTAATACATACTGATATTATCATATTATGTATTGTCTCCTACATTGCCTGAAACATATTCTTCTAAGGATAATTTTTTCTTTAGTGCTTATATATAAATTATGGAATTATTATAGAATGTTGAATTAAGATATTTAGATACTTTAGAGAAGACACTCTGTTAATTAAACAACTTTCAAACATTTAAGCTCACTTCAAGATATAAAAATTATTTTATCCTTTGGATAGCTAACTTAAAATCATAGGATATTTTTTCTAATTTTTATTTTGAAAAATGTCTAGCCTACAGAAATTAGCAATATAACAAGTGGCATATAATCTCTTTATCTAGATGTAAAAATTATTAACATTTTGCCATAATTATTTGCCTATTTCTCCCTTTCTTACACTTAAAACATTTCTTTTTGCTGAACCATTTGAAAGTTGCAGATATGAGATTTCACTTCTAAATACTTTCAAATATATCCTCTCCCTAAAGACACATCCTTCTATATAACCCCAATATGATGATCACACTCAAGAAATTGAACGGGGATGTAATACTGTTATATGAGCTATAGCCCAAATTCACATTCCTTCCATTGTTCCAATATTATCCTTTATAGATTTTTTTTCATCCAGAATCTAATCAAGAAGGATGGATGTCTTGCAATTAGTTGCCAGGTCTCCTAGTCTCCTTTAATCCTGAACAATATTTCAGGCTTTTTTTGTTAATCACACTGACATTTTTGAAGTGTCCAGGTTAGTTGTAGTGAAGAAAATCTACCAGTTTAGATTTGCCTGATCGTTTGTTTCCTCGTGATTAGACTCAGGTTAAACATTTTTAGCAGAATACTTCAGAAGAGACTTTTGTGTCATTCTTCATGTATCATAAAAAAAATACATGATTTCAATTTGTACTACTTCTAGTGATGTCAAGTCTGATCATTTGATTAGCTGGTATCTGTCAGACACCAACCATAAAGGGATGTCCCCCCTTTTCAATTAATAAGCAATCTGTAGGGTGACATGAAGAGATAATGTGAATATCCTGTCCCCATCAACCATTCACCCAATGGCAGATGACTTTTTTATTATTCTTGTTATGGTGGTTGCAAAAATGTGGCTCTACTATTTCTTTTTCATTATCAGCTTGTATTCTTCAGTGAAACACAGCCTTTCCTTCTCTCCACCCAATCTGTGCATTCACACACTCTGGGTTCACGGATACTTTTCTTAGTCAATGTGCTCTAATCCATTACATACATTATTACTCTTTATATACAAAAGATCCCAAATTTGGCCAGGGAGAGTCTTTTAAATCTGGCTATGTCCTTCTGATGTGCCCTCATTTGTTTTTGAGCAATTCCTTGCTTTCTGGGACAAAATGTTCAAGAGTTTCCCCTAAACTAGTTGAAGCAAGAAGGCTTTAAATAAAAACAGTGCTAACCCAACTCAGTTTTAATGCAGCATTTTGAATTCAGTCACGAATGTTAGCATAGTATCTAAAACATAGTAAGTGCCCATCAGTATGATATAGGTCTTCCTTAACTATTTTATACCTTGTTTGAATCTTTTGTGCAATTCTTAAAAATATAAACCTTTAATTTATAACATAGACTTTTATATTACTTTTTCAATTTCACCTATTTTTTTCTTATTTTAATTTTTGTTCTCCTTTATCTTCCTTATTTTCATATAGGGGCCATATGAATAGGTAACTTTCAGAGGATTTTTGTTTTCTTCAATATGGTAAAATCTTAGACCACTTCTTAATGCCGGAATGTATACAAACAGCAGAGCATAAAACCCCCATAAAGTGAAGCCTTTTAAAATTCCTGAAATTATCAAGGGATTCCACATGTCAGAGGAAGTAATATAAAGGCATGCCTGGGCATTTATTTATTTTGGGGGGTGTAAGAAATTCAACAGCCCTGCCCTACTTTCTAAATAAATGTAGCAACACCCAAACCACATCTAAATTATGGAGAGGAAAGAGAAATAGAACGAGGAGTATGATATTTGGAGAGGTCACAAAGAAAAAAGTGGGGCATCATAGCTTACAAACTTTATTTTATTTACTTATTTGTGTATTTTTTATTAGAATGTGAGGGTGGATACATGTGTGTGTTTGCATATGGCACATGTGTATAACTTTGTACATGTGGAGTTAGAGATGTTCACTCAACATTTATTCAACAAATATTTATTACACTTCCTCTCTGAAGCAGGCGTTGTAGTATTTGTTAGGAATACAAGGACCATCAAAACCAGATGGATCCCTATCTTAGCGGTTAATTAAATAATTATACAAATAAATGTGAATTTGCAACTCTTCTAAGCACAATGGATACAGATACATAAATGTGTATATACTTATATGTATTTTATAAAGGGATTTAATTCAATTTAGGGGTAAGAGATGGTTCATTTGAGGAAGTGACATTTGAGTTGATATTTTCAAAGTGTTAACTAAGAGTTAACTAGAGAATGCTTGAGTTTGTGTTTTTAGGGGATGGGGGGATGGGAGAGAGCTGGAATGTTAAGGCAGCTTGAAGAAAGCCAGGCAGCTGAAGCTGAGGGAAGAATGGGAGCATCTAAAGAGATAAAAGTGGAGGAGGCTGTCCTTGCTGGGCTACAAAAATCAGGTGCTGAGTTTTGGTCTTTATCTTAAGCAAAGCAATGGTAATTCATTTAAGTGTTATCCGTGGTTGCAAGGTGATAGTTTTCATATTTGCATTTTGAATGCAAATATAATATCTGGTATCCCATTGGAGGATGAATTTGGGGGTGGGGAACAATGCCAGGAGATCAGTCATGGAGACATTGTTGTTTTTCTACACAAAGGATGGTGAATGCTTACACTTGTGTGACGGCAGAGGCAGATTTTTGTAATTAATTTTGGAGGTCAAAATCAAAGCCTTGGTAATGGAATTGAAGGAGAAGTAATGTCAAGATTAAAACCAGATTGGACTATGGGAACCCTGCACCCTTGAGGTGAGATGAGCAGAGATCAGGAGTTTGATTTTGACATGTTTCATTTGATGTTTCTTTAAGATAGACAAGAAGAAATGCCAGGTGTATGAGCTGTATCTACAAGTGGGCAATGTAGAGGGACTTTCTGAGCTGCGATTATGTTTTATAGAGTGTTCTGCATTAAATATATATCAATAATCTCAAGCCATTCTTACTGGTTAGTACTTGGTATATGTATGTTGAGAAATCCCAAGGTGAATCAAAGGTCTGAGGTATTAGATGAACAAGCTCTGGTACCTGGGATTTCAGTGATTTTCAAATTCATTTCTATTCTAAATGCTGTTCTAATTCCCTGATCTGCAAAATCTGAAAAAATGACTTTGCTAGACTTTTAGCAAGTAGCAAGTGGTATATTTATAGGTTGAAGTTACAAAAGTGATCATGCAAGAGGAGGATTAGTATTTAAATTATTTAACAATCAGCACAATTTGGACTCCAGCTACAAATAACCAGTAAGACTATACCAGTGCATCTAGCTGAATGCCAGCCCTGCTGGAGTAATAAAATCTCATTCTCTGATAATAAAAATTCCTAATTGAAAATAGAGTGCAAATGTTAGAAGGTAAAAGGGTGTTGATAGTTACTGCTTTTTGTCCAAAAAATGTCACTAACACCTAAGCATTTTTTTTAATAACTTGAGAAATCGATCTTTTGGGGAAAAAAATTACCCTCCTTCTAATCGACTGTTCAAAGAATCCTGTAAAAAACTAAATTAATTTAGATGATAATTTCTTTAAAACTGTGCCTATTTAATTTTTAAATGTATTCATTAAAGTATATAATCAACATCACTATTTTACCTAAATCCTTACAGACTATATTTGCTTAAAGTAAGCTGGACCTATAGGTCACCACTTTAATTCCATCTGTGAAAAGAAAAAAAAAAGAAAGAAAACAATAGAAATGACCGCAAAACTAAGTGGAATTTTGGGCTTCTTGGTACTGAAATTAATGGAAAAGTAAGTATCGTTTCTTCATTTGAATTGACGGTGTCATCTTATTTGGTTTTCCCATTTTCACATAAATCTAACAGAGCCTTCTGAAATTTCTTTTACCACATTAGCTGGGTATATTTTTCCTTTTCTTAACCATATTCTTTAGTGTTATAGAGTTCAGTTTAGGGTAGCATTGAAGTACTATAGCAAAAGGAGGCACTCTGAACAATGGGAGTGGAATGTGCCATATCTGTTTACTCTGACAAAGAAGGTTTTCTCTTGTATAGCAGAGTTAACAGTACAAAGAGGAAGGAGGGTTTTACTTCCACAATCTTTCCCTCTATTCCATACAAAAATAAAAAGCAGAGTAAAAGGCAGATATTCCAATAAAATTTCACTGCCTATATAGATCTTTGTGCTGTTCAAATGAAAGAAACACCTTATTTTCCTTATCGCCTCCCCAATCCAACAACTTCAATTTCATCTTCTCTGAATCCCCATTGCACCACTATACTCGCATTAGAAATTGTAACAAAAGTAGACCGAATAAAGTTAGGGGTCAGTCTGAGGTTGAATGTTGGGCCATTCAACAGACCAAGAAGCTTCCAGTAAGAATGAACAATACACAGAAAACAATCACAGATCAAATTGTGTTCTGTACAATTGCTGCATCCTCTTTGTCGGAAAAGCTGCCTCTCTTGATTTGGTAAAACATGTCCTTCTATGCAGAGAATTTTGTGATTGTGTCAAAGCAATTGGTTATTCACACACATACACACCACACACACATATTATTGACTTCAATCTCAAGTGCTGCGCTTACATTAAAAAGCTTCTTTCTTTAAAAAGAATAATATATACAATGGCCTAAAAATATGTAACGTGGACCCTGACTGGGAAGAAATCTAAGAAAAAATATCTC
The DNA here is from genome assembly GCF_000001405.40 of Homo sapiens. Lineage (NCBI taxonomy): Eukaryota > Metazoa > Chordata > Mammalia > Primates > Hominidae > Homo > Homo sapiens. Next base: position 27,178,430 of record NC_000018.10, read on the forward strand.
ACAATTTGATAAATTCAAGATGGTGTAGCTAACACTCAAATTACATTTCATATTAACTCTTCATTTTCAAGAGCAGATCTTAAGTTACAGTCCAGTAGACAGAAGTAAGAAAGTTTGAATTTCACTCTCAATTTCCTCCTTGCTTCTGGGATCCTACACCCTCCTGTATGTTGTATATATGAGTAATCTTCAAAACCCTCTAATCTCTCTGCAAATACTGTATATTGCACAAAGAGAAGAGATGTTGGTGTGCTTTTAGGATGTCAAGAGTGCACAGGTTAAATACCTCTGAAACAGACAAAACTGACCACACCCCTTACCCTCAACTTCTAATATGCTGCACAGGATTCATCTACCACAAGCAATATAACAAAATTCTAATACAGCAGTTTATTTGGGTTGGAAATAGCTTTTGGGCTTTTACTATAAGCATACTTCATAGCACGTAGTTTTGTGGTATAAATTCCAGTATTGGACTAGTGCAGTTCTTTTTTGCATAAGCATGTTTCAAGGGCATTAAAAATATAAGCCTTAATAATACCTCCTTTCCTGTTTTTTCAAAGCCTAAAATTATGTGTGTATACATATATGCTTTCATAAATATGCACATATATACATATACGTACATGCATACATGTGTGTGATAATGTCTCTCTCTCTCTCTCTCTCTCTCTCTATATATATATATATGAAAACTTTCAGTGCTTTATGGAGATATACATTTAAGCAGTTAAGGCCTAAGACCACTAAAATATTACCCAGCATGTACTTCAGTTTGTCACCACTTATTGTCACCCAAAAAAGATAGATTCCTAAGAGAAATAAGGACCAGAAGAAGTGAATTTTTACCAAGGTGACAGCGACAGAAAAAGATTAGAACATGACCTGCTTGAGGGCAGTGAAGTCTGTGGTTCTGATCCATTAGAGCCAGTGTATCAGTGAACAAATGGGATGGTCCTACTTAAAAGAAGTAAAGATAGATAGGTAGGGGCATGAAAAATAATCCACGCCTACATAAAAATCTTGGTTATCTAGCTCTATGGCTCTCATAATGGCAAGTGACACACCTACAGAATATTTTAGGTAGGACTGGGTATGTTCAGGGTTGTCACAAATTATTGGTGGTGGTAGTGGTGGTGTGCTATTGGCTTTTAGTGTATATGGGGGAGGCAGCCCAATTTAATGAAGAGTTTTTCTAAAAATATTCCATATAAAGTTTATGTGTCCTATTTAGCTAAATGTTATGCATATCAAACTGTATAACCTGGTACATAATTACAATTAAGAATTTTATTTACATTCCCACCAAAAGCCGAGCAATTTACAAAAATAGTTTAGTTATTTCATGTACTCTATCTTCTAACTCTAGAACTGATAGACTATAATGTTGATAGAAATTAAACTTAAGACCAACTCAGCACCAAATCAGTAATTTTTATTTTCAAGTATTTTACTTATTGACAATACGGTGAGTAACCTTCATCTCTTGAAATAGAATTAACATTAGTTAACAACATGGAAATGTTCCAGAAAGTACTTTTGGGATTTTAGTGGAAGTATATCAATGGTATTTACTCTCTCATTTGCAAAATATCATACTTTAAAATTTTCTCCACTCCAAGAGTCTACATTTGACTTGGCAAATTTTCCCTATACCATTAACTTTCTTCTTCCGGTTTTCATCTACAAATAAGTCTGGGTTGTTAGTATCTCAACACTAGTTTAAGTCTACCCTCATTCTTTCACTTTCGTGCACTTCTTGCACGGGATGTCTTCTAATGTTTTATTTGTCTTAAATTCAAATTTATTCATCATATATTCATACAAGCGCTGACTTTACTATGTGTCTAGTGAAGTTATCCCTGAGCGTTAGTAGTGAAATACACATTACTTTTATTTTATTAGTTTTTAAAAATTACAACTATATTCTGTAATTATTTATAAATGACTTTTGAGGATAATAAGGGGGTAACAAAATATTTGTTTTTAAAAAAGAGGACAGAGTCTGAGAGGGTCAAGGATCACAGTCTGGTCCACGATGACTACTCAATGCATGAAAGAAGACAGCAAATCACAAGCCTTCTACATTTACCTCTGTACTGCTTCATTCTGTGACTATCACATATTAGTTGATACCGTGATGGCCAGAAAGAGTTAACTCCCCTACCTAACTAATCTAACTTTCTAAGAGGTAGCTGGATGAGGAGTCAGGAGACCAGGTTTCTAGTTTCTGCTCTGCCACTACCAGTGTGGCCTTTAGCAGTTCATCATGATCACTGTAGGTCCCCATTATTTCTGCAACTGTAAAATGAGGACACAGGAATAAATTACTTTTAAGATTCTTTCCAGCTCTATTAAAAAATGCATAATCTTGATCCTAAGACTTAGGCATTGATAAGAAGAAACGGATTCCTTTAATAAGTGTATATAAAATTTATCCTGTGGGTCTCAATTATATTTCCAACCACAATATTTCTTTTAAAATATTCAGTCTAGTCAAGTCTTTAAAAAATGTCATGCCTTACAAAAAATGAAAATGTTTCCTTAAAAAAAAAGCATCCCTACACTTTATGTAGTGAGCACATTTATGATGAGAACATAGTCTCTATTCTGAAGGGTACATCTACTTTTCTATCACCATTCTCCTTACTTCCATAAAAGTTACAGTTTGGCTGTGAATATTTGAAATAAAAATGATCTTATCTGCTTTTCCCATCATATATTTTTGGCAGTTCTAACCTTCCACACAGAGGTTTTCTAAATTCTAACAGTCCACAGAACTAACAATTCAACAAAATCTATGTCCAACTAAAAACTGACTATAAACAAGATATTTCATGCTATGGTATGAATCAGCTTCTTGCTGAAGTAACTCATCTACAACCCATTTTGCCCTAGAGCTTTTGAAAAACACAATAGAAATCTGTTAAATTGGCAGTCTTGCTGAACTTCAACTATTTTATCTAGCTTGGTCCACTGTAACAATAATTGAGAGGTTCTCTTTGATGAAATGTGTTTTTGATTTGGAGCATAGGTACAGAGATGAAATGGACCAAACCCCTTATTTAGATGGCTTCTTGCTATTCCTTCTCTTGGAAAGGACATATTAATATATAAGGCCTAGGAATGCCATTTAACGTCAAAGACATACATATGCTTTAGGAAAACACTTAAAAATGCAGTGTATTAATAGTAAGATGCATACATTAACACATTCTTATTTGATTTTCAGGAGCAACCTATTATCACTTCTTAAAATATATTAACCACCTCTGTTACATGTAAAGTGGGATTGAATTTCTCAAACTTTGACTATAAGACTTTTATTTTTGCTGGGAACATATCTAATCCTTAACACATATTCATTAAACAGGCATACAATCAAGTCTTGCTTATCTTTCTTTGAATTACATATGATTTCCTGCAAAGTTTTCATACCAGGTTTGCTCACTTCTGCCACCCAGCTCATTTCTGGGCAGTCTGCCCATCTTCCCCACCTCCCCACAAATGGGTTTTCGTGTTTGAGGCATGAAAACTCATTTAAAAATTAACCTAAACACAAGAAAATAATTAGAAAGGCAACTTGCCCACAATAACAATGAAAATCTTTTTTAAACCAAACATGCAATACATTCCAAAGACAAACACAAATGACTTTTTAAATAACCATGATTTTACATTATCTTTGCCTCTATTTTTCTCATTAACATGAATAATTCAGAGTATTTACTATACATGGTGAAACTGTTTCTCCTCAATAATTCATTTTTAGGATACAGAAAAATAAGATGTAACATGTTCTTATGTAATATCCAAAGGTTTTAATTAGACTATATTTTTAAAGGCAACTTTACTTTCAAAATTATCTGTAGTTTGGGTTTATTCTGTCCAAAGCCATTCTTCTAAGTTAGGAGAATCTTAACGCTTTCAGGGAAAAGAGCAGTATAGAACACTGTAGCTGGTGATAATGGCCCACTTTTTCTTGGTTCCTGATAATCTTCAAGTACACATCAATTATTTGCAAAGTGTGAAAAAGATCATCACTATCTTTTTCCTCAAAAAATATGAAAATGCTTTGGGACATTGCACCCATATTTGAGTGAAAAGAATTTTCCTAATGTGCTGGCTAGGCTAAAGGAACAAAGGATGTATTATGTAACTTAATTTGGAATGATAAAATACCGTAATATTGAAGCTCTAATTAGAGCAAACACCCCTAAATGGGAAATCTTTCTTGGATAGGGAACTGAATATCTCAAATCTTGCTTTATTGATGACATCAACCAAACAAAGAGTGTGAATCTATCTGCTGATTACATCCCAACTCATCCAGATTCCCAAATACAAATATAAAGTATATAATAACAGGTAAACATGTTATTCATATCCTATCTCACATCCTATGCTATTCATATGCAATACTGATGTGGGAAACAATGTGTATTTCTTAGGTTTACTGAATTTGGAATTTGTAAGAGTAAGTTAGTCTCTTATTTTGTAAATTCTTCCTTGGAAGATGTTACATTCTCCTGGAAACCATACTAAGTTTCTGAAGTCACAGGGCTTTTTAATGCACTTCTTCAGAGCATCAAATGCTACCCTTGTGACCAGGAAGAAAGGAAAAGAAGGTCATCAGGAGGGCCCTGCAGCTGCACTAATTTCTAGCTTCTCTCTGTTAACAAAAAGGTGGGGGGTGGGGGGAAAGCAATCAGATTTTTACTGGAGTATACACCAGCCTTGGCCAAGTGCTTTGAAACTTTTAGAATGTCTTCTTTCATTGAAAATAAAAGAAGCAGAGCTTATGGTGTAATAAGCCAAACACAACAGTTACTGAACTTGAGTCAACATTGGATACCATTACAGCTTTCAGGATAGTCATGGGAATGTATGAAATGAGTAAGTACGTTTTGATACCTGTGAAAATAAAACATTGTGCTGTAAGTGAGTGGGAGAGAACAGATGGTTGGTAATGATTTAAAACATTTATGTTTTTGGACTATCACCAAGCCTCTGTATTAAAAAATATGGTGTTTAGTTAGTACATACCAACATCTATATGCAAGGTGCTCATTTTCTGGAGGACGGTACTGTAATGAAGGGGATAAAAACCAAATGAGGTAAGAGGAACATTCTTCTCGTTTTCTGGGGGCATTCAGTGTGTGCTATTTCTTATTGACGATATGCAATCTAAATGTTTTCCATATGATGAGAGGATTTTAATTTTTCCTCAATTACTAGTCAGCTGTAAGTGCCTAGGAATCATACTGTTTGATCGTATGGTGTAGAATTGTAATATTGTTTTGTAAATTTGATTCACTTTGATTGAAGCTCTTACACCCTTTGAGCAATAATAAAAAGTGGTAGTTCAGGGTGCTCTTGCCCATGAAAAACAATAGCATTCACCTTATCCTCACGTTGGTTGGCAGGCATATGGTGTTATGATTAGGTACTGGAATTAACAGGTGCCAGCCAACTGAATCAGAAGACAGATAAATACTAAATATGGTCACAATGCATTTGGATGTGTATATGTGAGTTGAAAAGAGGCCCCTGTCCTTCAAACCGAGAGGAATAATAACAATGTAAATAAAATTGTACAAAGATAGATTAATGCAATTCTGAGGTTAAAGCGAAGAAAAATAAACATTGGTAATACTCTCAATTATCAGAAAAACTGCGAAAAGGGAGTCCTGTTAAGCATCCACGGCGTTTTGATTTGGATCTGATAGCATAATAGGGAGAAAAAAGTCACACACACACATTGTGTATTATTCACTTGCCATCGCTTTCAAAACGCTGGGGATTATTCAGGCACAGTATGTTTGTGGGAGGGAGCTGGGGGTGGACCGCAGAGAGAGAGAAAGGAGGAAGGCCTGCAGCTCTAGACTTAGCACCTGTGAACTTAGTTGGAAATAACTCCTGACAGACATCAACCATAACACCTTCTAACAGAAACATGCTGATAGGCAGGATGTTCAAACGGGGCAGAAGAGGGAGCAGGCAACCCTGTGAAAGTAACAGCAGCAGAAACAAACACACCATTCCTTCTCCCCGCAACCCACTTGGAGCCCCTCCTCAGATCGCCCCTCCCAACCCCTCTGCTCTGGCCACGATCGCACCTGGCCTCCCGGTCCCCCTAACTTCCCTCCCACCTCTCCCGCAGCCTGCGCCTGAGCCTGAGCCAGGTCGCGGAGTTTGAGACTGACGCAAAGGAGGCACCCCCGCAGCAGAGATGCTCGTCTTTCTGCCACACACCCTGGAGGACCCGACAGACTGGCAGCAGAAACTAAAGACTGTTCCTGCCGTCCTCTTTCCAACCTCTGCATGCCCCAAGAGGGGTCTGACCCCGGAATCCTGGAGTCCAGGGTGCCCCGCCGGGGCGCAGGAAGGAAACTCAGGTAGCTGACAAGTTCAGGCGGCCGTCCTTCTCCAGCGCCCCCTCAAAGTCAGGATCCCCTCCTGCTCCCGCCCCCCACCTCCCGCCATGCGTCCACTGAAGTGAAGGGAAGTGGGTTGGAATACTGGAGGTAGGGGAGATAGAAAAAGGAAGAAGCCTCCCGCATCTCCAGCGGCGAAGCACCTGGAAAGGTGAGGGCGCACGTCCCCGCCCACCAGAGCCCGCTCCCGGCGCGGGTACCCAGCAGCGCGCCATCATCTCTGCCCCTCCAGTGCCCCCCAGCCCCAACCCCAGCCCCAGCGCGGTTACCTCGCGGGCCGCTGCCGGGCGCTTGCAGGTGCTGCTGTTCCAGGAGCGCAGCTTCGGAGGAAACTTCCCCGCGCTCCGGGGCAAACTCCCGCGCACTCCTGGCAGCCGTGAGGTGGCTGAGAGCGGAGCGCCGCGCCGGGAGCGGGGACAGCTCGGAGTCGGGCGCTCACCCTGGCCCTGACCCTCCCGCGTCCGGCCCGGCTGGGGCTGCGGCGCCGCCTCCGCGCCCGCTCCCGCCCGCGCCCCCGCCCCCGCCCGCCCGGGCAGCTCCGCCTCCCTCTTTTTCTCTCCCTCGCCCCCGCTGCCCGCCCTGCCTTCTCCAGCTCTGCCTTTGTGGCTCTCTGGTCCCCTCTTTCCTCTGACTTTCTGGCCTCGCCTCCGCTGGCGACTCGCCCTCCCAGCCCCGCGTGCCAGGGCTCAGGTGCCACCCCATGCCCAGTCGAGGAAGTGATTACCCTAGCAGTTCTTTCCCAATTCGCCCTCTCCTCTCCCCTGCGCTGGGGTCTTCTCCTAGCTTTTCTAGAAACCCAGTTCTGAGGAACACGTCCATAGGTTAGAAGGCTGTCGCAAACGTTAACTCCAAAGTCAAAATGTGTTTTGCTTTACAGACAGGAGGTGATGTTCGTTTGTTTATTTTAATACATCAATTATAATAGATCAATAAAGTGCTTGTTGTAAGTACGGCTAAGTTCAGCAGCAGGTTTGTGTAAACCAGGGCTCCCTCAAAATGAGCATAGTACCCATTTATAATGTTCAAGACCTAGGAGATTTCTCAGGCCACGCATTTCAAAATCGAACAAGCTGAAGTTGGCGGTTTTAAAGGGCTTTGCAAAGACCAACACTAGAATAACATTTTTAAATCATTAAAGGAAACACCAGGCTTTGGGAGGCCCAGGCGGGAGGATCACTTGAAGCTAGGAGTAAAAGGCTGCAGTGAGCTCTGATCCTGCCACTGCCCTCCAGCCTGGGCAACAGAGCAAGACCTTGTCTTGAAAGAAAGAAAGAGAGAGAAAAGAAAAAATAAAAATGGTTCATTCAGGTTTAAAAATTAGTTCTAAACATTATTCTATCAACAATTTGACCAAACTAGGGCAAATAAAAATAAATGAATCCTTGATTGCTTATTTTGCATTCAGATGATTTCTATAAATTAACAAAGAAAAACTCAACTATTTTTTTAAAAGCATTAACTAGTTAAACCTACCTTATTACGACATTAGAATTTTGTTGTTGCTTTTGCTGAAACTGAAATATTAGCCTTATGCACTTCCAGTAGGTCTTATTCTTATTAATGGTTTAGTAATAACACATCTGGTAGTAGTGAACTTTGGTTCTTTGAAGAATTACCATTATAGGACTTGTTTGCCTGATGCAGGTTTCTTTTTAAACAGAAGCTGATTTATTATTCTGTCACAAGTGTTTTATTTTCATGCATTTTTAAAAATTGGGGTAAACACCACATTTTTATCATTTTTAATGTACAGTTCAGTAGTGTTAACATACAGTCACATTGCTTTAAAATAGATCTTCAGAATTTCTTCATCTTGCAAACCTGAAACTTTGTCCATCAAACAGCTCCCCCTTTTCCTCTCCCCTCTAGCACTTGGTAATTACCATCCTACCTTTTGCTTCTATGAATTTGACAATGTTAGATCTCTGATATGATTAATATCCAGAATATATAAAGAGCTCCTATAACTCAGCAACAAAAAGTCAAATAACCTGATACAAATGGGCAAAGGACTTGAATAGACATAAGAGTTTAATTTTTAAAATTTGTATATTTGCTGGGGTTTTTTTGTTTTATAGATTTCTTTTTATTTCAGCTTAATTGTAAAGGAGTTTTAAAGTTATCAATGCCATATAAACACACTATTGAAAATTTGGAAAATTGAAAAAGAGTAAACAAATCATTCCACAAGCAAACCATTGTAATACAACTTGCTGATTTGTTATTAACTTTTAACCCAGAGTCAGTCCTTCATATGGGGAAAATCCTCATTCTCCAATAGAATAAATGTTTCCTGAGTTGAAAGAAACAAGCTAGTGTTCCCTGAGCTGTATTTAACTGACACATGCCTGGTAGGCAATTGATGAGCGCTCCTTGAATGAACTAACCATTTAACTTACTCGCTCTTGGTTTGGTTCCCTGTGTATCCATCCATGTTCTATGAATTCTTGGAGTTGGTACTATCCATTATATCACAGCAGTGAGGAAATTCAGGCCAACCTGATAATACATGAACTCTACTTCTAGGCTGTTGCAAAACATGCAAATTTTTTAGCCTGTGCCTTTCAGAAGTTGAGCAAGAATATCATTAGAACTGTATTTGAATATAGTTCTATGCTTAAAATGGGCATAAATTGAAAAGTTTTAGTAGCTAACGGGGGAATTGGGCATGATCAGATCAACTTATTGAATTTGCTTGATTGATGAGCTACTAGGCATTGCTAGTCCATTATGGGGTTTCCAGTCTTTAGAATCTATTTTATTCACTTATCTATCACAGCAAATCAAATATTTAGAACTGTGGCTGTCTTTCATTCCTAGACCTCTGTTTAAAACTGATTTTAAAAATTTGAAGAATTACTATTATAGAAAATTGAATATTGTTAATATCCAAGGTTGATGAATAAAGGATCAAAAAATTACCTAAAATGTATACCAAGCACCAGTATAAGATGCATGTTCTCATGCCATTTGATTGGGAGTTATATTGTTATGTGAAAATATTACCTTTTAATTTTGTAGTTAAACTAATTTAATTTTACACAGTGAATTATTTCTAAAACATTGATTAACAGCATGTTTCTAAACTCTCCAGTCTATTAATTTTGTTTAGTTCTTTCAATTTCTTAAAATGTTTAACTATTGACTGTTTCTGGGCAAGTGTGAAGCTTATGTATTGTTGATCCTTTAATGAATAGGTTGGTAACAATTATGGTCCATAAACGTGGTTTCTGCATCAAATCTCAAGGTACATTCAATAGCAAAAGTGCCTTCATAGAAGGAAGACTTCATCATTCTCAGGTTTATTTGGAAAAGGCATACAATGCTGATACCGCTAGGCTAAGCACAACAATAAAGTTAAACTTAACTTTGAAAGTATAACTAGTAGTATAAAGAATGACTTCAGTGAGCTGCTCATAGAGATGAAAAATGTGTGTAAGGTGACCTGGGGTAGAGAGGTAGGAAAAGAGTAAGAAAGGATATTTTCCTGGTTTCCTTATGTACCAAAAACAAACAAACAAACAAAAACAAAACAAAACAAAACAAAACTAATTTAAGGTATCAGCATGACACTGCTAAGGGATACTTCTTGCTATTTTTGAGTTTATGCTTTTCTCTAATTATGCCGGTGTTAATGATGACTTGGCTTAATTAATGGCCAAAGTCAAAATTCAGCAGAAATGCATTTAGCACAATATGCCAGGTCATGTGGGTGTTGCAAATACCTCTGAACCTTCTTATTTATGCCTCCAACTATTTTTTGAGGGAAAGCAGGGTTTTATTTATCTGGGAAGAGATATTTTTACACAAGTCAATAGAGGATAGTCCAGTAGCTACAGTAGTTTCCCTTTATCTTATCTTGCTTTTATTTTGCAGCATACGAGTAAAACTAGAAAAAAATGATAGAATGCGATTTATGTTGATTCCTGGTCAAGTGAACACAAGCCGGCCCACTGAACCAGAAGAAAAGAGTAATAGAACTCTTGAAAGAGAAGATAAAACCCACCGTATCCAGATATTGCTGGGAAGAAAAATAAAAACAACTATTAAAAATTTAAAATCACTTTTAGAAAGCTTCCTTGCATTAGTGCTATGAAATAGAAAGAGTCTTGGAGAACAGGATTTGTTCACGTTAAGTTGGGCAAGTCTTCTCTTCCTGGGCTCAGTTTCCTCATCTGCAGTGCATGAGGTCATTGAACTCCATAAGCCCTAAGGATCCTTCTGGTTTCAAAAATCCCATAACGTCTGATATAGAACACTTACCTTGACAAAGCTCTTCAAGTCATTTTCACCTTCACATATTGATTTATCTGTGTAGTGACATTTAAAGTGAATTCTAATCAGGAAATAAAAGGCTGATTTCTTCAGTAGAAGAAATTGACAATAAAAAAATGTGAATACAAGAGAGAAACAAAGGCCTGATTACCAGAAGTCGATCTATAGGATACAGAATGTGGCATTGTACAAAGTAGAAATTCCTTTCTAAAATTTAAGAAGAAATCATTGTAACATCAGGAATAAACAGGAAAAAGGAGAAAGCATTAAGATTTTCCAGTCAAGGAGAGATCTGGAAACATAATGATTTACCTCCTGCCATAGCAAGCATGGTATAGCAAATTTTATGATTTGGGGTTGATCAAAATTATTGTGTGACGAAGACATAATTAAAAAAAGATTTGACTCTGTCTCTAACCTTTTTTAAGGAAGGAATTATTTTCTTAAAAATCAAGAACAAATCAAGGACCAAATATCTATAACTAAAGCACAAATTAAGTGTTCAGAAGAATATTGGGGAGAAAAAGCAGAATGCAAAAGGAAAAATGCCTTATGGAAAGAGCATAGGATTAATAGTAAATGAGGAAGAACTATGACTCCTAAAGAATTATAAATTTTAAATTGTATGAAAAATAATATTGGTAAAACAGAAAAACTAAGAGATAATTGTAAGTAAATAAAAATGAAACAAGATGTGTTGCCATTATTATTATATATCAGCTGCCCCAGTAAAGCAATAATTCAAGGTCAAATAACTTAGAATGGTCAGCACCTAATAGTCTTGGTAAATAGAGCAGGTCAATAAATATATATTGATTGGTTGATTGAATAAGAAATGCTTGCAGTTATTTTAGGAAAATCAAAGTTGCTTGGGAAGTTATGCATGTAATTTCTTAAACTAAGCAAGTATAAATTTCCTTTTGAAACAATATAAAACAAAACCTTTCCTAACAGTTACCTCTAAATCCTAAACAATGAAATCTTTTATAAGATAATGTTTATATATAGCAAAACCTAAATTGGAAATAGATAAAATGTGGAAATATAAATGTGCTTCTGTAGAAAGAAATTATATTTTATATCTTTGATGGTTTTTGATAGGTGGTTGGAATAGGGAAAATTCTGTGTGAACAATTTACCAAAAAAATGCTATACTTTCCTCTAAACCAATATTTGGACATATAAATATTTTCCAACTGGGTTCAGTTTTTGATATGGCCAAAGATAATGATATGTTATTTCAAGACTGTAAGTCAAAATAAAATTGATTTGAAATGGTCTGAATTAATGAGATGCCTTCCATCCTGTAAGTTTCAACATTGTCATCTCAAGTGATAAGATAATGATGGACCGTTTCTTACCAAATATTTTATTAATTAACTCACGAAGCTTGGCCTGTTCAGTCAGTATAGACACTATGTTCCGGTGCCTTGGATGTGATTAGCAAGATGTGATTCCTTTAAATAATGAGCTCAAAACACATATTAAATTTAGAAGTGGTAAGCTTACAGGAAAAAGAAAGATCTGCTGGGAGTGAATAAAAGGAAAAAGAAAAAATGGCTTTGTGATTTCTATCAATGGTGTGCATGTGCGTGTGTGTGTGTGTGTGTGTGTGTGTGTGTGTACGTGTACTTGAAAGAGAGAGAGAATGCAGGCAACAGGCAAGCTGGTAAGAAATTTGATGAAATAGAGAATATGTCAATGATGTATCCTAAGAAAAAATATAGAATTTGAGGGCACAGAGTAATTCTAAATCCACCTCCAATCCCATGCAATGAAATATTTCCTCGTCCAGCACTGGGAGTACTTGTGATATACGGCTCACCTCACTAAATCTAATATCATTTCAGCCCAGAGGGACACAGAGCATGGTGACTGACTTAGCCTTTTTGAGGGAAGGGATTTTGTTGACTGTTCAAAATGTGTTGTCCTTAATGGGAGGATTTTTTTTCAAATAAAGGTAAATAATGATTTTTGAAGACTAATACCTGTGATGAAAAATTAGTGTAAAAGAAAATTTATACTCAGTAGCATCATAAAATAAGTATAATATTAGCAGTGTGCTACAAATATTATTTCTAATGTTAATACTTAAAGTGAGCTGATAATGAAACCAATTCAGCTTAGTATTATTAAGCTTATGCTTTTATTTAGCTAGTTATTTACATCTGAATCTATGTCTACATATAGCTATTCTAAATAACATTTGGATATTTGGTCTATTTAAAAGTCTTTTTCCCCTCTTGTAATAAAAATGTTTTTAAATTATCTCCTAATATTTAGAAAAGAAGGAAAGTATCTATTAGATATTTATATCTTGTACTTGTGAGGGGTAAAACAGTGGAACTTAGAACTTGAAAGACTGCCTTGTTTTAGAGGGAAAACAAAGATGCTATTTCTGGCTAATAATTGTGAATGTAACCTGAACCTTAATTACTAAGGTAAAAATAAACAAGTTCAAGATACAATCTCTTGCTAAAGTCTATTCTTCAATACATTTCTTAATACACATGGTAACATCTAAGAATAAAATTTCCAAGGAGGAATGTGTCCTAATGCAATTACCTTGGAAAGTTTTCATATTTCAGCTTATGGGAAATCATAGATTTAGGCATTTATGAATTAATTTTTGAATTAATTAAAATAGCTCAATGAAATGGCATCACTATTACACTGATAAGTCTCCGTTTCTTCTTCTCTCTATCTTGTTGCTTCATGTTCTATGTAGTAGCTAGCCATTGCTCTGGGCACTTTAATTCTTGATTTTCAAATATCAATCTTATTTTGTAAAAAAATCTCCATGCACAGAAGCTCTTCTATTAGTTACATTGCTATACAGTCTAATTTTTTATGTTGGGTCACAAATTTTATAAGCTTTCACAATATCACATTTGATACATCTTTCAAGCTTGCTTTTTCATCTTGATTAGAGGGACTGTTTAACAAATCTGCACATAGATATCCAATCTCCAGCCGGGCGCGGTGGCTCACGCCTGTAATCCCAGAACTTTGGGAGGCCAAGATGGGCGGATCATGAGGTCAGGAGATCGAGACCATCCTGGCTAACCCAGAGAAACCCCATCCCTACTAAAAATACAAAAAATTAGCTGGGCATGGTGGCGGGCGCCTGCAGTCCCAGCCCCAGCTACTCGGGAGGCTGAGGCAGGAGAATGGCGTGAAGCCAGGAGGCGGAGCTTGCAGTGAGCGGAGATGGCGCCAACGCACTCCAGCCTGGGCGACAGAGCGAGACTCCGTCTCAAAAAAAAAAAAAAAAAGATATCCAATCTCCGTTGTTTAGACACATGGGACTGCATTTTATGGAGTACTAACTCACTTCTACATTATTTGCCCAGAAACTATAGAATTCTTGTGCTATCTTTTTTCAACCACAACTAAAAGCAAATGAATTAAATACCTATTACCTCTGAACACTGTTTATACTTCTGGGTTAGGTGTGCAAATATTTTTCCCAGCACAGGAGCTGACCCTTGTCTGTGGTTATGCTGACTAAAGATTTTAATAGCAGAGAAAAATAAAATGTGTTTCAATGTGAAGAAGTAGCAAGAAGGAAAGCAAAGGTATCGCATAAGAAATCTAGAAACAGGCCAGGCGCCGTGGCTCATGCCTGTAATCCCAGCACTTTGGGAGGCCAAGGCGGGCGGATCAGGAGGTCAAGAGATAAAGACCATCTGGCCAACATGGTGAAACCCTGTTTCTACTAAAAATACAAAAATTAGCTGGGCATGGTGGCGCACCCCTAAAGTCCCAGCTACTCGGGAGGCTGAGGTAGGAAAATCACTTGAACCCAGGAGGTGGAGCTTGCAGTGAGCCGAGATATCACACCACTGCTCTCCAGCCTGGTGACAGAGTGAGACTCTGTCTCAAAAAAAAAAAAAAAAATCTAGAAACAAATATGCCCCAGTTGACAACTTTATTGTAAATGTGGTATCAGGAATTAAAGCATGAAAATGGAATGTTCAACAGCCACTAGTTAGCCATGAATAAACTTTTAAATCACCCTTCAGATTAAATACAACAAAATGGCATTACTTTTAACGATAATGAGTTATCACAGGTGCTGCATACACAAACGACTATATCACATAGGATGAAACAGAAAGCAGCAAAGAAGTGACCTTAATGAGTAACGAAAAAACATCAAGTTAGGGAGGTTAAAGAAAAGCTCGTGTTTGTTATTATTATTTGAATATTTTGAAGCATGTCTGTTGATGAAAAGAACTAGTAAATATTTATAGATACCATGGCTACCTTAGGTAGTCTGTCACTTTATCAAAATAAACATGGCCTCTGGTAAGCATTTGTTTTAAAATTTAAATTGTAAGCCTGATGCGGTGGCTCACACCTGTAATCCCAGCACTCTGGGAGGCCAAGGTGGGTGGATTGCTTGAGCTCAGGAGTTCAAGACCAGCCCGGGCAACATGGAAAAACTTCATCTTGACAAAAAAATACAAAAATTAGCCAGGCATTGTGGTGCACACATGTAGTGTCAGCTACTTGGGAGGTTGAGGTTGGGAGAATTGCTGAGCCTGAGAGGCCAAGGCTGCAGTGAGCCGTGATTGTGCTGCTGCACTCCAGCCTAGGTGACAGTGAGACCTTGTCTCAAAAAGAAAAAAAGAAGAAAAAAAAGAATTTAAAATAAGATCCATGGAAAAGACCAAATAATCTAGCATTTTTAAGCTGTCTTCAAGATTTAGAAAAGAAAAATATCTTAAAGAAAATAAGCTACATCAACCAACAAGTGGATAGAGAAAATGTGGTCCATACACACCATGGAATGCTACTTGGTTATTAAAAGGAATAATGTCTTTTTCAGCAACTTGGATGGAGCTAGAGGCCATTACTCTTATTGAAGTAATTTAGGAATGGAAAACCAAATATCGTATACTCTTACTTATAAGTGGGAGCTAAGCTACGAGGATGCAAAGGCACAAGAATAATATAATGAACTTTGGGGACTCAGGAAAGGGGAAGGTTGAGTGAGGGATGAGGAATAAAAGACTACATATCAGGTACAGTGTATACTGCTTAGGTGATGGGTGCACTACAATCTCAGAAATCACCACTAAATAATTTATCTGTGTAACCAAGAACCACCTATAACCTACTGAAATAAAAATTCAAATAAAAAAAGCCATAGTTAGTAATTACTGTAAAAAAAGAAATGGGCTAAAATGTAAAGCACCAAGTACTATATACTATGACATATATGTTATATATGTAAGTGTATATATATGTACATATATATATGAGAAGCCATTTCTTTTGTTCATTTGTTTAACAAATATTTATTGAGCTTCTCCATGTCTACAGTGACCTTTGAAGATTGCCACATAAGCAAGAAAATCACCTTCATGTTGATTAATTCTAGCCGGAAAAGAATACTAAATAAACATACAAATAAATAAACAAGAGAAATAAAGACTAAAATTTTAATGAAGGAAATAACCAGGGTTCTACAATAGTTAATAGGGGGAGAGGATACTGAGGTAGTAGTGCAAGAAAGAAGGTGCTGTTTGAGCAGAGTCCTTAAAGATGAGAAGGAGTAAACTAAGCCAACAGCCTAGGGAATGGAGTTTCAGACAGAAGAATCAGCATGTGTGAAGATTCTGAGTTGTGAGAGAGTTTGGCTTATTTAAAGAAAAGAAAGGAAGCCAAGTACTGTGGCAAGGCGAGACACCTTGAGCTGAGGTTAAAGACATGGAAGGGGCCCAGCTATGAGGGTGGTTGGGACAGGACAGGTCATCCACACTTCATTTTATGTGTAGGGGAAGCCTCCAGAAGATTTTAAATAGAGATAGTCAGATTTGTATTTCTTGATAGTGGATGTCAGTAGACAATAGTTGAGTTAATATAGATTTTATATATACATATTTTTTAAGACAGGATATCGCTCTGTCACCCAAGCTGGAATGCAGTGATGCAATCATAGCTCACTGCAGCCTTGAGCTCCTGGGCTCAAGCGATCCTCCCACTTCAGCCTCCCAGGTAGCTGGAACTACAAGTGCATGTCATCCTGCCTGGCTAATTTTTTATTTTGATATTTTTGTAGAGACATGGTCTCCCTATGTTGCTCAGGCAGGTCTTGAACTCTGGACTCAAGTGATCCTCCTACCTCATCCTCCCAAAGTTCTGGGATTACAGGCATGAGCAACCATCTTTTAAAGATCTTTTAAAATAGAAAATTTTCTCCTTGAAGAATGTTCCATATTTGGGCCTATCCCTAGGTGTGTGTAAATAATTATGTTGTTAATCATAATGTGGGCCCCCTTATGCCTGCATTATGCATACACACATACATACACTCATACAATATAGCAAGTCAATTACTTCTGTTTCTAGTGTACATTTTTAATGAAAATCATAAATCACACCATTGGTTCATCATGAAATTCAGGATCAGTCCTATAATTAATTCTGGTGAGCTTTTCATATGTGATGAATAGATATTTCCTGTGGCTAAAAAGTGGTCTGCAGATTGAAGATCTCTTAGTGTCTCTTTCCATTTTTATCATTGGTATTTCCACTAAAATTGTTGACCTCTTTAGACTTTTACACCTTGAAACAACAGTAATCTCAGAGACTTGCTTGGTTTTAAGGTTTATTAAAGAAAAGTTCCAGCTTGAGCTGCACACTCACAAAGTGGAGCCCACAGACTGTTCTCTGATGACAGGAAACAACAGGCCCTCATCCCACTGCCCGGTGGATGCTGGTTGTGTTCCACCGTATTTGGAATTTTTTTCACTGTTTTGCTGTTATTGTTTTAATCATGTTCTAAAATTGTGGGCTGTCCAAAATCCTTGGAGGCAACATAAGTCAGGAGAGAAAATGTGTCCTAGAGTTATACAGAAAATTTGTAGGCTTAAAATTGCAGGAGATATGATGGGGGTAAGAAATGCAAAAAAAAAAAAAAAAAAAAATCAGAGGAAAGATAGTTAAAATGTATTTGTGCAGACTGGACCTCACTGAAACTCGCTCAACTCTGAAACTCACAATTCTGATGTCACCTAGACTTTCAAACTCTCACCTTCTACCCACACTGAACTGCCCTACTCAAACATCTCTAGTTTCTTCTACTCATTTAAATAAAGTTTGCAATGCCAAGATACCTTCTTTTATCCCTAATGTAAGGGCTTAAAATTTCTTAAAGCAATGGCTTTAAGAAAGGAGACTTCAAAGGTGATGAATGACATTACTATGTGATGTTTCTATCAGAAATGAGAAGATTGGGAACATAGGAGAAAGGAGCATATGAGGCAAAGTAATTTTAACCATTTCATTAGAAGATTAGGTTATTTTAATTCATTGAAACATGCTGATTATAAGACTAGTTCCAAGTTGGTGTTAGGACGTGTTTCTCTTAACTTAGGCATTTGTCTTGGTGTAATGTTGAAAAATTGTTACAGTTTTCTAATTCTTGAAATACTAGATCACTGTGATGATTTTTTTCTGTTTGCCTCTCCACACCCAGACGGTACCCTCCCCACCCTGCCCTTTGTTGGAGCACAAATCTGCATGGACTCTATTCACAGATTTCCTTGCCTTCTGGCTTCTGGTTGGGTTTTGCTAACAGGAATGGTGGAGTTGGAGGTCAGAGAACAAGAGAAAAGAGAAGAGAGATATTTATTCCCTTGGCTCCCAGTTTCCCAAGTTGTTGGAGAGGGGTGGGGTTAGGGGTTAGGACAGAGAGCTGAGATGCTTTTCCAAAGGTATTTTCAATAGCTGGCTACCAGTGCTGGGTCCTGGAACCACACTCCCTCCTTTCCCAGGACTAAGAGTACTAACTCTGCACCACCTTCAATTCCCTTCAATAAACCCCGAGATTCTACACTATTCCTGGGTGATTTCCTTAAAACTCACCCACATCTTTGCAAATAGCCCATTTATTAAACTTTTCTCAATGTTGGACTCCTCTGTTTGCTAAATAGAAGTCATAAAGATGGGTTCTACAGACCAAAGAATAAATATATTTTCAGTTCAATCACATCATTTAATAAATGCACTTTAAGAGGCTAAGGTGGGAGGATTGCCTGAGGCCAGGAGTTCAAGACCAGCCTGGGCAACACAGTGAGACCCTCATTTCTTCAAAAAGCTTTTAAAAAGTAACCAGTGTGGTAGCATGTACCTGTCGTCTTACCTACTTAGGAGACTGAGGTGGGAGGATCACCTGGGTCCAGGAGTTCAAGGCTATAGGGAGCTATGATTAAAACACTGCACTCCAGCCTTGGTAACAGAGTAAGACCCTGTCTTAAAAAAAAAAAAAAAAATGTAGTACAGGGTCTCATCCTGATACATGTATTTAACCATTTATTTAATTTAACATATTTATTGTCTACTGTGGTCTGGGTGTATGTTTGGTGTTGGGAATATAAGGTCAGTGGGTCTCAAGGTACTGAGTATTCATTCAAGGCAATGCCTCGGAAGAAACCAGGAGGACCACTTAACCTTGGGGTAGCAGTTAAGGAGAATCAAAGATAGTTTCTACAAGGAGCAATTAATTTCAAGCATGAAGGGAGGGGATAGGAAACAAAGAGAGGGGATGAGAAGGAAAGTGGACTTTCTGGTCAGCGAGAAAAATATTTATCCAGTTCCAGGGGTGAGAGAGAGAACATGGCATATTTGGAGAACAAAGAGCAGCTTAGCATGGCTGCAGCATAGACCCTGATGGAGTGAGTAATATGAGGTTGCAAATGGTACCAAGGGTCTTGCATGTTGTTTTAAGAGTGTGAACTTTATTCCAAAATCAATGGGGAGAATGAGGTAATAAACAAGGGATTAACACTTCAGAAAGCTCATGCTGTCTGCAGCATGGAAACTGTGCAAGGCTGCAGGCAGAGAGGTGACTGCGCAAGGCTGGAGGCAGAGAATGAGTGAGGAAACTGACACATTAATCTAGGCAAGAGATGATAGTGGCCTGGACAAATGTCTTAGCAGTCGGAATGGGAAAAAAGTGGAGAGAATGGAGAGATGTAATCTATAGGAAACTTGCCGCTGGCAACACAGGTAATACTATATCAAACTGAACTTTAGAATACACATAGCTCTGCTTATCGGTGTTAAAGCTGAACTTCAAACTTTTCATAGCCTTTCAAGAATTTCAGTCAAGCATTTTCATTATTGCTAAAATAGCCTTTGTTAAGACTACTGTTGTTGACTTTATTGCAGTTTGAACCAGGGCCATCAATACAGTCTGCCCCAAGTAAATATTTCATGGGTGAATTAATCAGCTGTCCTTTCTTAAAACTATGTTTATAATATGTCTTTAGTGATTATAGATTTTTCTTATGTGTTTTGCAGCTTTCCATTATCTTTCTGGGTAAATATTAGTCTTAAGCAAGAATGAAATACATTACATAATATTTAAAAAAAATTACAACAGCTGTTTGTGGTGGGAATATTGTTTCAGTAATGCATTCAACAAGTCTTCACAGAACTACTCTTTTTTAAAAATTAAAAATTTTTACAAATGCTATCTTTATGATTCTCAGCACCTAAATATGTCTTTCCTTATCTATATTTTAAGACAGTCTAGCCTGCATTGAACTATGAGTAAGACATATTATATTTTAGTCAGCAAAATGCTTTGCTCAATATAAAAAAATTATTATCCTTTTTAGGACAAAGTAATATCACTTGCTAGTTTACTAAGTTTTTACACTGATTTTGCACTGATTATCACCTTGGTGAGTTGAAAAAAAGTCTCCAGTTTTCAGAAATGTCTGAAACAGAGTTACTATAAATACAAATAATCATCAAAAATATTTTTTAGATAAAAGGTATTTGGGGAAATAAAAAATATAAAGATGTTTTAAAATGTGACAGTAGTAAAAACTTTAAAAAAATAAAACACTTAAATTTGACCTGGGTCATGAATTTATTCTGACAAAGCACATCCACCGCATCAAATTATTAGTCTTCCCAAACCCCAAAGATAATGGATTACTACTGAGAACTTTTATATAAGATTAAGCTAAACTGACCTCTTTGTAAATTTCTGTTATCACTTTCAGTTGTAGCTGGCATGAAATGATATATAGTTCCATTTCTGGTGTAATGTTCAAATGTTTGTGGGTGGTTATTATATTTCCATCCACAGTTTCTCTCTCTCAAGCCTATTCTGGGTCATCTTTGTGTGCCCCTAGGTCCCTAGAGAGGTTTAATCAGTGGATAACATGTTGTCGTCCTTGATGACATTTTTCTCCTTATTTTTTACTATCATAATACACTGGTAAGACATATTTATTTTTTCCATGTGCTAGAAAAGAAAACCACTTATTATTCTTGACTTTTTTTTTTCTCATTTTTCTTTTTCAGTGAACGTTTATACCTTAAATACTTATATCCTGGGAGTACTAACTCATTATTGTCTTAATTCTTGAAAATATCAGTTTTCCTTTATGTATCCTCTCACCCACATTGGTATCTAAAACATTTCCTGTTGAGTTGAGTAGTTTCAACAATAAATGATATTATGTACTGAATTAAAATATTGCTGAATTTTTTCACTATGACTAATTATAACCTGAAATCTACATGTAATACAAAATTATAGTTAATATATCAATTTTAGAAAATAAAATACACAGCTTAAAAAGTTCTCAAATGTATATATGTGTGTGTGTGTATGTATGGGTATACACATATATATATAGAGAGAGAGAGTCACATGCCATGTAATGACATTTCAAAGACAGGCCACACATATAACTGTGTTCTCGTAAGATTATAATACTGTAATTTTACTATACCTTTTCTATGTTTAGCATGTTTGATACACTAATACTTATCATTGTATTACAGTTGCCTACAGTATTCAATGCAGTGACATCTATACAGGTTTGTAGCCTAGGAGCAATAGGGTATATTATATAGCTAGGTGTGTAGTAGGCTATACCATCTAGGTTTGTGTAAGTACACTCTATGATGCTCACACAATGATGAAATCAGCCAATGACATGTTTCTCAGAACCAATTGTTAAGTGATATATGGCTGTATACATACAATGGAATTTGTGAAGGAAATATGTTTTATTCCAAAGCTGTCAGTGAAAGCTTTTATGCATTTGATAAATGAAAAACTGGTTTATATTGAACATCTGGGTAGTAGACAAAGTCATGATTTCTCTTCTTTTAAAAAGGAAGTCTTGATGGATCATTACAAGTGCTATAAGGCCTTATATGGAAACATCATGGACTCAGATATGCTCCTTACATTATGCTCCTTACATTCTCACCCTACTGCTGTCTTCTATATGTAAAGTTCAATTATGGATTCAAATTCTGGGCAATAGCCTTAAAAAGTAGTCTGGAAGGCAAACTCTATAAAACTTGCATGATAAATGGCTAGGTAAGAAATAGTTGAATGTATTCCGTTGCTACAGAATACTGTTACTACAACATCCAGGTATTAGATAAAAGATCAGTAAGTCAGAAGTCCAAGCACAGCCTGTTTGGGTCCTCTGCTCAGGGTCCCACATGCTGAAATCAAGGTGTTGATCAGGCTGTGTTCTCATCTGAAGCTCAGGATCCACTTTCCAGAGGCAGAAATCTGTTCCTTGTGGTTGTAGAACTGAGAGTTCCATTTCTCTGCTGGCTGTCAACTGGGGGATATTTTCAGCTCCTAAAAACCAAGCACTTCTTTGCCAAGAGGCCCCCTCCATTTCCAAAGTCATTGTTAGTTGTGTGTGTCTGTGTGTGTGTGTGTGAGAGAGAGAGAGAGGGTTTTACTCTGTCGCCCAAGCTGAGTGCAATGGCGTGATCTTGGCTCACTGAAACCTCTGCATCACAGGCTCAAATGGTCCTCCTGCCTCAGCCTCCCAAGTAGATGGGATTACAGGCATGCACCATCTCATTCTACTAATTTTTGTAGTTTTTGTAAAGACGGGGTGTCACCATGTTGCCCAGGCTGGTCTTGAACTCCCGGACTCAAGCAATCTGCCTGCCTCGGCCTCCCAAAGTGCTTGGATTATAGGCATGAGCAACCCCAAAGTCATCGTTAATTCTTCATCACACCTCAAATCTCTCTGACTTCTCTCTCTCTCTCTCTCTCTGACCCCTGAACCCACATTTAAAGGGCTCATGTGATTAGGTCAGGCCTGCCCAGATATTTCCCTATCTGAAGGTCAATGGATTTTGGAACTAATTGCATCTGCAGGATCTTTTCAACAGCAACACCTCAATTAGTGTTTCATTGAATAACTGGAACACAGTGCGCATATACAAGGGGCTGAGAATCTTGTGAGCTGTCTTAGAATTCTGCTTCCCACAAACAGCAAATAGACTGAAATGTTGAACAGCTAGTGGCTAGATAAGAAACATTTGAACAGTAAAGGTGATTGATTGTTGTTTTCAACCCAAATTTCTCCAAACTGATTGTATTTTTGTGAGCTGTGACATTATCAAAAGAGTAACCAGATAATACAGGACTCCAAAGTAATAAAGTAAATTGGGAAGGAGAACACTAAGCCTGGAAGATATTTCTCTCTCCGCTAACATTCAGGGAGCTCAGGGTGGTCTATAAAGTCTTCAGATCTTACAGGCTGTTTGTAGAAATGCTACAGGTATTTTTGTAAAACATATTTTGGAGAAGAGCTGCACAAGCTGAAATTCCAGATTTTGAGGCAGGAAATCCTAAAAGGAATAGTTAGAGCCTATAGGAATATGCATGATTCAGATGTGGAACTTTACAGTCCAAACTTCTAGCACTTCAGACAGAGGTTGAGAATGTTAAACAATTATGTCACTTTGGTAACAGTAACAAGACTGATTTATTGAGGGAGATCATCAGGGGCATAGGCCAATGGCTGAGATACAAAATACAATGAGATGCCTACTATTCGGTACAAAACATGAAATGGATTAAAACAATGTCAGCTGGGCACGAGTGGCTCACGCCTGTAATCCCAGCACTTTGGGAGGCCGAGGCGGGTGGATCACCTGAAGTCAGGAGTTCGAGACCAGCCTGACCAACATGGTGAAACTCCATCTCTACTGAAAATACAAAAATTAGCTGGGTGTGGTGATGGGAGCCTGTAATCCCAGCTACTGGGGAGCCTGAGACAGGAGAATTGCTTGAACCCAGGAGGTGGAGGTTGCAGTGAGCCGAGATCATGCCACTGCACTCCAGCCTCAGTGACAGAGGGAGACTCTGTCTCAAAAAACAAAAACAAACAAAAACCAAAAAAACACACACACACACACAAAAACAAAAAATAATGTCTACAGAAAGGCAATCCTAATCATGCAGTAAGTGGGAATTCCAAATCATTGGCTCCTCACAGGTCTAAGGGATTTGGTGTAAGTGCCCTAGATTTGCTGGTATTTGAATAAGGTGAACCACAAAAGATTTGGTTTTTTGGCCACTTAGGTGATCTCATTCTTCTAGTAGCATGACTGACAATAGCAGTGTGGGTCTAAGTTATATATATGCAGTTTTCCAGCTTGGAATAAGTAAATTTGAATTTAATTCTCAATGTTTAGGGTGTTTGGTTGATACATCAAGGTCCTTGTGTATTTTATTAACCTTTGGAAAATTGGGACTCAGGGGATATTGGTTAACATGATTACGTTAATTCATGTTTGGAGGTGCCAATGGAACTGCATTCTCCTCAATCAGGCTGCAGCTGCGGAAAAGAGGAGTCCAGCTTGCAATGAGGCATCTGAATAGAAGATCTCTGGCTAGGACTAAGGAAAATAGAACATGAGTGAGAGGAGAATCTCAAGCTGTACTTTTCTTGGCTGTTGTTCAATTTAGAAAGGAAGTGGCAGTCAGATGGGATTCACTGGTAAGCCATGGCTGCTGCTGCTCTCCTGCTTATATGCTGGGTAATAGAACACCTCAGTGCCCACTCAGCCTTCCCTGGGGCAGAGCGATTACTGACTTGTTCTTTCCTTCAGCCAAGCAGCCTAAAAACCAGCCAATTCAGGGCTGCCATGCCTCTGACCTGGCAGTTTTCTCAGCCCCTGCATCAGGTACCCAGGTCATTTGGCCTGTCTTTCTAAACTCTAGTTTCTGTACTGTTTGGTTTGGGGTTTTACAATTTTTGTTGTTGTTTTAATCAAAGTTCCTCTGAGCCCTAAACTGAGCCTGAATCATCATTTTGGCCTAGCTCTTATCCAAAAAGAGCTGTGGCAGGGTGTGGCAGAGTGCATGGTAAAAAGAGGCTATTGGTCAAACACCAAGTGTCTAAAAGATCAGGTGGAGGCAGTAATGAGAAGAGCTAGAGGAAGGGAGGTAGTGATGGATGGTATGTGGTATGAGCTTCAAAGAGATCCAGAGTATACGTGAGGAAGAACAATGTGGCTTTTAAAACTACATATATTTTATAGGCCAAATGTATAAAATCAGACAGCACTTCTCAGAATGACATTATGTGAAATGACCATCACAGTGGTGGTACCAGTCCTGAGCTTACACTAGACGTTTCATTTTTTTTAGTGCATCTAGCGCCAATAAGAGCGTGTACTTGTAAAAACTAGAATGCTACTGTATGTATTTTAACAAGAAATAGAGCTGTCCATGTAGAGTAGGACAGAAAGCTCGGAAAAGTATAAAAGGTAATTCATATGATTTTCAGAGAGTTATTTAGTAACTATGAAAAGAAACAAAAGGATATATTTACATACTAACTCTCCCTATGGCTAGGGTACACGGTGCTGGGAGAGGCAATGTATCCATCCGTAACACAAACACATCAGCCTGACAAATAGCCTGAATCACAGACTAGAGTTTATCAGGATGCCCTCTTTCCTAAACTGGGAAACAAATTATTATAGACACAGACACAAATTTTATTTTTTTTCTCTTCCCCATCTCCTCATCCATCACCACTGTATCTTCCCCCTGAATTCTAGGCATACCACCTTCTTTTACTGACGCATCCTTTATTATAGATAGATTAACATCATTGATTAAGCTCCAGCAACCTGTTTTACCAATTGATCTTGTTCATAAATTATAGATACACTTATGGGTATTAGATAAGTTGTTTCCCACATCTCCTCAGCTACACATTTTCTATCTATCCCCATGTTCTGGGAGCATCTTACTGTTTTCTTCCAAGTTCTGGCACTGGTTATGTTTTGTTTAGTTGAAGAGTGAATTATATGGTGTATAGTGCAAGCTGAATTTCCGACAACTATTTCTTTTAATGTATTCATAACATATCAAGCAAGTTTATCTTGGAAGATAATGTGACCTCTGGGGGCTCAATCATCACTTAACCCCAGAGATACAGGTGCTCAGAGAGAACAGACATCTAAGTAGCTTTTATAAGGGCTAAAAACAAGGGAGGAACATTTGCTCATGAAATTAAAATTCCAGTAAAGGAGGAAAATAAAACAAAATAAACCAAGCTTTTATTCTTATTCACACAGAGTCTCTTTTTCTCTCTCTCCTTATTTCATTGGAGTCTATTTATTGACAAAACTTTGTGACTGACAAAGGCTGGCAAGTATATAAAGTGTTGGAACAAATGCCTCAGGATTTTGATAATCCATTGAATGGTATCGATCATTCTTCAGCCTTTCATATATCTTTTTCCTAGGAATATATAAGCTGACATATTTTTAACTGTTTGTTTTCCAGTTTACCCAGTGCAATGTTTCTGAGTTAGAATTTTTCTTCCACTTTCAGAAGGGAATAAAGATATTTTATATGCTAAAAAAAAAACCTCTCCAGTATTCCCACTGTGGTATATTCTGCATTCTAAATATATTTATATATCTTGCATCATTATTTTGTTCTAATTATTAAATAGAATAAACAATTACAAAATTCTATTTTGGTTTTATATTCTAATTTTTCATAATTTTATTCAGACAAGTATTTAAAGTTGATTTTTCTCATATATGTATTTCTGGATCTACCAAATACTGATTTTCTCATGCAAAAGAAAAAATTAAAAGAAAAACTACTAGGGCTGGGTGCAATGGCTCACGCCTGTAATCCCAGCACTTTCCGAGGCCGAGGCAGGCGGATCACCTGAGGTCAGGAGTTCAAGACTAGCCTGGCCAACATGACAAAACCCCGTCTCTACTAAGAATACAAATACAATTATCTGGATATGGTGATGTGTACCTGTAATCCCAGCTACTCGGGAGGCTGAGGCATGAGAATCGCTTGAACAAGGGAGGCAGAGGTTACATTGAGCCAAGATCACACACTGCACTCCAGCCTGGGCAACAGAGCGAGACTCGGTCTCAAAAAAAAATTACTATTAAATGATATTAATATCTCAAACTCATGAAGAGCATATTAAATATTTCCCTTTTGTCTTCACTTTAGCTGCTGAGGGCAGTGACAGAGACTGATAAGTATTTCCCATAGGATGCTTCTTTAGCATGTACTAGTCATGGAGTTATGAAACAAAAGTAACTATGCATTTGTAAGTAAATTCCAGAGAAATTCAAATTGGTTTAAAGGATGTGGCTTCTAACCCAGGCTAAGATGTTTGCACTTCCCAGTAACCTGAGTAATAATATTAGTAACTGTCTGAGTTCATTTGTGCTACTGTAACAAAATCCCTTAGACTAGGTAATTTATAAGGAACAGATATTTCTTTCTTATAGTTCTGGAGGCTGGGAAGTCCAAGATTAAGGTGCCAGCAGCGGTGTCTGGTGCTGATTGCTCTCTGCTCTCAAGATAGCCCCTTCTCACTGTGTCTTCACATAGTACAAGGCAGAAGGGCAAAAGAGTGCTCCCTTTAACCTTTTATAAGGTTAGCCCTTTTGTCACTAATCCCAGTAATAAGAGTGCAGTTTTTATGACTTAATTACCTCCCAAAGGCTACCCTCTTAATAGGAACAGTATTGGGGATTTCGTTTCAACATAAGTTTTGAAGGGGACACCATCATTCAAACCATAGCTGTAATTAAATATGGAATTAACTCTTCTTTATTAAGCCAGGGGAATTTTAACTAAGCAGATAGAATAAATCAAAATATCAAAATGAACATGATTGAAGGGAGTTGTTGGTGCCTACTAATCCTTTAGCACAATTTCTGCTGTCATTTCATGGAAACAGTAGAGAGCATTTCTTTTAGTTTTAGACATGTCCTAGGAGTCTTGGAAATCAACTGATAAGCTTTTTTTCTATGCACTACTGATGACTACATTTTAAAAGAAGCTGAAGAACTATGGATACCTGAGGAACCATGTATCCAATTTCCCTGCTTTCCTCCAGGAATGTTCACTGCCCAGTCAAGGGAGAGACAGCAAGAAATCAGAGGCCTGCTTGGAAAGTGGATCTCTAGGGCCCTAAATTACTACATGTTTGTGCCTTGGACTGATGTCTTTCCAAGGTATGGGGAAATGCAGAACCTCCTGAAGACAGGTTTCCAGTGGAATCAGGGATTCCCCTATGGAATTAGCAGTCTGACGTCGACCTGGCAAAATTTTCCTAAGATTACCAAAAGGGAAATAGAAACACAGCTACACTGCCTCCCCTGCGATATCCAAGTGAATGACCTCTGGACCAGAGTGCAGTAACAGTGCATGTTCTTGTGATGAGTCTCAGCTAGTAATGAGATTACTTATAGAATCAGAAGGATCTTGGGAAACCTCTAGCTTAACTTCCTCATTTTACAGAAGAGGAAACTTAGTCCAGGTTATGTCTATTTCTACAGTGTGTGCACCATATATAATTCACACACTATCTTTTCAAGAACATTCATTTATGTAGTGACTTTCACGGAAATAGTTGAAAATTTTATTTTAAAAAAAGCCATACTTTTCTACTGGGTTTGTGTAATTGAATACCACATTATTGAACTGTTTGAACATTTACAAGGTAATTTTTTATATTAGTAAAGTTAAGGCTGTTGTTAATTCATTGTTTACCTAAAGCTCAGAATGTGTCCTTGAGAATAAAAGATTTATTTCTTAAAGAGATATTGACTTTCTATTAAAAATATGTGCATTATTAGATGGAAAGTTTATTCAAAATAAAAAATACAATGTCTAAACAGTGTGGTTGGAAATTATTCTCTCATGCGGATCCAGAAGGAGGCCTGATCTCATCAACAATAAAATAAGAACTGTAATCTGAATCTATCATAAAATGACTATTGAAAATAATAGTATCTCGCTCATATATAGAGGTAAACATGCTGTCAGTAACTACCCTGAGGCTCTGTTGAAAGCCTCTTTAAGAAAGTCATTCATAACAAAGATAAGTTGTTTTCCCAATTTAATTAGAAAAACATTTAAATATCCATTAACCATCATTGAATAATAAGTGTTGCAAAAATATACACAAATAACATTTTAGCAATTCCGTTTTAAATCTTTGACTGACAAAACAATGGAAGATGTATCTTTTCTACAGAATTCCCTGTACCTTGAACCACCCCCCCATCCCCACCCCCCCACACACACACACAAATCAATCCCTGCAAAGGGGGAAAAAATGTGAATGTCACTCTTCTTTGGAATTCTTTTCATATTAGGAAGCAAAATTTTATAAGTGGGTGTTAGGGTTTATGTATGCAAGCAGACTGACATCTTTATATTTTCTTCCATATTAAAAGAACTAGGGAATTCAGGACTTCCCTATATATAGTAGCACACACTATACATTTATTTACAGGATTTACTGATAATGGTACAGGTATTATTTCATCTTTCTGAAGTTTTCTCATCACAAGATGACGAAAGAATTTTAGCATTCTGATCTGGATCTCTCACTACCCCTTCAAAAATGTCTATACAAACATCTAAAATTAAAAGGGCAGTCAAGAAAGCAGAAATATCTTACTCATGCAGTGAACTTTGGTGTCAGTGCTAAAAGTTGCATTGCATTACTTAGGGAAAAAAATCATAGATGCAATTTCAGAAAAATAAGTAAAAATTACTGTGATTTGTTGCAAGCCTATTTCAGAAAATTAAAGTCTAGACTTGTCTTTTTGAACTTGAGAATCAGAACCAGGTTGAATTTTTAGTACTATTGTCATGCTGATGTTTCTAATAGTCTAATAACCCAATGCATCAGTGAAAACTTGTAAAAAATGGACAGGAGATTACATCCAAAAGGAAGTGGATAGATGCTTTTTGAAACCTTGTTGAAGCTATATGAATTATTCTGCCATGCCATGCCTGACAGCTCTGCTTCTAGGAACAGCCAGTGTGGCCAAGCATAAAGCTATGCATCAGAAAAGGGCTAATTATTTAATTAAAAGGAGAAGCTTTACATGACTGCACCATTAACTTGATGATAGTAGAGTTAAACACAAGGCCAGATGGTTTTGTGTTTGTTGGTTGTATTTGATTTTCATGTGTTTGTTCATTGTCATGCTTAGCATTATTGGACTGCTACAGTCAAGAAGATAAAATCCTTTAATACTCTATTTAGAACTACAGGAGACAAAGCTTGATCAATAATTTTTATGAATCTGTAAACTATTACAGCACGGCATGTTCCCGCAGACTTTCCCCTGGTGACATGGCTATATTATTTTGGGACTAGAGGCCAAGCAATATTGAAATCCTGCTTGAATTCATCTTTTACAGACCATAAAAGTGACAAGATCCCCAAAGATTTACATTTTTTTATGCTATAGATTAATCAATCTTGCAGGTGGAAAGAGAAGGATTTCAATGTGTGTGCTATAGAGTATCTTTTCAGCCTGACGAGAGTGTAAGAAATTAATTTCCCTTTTCCAACAGAAGAGGATAGTGAGAGCAACTTGTCTAAATCAAAGAAAATGCAGTTAAAGTTTCTTTTTGCCACATGCTTTTTGATTGATTTTGACAATGATGTCAACAGTGAAATAAAGTAAAACCTCTGGAATGCATAAGTTTATGGAAAATGATTTTTTGGCAACAATAAAATAGCAGGTGATTTTTTGTTGCTGTTGTTAAATTCACCCTCAAATACTGATTGATAAATGTCTGTTCAGAATTGTTACTAATTGCAGTATTTATTTCTGGTGTTGTTCAAAATGCAAGGGTTCCATGCAGATGAGTTTTATCCCCCAAACTCTTAAATAATTTGTTAGAACAGACATGCCCAAATTGACTTCATTCATTTAAAAAAAAAAGTTGTCAAATTTTTCCATATTCATCCTCTAAAAATATAATTTTTTTCTAAGGACTTTATCAATTATTTAAGCACAGTAGCAAATAAATTATTTTATTCTCTGCTTTGGACAGTCCTTTAGCATAAAAATACCACTGACAATTTCAGAATGTCATTGGGTATTTTACAGACTATGAATTTATTCTGGAAGTGTTAACTCATTTGTTCCATCAATTTAAACAAGTTAAGATTTTCTCACAAAGAGGAAAGATAATGGAATATTTATTTAAAATGTTAGATAGTTTTAATTTACTAAAGAACTTAGAAGTACAATTTAGCAATATCTATCAAAATTAAAAGTACATATAGCTTTTAACAGAAATTCTACTTGTGGAAATTTATTTGATAGGTATACTCACACATATAGATATAGTTTCACATATGTGAATAGATTTGTCTTCAAATTATTTATAGAAGAATCTTTGTAATAACAAATGACAAAAACTATCTAAATGTTCTTCCTTAGTACACTTCTCATAGTATGTTTCAACTATATTTTGGATTACTATGCAATAGATATACTGATGTACTGACATAGACTATCAAGACATTGTTGGGTAGAAAAAACATGATACAGAATAATGTACATTGTATGTTACCATTTGTATGTAAATAAAGGAGGGAGAGAGAATATATATTTATATTTAATATGATCACTGGGCTGGGCGTGGTGGCTCAAGCCTGTAATCCCAGCACTTTGGGAGGTCAAGGTGGGTGGATCACGAGGTCAGGAGTTTGAGACCAGCCTGACCAACATGGTGAAACCCTGTTTCTACTAAAAATACAAAAAATTAGCTGGGTGTGGTGGTGCGTACCTGTAATCCCAGCTACTCAGGAGGCTGAAGCAGGAGAATCGCTTGAACCCAGGAGTTGGAGGTTGCAGTGAGCCGAGATCGTATCACTGCACTCCAGCCTGGGTGACAGAGCGAGACTCCATCTCAAAAGTAAATTAAATAAATAAATAAATAAGATCTCTGGAAAAATATATTTGAAACAATACACTTAATAATAGTGGTAAGAGGTGAGGTGGAAAATAAGCATCAGGAAATCCATTATCTTATTTCCTGAAGAAAGGAATGGGGGGAGGCTTTTCTCTTGTCCCCACTTATAATTTTTTATGTTTATGTTTGGACCTTGTGAATATTTTCAGTAGGCACAAATTAAATAATTTTTAAAATAAAAGAAAAAAGGTGACTAACATATACGCATCACCTGTAAGGGGACCAGGATTTGTTGGATGAATTAGGTCCTTGATAATTCTGGCATATTTTGTGGAAGATGCTGTCCCTGCCTGCTCCAATCTCCCCTGCCTTTATGGCTTTAGTGTGAGCCTCCACTTTCAACCATCAGCATCTGCTTCAGTCTTTGCTTTACCTTATTATGGAGCAGGCAAGAAGTACTGGGGAATTAATCTTCTACCTCAGAAGCAGCCCATAACCAATCACTGGAGAGGGTGGTGCAGTCCATACCCCAGTTCCCCATCCCTCAGTTTGGGCAGTGAGGTCTGTATTCTACCCTGGAATTAAGCGATATCGCTGAACATGGTGACTTGCTTGATCATGCATCCCTTGTTGGCTGCCTTCCTTTCTCTCTCTCACTTCTTTTTGTTTGTTTGTTTGTTTTGTTTTGTTTTTTTGAGACTGAGTCTTACACTGTTGCCTGGGCTGGAGTGCAAAGGCACGATCTCGGCTCACTGCAACCTCTGCTTCCCGGGTTCAAGCGATTCTCCGGCCTCAGCCTCCCGAGTAGCTGGGATTACAGGCACGTGACACCATGCCCGACTAATCTTTTGTATTTTTAGCAGAGACAGGGATTCACTATGTTGGCCAGGCTGGTATCGAACTCCTAACCTCGTGATCTGCCTGCCTCGGCCTCCCAAAGTGCTGGTATTACAGGCGTGATCACTTCTTCACTCCTTCACTGATGCTTCCTGATATTACTTCCAAAATAAACTACTTATACTCCAGTCCTCATTGCAGGGGTTATTTCTGGAGGAACCCACATTAAGACAGTTGGTCCTAGAATTTTAGTGGTGAAGTGGTAATTTCTGGTGTGCCATAGCATCGTCATATGGAGACTTCCCCTGTGGAATGGGATAGAGATTCAAGGGGACAAACTGGGCTTGTGAAATATCTCTAGCATTTTGAGAGATAAAGGGGCAATGATAATTGTACAGATTGTGGAGTTGATTGTTGCTAAGATTAAATGAAGGACTGAGGGAAGCTTTGGGTCACCAACTGTTATCTCAAGGCATGGTGAAATCCAGAAAGTCTCTGTGGCAGTGTTTAGAGGGATTCTTGTCTGCAGTTGGAAAATAGCTTGTGCCACAAAATCAACCAAGGATCTGATGTTACAAGTAGTAGCATTACACAGAAGGCTAAATTAATGGCCTTCTACAGTCAAACAAGAACTCTGATAAGAAAGGATTGGGACCTTGAGACCTGGGTTGAGGAAATTAAGGGATGCACTTGAGCACTCTGTACCCCAGTGTCATTGAATCCACAGGGCTAGGAGAAGTGGCACACTGCCCCTTGCTGGAAAGCAATAGCATCCTCTCGTGTGAAGAGCTTGCAAAGCCCTCACCTTACACAGATAGCTCTCAAGGTGATATTAATCTCCCTCAAGATCTGCTCCCACCTCTCCTTGTTGTTTCTGAACTAATAACTAGGGCTGCATCACAGCATGGTCTACTATGGGAAAAAATATACTATTTACCCAAAGAGCCACAGGATCTGGTTAAAAGGTACCAGGATGAACCAGGAGAACATGCCTGGGAAGGGATTGTGAAGATGTTGGCTGAAGTGGGGAATGGAATGTAAGACTGGTTAAAAGAGAGTTTATTGCCATGGGGCACTCTCCTGGGACTGAGGATTTAATATTCTGACAAGGATGTCTGTACTGCTGAGATGTCTTCGCACAACTTTGAAAAAACATTGGCAAACCACAAATTAAGTGCCGATGCCAGAACTTCCTTAGCAGAGTATTGAGGATTGGTCAAAAAGCTAAGAGAGCTGATCACGCTAAAGCAAATACAATTTAGAATAGATACTATTTTCACCAATTGCCCATATATATTTGGAGGGCCCAGAGAACACTCCTTTCTCTAAAGCAGTAGAGACTTCACTACTGAGGGGGCATTAGCATCACTGAGAATTTCAATGGTGTCTGCTCTCTGTGTGGAGGATGCCCAGCAAAATACAGGATACAATATTTGGGATATTCTTATGTTAAAAATATTACTCGTTATCTGAAATTCAAATTTAACAGAATGTGTGTGTGTGTGTGTGTGTGTGTGCTAAAATGTTTTTTTTTTTATAAACCAGATGATTTGTATCATAGGCCAGTGTTGATGACAGGAAATGCCACTATAAAATGGGCTCCATAGTGTCACAGAAGATGGAATGATTTCAAAACAATAGAGATGGGTAGTTGCCCCTCATCATCGGAGGAAAAACGAATGAAATTCTGTTAAAGGACAACAGAGCTGGATTAGCAGCCAGGCTCTGAGTAGCAAGGATCTTTAGCAATGGCTAATAGACCATGGTATTCCTCGGAGCAACATAAATGGGCAGCTAATGAGAGTTCCGTTTAACTATGATATCCAGAAAGGATCAAGAGTGGGTTATTTCAGCTCCTGCAACTGAAATTTTTGACTTCTTTCCCAGTTTCTAGATCTAGCCAATTCTTATATCAAGAGCCCATTAATCTAAAGGGAGGCCAGATTCTTTTAGGGAAAACTCTGAATTATCAGAGCAAGCATCAGGAAACATTCCCCCAACTCTTCCTCAAAGGGACCTGCTATGATATCCAGAGTACCTGAACACAAGTAAAAGGAAATACCCAAATCCTTTTAGGACTCCTAGACATAGCACTTGAATGAAACGGATACCAGACAACCCAAAACACCATCATGGCTCCCACAGCAGGGAGGTGAGTATGGAGTCCTACAGAAACCAGGGGGAAGATGGATTCCTGGACTGAGTCTGTCTCACAGTGGGTTTAATACACCCACACAGCACCTGGATCATTTCTCTAGACTGGGAGTGTGTAATTGGATTAGATATGCTTAGCAGGTGGCAGAAACCTCAACTTGAGCATCTGATCTGTGGAGTAAGAGCTATAAAGACAGGAAAGGCCAAGTAGAAACCACTGAAACTGCCACCTCCCTTCTGGCCAGGAAAGGACATCAGAAACAAACCTACCCACTGGGAGAAAAAGTCGAGATTAGAGCCATCCTCAAAACTTATTAGCCATCCTCATAAGGTCCTTGTTGAATTCATCAGCCTCCTGTGGTGCCTCATGGTGAATGACAAAAGACTACTGTGAATTTAACCAAGTGTTAGCCCCAACCTCAACCATAGTGACAGATAGGCTCTTTTTTATAGAAAAAGCATGCTACTTCTGATCTGGTAATTGGGTTTTTTTCAATCCCCACCAAGAAGGAGAACTGGAAGTTTGTATTCACTTAGAATTGACACTAGTACACATTAAAAGTCTCATCCCAGGGCTATGTTGACTCTTCCGCTCTCTTTCACAGTACAGTCCAAAGAAAACTTCATCGTCCGAATGTTAAAGCATCGCACTGCTTCACGCATTGATGACATCATGTTAATTTCACCTGAGAAGCAGAAATGGACAAGTAACACGTGCGTCCTTATAAGAAACATTCACGCCTGAATTTAGAAGGAAAACCCTTCAGATATAAGAGGCGGGCTACAGAGTGAAGTTTTTGAAGAGGTCTAGTTTATTCAGATTCCCAGGGCAAGTGTTACATCTTGCACCTCCTAAGAAGGAGGCACAGTAAATTTAGTAGACCGCTTCCAATTTTGGAGACAGCACATACTGCACTTGGTGCCAAGTTGATTACATAGTGCCCTCGTCATCCTGTAGGGCAGCAATTCATGCTTCTTTGGACTGATACATGTTCTGGATATAAGTTTGTCTTTCCTCTCTACAGTGCATCATCCTGCACTGCTTTCTGAGAGCTCACAGAATCATGGTGCATTACCACGGGATCACACATAATGCTGCTTGGATGAATGAACCCACTTTATGAGGGAGGAGGTGTGACAAAGAGCACATAATCATGGGATCCAGCAATCTTTCCTATACACCACATCAACCACTAACATAGCCAGAGAGAAAATCCGAATGGCCTCCTCAAAGTACTACTTCCCTTTCCCTGCCTCTCTTGCCCACTTCCCTTCCAGTATGTCCTGGATCACCTCCCAGATAAATTATTCACCCTAGACTCCTTCAGTGAGGGCTTGCTTCTGGGGCAACCAAACTAAATCACAGTGTAATAACTGCATGGGTTCTTGTCAGTTTGTTAACATCAATTCTTTCTCTTCTAAGCATGCGTGCCTTGTTCCACTCCATTTACTAGGCTAGAATAGCAAAACATTTGTCTGCAGCCAGCATACATCTACATTTCCCATAGACACCAATTCTTATAATCAGGACACAGAATTTACTAAATTTATGTCAGACTCTGAACTTCACTTTCATTGGGTCTAGCCTAATTTATTTTTAGTGCTTTAAGCCCATGCTTACTTCCACAGGAAAAAGCACACTGTAGTAAATTAGGCAGGTTTTATAGGGGGATATAGATAGTCTTGGGTTTGAGTCTTACTAACTTATTTTATGGTAATGAAGGGTGAGTATCATACACTCAGAGCTGAGTTGAGTATCATAAACTCTGAACCAAGTTTCATTCTCTGTACTCTGAGAATATAATATGTATTTTGCAAGTCTTTTTGGAATGTTACTCAAAACAAGTTCTTTCATGCCCAGCACATACTGTATCCCTAATGAAAGCTAATTTTTCTCTTACTGTTCACCCTAGCTCCGTGTGTAAACACTTTCACCCTAACTCTGTGTGTAAACACCTTCTTCTAATTTTCAAAACATTTATAATTTAGGGAAAACTCTGACTCAACACAGCAGTCACCTGAAAATATTTCCCAAACTCTTCCTCAAAGGGAGCTGCTACCATATTCAGAGTACCTGAACACAGGTAAAAGGAAATACCCAAAACCTTTTAAAACTGTTAGATATAACATCAATTTTTCTATTTTCATACTGCTATAAAGAACTGCCTGAGACTGGGTAATTTATAAAAGAAAGAGGTTTAATTGACTCACGGTTCAGCATGGCTGGGAGGCCTCAGGAAACTTAGAATCATGGTGGAACAGGAAGAGGAAGCAAGGCACTTTCTTCACAAGGCAGCAGGAAGGAAAAGTGCCAAGTGAAGATGGAAGAGCCCCTTATAAAACCATCAGATCTCATGAGATCTCACTCAGTGTCATTAGAACAGCATGGGGGAAGCTGTTTCCATGATTCAATCACCTCCACCTGGTCTCCCCCTTGACACTTGGGGATTATGGGGATTACAATTCAAGATGAGATTTGGGTGGGGACACAAAGCCTAACCATATCATAGCATTTGAATGAAACTGATACCAGAGAACCCAAAACACCATCACAGCCCCCACTGAGGGCAGCTGGTTAGGGAGTCCTACAGAAACCAGATAGGAGGAATAAGTTCTAGTGTTCTGTACCACTGCATTCTGAAGAATGGAAATTATGAAGATTAATGGAGATAAAGTAAGTAGAGTGCTTAATATACAATAAGTGCTCAATAAATGTTTGTCCCTTTCTCATGTAGCATTATTTCTATCTGCTTTAAATTGTCAGACTTTCAAAAAGAACTTTAATCATTACTGGAGAGGAGAAAAGCATATTCTTTAATCAGACTTACTTCTAGCTATTTATTTTCTAGAGCAGCAATTTTTACACATAATAGTTTGACCTTTATTACAGATTTATCTTATCACCTGGGTTGGTGCGATAAATACAGTTTCTATCTGTTCACCCCAAAAGCATCAGCTAGGGAGGTTATTGCCCCCACAAGACAGGCAATCTCATTTTTGTGCATTTCTGTTAGAAAGATGAGAGTAAAAAAAGGGGCCAGGCACAGTGGTTCACACCTGTAATCCCAGCACTTTGGGAGGTCGAGGCGGGCAGATCACGAGGTCAGGAGTTCAAGACCAGCCTGGCCAATATTGTGAAACCCCATCTCTACTAAAAATACAAAACTTAGCCGGGCATGGTGGCGTGTGCCTGTAGTCCCAGCTACTCGGGAGGCTAAGGCAGAAATCGCTTAAACCCGGGAGGTGGAGGTAGCAGTGAGCCGAGATTGTGCCACTGCACTCCAGCCTGGGTGACAGAGC
This sequence comes from Homo sapiens, assembly GCF_000001405.40. Taxonomy (NCBI): domain Eukaryota; kingdom Metazoa; phylum Chordata; class Mammalia; order Primates; family Hominidae; genus Homo; species Homo sapiens. The sequence goes on from NC_000018.10 coordinate 27,216,467, forward strand.
AAGACTCTACCTCAAAAAAAAAAAAAAAAAAAAAAAAAAAGTGAGTAGGTGTGAAGACCAGAGTAAAGGCATAGCCAATCAGGACAAGTTTCCTCAGACAGCAATTTTTTTCTGGCACTCTGCCCTTCAGGAGACTGGCCTGGGCTCCAGAATTTCTAAATGGGATGGACCAGTGGCTTACCAAGGTCAGAACAATGGGTACAGTCTACATACCTTCTGGGAATAAGAAGGTTCAATGGCTATAGAGAATTTAAAAATAGTAATAAAACTGACCAAAAGTTAACCTGCTTTGTTTTATCCTACATAGTAGCATTTCTAAACAATGTTAGTGTTAAAAAAAACCTAGAAGACATTAAGTTCAGATAAAAACGCTAGGGACAGAAAGTTAGACAACACATGTTCTCATTCATAGGTGGAAACAAAAAATAAAAAGTTCTTATAGAAGTAAAAAGTAGAACAGAGGACACTAAATGCTGGGAAGGGTGGAGGACAAGGGGAATAGGAAGAGATTTGTTAAAAGACATAAAATTACAGCTGGATAAGAGGGATAAGTTCTAGTGTTTGATACCACTGTAGGATGACTACAGTTAACAATAGTATATTATGTAGTTTCAAATAGCTAGGGGATATTGAATGTTCTAAACACAAATACATGAAAAATATTTGAGATGATGGATATGCTAATTGCCATGATCTGATCACAGTACATTATATGTATCAAAACATCCCTATGCACCTCGTAAATATGTATGATTATCGGCCGGGCGCGGTGGCTCACGCCTGTGATCCCAGCACTTTGGGAGGCCGAGGCGGGCGGATCACGAGGTCAGGAGATCGAGACCATCCCGGCTAAAACGGTGAAACCCCGTCTCTACTAAAAATACAAAAAAAATTAGCCGGGCGTAGTGGCGGGCGCCTGTAGTCCCAGCTACTTGGGAGGCTGAGGCAGGAGAATGGCGTGAACCCGGGAGGCGGAGCTTGCAGTGAGCCGAGATCCCGCCACTGCACTCCAGCCTGGGTGACAGAGCGAGACTCCGTCTCAAAAAAAAAAAAAAAAAAAAAAAAAATATGTATGATTATCATGTGTCAATTAACTTTTTTAAAAAAAGATGTAAGACAACTAAAAAAGCTTCTCTGAAAACAATGTCATTGGTCTACTAAGTCATTACTGTGGGTATTGTTGATGTTTTTGTATTTATTATTTAATATACATTGTATTTGGCATGAAAATGGATTCACTCAACTCTTGTCCCCATCCCCTGGATATGTAGACTCAGCTACATGCATTTAGTTCAGAATCATCTGAGCTTGTGTCAAGAGAAATTTCCATCTCCAGTCCTGGTGGTATGTTATAGATTCCTGCATTTAAATAGTAGATTTGAAATAAACATTTTAGCACACAGAAGATTATAAAGAAGAAACAACCAGAGTTACTAAATTCTGTTGTTCTTTTTTTTTTTTTTTTTTGAGACAGAGTCTTACTCTATTGCCCAGGCTGGAGTGCAGTGGTGCAATCTTGGCTCACTGCAAGCTCCGCCTCCTGGGTTCATGCCATTCTCCTGCCTCAGCCTCCCAAGTATCTGGGACTACAGATGCCCACCACCACGTCTGGCTAATTTTTTGTATTTTTAGTAGAGATGAGGTTTCACTGTGTTAGCCAGGATGGTCTTGATCTCCTGACCTCGTGATCCACCTGCCTCAGCCTCCCAAAGTTCTGGGATTACAGGTGTGAGCCACTGTGCCCGGCCTTAAATTCTGTAGTTCTATGTGACCATTCATGTTTAAAACGTAAAACGGTGACAGAATGAATGAACATTGTAAAGTGTATTAGTTTGGTAAGTATGAATTTTTGTCCATATGAGAAATGTGTTCGTGCTACTTCATGATTATTACTGAAAATAACTTCGTTGTATAGAAAAAAGGGGCATTATAATGTGACCTGCTTTGAGCTATGTAGCTACACAGGCTCCTGAATGAAATTAGGGTCAAAGTCTGGTGAGGAGATGGGGTTAAGGCCTTTGTCTCCAATCCACATTTGCATAAGAGTTTCTATATTTTTATATTTTTAAGTTTTTTAAAAATAGATTTTGGGGGAACTGGTGGTGTTTGATTATATGAGTAAGTTCTTCAGTGGCGATTTCTGAGATTTTTGGTGCACCTATCACCTGAGTAGTGTACACTGTACATATTGTGTAGTCTTTTACCCATCATCTTCCTCCCACCCATTTACTCAAGTCCACAAAGTCCATTGACCTTTTTTTTTTTTTTTTTTTTTTTTTTGAGATGGAGTCTCGCTCTTGTTCCCCAGGCTGGAGTGCAGTGGTGCGATCTCAGCTCACTGCAACCTCCACCTCCCACGTTCAAATGATTCTTCTGCCTCAGCCTCCGGAGTAGCTGGGATTACAGGCACCCGTCAGCACGCCTGGCTGATTTTTGTATTTTTAGTAGAGACAGGGTTTCCTCATGTTGGCCAGGCTGGTCTCGAACTCTTGACCTTAGGTGATCTGCCTGCCTTGGCCTCCCAAAGTGCTGGAATTACAAGCACGAGCCACCATGCCCAGCCCATTGTATCATTCTTATACCTTTGCATTCTCATAGCTTAGCTCCAACTTATGAATGAGAACATACAATGTTTGATTTTCCATTCCTCAGTTGCTTCACTTATAATAATGGTCTCCAATTCCACTCAGATTGCTGGGAATGCCATTATTTCATTTATTTTTATGGCTGAGTAGCATTCCATGGTATATATACACCACATTTTCTTTATCCACTTTTTTATTGATGGGCATTTGGGCTGGTTCCACATTTTTGCAGTTGTGAATTGTGCTGCTGTAAACACGAGTGTGCAAGTATCTTTTTCACATAACGATTCTTTTTTCCTCTGGGTAGATACCCAGGAGTGGGATTGGTGGATCAAAAGGTAGATCTACTTTCAGTTCTTTAAGGAATCTCCACACTGTTTTCCATAGTGGTTATGACAGTTAATACTGAATGTCAACTTGATTGGATCGAAGGATGCAAAGTATTGATCCAGAGTGTGTCTGTGAGGGTGTTGCCAAAGGAGAGAGTTTAACATTTGAGTCAGTGGGCTGGGAAAGGCAGACCCACTCTTAATCGGTGTAGGCACAATCTAATCAGCTGCCAGCGTGGGCAGAATAAAAAGCAGACAGAAGAACATGAAAAGACTAAGACTGGCTTAGCCTTCCAGCCTACATCTTTCCCCTGTGCTGGATGTTTCCTGCCCTTGAATGTCAAACTCCAAGTTCTTCAGCTTTGGGACATATACTTCCTTCCTTGCTCCTCAGCTCGCAGATGGCCTATTGTGGGATCTTGTGATTGTGTGAGTTAATACTCCTTAATCAACTCCCCTTTACATATATATATATATATATATATATATATATATATATATATATATATATATATCTCCTACTAGGTCTGTCCCTCTAGAGCACCCTGACCAATACAGATTTTGGTACCAGGAGTGGTTCTAGATGAACCACTCCATTAAGGATGGAGTTCTTTTGTTGGTTTTGGGGTTTCTGGAGTTGGCTGCTTAATATGACTGGACCACAAAATGCTAAGGACTCTACTTCTAATAGTATGAAGAACACTGATAGTCCTTGGCATGAACTGTTTAGAGAGTTATGCAAAATAAATGCATTTGACACTTCTGATTCACCGCTTGTGAGAGGCCAGGAGTTTAGTGACTCTATACATACTAAATTTGACTATATGTGGAGAATCAAGGAACATAGTGTAGTTGGTTTGTTTCTTCTAAGTTCACTGGATGAAGTGATGAAAGAAAATGATGAACTCAAGGATTCTAACTCCCAGCTTCAGGAGCAGATACTGAGCCTCAAATCTGCTAAGATCACCCTGAGTGAGAGTCATCTCTTGTAGAGAAAAAGATGAAATTGTGCAAAATCAGACACAGGATCTTCTCATGTGAGTGGCTGACCTGCAACCAAAGGTGCATGCACAGCCTCGCCAGGTGTCTACTGTTAAAGTGAGGGCATTGATTGGAAAAGAATGGAACCCTGCAATTTGGAATAGGGACAAGTAGGAGGACCCTATTGAAGCTGGGGACACTGAGCTTGTAAACTCTGATGAAACTTTCTTACCAGAAGAAACAGCTTCCCCATCCCCAGTAGTGGCAACATCCCTTCCCTGACCCACACTGCCATCAGCCATTCCACCTTTGTCTGAGGAGATAAACCCTGCGCTGCCTAAGACAACAGTGATGGCCTCCCTTGAGGCAGCTCCAGACAAGATAATGATTATTCTCCTCAGGAGCCACCCCCAACACCCCTGTTTGCTTCTAGACTTATAACTAGACCAAAGTACCAGCAGACCCCTAGAGGTGAAGTTCAGAATGTGACCTATGAGGAGGTGCACTACACTCAAAAAGAACTGCTTGAGTTTTCTAATTTATATAAGCAGAAATCTGGAGAACAGGCATGGGAATGGATATTAAGGATGTCAGATGATAGTGGAAGGAACATAGAGTTGGATAAGGCTGAATTTATTTATCTGGACCCAGTAAACAACGATTCTGCTTTTAATGTTGCAACTCAGGGAGTTAAAAAATGTTCTAATAGTTTATTTGCTTGCTTAGCTGAAACATGGATCAAAAGGTGGCCCACTGTGAGTGAGCTGGAAATACCTGATCTCCCTTGGTTTAGTGTAGAGGAAGGGATCCAAAGGCTTAGGGAGATTGAAATGCTAGAATAGATTAGTTACCTTAGGCCTACTCATCCCAACTGATAAGGTCCAGAAGACATACCTTTCAACAATACCTTGCAAAATAGATTTGTGAGGGGGGCACCTACATCCTTGAAGAGCTCTGTGATTGATCTTCTCTTTACGCCAGATTTAACAGCGGAAACTGCAGTCACTCAACTACAAAATTTAAATGCAATGAGAACAATTGGATCCAGATTCCATTGTTGAACCAACAATCATTCAGGAGCATGTTATTTAATTTCCATATATTTGCATAGTTTTGAGGGTTTTTTGTTGTTGTTGTTGATTTCCAATTTTATTTCCCTGTGATCTGAGAGAGTACTTGCTGTAATTTTTATTTTCTCAAATTTGTTGAGGCTTGTTTTGTGGCCTGTCATATGGTCTATCTTGGAGAAAGTTCCATGTGCTAATGAATAGAACGTATGTTCTGCAGTTGTTCAGTTGTTGGGTAGAATGTTCTGTAGATATGTGTTAAATCCATTTGTTCTAGGGTATAGTACAAGTCCATTGTTTGTTGACTTTCTGTCTTGATGACCTGTCTAGTGCTGTCAGTGGAGTGTTGAAGTTCCCCAATATTATTGTGTTGCCATATATCTCATTTCTTAGCTCTAGCAGTAATTGCTTTATAAAATTTGAGAGCCCCAGTGTTTGGTGCATATATATTTAGGATTGTGATATTTTCCTGTTTGACTAGTCCTTTTATCATTATATAATGTTCCTCTTTGTCTTTTTTAACTGCTGCTGCTTTAAAGTTTGCTTTGTCTAATATAAGAATAGCTACTCCTGCTTGCTTTTGGTGTCCATTTACATGGAATATCTTTTTTCACCCCTTTACATTAAGTTTATGTGAGTCCTTATGTGTCAGGTGAGTCGTCCCTTGAAGATGGCAGATGCTTGGTTAGTGAGTCCATTCTGCAATTCTGTATCTTTTAAGTGGAACATTTGGGGCATTTATATTCATCGTTAGTATTGAGATGTGAGGTACTATTTTATTCATTGTGTTATTTCTTGCCTGAATACCTTTTTTTTTGGCATTGTGTTATTGTTTTGTTGGTCTTGTGAGATTTATGCTTTAAGGATATTCTATTTTGGTGTATTTTGAGGACTTGTTTCAAGAGTTAGAGCTCCTTTTAGCAGTTCTTGTAGTGCTGGCTTGGTAGCACTTGTTTGTCTGAATAAAGACTGTATTTTTATTTATGAAGCTTAGTTTCACTGGGTACAAAATTTTTGGCTGATAATTGTTTTGTTTAAGGAGGTTAAAAATGGGAAGCAATCCCTTCTATCTTGTAGGGTTTCTACTGATAAATCTGCTGTTAATCGGATAGGGTTTCCTTTATAGGCTACCTGATGCTTTTGCCTCACAGCTGTTAAGATTCTTTCCTTCATCTTGACTTTAGATAACCTGATGTCTATGTGCCTAGGTGACGATCTTTTTGAAATGAAATTCCCCAGGTGTTATTTGAGCTTCTTGTATTTGGATGTCTAGATCTCTAGCAATCATGGGGACATTTTCCTCAATTATTCCCTCAAATATGTGTTCCAAACTTTTAGATTTTTCTTCTTCCTTGGGAACACCAATTATTCTTGTGTTTGATTGTTTAACATAATCCCAAACTTCTTGGAGGTTATGTTCATTTTTTTAAGTTCTTTTTTCTTTGTCTTTATTAGATTGGGTTAATTCAGAAGGCTGGTCTTCAAGCTCTGAAGTTCTGTCTTCTATTTGTTCAATTCTATTGCTGAGGCTTTCCAGTGCATTTTGCATTTCTCCAAGTGTGTTCTTGATTTGCAGAGGTTGTGATTGTTTTTTTATCTATGCTATCTATTTCACTGGAGATTTTTCCATTCCTATCCTGTATCATTTTTTTGATTTCTTTAAGTTGGACTTCACCTTTCTCTGGTGCCTTCTTGATTAGCTTAATAACCAACCTTCTGAATTCTTTTTTTGGCAATTCATATATTTCTTCTTGGTTTGGATTCATTGCTGGGGAGCTAGTGTGGTCTTTTGGAGGTGTCAAAGAACCTTGTTTTGTTATATTACCAGAATTGTTTTTTTTATTCCTTTTTATTTGAGTACACTATGTCAGAGGGAAAATCTGGAACTAAAGGGTTGCTGTTCAGATTCTTTTGTCCCTGGGCTGCTCCCTTGATGTGTTGCTCTCCCCCTTGCCTAGGGATAGGGCTTCCTGAGAGCTGAACTGCAGTGATTGTTATTTCTCTTCTGGATCTAGCCACTCAGCAGAGCTACTGGGTTCTGAGCTGGTACTGGGGAGTGCCTGCAAAGTGTCCTGTGATGTGATCTGTCTTCAGGTCTCTCAGCCACGGATACCAGCACCTGCTCTGATGGAGGTAGCAGGGGAGTCAATTGGACTCTGGGAGGGTACTTGGTTGTATTTTTGTTGAATGCCCTGATTTTGTGTTGGTTGGCCTTCAGCCAGGAGGTGGAGCCTTCAAGAGTGCATCAGCTGCAGTAGTATATGGAGGATACAAGCTTTCCCTAGAGTTGCCTTTGGATAAGTATTCAGGATTCTCAGGTGGTGGGCAGGTCCATAGAGCTCCCAAGAGGTTATGTCCTTTGTCATTGGCTACCAGGGCAGGTAGAGAAAGACCATCAGGTGGGGGCAGGGTTAGGCATGTCTGAGCTCAGACTCTCCTTGGGTGGGGCTTGCCGTGGCTGCTGTGGGGGATGGGATGTTGTTTCCAGTCCAGTTGAATTATGTTCCTGGGAAATTATGGCTACCTCTGCTGTGTCACATAGGTTGCCAAGGAAGTGGGAGAAAGCCAGCAGCCACAAGCCTCACCCAGCTCCCATGGAGCCTGCAGCCTGCAGCTTGAAAGGCCAGCCTCATTCCCACTGTGCCCCCACAACAGCACCGAAGCACCGAGTTTATTTCCAGGCAGGCAGTGAGCAGGGCTGAGAAATTGCCCCAGGCTACAAGCCTCCCAGCTGAGAAAGCAAGCAGACTCACAGTTCCTTGGCTGTCCCATGCAGCCTGCAGCAGCAATCCACCCCCTTTAAAGTGTCTGTGGATTCTTTCAGCTTTTTTGGTATGTTCCTATGGTAGTTCTTGGGGCAAAATTTCACAGTGTGAGTCTCCAAATGCTGCTTTGTCTGTTCAAGTGGGAACTGCAAGTTAGTCCTGCTTCCTATCTGCCATTTTTTCCCGGTCTGTCTACATTTTTATACAGTTCATCTTTTACATGCTAGTAAAAGTAATACTGTGCTTTAAAGTTTTTTTTGTTTGTTTGTTTGCTTGCTTGTTTGTTTTTAAATAGGAAGGAGAATCTGATGTTTTTTGTTTGTTTGTTTGAGACAGAGTCTTGCTCTGACACCCAGGCTGGAGAGCAGTGGTACAATCTTGGCTCACTGCAACCTCTGTCTCCCAGGTTCAAGCAATTCTCCTGTCTCAGCCTCCCGAGTAGCTGGGATTACAGTCATGTGCCCCTGTGTCCAGAATTGGTTCCTTCTGGTGGGTTCTTGGTCTTGCTGTCTTCAAGAATGAAGCCGTGGACCCTCGTCATGAATGTTACAGTTCTTAAAGATGGTATGTCCAGAGTTTATTCCTTCAGATGTTCAGATGTGTCTAGAGTTTCGTCCTTCCAGTGGGTTGGTGGTCTCGCTGACTTCAGGAGTGAAGCCTCAGACCTTCGCAGTCAGTGTTCCAGCTCTTAAAGGTGGCGTGTCCGGAGTTGTTTGTTCCTCCCGGTGGGTTTGTGGTCTCGCTGACTTCAGGAATGAAGCCGCAGACCCTTGAGGTGAGTGTTACAGCTCATAAAGGTAGTGCAGACCCAAAGAGTGAGCAGCAGCAAGATTTATTGCGAAGAGCGAAAGAACAAAGCTTCCACAGTGTGGAAGGGGACCCAGTGGGTTGCCACTGCTGGCTCAGGTGGCCAGCTTTGATTCCCTTATTTGGCCCTGCCCACGTCCTGCTGATTGGTCCATTTTACAGAGCACTGATTGCTCCATTTTACAGAGTGCTGACTGGTGCATTTACAAACCTTTAGCTAGACACAGAGTGCTGATTGGTGCATTTTTACAGAGTGCTGATTGTTGTGTTTACAATCCTTTAGCTAGACACAGAGCACTGATTGATGCATTTACAATCCTCTAGCTAGACAGAAAACTTCTCCAAGTCCCCACTCGACCCAGGAAGTCCAGCTGGCTTCACCTCTCACCACCACACCTGGCTAATTATTGTATTTTTAGTAGAGACAGGGTTTTGCCATGTTGGCCAGGCTGGTCTTAAACTCCTGACCTGAGGTGATCTACCCACCTTGGCCTCCTTAAGTGCTGGGATTACAGGTGTGAGCCACTGCACCTGGCCAGAATCCAATGGTTTTTAATATAAAAAATAATAACAACATGAAATAGCATCTACACGTAAGTCATCACCATAATAATTTCAATTTGGCATTAGTACGATGGCATAGATATCAAAAGCACGTCACATTTACTTCGCCCTCAAAACAAACAAACAAACAAACAGGAAATAAGGCTCAGGTAACTAAAAAGTTAGAGAAGTGCTTCTCTTCTTGATGTGTAGGAAGCAAGAGCTTCACAGGTACATCTTTTAAGGTTCTTCCCCAGGCCTGAAAGCTTAAGGAGATGAATAACTCCTCCCTTCTCAGGCCTGGTACCAAGGTGCAAAGCTACTTGCAGCAGCAGCGTGCGCCAGCAAGATAGCAGAAGCAGGAAGAGAGCCAGCCGGAAGACATGTACCTCTGAAGATCAAGAAAGAGGCTATCCAGGTACAACGTAGCAGTTAGGTCAGACTAGGACACTTCCTGTTTACAGGAGACTATAAAACCTTTGCCCCATCCTCACTTGGTGCTGATGCCATTTTAGGCCTCAGCCCGCCTGCACCCAGGCACTCATTAAAACAGCATGTTGCTCCATACCGCCTCGTGTTATTTGTTGGTGTGCTCTCGGGGTTCGAACCAATACAAGGACTTTACACATCTAATGTTGAAACCCTTGACTCCTTTTGAATTTGTAGATAAACCTGCAGCATCACTTGTTTGGCTGTTACTACCTTCACCCTTTAAATATTTACCTAGTCAGATGGGACAGGGAGAATGGTCAAAACCAAACTGGCACATACAACTCTGAATGGGCACATGCATAGACTCTAGGAGCCTGAGGTCTCATCAGCCCATACTCCCTCCCTGCCTTGGCACTATTATTTCTCTTGCCACTGGTGCTTTATTCGTTGGATTTTGAGGCTAGAATTTAGGACCATGAAATGTATTTTTTGGATCAAGAATTCAACCATGTTTCTAAGACATGGATCTGTTGATGGCTAACCTAAAAAAATTCTTTAAGAATGAAACACATGCTTAGCCCCTAGGAAGAAGAGCAATGGTGTCCATGGAAGAAAACCTGATTCATTCTCAATTTGGTAGTCAGTTCCAGCAATTGTTATTGTCTGATTTTCTCCCCACCTCCTTCCTCTTGCCGATCACCTAAAATATCTTTGGAGGGCCAGCTCATTTCCATACTTCAAGACTCAGAGCACTGAACAAAGTTGCCATTGTCTGTTTATCTCCACAAAGATCTTAGGCAAACAGGATAGAATTTACATCTTAGTTGTTTTTAAGAGAGCTCATGAACTCGGTGAAGTAGCTTTTGGTATAGGGAAAGCAAGTGTTACCACAAACGAAGGGAATCTAGGCAATTTCCTTCTTTTGCTTTCTCCGTTATTGAATATATTTATTTATAATTCACTACACACAAAAATCTTCTCATAGCTGCTCTGGTACATTCCTGCAGAGAATTCTGAATGCCATAGTGGTGATTAAGATATTATAACTACATAAATAGCATAATGGCGTCCCTTCATGAGCAAATAATAACTGAATTTGGTTTCCACATAATGGTAGTACTGAGTTCTATTTTTAAAGAATTCTGCTTAGGAATATTGAAGACAAAAATTGAATGCTTATGAAATAAGGGAAAATTGAAAATCCCTTATTTTCATGATTATTAAGGTTATTATTATTGATTAAAATGGTTGGAATTGAATCATTGCGAAGCGTTATTCTTATAAATACCATTCTTTTAGCATATTAATATACTTTCTTCCAACTAAAATGTTTACTGTGTAATAAAATTATTACAATGTAACATAGTTTTTAAGAAAACATGTTCTCCACCTCTATCAAATATCAGGATTTTCCCATATTTGCAAACGAGTAAGGGTGTATAGCATAAGTGCCCAATGGATTCTTTCTGCCCACTGCACAAACAAAATGAATTCGCAGACACCACGGCATTGCCATGAGAGAGTTTAACTGAAGCGAGGCCAGCCACACCATGGGAAAGATGGAGTTATTACTCAAATCAATCTCATCGAAAGTTCAGTGGTTAGGGGTTTTTCAAAGATACTTTGGTAGGCAGGGAGCTAGGGCATGGGGAGTGCTGATTGGGTGGGTTGGATATGAAATCATAGGAGATTGAAGCTGTCCTCTTGTGCTGAGTTGTTCTCGGTGGGGCCACAGGGGCCTTTGGCAGGTCCAGGTGGAGCCATAGGTAGTCAGACATGCAAAAAACCTGAAAAGAGATCTCAAAAGCCCAATCTTAGCTCTTCAATGGTGACATTATCTGCAGCAGTAATTGTGTGTAGTTGCATATCTTCTGACCTGCGGAATAATGGCTGGTGATCCCTTAAGGTTACCTCTACACCAGAGCAGAATTCAGGCTCCTCCATCCTCCTAACCTGGTGGTGGCTCATTAGCTTTACAAAGCTTCACCAAAGAGTTTTGGGGAAGGGCTATTATCATTAAAACTGCAAGCTACATGTCTCCCAAAGTTAGCTTGTCTTAAACCAAGGAATAATTAAGGACAGCTTTGAAGCCTAAGAGCAAGACAGGGGTTGGCTAGATCAGATTTCTCCCATGCCATAATTTTCTTACTGCTATCATTTTTGCAAAGTGGTTTTAATGATATGGTGTTTGAAGGCACAGACTCCAATTTTTTTGGGGGATGGAGTCTTGCTCTGTCACCCAGGCTGGAGTGCAGTGGTGCCATCTCGGCTCACTGCAACCTCCACCTCCCGGGGTCAAGCAATTCTCCTGCCTCAGCTTCCTGAGTAGCTGGGATTACAGGCGCCCGCCACCATGCCCAGCTAATTTTTGTATTTTTAGTAGAGACAGGGTTTCACCACGTTGGTCAGGCTGGTCTCGAACCCCTGACCTCGTGATCCACCCACCTCAACCTCCCAAAGTGTTGGGATTACAGGCATGAGACTCTGCGCCCGGCCGACTCCAATATTTTTTTGTAGTGACGGGGTTTTGCCAAGTTGCCCAGGCTGGTCTTGAACTCCTGGGCTCAAGTGATCTGCCTGTCTTGGCCTTCCAAAATTCTGAGATTATAGGCGTGAGTCACCACACCTGGCCTGTTGGCCTTTTCCTGATGAGTGTGTAGGAGCTGTGTTTTGTTAACACAATTCAAATATAAATCCTTTGTTGGTAATGTGTCTTGCAAATATCTTCTTCGAGTCTGTGGCTGATTTGTTTTGTTTTGTTCAGTCATTACTTCATTTATAGTGCCCTTTTGAATAGTCTTATTCTTCTCCAATATAGTCACAGTTGTCAATCTTTTTCTTTATGGTTGTGATATTTTTGTCTTATTCAAGAAAGTCTTTCTTGGCCCGAGGTCACAAAATATTCTCCTTTATTTTTTCCCTAAAAGTTTTAAATATCTTTATCTTTAGGGCTTTATCGTACTTGAAAAAAATAAAAGCAGGTTTTCACAGGATGTGAGGTAAAAATCTAATTTTATTTTCCATTTGGATAAACAATTGTACCAACTGTGTTTATTGAATAGCTTTTCCTTTCCCCACTGATCTGTAATGCCATCTATATCATACTTCAAGTTTCCTTATACACATGGGTCTATTCCTGGCTTTCTATGCTGTTCCATGGGGTTAGCTGTCCTTTGACACTATCACACAGTCTAACTTCCTCTAGCTTGGTGGGGAGGGGTAATATATCTTGCCCATCTTCTAGGGAAAACTCTCCTTCCACCTCCCACACCACACAATTGTGCTGTCCTCCTCTTTAGACGTTTAAAATTTTCAAGTTTGTGTGCTTGATCCTTTACTCTTCCCTATTAATTTTATGATTAGCTTATCTAGTTTGCAAAAGACTGTCTGGACACTTTGATTGAACTTAACCTTATAGTTTGCCTTAAACTTATAGATTAATTTAGGGAAAATCGTATATTTAAAATTCAAATCTTCTAATCCATGTATGCTGTGTCTTGCCAGATCTTCTTCTATATCATTTGACAATCTTATAATTTGCTCAAAAATGTTCCTGTATTTTTTTGTTAAATTTATTTCCAAGTTCTTATGATTTTGTTGCTATTATGATTGGAAATGTCAACTGATTACATATTCTGATATTCTTTTTTTTTGAGAGGGAGTCTCGCTCTGTGGCCCAGGCTGGAGTGCAGTGGCGTTATCTCGGCTCACTGCAAGCTCTGCCTCCCGGGTTCACGCCTTTCTCCTGCATCAGCCTCACGAGTAGCTGGGACTACAGGTGCCCGCCACTACGCCCAGTTAATTTTTTGTGTTTTTTAGTAGAGACGGGTTTTCACCGTGTTAGCCAGGATAGTCTTGATCTGCTGACCTCGTGATCTGCCTGCCTCGGCCTCCCAGAGTGCTGGGATTACAGGCAGTGAGCCACCGCGCCTCACCCATATTCTGATATTCTAATAGAGTATAGAAATAGTATTAATTTTACATGGTGATCTTATTTCTAGCAATCTTGACTAATTTTCTTTCCTTTTATGTTTTTCTGAGATGGAATCTCACTCCATCACCCAGGTGGCAGTGCAGAGTGTAGTGGCGCGATCTTGGCTCACTGCAAGCTCCGCCTCCTGGGTTCACGCCATTCTCCTGCCTCAGCCTCTGGAGTAGCTGGGACTACAGGCGCCCACTACCGCGCCTGGCTAATTTTTTGTATTTTTAGTAGAGATGGGGTTTCACTATGTTAGCCAGGATGGTCTTGATCTCCTGACTTCGTGATCCACCAGCCTCGGCCTCCCAAAGTGCTGGGATTACAGGCATGAGCCATGGTGCCCAGCTGATGAATTTTCTTATAAGTTCTACTAGGGTTTTTTTTTTTTAATTCTCATGGATTTTTCTCTATAAACAGTTATATCTTTTAAAAAACAAATTGTACCTTTCCTTCTAATATTTATACCTCATATTTCTTTCTAATCACTTGTCTTATTATCTCAGAAATATATTACAATATTTAATAGAAATTGATATAAGGTAAATCTTTGTCTTCTGAACTCTTACTGGAATACTTCTAAAGTTTAACCACTATTACGTTTGTAATAGATCATTATTTCTTAAAATAACTTTATATTTGTAAGGCCTCTGAACCCAAGTCAAGCCATCGCATCCCCTGTGACTTGCACGTATACATCCAGATGGCCTGAAGTAACTGAAGATCCACAAAAGAAGTAAAAATAGCCTTAACTGATGACATTCCACCATTGTGATTTGTTTCTGCCCCACCCTAACTGATCAATGTACTTTGTAATCTCCCCCACCCTTAAGAGGGTACTTTGTAATCTCCCCTACTCTTAAGAAGGTTCTTTGTAATTCTCCCCACCCTTGAGAATGTACTTTGTGAGATCCACCCCTGCCCGCAAAACATTGCTCTTAACTTCACCGCCTATCCCAAAACCTATAAGAACTAATGATAATCCACCACCCTTCGCTGACTCTCTTTTCGGACTCAGCCCGCCTGCACCCAGGTGAAATAAACAGCCATGTTGCTCACACAAAGCCTGTTTGGTGGTCTCTTCACACAGACGTGCATGAAAATATTAGCTTGGAAATGATTTTTATTATGAATGAGTGTTGCCTTCTGTTTCTAGTCCTTACTAATATTTACCTTCGTTTTGATCATATTTATATATATTTGCTTTATCTTTGTATTTTATCATTCTTATGTGTTTGGATCAGACATAATCGTGTAAATGTGAAATTAATGTCCTACACTGTCTAGTAGTTTCATTATCACTGTTGGAAATGCTTCTTCCCCAGTGCCATAAAGAAATACCGCTTGAACATAAGTTTATTTAGTAAGGCCATTTTTCCTTCCTGCAGAACGGGTACACTCTCCAGCAGTTTTGCCACAAGAGTACAGCGAACAAAGGAGACAGGATCACTTATCACCTGATGCATCCACCCTACTGATGTGTCTGGTTTCCACTGGCTGGAATGGGACCTTATATTTGTATTTGTCCCGGTTGGCTAGCAACTTAGAACTTTTTAAAAGAGGCAAAGGTAGAGGAGAACAAAGGAAGGAGGAAGTAACTTGTGGAATGCTAAGAAAGGTAAAAACACTTTTAAATAAGGAAGAGGAACAGGCTATGATCTAACGTTTGCTTGGACCAGTATAAGCATGTCAGGGCAAATATTTAGGCTAAATTGTGGGAGCTAAGAATGTAAAGTTCGTTGATTTCTTTCACTTGCGTCCGTGTGAAGAGACCACCAAACAGGCTTTGTGTGAGCAACAAGGCTGTTTATTTCACCTGGGTGCAGGCGGGCTGAGTCCGAAAAGAGAGTCAGGGGAGGCAGATGGGGTGGGGGTATAGGATTTTGGTAGGTAGTGGAAAATTACAATCAAAGGGGGTTGTTCTCTGGCAGGCACGGGTGGGGGTCACAAGGTGCTCAGTGGGGGAACTTTTGAGCCAGGATGAACCAGGAGAAGGAATTTCACAAGGTAATGTCATCAGTTAAGGCAGGAACAGGCCATTTTCACTACTTTTGTGATTCTTCAGTTACTTCAGGCCATCTGGATGAATACATGCAGGCTTGGGCTCAGAGGCCTGACAATTTCCTTATTACAGCTAGCAGATATTTAAGAATGTTAGCACAGGTCTTTGAATAAATTTTGCTTCTAAGAGAAGTTACTATTTATTCCTAATTAGATGGGGAAAAAGTCTTTGAAGAGGAACCTCTACTTTACTTTTTACAATCACATTTTTTAAAAGAGAAAAATTATAGTCACCAAATAATCCACCTGTCAGGCCTCTGAGCCCAAGCCAAGACATCGCATCCCCTGTGACTTGCACATATATGCCCAGATGGCCTGAAGTAACTGAAGAATCACAAAAGAAGTGAAAATGCCCTGCCTTAACTGATGACATTCCACCACAAAAGAAGTGAAAATGGCCGGTCCTTGCCTTAAGTGATGACATTACCTTGTGAAAGTCCTTTTCCTGGCTCATCCTGGCTCTAAAAGCTCCCCCACTGAGCACCTTGCGACCCCCCCACTCCTGCCTGCCAGAGAACAAACCCTCTTTGACTGTAATTTTCCTTTAGGTACCCAAATCTTATAAAACGGCCCCACCCCTATCTCCCTTCGCTGACTCTCTTTTTGGACTCAGCATGCCTGCACCCAGGTGATTAAAAGCTTTATTGCTCACACAAAGCCTGTTTGGTGGTCTCTTCACATGGACGCGCATGAAACCACCTAAGAGATTAAAAAGTAGCTTTCAGAAAATCCAAGTGAAATAAATTAACTGTGGTATTGCCTAAAATTCCACCATGGGATTTTTCTATCTTTTCAGCATTATGTTGGATTAGGCAAACATTTGATCTTTGGTTATATTTTAATGAAGGTATCACTTTTACTGTTTCTTTAATAACAGGAAAATAATTTACACAGTTATCAAGAATTTTCAAATGCTGAAGTATTCACAGTGCATAGCAGAAGTTGGCAAACTTTCCCTGTGAAGGGTTAGATAATAATTTTTTTTTTTTTTTTTTTTTTTTTGAGATGGAGTCTCCCTCTGTCACCCAGGCTGGAGTGCAGTGGCGCGATCTCCATTCACTGCAAGCTCTGCCTCCTGGGTTCACGCCATTCTCCTGCCTCAGCCTCCTGAGTAGCTGGGACTACAGGTGCCCGCTACCATGCCTGGCTAATTTTTTTGTATTTTTAGTAGAGACGGGGTTTCACTGTGTTAGCCAGGATGTTCTTGATCTCCTGACCTCGTGATCCGCCCGCCTCAGCGTCCCAAAGTGCTGGGATTACAGGCGTCAGCCACCGCGCCCGGCCGATAATAAATATTTTGTACTTTGTGGACTACATGACCTCTGTTACAGTTTCACAACTCTTCTGTGGCAGCGCAGCCACAGACAACGTGTAAATGAATGAGTGTGGCTGTGTTCCAATAAAACTTTAGTTGCAAAAACAGCCAGCAGCTGGATTTGACCCATAGGCCATAATTTGCTGACTTCCAGTCTGCAGTAATCTGATTAGTTGTTCAATAATGTAAATGCCATCATATAAAAGTATTAAGTTCATGAGGGAAAAATTAACTATGCTTAATTTTTCGTAGTTCATTATAATAAATAGACAAGTAAAAGTGAAATTTTGATTGAAAAATGGTTCACATGCTGATAATATGTTTTCTGAATGTTAGACTCAAAATGAATAAGGTACCTGCTCAGAAAATTCAATGGATATGTTTATTTTTACTTGTACTGCTGAGGTTCAATAAATGTTAATTAGTCTATATTGTATAACTCAGTAACAATAGTAACACTAATGAATTTACAAGTTATAGTTATTTGAGATTATATGTATATTAGAATCCAATGTAAAGCAATCCTTTCATTGACATCTAAATTATTTAAGGATATATGTACAACTACTAGAGGGGATACTAATGAGACCATGATATGAAAAGCAAGATAGACTTTAAACTATAACAGAACATAGAAACTCCAATGTCAAAATGTTTCCACATGCTCTCAAAAATTATCCACCAAAGAGGAAAATCAAGAGTTTTGTACAGGTAGTATGGAATATTTTATAGCAAGTGTTGCTTTTTTTGGGATAATAAAAATTACAAGGACAGACCATAAGCAAAAGCTGGAAGAGCAGGCTGTTTCACACTCAGTCTCTCTTTTGTCTTACCTAATGCCAGTTTCTCTCATCTGAAGTAACAAGCATTCTATGTCCTCACATCTTGTCTCTTAGTAAAATCTACACACAAGAGCACATCTAATTATCTAATTTCTTTTTATTTGTTTGAGACAGGGTCTCACTTTGTCACCCAGGCTAGAGTGCAGTGGCACTATCATGGGTCATTGCAGCCTCAACCTCCTGGGCTCAAGCAATCCTCCCACCTTAGTCTCCTACAGGCCCTTGCCACAACACCCAGCTAATTTTTTGTGGAGAGGGTTTTGCCATTTTGCCTAGGCTGGTCTGAAACCTCTGAGCTCAAGCCATCCACCTACCTCGGCCTCCCAAAGTGCAGGGATTACAGGCGTGAGCCACCACGCTTGGCTGCACATCTAATTTTTACGGTGTTTGTGATTCTTTGCAAGACTATTTGGATTTTCAACCTGGCATTCATTGTGCACTGAAAATAAATTCATCCTTTGCTAACAGGCATTCCAGGCAGCAGTGAAGAGGTTGGGTAGGGAGGGTAAGGAAAAGGGTCTCTTGGTGATGGGAGGGTGGCCATCTTTGGGTCCTGCAGTCACACCTTTTAGGATGTTACCTGTTCAGACTATGAACCAGGCTAGTCCCATAAATATGGTCTATGTAGTCAGTACCCAAATGGACAAAACCTGTAAAACAAACCAAAGCAAGGAATTTAAGAAGCGGCAATATACGATCATCTAACTCCTGTAAGTTTTAGCTTCATCATAGTAATGTTTTCTTTCTTCTAGAAGAGAACAGCATCAGGGCACATTGAGGCTCAGAAATTTATATTCCAAGAAGAGGTGCACAGGAACAGAGCAGATCCAAAGGTAAATTGCTCATGGGTTCTAAACTGAGCTGGGTTAAGAGTTTTGGGATTCAAAAAGAATGCATTGTGCAGAATTGTGGAATGACCCTTAGAGATGTGAAATACTTGAAAGAATACTGAGTTTTGGAATGTTCACCTTAAGTCTGAGTAAAAATCTGTCAAAAATCCATGTAAGAAGCATAATGTTAAATTACCCCAATGATAAAGCCTGTCCCTTTTGCTTCATAGGATATTTCCGGTTATAAGAAAGGATTCTGTATATTAAAATTGGAGAAGACGTCACAAAGAAGGCCAAAAATGCATTGTTTTTGATAATAATGTGCCAGGCTTCAGTTTGGCAATCTGTGTAGGAGAACATTTGTGCAAGAGCCATCTCTATTGGAGAGGTTCGATCATCACATTGCTTTCTCTGTTGACTGATATTTTGAGAAATGAGACACATGGCAAGGAGAAGCCATGCTATTACTTTCAGGTGCCAAATGAAATGATTCACTTCAGGGCACTTCAAAATAAAAATAAAAGTACAAATATAATTTAGGCATAGATCATTCCTGAACTAATTTAACTGTGTATTTCTTACTAATTTAACTGTGTATTTCTTTAAAGCAGACAACCACCTGGAAGCAGTCATAACAACAGCAATAGCAAATCAATGCTGGTGAGCAAACTAAGTTAAATATTAACATCTAATTATATACTGTCTTGGAAGCAGCTGTGAGTTTATTGCCTTTTTAAAACAGTGCTAATAGTTTATAAATGTAGCATGCATCTAGTATCTTATCCTCACTGAAAACATAACTATTGATTTATACTAAACAAACCATAAATAAGTACGTATCTCTAAGGCTTATTGGAGTTATTTAGTGTTTCTATCAAATATATTACTAAGAACCATCTTTGAGAATTTTTTTTTCTGGAAAAGGCTTCCAGCACTTCAAACTGACATAATAGAAAAATCAAATAATATATATGCTTATGTTTAAGTATTTGTGTATTCTCATCAAAAAACTTGATTATCTAGGCAAGTGTACGAACCATAAAGTAATTAGAAGTTAATATAGTGTCCCCTGACTCTAGCGAGCACCTCAACCCTTAAGATATTTTTCAATTTCATGTTTAAAGACACAAATATAATTGGATCAGCTTTTCCTCAAACCAACTAATACAGCACAACTCCTGGAACTAAGGATGTTTTACAGATGCAGAAAAGAGACTGTCTAGGCAAACTGAATTTCAGTCTTTGAAACAAAAGCAGTGGTCTTGAGAAGACGTTTACCTGCTCACTTTTAAGTCAACTCATTTTCTTTCTTTAAATATAAAATAAACAGCTTTCTCAGGTGTTTTTAAAGTAGGCGTATATAACTGTATGTGTATAGTTTCTTTAACACTATCCACTGAGGATATCCAGTGAAACAAGAAACACAAGCCCTATCGTATAAGTCTAAACAGAAAGCTCTTGCTTCCTGGGAATGAAAATCTAATATTATAATGCAACATAAACCGGGTGAAGATGGGCAGTGTTAGGTAATTTTATTAGGTTTCTCTTAGTTCTCTCTGAAACTGGGGATATGTTAGGAAGAGGCAATGGCCATAAAAATACATTTTATAAAGTTCAACATATCAAAGAGAATTTAGAAGTAATTAATCTGTAAGATTACTGCCACAAATCCTATATTAATTATCAACTAATTAATGATGTGCTAGAACCCAGGATTCTGGTAATATTAGCTCTGCTCTAAAACAAATGCCAAATGGTTTCAAAGGACTTACTACTTATGACAGGAATAACACATATTAAAAAGAAAAGCAAAAGGATATTTTACATTCTTCTCAGTGGTGAAAGTCTGATAATTGAAAATTAACCTTGTATCATGTGGATAGTTCAGTTGTTAGAGAGCCAGAATATATATTTCCTAATAATATGGATCAAGGATAATACATAGTCCAGTCACTCTTGACTAAAGGAGTCTGACATTTTCTTCTTAAAACTGAGGTGAAAATTGATTGACTTCAGGTTTGTTTTTTTTTTTCCTCCAGGGGAAAAGATCAATTTTCTATTCTTATTACAATTTGTAGTGTGTGAGTGAGGTATGGCACTTTAGTGCTCTGAACACAATGAATCAGTGTGGTGTTCTGGTCAACACTTTTCTGACCATTTGTTAGCAGGCATTTTTGGAGATCTTGTAGCCATTCCACCCCTCCAGAGTCACCATAAATTACAGCTTGCCATTTTCAAATCTGCTTTCAGGTATTATTTCAGTGGCATTAGCATTAAAATACATTTGTTCAAGATAAATGAATTAAATGTAAGAATGATGAAAAAAAATTTTTTTAATCCTCTAATTGTAGAATATTGCCTCTCTTTAGATTCAAGATCAGCTAACATCAATTTGCCCCATTAGCTGCTTTAGACAAATTGGTCGAATAGCATTTGACTAACATTATAAGATGACAGGCTCTATCTTAATGAATTTGATTATGTATTCACTGGCTATTTGTGTGTTCTGCTTTATTGGTCTACAGATTACATGTGTAAGGTATAATCACACAATGTGGAGGGCACACATTTTCCTCTCACTGATTAACCTTTCTTTTCACATTTCTCAACATGGGTAATGAAATCAAAGCAGAAAGTGATGAATGGTGAATGGTTAATTCTAACATAAACCCAGGTGTTCTCAGGTATTAATATAATCAACGTGAGTTTGTAGGCTGTGAATTTTCAAAATGGCAGAACAAAACAAGGTGGAGAAAATAGACTTGGTTAAACCTAATTTTTTTTCCTACAATGTAACGCTGACAAACCAAATACTATCAGAACCAACTTCCATTTTATTGGTAAACTTTGATTGCTTTTCAAACAATCAGAGTAGAAATTTCTTAGATTAACACAGAAATTGAGAATCTCCAGAATCCAGGAGCATAGTTTTGCACTTTTAACAAATATTGTGATGTGTGGACAATAAAACTCACTAATTTGAGGCAAATAGATAAATCTAACATAAGAAAATCTATATAAAAATTGTGTAATTGGAAATAAGACTGCCGCGTATACATTGCCAACACTGCATCCCTGAAAAACAATCTACTTTTTCAAACAAGATCAAGTTTCCTGTGAATAAGTCTCACTGTTTTAAAATGACTTTTTGGAACATCTATGAAAGCACAAGAAACACAACTAGCTATTGGGAGGAACGGAAGTCTGACAGATGATGGAACATGATCAGAGCATCTCTAAACTTGAAGGGACATTATGAATCATCTAGAATAATTATTTTCCAAACTTCAATCATTTAAACACCACCCTCATAACTTCACCTATCTCTATACCTGTCTTTTTTCATTTGTATAAATTTAGGGGTTACAAGTGCAGTTTTGTTACATGGATATAATGGGTAGTGCCTATACCCTTCTTCATAAGTTTCCTACTGCTGCCTAACAAATTGTCATAAATTTGGTAGCTTATGCAACATGGAATTACTGTCTTGTAATTCTATAAGTCAAAAGTTGGACATGGATCTTATGGGCTAAAATCACAGTGTTGGCAGGGCTTTGTTCCTTTCTAGAGGCCATAGGAGAGAATAGGTTTCCTGGCCTTATCTTCTCGAGGCCACCCACATTCTTTGGCTGGTGGCCCTCTTTCTCCATCTTCAGAGCCAACAACATTGCATCTTGATGACTCTTTGGTCGTCACATATTTTTCTAACAACAGCTGAGAACGGTTTTCCACTTTTCAAAACTCATATGATCACAACAGGCACATTTAGGTAATCCAAAATAATCTCCCCATGTCAAAGGTTCTTAACCTTAATCCCATCTGCAAGATCCCTTTTGTCATGTACGATAACATATTCACAGGATCTGGGGATTAGGATGTGGACATCCTGGGGTGGGGAGCATTTTTTTCCTTCCACATCTTCTAATATAAGGTATGAAATATTTTGATGTAAGTTGACTTATTTACAGAAATTTTTATCATTGCTATAAATGGGAAACTAAAATTAGAATAAATTCTTTGAAAGTAGAACAAGAGTATCAGATCTGGTTAACTGGATATTATTGCCCCCTGCATTCTAGAACCTGTTGCTCTCTTGGTTGAAAGGTAGGTTAGCATGTTTGAAAAGTATTATGGCACCAATCTGAGGCTTTCCCTTAGGCCGTAATGGAGGGAGTGAAACTATAATTAAAAAGGGAATTGAAAAGTCTCATTAGGAAGGTCAGTGATTTTGAATGCTGCATCTGTGGAGTTCTAAAAATCATTTCATGACACTCTAATAGTTCATTTACCATTAGCAATGTATGTTCCACATTCTGAGAAGCTCAGAGGTAGTGATGCAAGTCACAATTGGTGCAAGAGGTCCCTGGGTAAAACCCTTGTCACCTGTCCATCCAGAAAATGGTCAGGGGATTTTTGGCCAGGCAAGAGCACTCATTAAGTCAATTTTTTAAACGTAAAAACTCATTACATATGGTGCTTCATTGCAGATAAATCTTACTCTCTGGAATTTCCAGCCATTTATCCTAGCTTGGCACTCTGTAGCAAGGCAGAACTGGTCAAATTACCCAGCAGAGTAGCCAGAGAATAGTTTGGACCAGCGTATCAGGATTCAAGTCACAGCTCCGCCACTCATTGGTGGAAGAATTTTGGAACAAGTCTATATTTTTTTAGGCTAAAGAATGGAGAATAGTATAATAATATTAATACCAACTACACAGGACTTCTGTGATGGTCAGATGTGCTAAAAATGTGTAATCTTTTAAGCCATGAATTTGGTGACCATATAATAATTGATTATCCAAATTAGAACATTCTTATGAACGAAAGAGGGTGCTATTAACAATTGTGTTGCAACAGTAGGCACAAACTGCGACTGATTCAGCAATCAGCATGCAGGTTCAGACTGAACACGGGAGACTTCATTAATTTTAGTCATTTCTGTTTTACGTGGAAGCTTTTCTAAATTTGAAGTCAAATGACCATATTATCTCTGTTTTTGGTTTGCTTTTAGCCAAATATGTCCATTTATTTCAAACATTTCAAATATGATATTTCTCAGTCTTTTTCTGGCCAGCCTCATATAGGTGGAATCTAGTTTTTAAAGTTTTGTTTTGGAGTGTAAGCAGAGTGTGGAGTGCCTAGGTTCAGATTTTTACTTCCAACGCTGATCAGCTTGGATACAGTTTTTAATCCCTCTGTATCGCAGTGATCTCTTCTACCTGCCTCACATAGTTGCAGTGAAGAGTAATGAGTCAATAGCTATAGGACTTAGACTCATGCTTGGCACATATAAACACCATGTAAGTGTTGTTAAATAGAATAAATGATGAGGCTACTGGAACTGAACAATACTCAAAACAACAAACTGCAATAGTTTATGACAGCCTATGCTAGACACTGGAGATAAAACAGTAAACAATAAAGGCACAGTCCCAGCCCTCAGGGAACTTCCAGACCTGCAGAGAGAAAAGGTGTTAAGCAAGCTGTCACATAAATTAATGATTTGCAACTGTGACTAGTGCTGTGAAAGAGAAAAGCAACTTACAGTGTGTTGCGCCTCTTTGGGGACCCAATTTTATCTGGCCAGTATAGACCACAGTAGGACAATTATGTCTGCTGTGCTGGCACCAGAATCCTATTAATGAATGTAAGTATTCATTAGCTCCCAGGCAACTGCATCACACTAGAAACTCACGTTCAGCTTGTGGTCGTTAATACCCTCAGGTTTTTCTTTGCATGTACTGTTGTCAAGATGGAATCCTTGGCTTTGTAATTCTCTAATTGATTTTTTAAAAAATCCAAATGGGGTTTTAGATTTATATATATATATGTGTGTGTGTGTGTGTGTTTGTGTGTGTGTATATATATATATATATTTTTTTTTTTTTTTTTTTTTTTTTTAGAGACTGAGTCTCGCTTTGTTACCCAGGCTGGAGTGCAGTGGCACGATCTTGGCTCACTGCAACCTCCACCTCCCTGGTTCAAGCAATTCCTCTGCCTCAGCCTCCCAAGTAGCTGGGATTACAGGCCCATGCCACCATGTCTGGCTAATTTTTTTTGTATTTTTAGTAGAGACAGAGTTTCACCATGTTGGCCAGACTGGTCTCGAACTCCTGACCTCAGGCAATCCACTCGCCTTAGCCTCCCAAAGTGCTGGGATTACAGGCGTGAGCCACGGCACCCATCCTACAGTAATTTTTAATAACATTCATCTTGATGCCTTTAGCCCTTCTTCTGACCTGTCAACATAATTTTAAATTGTTGATTCTTCATAACACTGGGCTAATGTTCTTTTTAGGTTATGTCAGGTTTAGATATACTTCATGTTTAGGTCTTATCCAAGGCATTTGGAAGGGTTTTGGTGTCTGGAACTTTGCAATTTAACATTTTAATTGTAATAACTTTTTTTTCACCTCAAAACAATACTTCTTTCTGGTAGAAAAATGTAAGAAGATAAAATTTTTTAAAAAAATAAAAACCTCTGTCACACCTTCATAACAGAAATGCTATCAACATTTTAACATTTTACGGAATACCATTCTGTTCTTTTCTAATTTGAGAAAAGCGTACTTAAGAACTCAGGAGTGTACGTTATATATGGCTTCAAATCTATGGATGGGGCACATAACCATGTGTTATTCTTCGATCACACAACACTAAAAGGTTGTGTAATTTTTTTTCATACGTACTTTGGTTGTTTAAAAACACTTGCATTATTTTCTTACATTTTCTACCAGAAACGAGTATTGTTTTGAAGTTAAGTTATTAAAATTAAAATATTTAAAATATTAGACTGAAAAGTTCTAGGCTGGGTGCGGTGGCTTACACCTATAATCCCACCACTACGGGAAGCCGAGGCAGGCGGATCACTTGAGGTCAGGAGTTTGAGACCAGCCTGGCCAACATGGTGAAACACCATCTCTACTAAAAATACAAAAATTAGCCAGGTGTGGTGGTGGGTGCCTGTAATCCCAGCTACTCGGGAGGCTGAGGCAGGATAATTGCTTGAACCCGGGAGGCAGAGTTTGTAGTGAGCTGAGATCACACCACTGCACTCCAGCCTGGGAGACAGAGGAAGACTCTCTCAAAAAAAAAAAAAAAAGAAAGAAAAAAAAAAATTCCCAGAAACCAGAACTCTTCCAAATGCCTTCAATAAGACAGAAAGGATACATATCTAATTTAAACATGACATAATCTAAAAACATTAACATGGTGTTATGAAGAATCAAACTCTTCAGTTGTGGCTTTGTGTTATTTACATGTCTTGCTATCATAAAACAAAGCTTGGATAAATATCTTTATCGATAAAACTCTAAATACATCAGAAATCAGAGCTTTTTACATCTTCCTGAGATATTTTCCCTATACTGTGAAGCAATGACTTCTAAAGTGGTTTTACTCAAGAAACTTTTGTTCTTCACTCATCCTTGACCATCTCATTTAGAGTTCATCACACCCTCCTCCCTATACACAGTAACTTTTTAACCCCTTTCTTTGCCTTGTTTTTCCAGAGCACTTATCACAATTTAACACATTATCTAATTCTTATTTGCTTATGATCTCTATCTCCTCCCCCGCTAAAGTGCAAGCTCCATAGGGCAGAATTTTTGTTTTCTTCACTGCTGTATTACCAGTGCCTGGAACAGTAGCTGGCACCTGGAAGTAAGTGCCCAATAAATATCTATTGAAAGGCTACAAAAAGGTCTCGTTTTTTGGTGATCTCTAAACTACTAGAGCAACTCTACCTCCCAGTTCTTTACTGACAGCTTGCAGCATTCCTTTTCTGCAATTACGATAATGTGCACTCATTTATTTCTCTATCTGGCAGAGCACACTCCTCTTTTCCTCTCTGGGTCACAGGAGGGCATGGGGCTGCATGGAAGCTTGCTTGAATGTTACCTGTGTAGTATATTATTCTAATCTTTCCAACAACCATATCGGTTGGTTTTACTCATTATACCAATGAAGACAAGGGGACTCAGGGAAGTTGAATAATTTGCTGGAGGTCACCCGGTTAGTGATAAAATGTTCCTAATAAACTGTGACACACTGCCTCCAACTAACCAGCTGAGTAACTCTGGGCAAGCTATTTAATCTCTCTGATTCTTTTTCCTCGTTTATAAAATTAAGGGGTTCCATCTGATTTCTGAACCTGACACTTTAGAATTATTTTGTGACTAGTATGACCCATGTATCTCTTAAAGGATTATTAATTGTGTTTTAACACAGGGACTTTTTCCTTTCTACTGATACCTCTACTAAACAAAGGAGGAATTTCTGCAGGGCGCTTTTATGCTTAGGACTCTAAAAAACATAGGCAGAAATAACCAGTCATATATTGCTTTCCACAGTGTCTAATTAAAGAGTTATAGTGTGAAGCTATCATAAAAAAACTGACCAAATATTACCAAAAGGATTGTGACATAAGCTGTGTTTCCAGGCATTACATACATGTACATTAAAATTTTTAGCCATTCCTTTATTCTATGAAAATAACACCCAATCATTTCTGTAACACAATGGCAATCATTGAGCACTTAATGTCTGTTCTCAATGATTTAACCTCCCCAACAATGCTGTGAGGTATGTAATATTATTATTCCCCTTTTACAGATAAAAGAAATCAAGTACAGAGAGTTTTAAGGACATTGTCCAAAGTTGTACAAGGTAAGTAGCAGAATCAGGATTTGGACCCAAACTGTGTAATTTCAAAGCACACTCAGATGCAACGCAGTATGACCCAGGGCCTAGAGATTGTGTGTTGGGATAGTATGTATCTCACATTGGAGTATATTCATTCTATGACATAAGAGAAAAACTTATGGCATGTTTTGAAACCCACTTATATAAAATGAGATTGTAATAGAATACATATGTATCATAAAATAGAATAAAATTCTATGTAATTGAATAGACTTCTACAATGGCCATTTTTCTCTTAGACTGTTCCTTTCTTTTTTACACTTAATTCTAATTGTTTTAACAGTTTTTCCTACATAAATATATGAAATGCATTCTCTTTTTTCATTATATCCAAGCTATATAAATATGTAAGTCATAGTTACCAAATCATTGTCTTAAGGACTCTGTAATAATATATTTAACTTTTTACTTTAATAAACACGTTATTTTTTGGTGACTCATAACATAAATGTGCCAGTCTATAAACTATAGGAAAAGTGTCATTCTGCAGTATTTGAATTAGCTGCTTTTGCTGATAATTAGCCTTTCTCAGGGTTATGTCAATTCTCAATTGCTGCACGCCTATAATTTGTGATTCCATTCCTGTTTTTGGCATATCGATTGTCTGTTTTTGATGCATAAATTCGGAATGACCAAATTTAATTAACATTCTTTGAGTTAATTTCCCTCTTTGTGTCCTTGGTGAAGACCAGTAATGGTTGGTCAAAGAAAATTTAGGAAGTTATTGTTACCCATGCTCATCTAAGAATGAAAGCTATCTAGAGAAAACAAAAGCAAGAAAAACAGCATATCTACATAGCATTTACGTATTTGTTAACTACTCATTCAAATTCATTCTATAAAGGAAGGAGACCTGGCTCCTGTCTTCTATGAGCTTTCAGTCTTAATCCTCAAATACTGTCTTACCTAGTGGCCTAATTATAAAAGCAACTTGGTTGTTTTTGCTTATCTGTGAGCAAATCATGGTTATGAATCATGGTTATGATTCCAGAGCTCATTCCATTTTCATTCCCTGTAAGAGAAGCCACTTATCAGCAGAAGCACCTAATTCAAATGCTGCAGAATGAAATTTTTCCTGGAGTTTATAGGCTGATTATATTAGTCTGTTCTCACACTGCTATGAATAAATACCTGAGACTGGGTAATTTGTATAGAAAAGAGCTCTAATTGACTCACAGTTCTGAATGGCTGGGGAGGCCTTAGGAAACTTACAATCATGGTGGAAGGCATCTCTTCACAGGGTGGCAGGAGAGAGAATGAGTGCTGAGTGAAGGGTGAAGCCCCTTATAAAAGCATCAGATCTTGTGATAACTCACTCACTGTTATGGGAACAGCATGGGGGAAACCACCCCCATGATTCAATTACCTGCACCTTGTCCTGCCCTTGACATGTGGGGATTACTACAATTCAAGGTGAGATTTGGGTGGGGACACAAAACCAAACCATATCACTGACAAATTTATAGATGGGTCACTAAATAGTAACTTGTGTATTAAAGTGAAAAGTTAAATATATTATTACTGCTTCCTTAAAACATGTCTACAACTATGGCTATAGATTTCTCAGTTGTTTGTTTTTTGTGGTGGAGTGCAAACTCTTGATGTAGATTTGCCATAAGTCTAGATGCATGGAATTCACACAAATTAAATGTGTTTATTATTATAAATATGCACAAATCCAAGTAGCAAAATTCTTTAAAATATCTTTCAATCAGCTGGCCATTTAATGTATTCAAGGAATTGTTATTTTGGAAATACGTATATAATATACCTGGTTGATCCTTTCTATGCCTGAATCTTGCTAAATCCCACTTTATTCATTATTATCTGACTATTTTTTCAAAGGATATTTTATTTATACACATTTATATGAGCAAAATGCATTACAAGTTGAAATTATTTTTTTAGTTGGTTTAATTACTGTCACTTGTGTTATGGAGTTTTGATATAGTTTCCACTTTGACAAGTCAAATTTGACAAAAGCAAATATTGGCACAGACTGTCGGGTCAAAAATGAACTCCTAATGTGACAACTAAAGTGAACTGCTACAAAACCTGGCTGTCAAAAACAAGTTATGGCTTTGTAATGTAAATACAGCTTTAAAAGTACAAGTTTCTCAGGCACCCATCTGTCAAAAGACAGGCTATGCTATGTCCTGAGGTGCTTTGATGAGTTTGCTCACTCTTAAGGGTAGGGGCCAGGAGAACTGGGCTCCATGCCTCAAAAAGAAGAGGGCTGATATACAGTTGACTCCAGGTTTTATTGCTTTATGTTTTCCATGTTTCTTATGGTGGTAATCTATTATTCTTATACTGATAAAAGCTCCTGTAAATGGAAATGATAGAATTCTATTCTAAAATATGACTAGAAATCATATTTTTACTATAAGAAAAAAATACTTCTTACAATTTTATTTTATTTTATTTTATTTTGAGACAGAGTCTCATTCTGTCACCCAGGATGGAGTGCAGATGCATGATCTCAGCTCACTGCAACCTCTGCCTCCCAGGTTCAAACAATTCTCCTGCCTTAGCCTCCAGAGTAGCTGGGATTACAGGCATGTGACACCATGCCTGGCTAATTTTTGTATTTTTAGTAGAGACGGGGTTTCACCATGTTGGTCAGCCTGGTCCTGAACTCCTGACCTCACAATCCGCCTGCCTCGGCCTCCCAAAGTGCTGGGATTACAGGCATGAGCCACCATGCCCGGCCACTTCTTACAAAATTTTTAAAGGAAATAACTAATTTTTTCCTGGCTCCTTTCAGGTAAAAAGATAACTTCAGCACCATCTTTGGTACGGTATTGAACGAGGTAGTGGGGATTACTGTCTGCAAAATAGATGTATGTGGCTTACCACCATGGGCTGTTTCAGGAAAGCTTTGGAAAAAGTGATTAACAAAATAGGCAGAAAGGATAAATTGCCAACATTTATGACATAGCATAGAGCATACGATATGTAATTAGGGAATCAGCTTTTATAAAACTCACATTTTAAAATCTAAGAAAATGACACTAACTACACAAGTTTCCCAATTTGCTTCTGTCAACTGAACATCTATTACGTATTAAGCACAAATGTAGATAGTTAACATATGTCCATTAACTAAATTACACAAATGCAAAAAGGATTGCCAAGGGAGAGGATAATCAGCCCAGGAGCAAGCATTCATTAAAGAGATTTCTAAGGAAGAGCAATGTTTTTGAAAATAACAGGAGCCAGGATGAATTGCATGTCACACCAGTTCTCAGTAATGTTTGGGGAGGAGTCCAGAGTTTTTCCATGAACTTTAATCCATGAAAACAAGCACATTAACTACTCTCCCGCCTTCTATTTAGGGCACCATTTTTAAAAGTTGACAACCTCCTGCAGGGATGTTCTGAAAGACAGAGACATCTTGTCGGAATTATGAATGTCCTTGGTGGATGAGGCAGAAAGAGTTGACTGTGTAGGACATTCCTGACAAGTCCTCAGGATTTGAAATGGTAACCATCTTTTTCGGCAAGTTGTTTTTTGTGTTTTTTTTGGATGAGAGGAGATATTTTAAAAGTTCAGTAGAGACTGAACTTTTAAACTCAGTTACCTATAGTTGCGTGGATAAGGGTGTGCATCCAGTTGAGCTCATAGTATGTGTTCAATACATATTTATTTCATCTAATCCTTCCCCCCATTACTGCTGATAGCTTCTGAGTTAAGGATGAATTGTTGACTCCAATGCTGTTAGAAGGGGCATGTAGCGCAACCCAGTCACACACTTCCCTTACTCTATTGTGTGCAGCCTCTCCTTTTGCTTCCACCATGAGCTATTTTCCTGCCCAAACTGAATTTATATACATATACATAGATACAGATAGCTATATAGCCACAATATATGCGCATGTGCATGTGTGTGTGTTTGTGTGTATGTATACATTTGTACTTGGCATGTGTATCTGCCATCTTCCTATCCTTCTGAAAATTGTTGCCCCGCTTTACCCCAACTGATATAGTTACTATCCATTGAGACATAAGAAGAGTAGGAAAATGTGAATGCTTACAAGTGTTATCTCCCAGGGGTGTATCTATCTGAATTTTTAATAACTGTCTTGAATGTGTAATGGGTATTACAACCTAACCTAACATAGCCAAAAATAATTCCTGCCTCTTCACGCCGGCTCATGCAGCCCACTCTCTAAACATTACCTTGTTCTTCTGGAGTTTTCCATCTTAGTAAATGGTCTCATTAACCATCCAGTTGCTTACTTAAGCTCCAAACCTAGGAATTTTCTCTCTTCTTTACTTTCTTATATCCAATCCATCACCAAGCTCTTTCGGTCTTATCCCCAAAATATTTTCCAGATCCATCCCACTTCTCCCCACTTCCACTGCTGTTATAGTCCAAGTCACCCGTGTCTTTTGCCGAAATCACTGCCGGAGCTTTATAACTGGTATCCCTGTTTTGACTTTCTTCACTTAGAATAAAATTGATTTTACAAGGCTCATAGATTGTACATCTTCTGGTTCCTGATTTTGTCTCAGCCCAATTTCCGACCACCATTCTCTTCATTCACTGGACTTTACTGACCTTTTTGTTTCTTGAACATGTGAAATCTGTTTTCTCTATCAGAGTTTAACATTTGCTGCTTCCTTTCCCTAAACTCTCTGCTCCTTGAAATTATCTCAAGCTGACTGGAGCTCGTTTCAAATATCACCTCCTTGGTGATACCCATCAATTTTCCCCTCTCTTATTCACACAATCATTTTATCAGCTTTCTGTTTTATTTCTTTATTGACACTTAGCACTACGTACAATTGTGTTGCTCATGCGTTAATTTGTTTGCTTGTTTACTGCCTCTTTTATCCTACTAGTATGTGGACTCCATGAGAGCATAGGTTTACCTGTCTTGTTCATCACATGTACCCAGCACATCAAATAATGCCTGGCACATAGAAGAGTTGAACTAAAGAAGAGAAACAATAATTGTATTAGCATACTTTCCTCAAATTTATTTATTAATTTGTTTTTTTTTTTTTTTTTTTTTTTTTTGAGACAGAGTCTTGTTCTGTCACCCAGGCTGGAATGCAGTGGCAGGATCTTGGCTCACTGCAACCTCCACTTCCCGGTTCAAGCGATTCTCCTGCCTCAGCCTCCCAAGGAGCTGGGATTACAGGCATGCACCACCACACCCAGATAATTTTTGTATTTTAGTAGGGACAGGGTTTCACCATGTTGGCCAGGCTGGTCTCAATCTGCTGACCTCGTGATCTGCCCATCTCAGCCTCCCAAGGTGCTGGGATTACAGGTGTGAGCCACCACGCCCGGCCCTTTCCTCAAATTTCTGAAGCTGAAACTAAGAAAGATAATCTATTTCATTCTCTAGAGGTTGAATCCTAGATATAAAACTCAAGAGCTATTGGTGCCTGTTTTCTGTGACTGGGCCAAAGCCATGAGAATAATGAAGCCAGCAGACCTTAAAAGCAGAGCTGAGAGCAAAAGATAGTTTTGATGATATTTAATTCTCCTTTTAGTTGTTTGAGACCCAGGTATATTCCTTCTCTTCCCATAGTATGCTTGTACAATTTATGCATGAGATATACCGACATACTTCCAATAATTCCTCTTTTTCCTTTCTTGCTTAAGTTGGTTTGAAATTGGTTTCTGAGATTTACAATTAAAGTATTCCAAACTATCCTGTCACGGCTTGTTTCTATTGCCTTTTCTGCGACTCTCTATTATGAAATGCAAAACTCTGGCCATTATACACTTCTTTCATCTCTCTGCCTATCTCTCCAGCTCTTTCTACCTCTATCTCTATCTCTACCTCCGTCTCCATCCTTGGACCTTTACACATGTGTTTTTATACGCTTGGACTATTCTTTCTGATTTTTCTTTAAAAAAAGTTCTGACAGCCCAAGCCTAGGGTTTGTACTCCTTCTATGATCTACCATAGCATCATATATTTATTCCCAGTGTAGCATGAGCGACCAGTCTTGCATCTCCCTATTTGTTTCTTTCACTGTTGTATTTTTTCTTACTTACAACAGCATTCTTGGTGTCTAATACAATGCCTGATAGATAAACAGATGGCAACTGAATAAATGGACGAATGAACAAATAGAGTTGTTTTGTTTAGGACCAAAGCAGAACTAAGAGGCAACAGAGCAGGATCTGAGTGCTAATAATGTGCTCCACATCAGACTTTTTCCTTCTGATGCTGCTCTAAAGTATGGAACTGATTTTTTTTCAGATTGAGGCTGTTTGCTTTGGGCTTAGGCAAGATTTATACCTATATTTTCCAGTACTTGTTTTTCTAAGGGCTCTTTTATTTTTTGCTCATGTTCCCCGTTTTCACTTACAGGGCCTTATTTTTTCAGAGCTATTTTCCTCTAGTATAAGATTCTGAAATTTCTACCTATTAGTGCCATTTGGTTTGTCACTTTGTCAAATATTGGCAGCATGCCAAGCTACTAGGCATCCTGTTTAAAATATTTTCTTGTGGAAAATAAAAATAAATTCATATCATCATTATCATTTTCTATTTAGTATATTCCATGGGCTATCCTTTTAAAAATCCTTTCAAAAATCAGAATTGCTATACTAATCTCTGATATTCCTATTTTGCATAGTTTTTAGTGCTTAAGGAAACAAAGAAAATATCAAAGTTTCTTCAAGTTTATTTTATATTTGAAAAAATAGCATGTCCAAATTTATGTGATGTTCAGTCACCCCCAGGGGAAGAGAATGTTTCCATTGACCATGACTGTGACCCATTATTGTACTCTTGCTCTGCAGAGTCTCAAGGAGTCTCACTCAGTGTTCTGATGGGCTTGGTGCAATGATTATTTTTCCTTTTTACACTCCATGGATCTTATCACTGCAATTACACTAAATGATTGCACTTTGCTTGTTTTTCTGGTAGTTTCTCCATTAAAGTTGTGCCATTAACAAATGAATTTGCAACATTACATGAACACTGTCAAATATTCTTCATATAAATGGATTCTTGACAGAAACACAGAAGGAGCAAAGAGGAAAACCTTACACAGGGAGGAATTTCAAAGACAACATCTCTAAATTGAAATGAGTTGTCAGATACTGATGATTTCATATAACACCCTATCATACGATAATCTGTGATGGAGAGGATGGACAGTGAGCCTGAAATATTGAACTCTTATTCTCAACGTGTTGGTGGATGACGTAAGGAGTAAAGATTCTCCCCAGAAATAAAGCAGTTATAAAGACATGGAATCTGCTTACTCCTTTTTCTTTAGTTTTGGCCTTAGAAAAAATGAGGAGTGGTGACTTTATTTGTTTTAATTTTCTCGAATATTCCTGAAGCCATGTTGGTGGTCAGATTTGGACCACTTTTTCTAGCACTCAGATTCTGAAGGCAGAGTCAATAATTTTAAAAACAGATGGAAGCCATTGAGTGTAACCAAATATCTTCATGGTTTAGAAATGAGTTCTAGAAAATCTAAGTCAAAACTAATCTCAAAAGTGATCAATGGAAGGCCTGCACTCTTTCAAAGTAGAACTAATCTATTAATGTGCAAGGCAGAGAGTATCACTGAATGGGATCAGCATTGGAGATTACAGATATTAATCAGGTGCTATTTTAATTGCGGTCTCCAATTACAAACAGGTTGTGCATCGAAACTTCATTAGGGAAACAAATATTTGTAAGAAAGAATGCTTTTGTTTTCTATCAAAAGAACATTTCAGATGGTAAGTCATTACCAAATTGCTCAGAAAAAGTTGTATAATGTATCTGAAGAATGATACCAATGAGATGTCCAAATATTAGATTCTGGTTGCAGGAGGATTTTAAGTGGGGAGAGAATAGAAGGAATGTATTTGCTCTCCCTTTCTAGTCTCAAAAGTCAAAAATAGTGTAATTTCCCATAGCTGCCCTGTAACTCCATTCTGCCTACCTCCCTGTTTCTGTGGGCAACTCTCCTCTACCCTTCAGGCATAAATACTGATACTGATACCCTGCTGTTCTGGGCACATTAAGCTTCCCCCTCATGCACTCAAAACTCTTATTTATTCAATAAAGGT
Source organism: Homo sapiens (assembly GCF_000001405.40). Classification (NCBI taxonomy): domain Eukaryota; kingdom Metazoa; phylum Chordata; class Mammalia; order Primates; family Hominidae; genus Homo; species Homo sapiens. The sequence goes on from NC_000018.10 coordinate 27,251,744, forward strand.
ACACATTAGAGAAGAAAGCATTCTGATTAAATTAATTCACAATAAGGTATGAATGATTTAAAGCAAACACGCACTTCAGACAGACAAAACTCATTGAAACTACAATTTGTCTGGAACTGTGTTAGGCTTACTAGTTCTATTATCTCACATCTCTACAAAAAACTGTTTTATGGAGAACATCGGAGCTCAAATTCTTTAAAGACTTTGCTCTAAGAATATAGTTAGTAAATTACAGAGCCATGATTTAAGATATCAAAAATATTCTCAAAATTTTTTTGAGGTACTCTTGGTGCCAATTAACTAATGCAGTTTCAGGTTCAGCCATTGGGAAAAGGGAGGTGCTGGTAAAAATGTCACACATTATGAGGAGAAATAAGTTAAAATAGGTGGTTTTGACGAGGTATCTAGTCTCCTAGACCAACTTCCTCAAGTTAAACTAGTTTTGTGTATTTTCTTTCCCACTCTATCATCCTCCATTTTCTACGTACAACCATACCTTATAATGCATTAATCTAAAAGTTTCAAATTGTTTACAGATCTAACTTATTTATTTGCTTTTTCATTCAAATTATCAGGAATTCTGGAAGGAGTATGGGTCACCCTTTCATATTTTCAAGTCTTGTTGGCTGTTGATGGGGTTTTTATTTTTCATGGATGAGGGTTTGGAAATTCTTGTAGCCAGCAGGGATAGGAAGACACTAACTGAACATTGTGATGTCTGATAGCAGTAACTCTGAGGTGTGCGTGGTAAACTGGGAGGAGGGGGGAAAGAGGAGGAGGAAGGACATTGAGAAACCTCCAGCCAAGTAGAAATTGGCTGTTTAAAAATTATTTTTTACCTGAAATTAAGCCTTTCCCTCCACTATTGTGATTATATATTGTATTTGTCTGTTTTCACACTGCTGATAAAGATGTACCCAAGACTGGGTAATTTATACAGCAAAAGAGGTTTAATGGACTCACAGTTCCACATGGCTGGGGAGACCTCACAATTGTGGTGAAAGGTGAAAGGCATGTCTTACATTGGTGGCAGGCAAGAGAGAGAATTTGTTCAGGGAAACTCCCCCTTATAAAACCAGATCTTGTGAGACTTATTCACTCTCACAAGAACAGCATGGGAAAGACCCAACCCCATGATTCAATTATCTCCCACTGGGTCCCTCCCATGACCTATGGGAATTGTGGGAGCTACAATTAAAGATGAGGTTTGGGTGGAGACACAGCCAAACCATATTATATATATTACATTAGTGTTTGGTCTCATAGGCCTGTACAGTGGCCCATGGAAAAAGTACCTGTTATCTAGCAAGAAAATATGGAAAAATCTGGAAAATTGCTACTCCAAAAAAAAAAAAAACACCTTACTCAAAACAAATTGGTCTTAGAATTGGGGAAAACCTGTACTGACCTGGATTTTCTGCTCTATAATACCTCACCAATTATATTTCATCTAATGCTAAAAATAGTTACCACATCATAAATTAGTTAAAAAGATCCAAAACACTGCCACCAATAACAAAATATCCTTCTACTTGAAGAAATTATATCTCTTGGTGGCTTTTCAATCAAAATGCAAAGCTACCCCCAAAGTAGTATGATAATATTTACTAGCCTGTCTTTGCTTTAAATGTACAATAAGACACACATTCTCACTAAAGCAAAAGTGTGTTACAATACTCTTTAGCTAAAATAACTATATTCATCAACATCAAAACACCTAAATAGCCTAGAGATAATCTCATAGAACTTATGTTTTCAAGTTTACAATTCACTTGACTCTCATTCAATTGCCAGAGGATTTATGCACAATGCGTATTGTTTTCAAGTTCTTATTTACATAATTAAGTAAAAGAGATTGTAATATCAGATGTTGACACAATTTACGATCATTTATTTATTTTTATTTTCCATGATAAGAGTCATTTGAGAGCAATTTCACATATTATCCTCCCCCTATTCCTCAAAATAGAAGCTAATACTGAATGTCATACTCCCTTTCCTCACTTGAGAACCAGAGAGCATATGAGCTCTTACAGGAATTGAGAAATACTCTCTTGCCTGAGGACATATCATTTGATACTAAGAAATGGAGCTCTCAAAATTTAATGAATGTCTCCAACACTAAACTTGTGTGAACTGAGTCATAAAATGGAAAGCAACAGTCTTTTACACACTGTGGAGATCCTCTGGCAAGAACAGGAGCAGTCCCTCTAAGAGAAGGACTATAAATATTATCTTTAGTATCTTTCAACTGAAAAGAGATGCTAGTGTATCCAGTACCACAGACTGGATTCCAGTGGTGGCTCTGCAATTTTTGGGTGAAACCTTAGACACCTCTCACTTCTTAGAGGCTCTTTCCTCATTTGTAAAACAGGATAAATCTGGATTAATAACATCCACCTCTTACCCAGAGGATTAAATGAGATCAAGTAAGAAAAAATCTTAGTTAAATGCTTGAGTATAATAGGCATTAAATAAGTGCTTGTTTTTGTCCTGGGAAGCAGAGCCTAAGATGAAGACTCTTGGTCAAGAGGTTCATGGTTAAGTACTTTTAGGAGGAGAGAGGGATGTAGGAGCGTGGGCAGAGGAAATAAGCTCATAGAGTTTTGCCTGGAAACTAGCTTCAGTTTGATTTCCTGGGGAAGCTCTGCAGCTCAAATTGCATTAGCATCAGTCCCATTTAAAGGGAGGCAGGAGTGTGCAGGAGTGTCCTCTCCAGCATGGGAGGTCTCATTTTTGGCAGAGGTCAATTCTCAAGAGAAGGTTGCAGCTTTGAGTTGCTATCATACAAAACTAGTAACATGGGAGTGGGTGGGCATTGGGTGGGGAGAGGGGATGTGCACCTGTTAGTAAGCTGGTCTTGATTTGACACCAACAGTGCCCACTAGAGTCTATCCTTGGCATTATTCAGATCCATTTGCTTCTCACTCCAAGTTCATCCGCCCAGGTGCAGCTTCTCCAGTATTTTGATTGGTCACACATTTTGGGAAAACTTAAAAGAGAAGAGGGTTACTCAGACAAACTGAAACCCTTGCTGATGCATTGTTCCTGAGGTTGTAACTCAGTAGTTTTCAATCAGGGAAGATTTTGTCCCCCAAAGGATATTTGGCAACGTCTGGAGAAATTTTTGTGTGCCATATCTGGAGGTTGCTATGGGCATTATGTCCTGCAATGCACAGAACAGCCCCCACAGCAATAATTATTCAGTGTAAAGGTCAATATTGCTGAAATTGGGAAACCCTGCAGTAACTGATATGCATCATTTCACTGCTTCTTCACCAATTCTAGATTCTCCTCCCCTCAGTGAGCACATTTGCTGGTTTAGGTGGATTGTCTGGTGGGTTGACTCATATCATCATCTCTGAGGAACATAAGCCCAGTTTAGCATGATTTATCAGCTTATGGTTTCTGTGCATACCCACTTAGTTAAAACTGGATGTGGGAGTACCAGGAGCTATTCCAGTTGATCACTTGAGTGCAAAACAGATCCTCAACCTGCCACCAAGAGGCCAAGTGGTATCCTTGAGGGACGGGATGGTTTGGAGGCTCAACCTTGGTCTCTGTTGCTGGCAGGGCAGACATTCAGCTGTGACAGTAGCTAGATTAGCCTGAGTGAGAGTTAGGACTTACTGTAGAGCCCATATTTGGTGCTATGGATTGCTGCTGAGCACATTTGACCTTATTACTTGATGGCCATCAGAGTGACTTCTGACCACATGGTAACCTGCTGTCCGATGGGCCAAAGCTCTGTTTCTATCATAGCCTAGTAGCATTTCAGGAGCTGGTTGGTTTTTTGTTTGTTCGTTTTTTCAACAGTTTATTAAGATATAACTTAGAGCCAGGCGCAGTGGCTCACGCCTGTAATCCCAGCACTTTGGGAGGCAGAGGCAGGGAGATCACGAGGTCAGGAGATCAAGACCATCCTGGCCAACATGGTGAAACCCCGTCTCTACCAAAAATATAAAAAAATCAGCTGGGCGTAGTGGCGCGTGCCTGTAATCCCAGCTACTTGGGAGGCTGAGGCACGAGAATCACTTGAATCCAGGAGGTGGAGGTTGCAGTGAGCCGAGATCGTGCCACTACACTATAGCCTGGAGACAGAGTGAGACTCTGTCTCAGAAAAAAAAAAAAAAAAGACAACTTACACAACAGAATCACTCTTTTAAAGCATACAATCCAGTGTTTTTTAGTTTATTCATAGAGTGGTACGACCATCGCAGCCATCTGATTTCAGAACATTTTCATCATCACCAAATAAAACCCCACCTGCAGTCAACTCCCATTCTTCCCAACTCCTCTAGTACCAGGAAACTGCTAGTTTACTTCCTGCCTCCATGGATTTGCCTGTTCTGGAAATTTCATATAAATGAAATAATATAATATGTGACCTTTGTGTCTGGCTTCTTTCATTTGGCATAAAGTTTTCAAGGTTCATCCATGCTGTAGCATGTATTAGTACTTCATTCCTTTTAATTTACAAATAATATTTCCTTGTATACATATACCGTATTTTACTTATCTATTCATGAGTTGCTGAACATTGGGTTGTTTACATTTTTTGGCTGTTAGGAATAATGCTGCTATAAGCATTTGTGGACAAATTGTTTGTGTGGACACCTTCAAGCCCACATATTTAGGAGTGGAGTTGCTGGGTAATATAGTAACTCTGTGTTTAATGTTTTGAGAAATGATTAAGCTGTATTGCAAAGCGGCTGCACCACTTTCTCACCAACAATACATGAAGGCTTCTATTTGTCTATATAACCACTATTCATTTTCTTTTTTATTTTAATCATCCTAGTGGATACTGTTTCTGTTTTTTGCTTTCATTGTGGTTTTGGTTTGCTTTCCCCAATAACTAATGATGTCGAGCATCTATTCATGAGCTTATTGATCATTTGTTTATCTTCTTTAGAAAAGTAACTATTCAAATTATTGGCCTATTTTTAAAATGAGTTGTCTTTTTATTTGTAAGTGGTTAAAGACTTTTTTCTCTCATTGAATTGCCTTGGCAGAATTGTTAAAATCAATTGACCATAACTGTGAGGGTTTCTGGGATGTCAATTCTATTCTATTGAGCTACATGTTTATCTTTACGCGAGTACAATGCTGTTTTGGTTACAGTAGGTTGGTAGTGAGTTTTTAAATCAGGAAATGTGAGTCTTCTGATTGTGTTCATCTTTTTCAAGATTGTTTTGGTGATTTTGGATGCCTTTCATATTCACATGAATTTTAGTGCTGGTTTTTAAATTTCTGCAGAACGGCATCTGGGAGTTTGAGACTGTATTGACCCTGTAGATCAATGCAGAGAGTACTACCATTTTAACATCATTATCTTCCAGTCTATGAACATAGTGTGTCTTTCCATTTATTAAGTCTTCTCTACATTTTTCAAGAGTATTTTGTATTTATTAGTGTACATATCTTGCACTTCTTTTGTTAAATTTGTTCCTAATAATTTTATTGTTTTTGATGTCGTTGTAAATGGAATTGTCTCATTAATTTCATTTTGGGATTGTTCATTGCTGTTTCATAAAACTTCATTTGAGTTTTGTATTTTGATCTTACATTAATATCTTGCAACGTTGCTGAACTGGTTTATTAGTTCTAATAGGTTGTGTGTGTGTTTGTGTATTCCTTAGAATTTTCCATATTGAAAATTATGTCTTCTTTAGATAGAAATATTTTTACTCTTTCTTTTCCAGTCTGGATGTCTTTTATTTCTCTTTCTTTCCTCATTGTGTTGAGTAAAACCTCTAGTACAATGTTGAATAGAAGTGGAAGAAGTGGATAACTTGTTTTGTTCCTAATTTTAAGGGGAAAGCATTCAGTCTTTCACTATTAAATATGATGTTAATTATGGATTTTTCATGGGAACTGTTTAGCATCTAGAAGCAGTTTCTTTCAATTCCCAATTTATTGAGGGGTTTTAATAATAAAAGTGTGGATTTGACAAATGTCCTTTCTGTATCTATTGAGATGATCATATGGTTTTTGTCCTTCCTTTATTCTATTGATATAGTATATTGCATTGAATTTCAGATGTTTAAATAACCTTGGATTCCTGGCGTAAATCACACTTTGTCATGGTGCATAATCCTGTTTATATGTACCTGGATTTGATTTATAACTATTTTGTTAAGGATATTTGATCTTTATTCTTAAGGAACATTGTCTGTAATTTTCTCTACTCGTGATGTTTTTGCTAGTTTTGGCCTCAGTATAAAACTGGTCTCATAGAATACATTGAGAAATGTTCCTTCCTCTTTCATTTTCTGGAAGAATCTCAGACAAATTGTTAATTATTCTTTAAGTGTGTTTTAGAATTCACCAGTGAAGCCATCTGAACTTGGGATTTTCTTTGTAGGAAGTCAATGAATATTTTGTATTTTACCATGAGTCAGTTTTGGTAGTTTATGTTTTTCTACAATTCTTTCCTTTTGTCTAGGTTATCTAATTTGTTGGCAAACACTTTTTTGTAGTATTTCTTTATAATTCTTTTCATTTCTACAGGGTGGATATTGCTATGTTTTCCTTCATTCCTGGTTTAGGTGATTTGAATCTTTTCTCTTTTTTTGTGAGCTGTCTAAATAAATGCTTAGTAATTTTTCTGATCTTTCCAAAGAACCAAATTTTTACTGGTTAATTTTCTCTATTGTTTTTCATTTTTATTTCATTTATATCCACTATATTTTTTCTGCTTGCTTTGGATTTTTTTTCTTTAGCCTTTTATTTTAGGTTCAGGGGTATACGTGAAGGTTTGTTATATAGGTAAACTCATGTCATGGGGGTTTGTTGTACAGATTATTTCATCTTCTAGGCATTAAGACTAGTACTCATGAGTTATTTTTCCTGATCCTCTCCCTCCTCCCACCCTCCACCCTCAAGTAGACCCCAATGTCTGTTGTTTCCCTCTTTGTGTTCATGAGGTCTCACCATGTAGCTCCCACTTACAAGTGAGAATGTGTGGTATTTGGCTTTCTGTTCCTGTGTTAGTTTGCTAAGGATAACAGCCTCTGGCTCCATCCATGTTCCTGCAAATGACATGATATCTTTCTTTTTTATGGCTGCACAGTATTCCATGGTGCATATGTACCATATTTTCTTTATCCAGTCTACTATCGATGGGCATTTAGGTTGATTCCATGTCTTTGCTATTGTGAGTAGTGCTGCGGTGAACATAGGTGTGCATGTGTGTTTATGTTCCTTCCCCAACTTGAAGGCAGCAGAGGACAGAACTTTAGTAGTGGCTGTGACCAAGGGTGTTTTGCTTGTTTCCTGGGGGCTCCACCCCTGAGAGATGCAGGTCAGCAATTGCTCAGTGCAATCAGCCCAGAATGGAAAGGGTGTGCCGTGGGCCCAAGCTGGGGGTTCCCTGTCTGGTAATGAGTAGGGGATGTGGGTGGGATCCATGGGAGATGGACTGGCCTCCTCTCCTTGGATTGACTGCAGCTTGTTGGAGGTGTCAATAAGGCACTGAGGGTCTTTGCTCCTTCATTAGTCTGAGGATAGCAAGGGCAGTCCCACTGCAGAGGCAGTGGCAGAAAGGCTTTCAGTTGTCCCTGTCCAGGGTTGCAGAGCTACTACTGGCTGAATAGCTCTGGCAGGGGTGGCTGGAGACCTAGGCCTGGAGGACTTGCCTGGTAAGGAGATATGGGAACAGGCACCACTTTTCTGTAGGGCTGCTGCAGTATACAGGGGATCCACTCTAGTCCCTAGTCACCATGAATTTTCCAGTACCTGGAGGTATCAACAGTGAAGGCTGCAAAACAGCAAAAATGGCAGCCTGCCCCTCCCTCTGCAAGCTCCATCCCAGGGTGGTTCTTATCTGTTGCCAGCCTGAACACACCTGCAGGAGGTGGCTGGAGATCCCAACTGAGAGATTCTGCCCGGTGAGGAGGAATGGAATTTGGAAACCTGCATTAAAAGGCCATTTGGTCATGTTTTTGTAGAGCGGTTGTGTTCTGGGGGTCCACTACAACACCTGATTGTCTTGGACTCGCCAAAGCCTGAAGGGCAGAATGGCTAAGTTGCCCAAACAACAAAGATGGTGGCCTGCCTCACAATTTCTTCTTTCTGTTGCAGGGAGGCTTGAAACCTCTGTTGGCTGGAAAACACTGGTGGTGCTAGCTAGAGTCCCCAGTTGGGAGGTCCCACCCAGTGAGAAGAAACAAGACTGGGGACCTGCTTAAAACAACAATCTGGCCACATTTTTGTAGGACAGCTGCTCTGTACTGGGGGTCCACTTCAGCCCCTGGTTGCCTCCAGCCCAAAGGCCGGAACAGCTAAGTTGCCCAAACAGCAAAGATGGCAGCCCACCCCTCCCCCTGGGAGCTCCACCTAAGGGAGGCACAAGCTGCTACCTGTGGCTAGCTGGAGTTCCATGCCAATTATCCTGTGAGACACTGTAAAAGCAGGGCCTGCAGACTGTTGCTGCTCAGCCCTCTGGATTCAGCCCCTTTCCTAGGGGCCTGTACAGGGGGGTCTAACCTCCTATTTTGCTGAAGTTGCAGCTGCTTTTGCTGGGAAGCCCAGAAAGCCAATGTATCTAAGGCTCCTGGGCCTTCACATGTGCCTGAGTGGCTGCTCAGCCAAGACTCCACATAGCTCTCTGTATGTCAGACTGAAGGTCCTGGTGGAGTGGGTTCTCAAGGGGATCTCTTGACCTGAGGGTTGCAAAGATCCATGGAAGAAGTGTGGATTCCTCAGGTTGCACATTCACTCACTGCTTCAGTGAGTGAGCAGAGCAGGGGAGGCTCCCCCCGGCTCTGTGTGACACCCAGGTGGGCTGTCATCCTGCCCTGCTTTTGTTTGTTCTCAGTCAGTCCAGTTGTTTTCTTGATTAGTCCCAATGCATGTACCTGGATGTTTCTGTTAAAGGTGTTTTATTTTCTGCTTTGGATTATATTTGCTCTTTTCTTTACAGTTTCTTAGGGTATAAGTTTGGGTTATTGTTTTGGGATTTTATTTCTTTTTAAAATATTGGGGTTTAATAGTATGTATTTCCCTCTAAGTGCTGCTTTATCTGCACCTCATGAGTTTTGGTATATATCCCATAAAATTTAGTGTTCATTTCCATTTATCTCAAAATATTTGGTGTGTGTCTTTGTGATTTTCACTTTGATCTGTTGATTATTTAGGAGTGTGTCATTTATTTTTACGTATTTGTTAATTTCTAAAATTTTATCTTATTACTGATTTCTAGTTTCATTTCAATGAGAGCCGAGAATATACTTTGCCTGACTTTATCCTTTTAAATTTATTGAGACTTGTTTTCTGGCCTAATATGGCTTATCCTGGAGAATGGTTCATGTGTATTTTAAAAGAATGTGTACTCTACTGTTGTTGAGTGATGTTTTCTTTACATGTCTGTTAAATCTAATTGATTTATAGTATTTTTAAACCTTCCATTTCTTTGTTGTTCTTCTGCCTTGTTGTTCTATCCATTATTGAAATTGGGGTATTGAAGTTTCCAGCTCTAATGTTGATTTGTCTGTTTTTCCCTTCAGTTCTCTCTGTTTTGCTTTATGTATTTTTGAACTCTCTTGTTTGGTGCATACATATTTTTAATTACGTCTTTTTGCTTGACATTTTTATCATTATAAAATGCCCTTCTTTGTCTCTAGTGACAATTTTTGTGTTAAAGTCTATTTTGTCTTATACTACTATAGCCATTTCAGTTTTTATTTGTTTATTTGTTTTGGTTACCACTTGCATCATGTTTTTTTCATCCTTTACTTTCAACCTATTTGTGTCTTTGAATCTAAAGTATATCCTTATAGGTGACATATAATTGGGTCATTCAGATAATCTGTTAGTTTCTGCCTTTTGATTAGAATGTCTGATTACCAGTGTTTAATGAATATCTTATAAGGTAGAATTTACATCTGCCATTTAGCTGTTTGTTTTCTGCATGTCTTATGTCATTTTGTTACTCTATTTCTCCATTACTTTCTTTTTTGTTGTTGTTAAATAGGTATTTTTGTTAGTCCTCTTTTGATTAAAATGTACCATATTCTTGTACTATATTTTCTGAGTTTTTTTCTTAGTTGTGGCCCTGAAATTCCCAATTAACATTAACATTTTAAAATAATGTATTTCAAATTAATATGAATTTAATTTCAATAGTATATGAAACTTGTCTACAATATTATTCTTTCCTATCTTGCCTTTGTTCTATTACTGTCATAAAACATACAAATTACATCTTTTAATATTTTAAGTCCATTCAGCAATTTTATAATTATTGCTTTATGATGTTATTGTTTAGATAAAACAGAAAGAAAAATTAGTTACAGAGATACAGTTATTCTTTCCTTAATATTTAGCCTTGCAATTATCTTTACTAGTGTTCTTTATTTTTTCATGTGGATTTCAGTTATGTTTAGTGCTCTTTCATTTCAATTTGAAGGACTCTTTAGTATTTCTTATAGAATAAGTCTGCTATCAACCAATTCATTCAGTTTTTATCTGGGAACACCTTTATATCTCTTACATTTTTGGAGGATAGTTTTGGTCAACAGTTTTGGTTGATTGTTTCTTTCTGCATCTTGAAAATGGCATCCCATTGCCTTCTGGCATCCACAGTTTCTGGTAAGAAGTCCAATGTTAATCTTATTTTGGATCTCTTCTCTATGATGAGTCATATTTGTCTTGGTTCTTTCAAGATCTCTCTCTCTTTGTCTTTTGACAGTTTGACCATGAAATTTTCAGTTATGGATCTCTCTGAGCTTATTTTACTTGAAGTTTGATTAATGCTTTCCTTCAATTTGGGGAAGTTCTCAGTCACAGTTTCTTCAAATATTTTCTGCTCCATCTTTTATCTTCTCTCATTTTATGTCTTCAATTTATTTGGACACTGATTTGCTTAATGATATCTCACATGTGTCTAAGACTCTGTTCTTTTTTCCTTATTCTTTACTTGCTATTCCTCAGACTGGATAATCTCAATTGACCTTTCTTCAAGTTCACTGATTCTTCTGTCAGCTCAGATCTGCTGTTGAGCCCTTCTAGTCAATTATTTATTTCAGTTATTTTACTTTTTTATTTCCTGTAACACAACCCATTGTAAGTGCTGGAATCCATAATGAGTCCTTTTGTTTGCCTCTGGAAAACTGATGCAAATCAATCTGACGTCCTGGCTCCTGTTTTTAACATGAATAATACAGACCTTTGTCTCTGATCCAGGAGTCTTTTGTCTTCTTCCAGCACTGTAAATCTTGAAACAGCATATTACTTGTTATTTAAAAGTAGGGTAACAAGACTAGACTCTGTACAGTTTTTTAATTTTGGCAATGAGTATGGTGTGCTAACAGAGGCATGGATTTCTGGAATAGAAAGGATGAGGTTTTCTATAGGCTGGGCTAGGGGTTATGTGAAAACTCACTCCCCAGGATCTGGTAGTGAATGCTCTTGCCCCAGTGGTAGGGTGGAGGCAGTAAGCATCTTCCCAATGTTCTACCTATTAATGGATGTTTAGAGGCTTTATGGTGAGAGGTAAGATTAAAACCAGCCTCCTGAATGCTGCTTAGGTTCATTCTCTACTAAATGGTAGAAGGAAGGGATGTTATGATGGCAATGGGGGCAGCAAGCCTCAGGTAGGTCCTTAGCCAAAAGGTATCATGGCTGCTAGAGGATCCCTCATGGCATCAGCAACAAGGATATAGAGCTTTGGTTACCTTTAAACATCTGGAGGTTTTTGTTGTTGTTGTTGTTGTTAAAACTGAGAAGTCAGCTGCTCAAAACTGAAAGTAGATGCAAAGCCTTGCTTATTGGCACTGAGTGCTTCTTTCTCCAGCAGCCCCTGATGCCTTTTTTTGCCCTCTACCACATCCTCAGCTGCTTTACTAAAAGCCAATGTGCTAGAAAACTTCAGACAGGGACGTTACTCACACTTTTATGGTGGTATAGGATGTGGAAGTCCAAATCATCCCCTGGCTGGCTCTGTGTGGATAGGGGATTCTGGGTACAAGGGTGGCAGAATGCTGCTGAACATTTCAGGTAGAAGCTGCAGTGAAATGTGAGGGTGCAAGAAGAAAGAGCGCCTGTTTTTGGCAGGCCTCAGATGCTGGAGGTGCACAGGGGAGGATGTAGCACTGACCTTCGGGCAAGAAGCCAGGGGAGAAAAAAATGCTTCCTTGTATACTCCAGCCATCCCTGCAGGCCAGTCTCCACCATCCTTCTGCACTCCCCAGGCTCCTTGCTAGGAAATGACATTATCTCCTGGTAGCTGTCCCTAAAGTATAGTTGTTAAACTCCTTGGTGTGTGTTCCCATGGTGTGGAGGGAAAGTGTCCAAATTTAAATAGCGCTTGAGCAAAATGTACAGTTAAAAAAAAAACAACATTAAAGTGACCTTATGAATGAAGCCCTCTGGGTCAACTCAACGTACTTTGTTATGAAAATATATAACATGTGCTGTAAGTGTTCATAAAGTATCAGAAAATATTATGTGCTTTAGGCCTTTAAAAAAACACTAGAGCAACAAAGTACCCTGCTATTTGCAAACTGGTGGGGTAGTCAGCATTCAGCAGGAGTGCCTCACTCCTCTGATGTCCAGATTTTTCCCTATATAGGTGATGTCCTGATGATTGGCAAATCCGAAGCTTCAGTCTCAATTGGCCTGGCTGTAATGCTATCATACCTCATCCGGCAGAGGTGGTTAATAAACCCCAGCACAATTTTGGAACTGCGTTCCAAGAACAGTTTCTTAGGACTGTGTGAGTGGGTTTATTAATACAATGTTCAATTCTTCTAACAATGGATCAAAAACTGCTGTCTTTTTTGGTCCCACTATCACCAAAAAAAAGTCCTAACCCTTTATTGGATTCTTTAAATATTGTAGACAATATATGCCTCTCTAAACAGTCTTACTTGTCAAATGAAAACAACGTGTTCACGGAATCAGCTAACCTGGACTCAGCTTCACCTCATTTTTTTTAATGATGGGTGGAAGCTACTTCTTTAGGGAAAACTTATCTCCCCCTCTGCTGCCTGAAGCAAAGTTCCGATTCAGTGGGGCCCCCAATTCAGAGAAGCTCCCCTCAATTCCTGGGCCTGGTTGACTGATGATTCAACAAAGTCAAAACTTAATGTTGTCCACTGGGATTGCTGTGGCTGTTTAGCCTCAGCCCCAGCTACAAATAACTGAAAATGTGCATGGTGACTCCACTCAGTAGGCAAAACTAAAGGTTGTTTTCATAGCTCAGGCCAATACATCCGTTGATATTTTTACTGAGTCGTGTGCTGGTCTAGTCATTTGGATTGTCACTTGAAAGACCACAGATGGGCAGAGTAAAGATACTCCTCCTTAGGGCCACAAACTGGAAACAAATTGTGGCTGCTGTTATGGTGGTCTGGGTCACTCACATGGACCATGTGACCTCACATTACTTAACCTAAATGTCTACAGGAAGGCTCTATTCACTGACTGAAGCCAAGCTGCTGCTCACACCTGCAATGCTGAAATTGCTGCCTCTCCATCGGGATCTGTCATCACATCAAAATATGGCAATATATCACCATCAGGCTTTGAGGTTCTGTGTCTGATACAGAAGCAATCACTGCATACTAGATCTGTGATTCCTGCCAATAAATACTTGTTTGTCTCAAGATGAAGGAGGACACATTGCAGGAATTGGTGATCCTGTCTTCTCTTGGCAGATTGACTACCTGGGATCTTCCTTACTTCCTTAAGGTTATCAATGATGCCTCAGTACTTTTGACACTTTTTCAGGTTATGGTACTGTGGTCCAGTCCATAACACTTGGGCCATTAAAACTAATCTGTGCCATGTTTTTTGCTTTTTGAACCTTCTACGATCTGACAGTGATGTCCTTTTTGTCACAAACGTTATCAGTGATGGGACAATGACCAAAGTATTGGATGGACATTCCATGCCCCCTACTATTTATAAATTTTGGGTATTGTTGAGCTTGGGAAGACTTCTGACTTTACTTCCCTCACCTCCTCCTGATCCACACACCTCAGTAAGAGTGTGAATAAGGTTGTGCCCAGAAAGGGATTTTATCATTTCAACAACTTTCCAGGTAATGATCAGGAAAAAAATTATACATATGAATATAAGATAATTGGAGAAAAGATAAAGTTGTAATTACTCCGGGATTGGATGCATTAATTTTATGGTAGTAGAAGGAGAGAAAAAAAACCCGGCAACCAGGGAGGGAACTTAGATCCCAGAGGTATACGGGAAAAGAAATGATTAAACCCACTCTATCTTCTAGATCCAGCACTGCTTCCTGAGTCAAGCCACAGCTTCATCTGACAATCTAAACTGAGGCTGAGTTTGTCATCTCTGTTGACATGCTATAAAAATGAAATAAAACTCAGGCGAACATGACAGGCCTTGACCTATTCTGCTGTGCCTGATGCCATCAACAGTAGCTTCCAAACACAACATTTACAAACACAACCTGTTTCAATCTGACTGATTATGTGATTCTCCTGATGCTGAGTGGCCTTAAGTTGTGCCACGTGTGATTATCAAGGCTACAGTTACTCAGTGAAGATACACATGGGGCTTAACCAAACCAATGTAATGGTGATCCAAATCAGCTTTAACAACAAATCCTCAAGAGAGTGACTGAATAATGACTTCAGGTCATATGTTTGTGTGTGCATAGATTGGGCTGTGAAATTGGGGATGAAGATTGCTTTTTGGCCTTTTGTCCCCTGTAATTATTGGAAGACTCATAGCATCCCTTTCATCACACTATTTTGATTAAGACAGTTACACAGGTCCCTCCAGATTTGAGGATCAATGTCACTGTAAGTATATGGGTCATGGGGGTCTATAATCAAAAACTAAAAAAAAAATACATGTTGGCATGGATGTGGTGAACAAGGAACACTTCTACACTGCTGGTGGGAATGTAAACTAGTACAACCACTATGGAGATTCCTTAAAGAACTAAAAGTGGAACTACCATTTGATCCAGCAATCCCACTACTGGGTATCTACCCAGAGGAAAAGAAGTCATTATACAAAAAAGATACTTGCACATGCATGTTTATAGCAACGCAATTCACAATTCACAATTGTGTTGTGCAAAAATGTGGAACCAACCAAATGCCTATCAGTCAATGAGTGGATTAAGAAACTGTGGCATACTACTCAGTCATACTACTCAGTCATAAAAAGGAATGAATTAATGGCATTTGCAGTGACCTAGATGAGATTGGAGACTATTCTTCTAAGTGAATTAACTCAGGAATTGAACCAAACATATGTTTTCACTCATAAGTGGGAGCTAAGCTATGAGGATGCAAAGGCACAAGAATGACACAATGGACTTTAGGGTCTTGGGGAAGGAGTGGGAGGAGGGTGAAGGATAAAAGACTACAAATTGGGTGCAGTGTATACTGCTTGGGTGATGGGTGCACCAAAATCTCACAAATCACCACTAAAGGACTTACTCATGCAGCCAAACACCACTTGTTCCCCAACAACATATGGAAATAAAAAATTAAAAAGAAAAGAAGTACATGGGGTCAGGTCATGCCTGTAATCTCAGCAGTTCGGGAGACTAAGGTGGGCAGATTGCTTGAGCCCAGGAGTTCAGGGCTTGCCTAGACAACATGTTGAAACCCATCTCTACAAAAAATACAAAAATTAACTGGGTGTGGTGGCATGTGTTTGTAGTCCCAGCTACTTGGGAGGCTGAGGTGGGAGGATTAATTGAGCCTTTGAGGTTGAGGCTGCAGTGAGCCATGATTGTGCCACTGCACTCCAGCCTGGGCAACAGAGTGAGACCCTGTCTAAAAAAAATGAAGTACATGAGGAATAAAATATATATTGATGCAGCCATCTTTAGAAGATATAATCTGCCACATTTCATTATGACAGTATTTTTCACATCTATTGAAATTGCCTTCAATGATTCCTCCACATCCAACTATAATGAATCTGCTTATTTCAAATCTAATTGTATTCAAATATTGTTGTGCTATTTATTCATGTCTCTTAAATTGCTTTATTATTGTAATCATCCTTGGCATTGTGTGAACAAAATATTTTCCTCATTAAAATTACACCCCTTGGAAAGTACACTCTATATGAGGAGGATTTTGTTTTGTTCTTTGCTATAAACTCAGAGTCTAGAACAGTGCCTGACATATACTAGATAATAAATGCTTGTTGAGTGAATAAAAGCAAAAGGTTATGCCAGCTTTCCTCAAGCAGTCAGCAGGTAAAGTCCATAATCTGAGAGCCCAAATTTGGGGTGAGTAGAAAGGTCGAAGAATAGGTCAAAGAAACCAAGAAGAGTCAAGTAAGAAATTATCGAAGTTCAAGTGGTGTATCCATTGTTATCGAGTTTTGGAACATTTAAACTCAGCAGAAAAGGGTCTGTCTCACCAGGGACTATTTTATTAGCCTCTTCATGTATGCAGCAGTTTTATTTACTTGGTCTTGGAATTTGTAAAGGACTATTTGGGATCTAACTATGGTACATTGGACAGTGAGATTCTTATTCATTCACTAGCACTTTCATCTATATGATCATTTGTAATTATTCTACAAAACCCACAGACAGAAATTAATAGTCTCATTATAAATTATTTACTTGTCCCAGGTCACTGGATTTTAAGTGGCCCTAATTTGATTCAAACTTATTTATTGCTTTTTCCTCTTTAGCTCAATCGTCTTGACCAATTTTCCAGTTATCTATTCTGATTTAGTGCAGTTGGAAAAGACAAAGACAAAATGTATTTTCATCCTGTGCTAAGTTACTGGTGGGACAGGCAACTGTCCATGCAAGAGTGACTTTAGTTGCATTAGGATGTTTAACTACAAATACTTCTCCCATCAAGTTACTGATTATAATAATAGTTGTAATTGTTACAGTTTTAGTAGTAGCTAGCATTTATTTAAATGTATTTAGTTGTGGTAGTGCTAAGCTGTTTCCTAAATGTTTCATTTGAACTTATAGTTTGTCAACATAAAACAGTGTATTTCATATCTTTCATTCAATAATTGTAGTTAACATTTAAAGTGTAACTGCAAAAGTAATAAATTCATTCAGTGTAATATTAAATCTTTCTTGCTTATGTGCTTTGTAGAAACCCTTGAGATCTCAGGTCAAATTTCTTCACAAACTTCATCGCACTTGTGAAGTCTTCATTTTTTAAACTAACAGCTTTTATTGTCTATTTCATTTATTCGATATTTACTGTCTATTGTTGATGTGGGTATTCATTGCAGAGTACTTTCTATTAAATGCAACACTTTTTATTTTTTTTTAACTAGAGATGGAGTCTTGCTCTGTGGCCCAGGCTGGAGTGCAGTGGCGTGATCTCAGTTCACTGCAACCTCCACCTCCTGGGTTCAAGCAATTCTCCTGCCTCAGCCTCCCGACTAGCTGGGACTACAGGTACACGCCGACATACCCGGCTAATTTTTTTGTATTTTAGTAGAGACAGGGTTTCACCCTGTTGCCCAGGCTGGTCTCGAGCTCATGAGCTCAGGCAATCCACTCACCTCGGTCTCCCAAAGTGCTAGGATTACAGGTGAGAGCCACCGCGCCCAGCCAATACATTTTTTTTTTTTTTTGCAACAAATACAAACAAAAACACTTATATATTTATTTGTTTGAAAATAAGTCTTGTGTCTTCTTGTTTCCACCTTGGAGGCAACTTATAGAAAATAAAAATAAAATAAACATGAAATTAGAAACAGAAAAACCTAAAATGAAAAGTAGTGAACAGTTCAGAAACTAAAATGCAAAGGAAATAAATTTTTTTTACTCTGCTTATCCTGGTAGCCCAAGGAAAGGGAAATTTAGGCAGTCATCTAATTTACATTGAAGAAAGCACATTGGTCTTTCAGGGGGATTAAATGATTTCCTGGGCCTAATTTTTATAATAAATTTCTATCACAGAAGCATTTTGTGGGGACCCTGAACAAATTAATAAGCAATAGCCTCAACATCGACATCAGCACATCCAGTAGAGGTTTTTAAATATTAGGTAGGTGCCAAAAGTAATCATGGTTTTGCCACTGGCACTAACCTAAATAGTCATTCTTACGTGTTCCTTATATACTCCTTAATTAAGGCAGACTTTATAACACTAAAGCACAAGTCAGTGAAACTGATAAAAGGCTTCTCTAAAAGAATGATGTAAAAATAAAGAAGGTTTCTACATTTCCCAGAGACCCAATATGACTGATTCAATGTTCAGTAAATGCATCAAATTGTTTATGTTTTTGAAGAAATTAGATTCTGCTTACAAAGTGCTTATAAAGGTGATTCGCTGATAAAAATTCATGTCTTTTGTAGGGCTGGGGCTTTGTTTTCTGGACATCTATTCCTTTCTTTGGAGACTTGGGGAGTTTGGTAAAATCAACAAATGGAGTATTTATTTTTTAAAAAGATAGCAGAATTAATTTCCATTTTCAGTTCCAAAATTGAGCTTGTTCTTACTCCTGTCAAAATACAACTTATTTTGGGGATGACATCTTGATGAATCAACCCCCTTGACAAACAAAAACATACAGTTTTGCCTAAATAATGCAATAATTGTTGGGGTAAACTTGCTTATTGAAAAAGAGCAACAAGGTAGAAAAGCACACACATCCTGAGTATTCATTAGAACTATCACAAAGTGAATATACCTGGGTAACAATGTCCTCATCAAGCAATAGAACATTCTTAACACCTGACTCCCCATGTCCATTCAAATCGCCATTTCCTTCCACAGCAAAGGTGGCTACCATCATAACTTTGAATATCAAATATCATAGCCTAGTTTTGCTTATTCTTGAACTTTTTATAAAAGATACAGTTTGTATGCTTTTGTAGCTGGCTTATTCTGCTCAATGTTATAAAGAGGACTTCAAACAGTTCATGGAAAATGGAATTAAAAGATAAAAATAAATATATCAACTTTATTTTTCAACAGAAGCTCCATCTAGTTCAAGATACTTTTGTAAGTGATGATATCAGCAATTTAGTCCATTGTTAAAGAGCTGAATGTCTTGGGAATTTAAACATGTCAATGCAGTCTTTTTTTACGTGACTAACCGAAGAAAAGTGAGTGCATTTTAAAGATTTTTTTAAGATTAGAAAACAAAAAGAAGTCAGAAGGAGCCAAATCAAGACTGTATGGTAGCCTAGTGATTTTCCATCCAAACTTTCAAAAAATTATCCTTGTCTGATGAGATAAATAAGCAAGTGTTGTTGTGGGAGAGAAGGACTCTCTGGTGAAGTCTCTTGGGCATTTTTCTGCTAACGAATTGACTAGCTTTCTCCAAACACTCTCATAGTAAGCAGATCTTACCATTTTTTGGCCTTCCAGAAAGTCAACAAAAAAAATGCCTTGATCATCCCAAAAAACGATTGCTATGACATTTGCTCTTGACTGGTCCACTTTTGCTTTGACTGGGCCACTCCCGCCTCTTGGTAGCCATTGCTTTGATTGTGCCTTGTCTTCAGGATTGTACTGGTAAAGCCATGTTTCTTCTCCTGGTACAATTCTTTGAAGAAAGTCTTCAGGATCTTGATCTTACTTGTTTAAAATTTCCATTGAAAGCTCTGCTTTTATCTGCAGATGATGTGGGATCAACAGTTTTGGCATTCATCAAGTGGAAAGCTTGCTCAGCTTTAATTTTTCAGTCAGAATTGTGTAAGCTAAACCAGTTGAAATGTTTATAGTTTGGGCTATTAGTTCTGCTATTAATTGTCAGTCCTTTTCAATTTGGATATGAACAAGATTAATTTATCCTTGCAAATTGATGTGTATGGACTACTGCTTGTACTTTACCTTCAACCTCATCTTGTCCCTTCTTAAAATGAGTTATCCATTTATATGGTGGATTGCTTTGGGCCATTGTCCCCCTCAACTTTTCATAAAGCATGAATAATCTTACCATTCCTCTACTCAAGCTTCACCAAAAATTTGAAGTTTGTTCTTGCTTCAATTTTAGTAGAATTTATGTTGCTCTGATAGGAGTTATTTTAAACTGACAGTATCCTTCTTAGTGTCTCAAAGTAGACTCTGTTCAGATCTGTTATAACAAGTTAGTGTGAGTTCATTTTGGTGCAACAAGTTTTTGAAATCCATGCATAGTTTTTTCATAATATGCATTTCCTATGAACGTTTTGAAGACTCCTTGTATGTGGTATGCAGCAGTAATTCATTCATTTCCATTTCTGAATGGTATTTCATTGTATAAATACACTGCACTTTATTTTACCCAATTCAAGTACTGTTCAGTATGTTGGATTTTCTAGTATTGGGATATTATAAGTAACATAACTTTGAACATTCTTGTACAAATCTTTTACTTCCCATATAGGAGTGAGGCTGATGGATCATTGGAGATATATATGTACAATTTTAATAGATACTGCCAGTTTCCCAAAATGATTGGACTAATTTATACTCCTATTAGCAGTGTGGGAATTTCAGTTGTTCATCAATCATACTTAACACTTGTTTCTCTCAGTCTTTTAATTCGAGTCATTCTGGTTGGTAGGTATGGTATCCCATTGTGGCTTTAATTTGCATTTTCTTGATAGGGCTAATAAAGTTGATTATTTTGTTGTATGCTTATTCACCATTTGTATATTCTCTCTATGAAGTCTTTTGCCAATCTTTTTTTTTTTTTTTTTTGGGATGGAGTCTCACTCTATCACCCAGGCTGGAGTGCAGCAGCACGATCTCGGCTCACTGCAAGCTCCGCCTCCTGGGTTCATGCCATTCTCCTGCCTCAGCCTCCCAGGTAGCTGGGACTACAGGTGCCCGCCACCATGCCTGGCTAATTTTTTTGTATTTTTAGTAGAGACGGGGTTTCACCATGTTAGCCAGGATGGTCTCCATCTCCTGACCTTGTGATCCACCTGCCTCAGTCTCCCAAAGTGCTGGGATTACAGGCGTGAGCCGCCACACCCGGCATCTTTTGCCAATCTTTCTATTAGTGTCTATTAGTTCTTAATGTTAAAAATTCATATTACATTATATTAATATGTTGCAGGCATAAGCCCTATGGTTTCGGTCTCCTAATTTTTTATGTATAAAAGATTTTAATTTTAATTAAGTCTAACACATTGATCTTGTCTTTTAAGTTAGTGCTTCTTGTGTTTTCTATCCAAGGTTCTGAAAATATTTTCCTTTGCTTTCCTTTAGAAGCCTTTAAGTTTTACCTTTAACATTTGGATCCACATAGAATCTTTTCATTACTAGTGCAATGAAATAGTAGATAATAATAATAATAATAATAGTGCTGCCATTTTTTTGTATGTGAGGCAGTTGACATTCTGGAATTTTAATTCTTAAAATAAGACTGCAATATAGGTATTATTATCTACATTTTAAAATAAGAAAATTGAAGCTCAGAGTAGTTAAGTATCTGTTGCTCCTTGTCTTCTTCCATAGATCACATATTTATCATTTCACCTTATTTCCTTAAAGGATTCCTGTTTGTGAGCTATGTTCAAGTAAGAGCCTTAAAATCTGTTTAGAACTCCTAAATTTAAAAACTCCAATTCCATAAGAAAGAAATCAAGTGAGTAAAATAAAAATAAAAAGAAACATTTGGTGGAACATTGAAAGCAGTGCATCAATAAATATAACAATATAACAAGATGAAAATAATGCGCTGAAAACTCAGAAAAGATGAAAATGAATAAAAAGGATTAGCAACAATAGAGGCTGACAAATGGAATCATTAATGTACTGCTTCAATCTGCAAAGCATTGTTGAAAAGCAAGCAAGAAAGAGAAAGAGCAGTGAAAATTGTTGAAAATCAGGGACATAAATAATTCTGACTGTTATCACTTCATAGGTTAGATTTCTAAGTTCACACACACAAGGGGCTTCTTATTTCCTTGCTATTACTTTGTTTTCATTCAGGTAAGCTCTTACCCAGAGAGGGGAGATGGTTCTTCTTCTGGTATATCAGCTGTTGTCAACATGACAAAATGGAAAGGTTGTGTTTTATCCCACTGGTACAATCAGACTGTTGCTTTCTGTTAAATGATTTTTAAAGCAGACTTCTATTTAAATGGTACACATCAATGAAATAGATATCTCCAAATAAAAATATAAATATATAAAAACAGCATAATTTCATAACTCTCTTATTAATTTTTAGCATGTGATTGCTCTGTTTCAAAGAGAAAAAAAGTAAAAGATATCATTCCTCCTAGGTTATCTGAAGAGAAACTCATGCTGATCTTTTTGAATCAGAAGAAAGATTCCATGGGGCCAAACTACTTATTCTTTTACCTATTTATTATTTTCTTATGATAAGTTTAATATCCCCTCAAATCTGGGTATCTTTATGTTGTTATTGTTGCAAAGATAGTGTTTTTCATTAAATTTTCTTTAGTAGCACTGCAATGTTAAAAACTGTCACAGTTAGAGACTATATTCCTTAGTGCAGTGTAACCTTTAAAACAATGTTTAAAAGAACTTACTGCAGTTTGAAAGCAGAGTTAAAGTTGTCTCACCTCAGCTTTTGGGGCATTTATCTGATTTGATGACAATGGTTTTATAGAGAGGATATTGAAATAGTTAAAGTACTTACAGTGTTATAAATTTGACATAAAATGTTATAAATATACATTAAAACTTTATAACCACCAAAAGTAATTAAGCAATATAAAAATGCACTATAAGATTTTAATCTAAGGAAATATGAGAATTGAATGTGATGTGTGAAAAAAATGTGCTTGTGGAGTGGGTAAATTTTTATGGGGGTATTTGGTATGAGATGTCAACTTTCAAGTGAATTTGCTTCTTCTCCTCTCAGACTCCAACACTAAGCATTCACCTGGAGATAACCTACAGAGATACTCTGTGTTACCCACAACTAGTCTGTTGACTAAGTTGGTGAATATATTTGGGAAAAGCCCATGTGGAAGAATGGAAGCCTGCATTATCTTTCTCAGAGACAGACAGGAAGGTGACTCTATGGAAGACATCAGCGATAAACTAGGAAGGAGTGACACGGTAAGTGAAAATAGAGATATGCAGTGTGAGAGAGAAATTCTGCTTATTTTTTCTTAATAAAAGAAAAATGAGAATATAAAGAGGAGAGAAACAAATGAACATTTAAAATGTTTGCATGATCTGGTTGCATCCAGGTCCTTACATGAAAAGTAGGTAATCTGTTCACCAACCTAAAGAGGTGGTCATCTACTATTTCTGTTATAAGTGTAGGAAATGGCATGTATATAATATAGTCAATTTCCCTAGTAAAACTTGAAATAGTTATTCATTTAATGATTCATTCATTTAGTAAACATTTATTGAGTGCTATTTATGAGATAGGCATATTCAAAATCTGAACAACTGAATATATACATTCCTGACCGCAAGGAATTCACAGCTGGTAAAGGGTGTATCCAAGTCAGCAAATCACCTCAAGACAATTGTTGTCAGTGTAGTAATGGTTTCAGTAGAGAGGAAGAATGCCAAATTTTGCCAAGATAGAGGCAGGCAGCTTCAAGGAGAAGATGCCTGAGCTAATTTTAAAACTTAAGTCGTACATTAACAAATGGACACACACGAGATAATAATTCCAGAGAGAGATAATACAAAAAGTATCTAAATATTAAAAGTATGGGCTATTTGGTAAAATTCAGGTAATTCCATAATGCTGAAATGTAGATTTCAAGATTCAGGTAGTTCCATGATGCTGAAAAATAGACGTATGAGCCCGAAAAGTGCAACAAGAGCAGTCTAGAGAAGTAAGCACGGGCCAGAGTCTTCATGGTCCTCAACATACAAGCTCATTCTCAGGCTATGGGCCTGAGAACATTCGAAGAACGTTCAGGTCCACTATTGGCATATTCTGGGGTCTTCAGTATCCTGTTGAGGTTATTCTGGAGATGGCAACACCAGGAGGAGAAATGGTAATAACAATAAAAGCTGGCAGTCTGGATGTAGAATCCATGGAATTAAACACAACACTATTATATTATGAAGGGGCTATTAATTGATGCAAAATAATATGAACTTAAGAAAAAAATATTTGAAAATAAAATAGGAAAAATAAGAAAGATATTGAGTAATATTTAGGGCATACAATCAGGGGGACATTGTAGCTAATAGGATATCAGGAGTGAGTATGATGCTTGAATCTAGGATAACTCTTGGATCCCTGGATTGAATCATTTATTCATTGCATATGCAGCTGCTGAAATATGCTGATCACCATGTTAAGTCATTGGACTACAATGTTTGGTGAAAATATACATGATTTTTATCATCAATTTTATAACTCGGAGATTTTTATTAATTAAATAATCACCCTATTTAATGTAAATGGCAACTGAAGAAACATTCATTTTACTTTCTACCTTTTTAAAATTAGAGCATAAGGAATTTGAGTTAGACTTGTAGTTAAGAAAGGCTTTACTGAGGAAGTGATGCTGGAGCTGAGATCTAAGGAATGAATGAGTAGAAGTTACTTGGGGTGGGGCTCTTTGTAAGTGATGGTGTGTCATGCAGCAAGGGAGACTTGAAGAAGGGAAGCACATTCAGGACAGATACTAAGGGATATTGAGGTACCAGAGACATCCACATGCATATGTGCATTGGATAACTGCAAACATTGATTGGCCATTAGGAGAATCCATCTGGACAAAATTTGGGCACTTTACTGTTCAGTGGTTTGGTGATATGTGTGTAGGTGAGATCACACAGGAAGTACGTGAAAAGTGAGAAAGGATGTGAGCTCAGGGCTGGACCAGTGTAACATTTAAGGGCTATGTAGAGAGGAAGTGGCCTAATGATTGCAAAAAAAAAAAAGTGGGGGAGGTGGTTAAGAGAGAAGAGGAAAACCAGGCTGGAAGTACAGCAGAGGAACAGAACATCTCAAACGGGTGTCGCAAGTGCCACAGAAAAAACAGGTCCAGTAATGACTGAAAACAACAAATTTGGTAACTAGCCAATTTACCAGACTAACCTTTGTAGTGTTAACTACAGGTCAGTTAACTGTAACCTTTGTAGTTAGCAGGACAACTGTAGTGGAGTGGTGACAGCAGAAGGCAGATTGGGTTGGAAGGAAATAAAAGTTAAGAAAATAGAGACTGTGATGCATACTTGCCCAGCTGTTTCAAGTGGCTTGGCTGTAATGGGTAGGAGAAAGCATACCAAGACTAGAGAAAGTGCCAAGGAAAGATTTTGTTGCTTGCTTGTTTTATGTATTTGTTCACCGATGAAGAGTCTAGCACAAGTTTGTAAGCCCAAAGGAGAGGGGTCATGCAGAGAAGGAAGTTGATGCACGTGATGAGCCATAGGGGATCACTGACTACATGAGGGAGAGGATTGGCTCCAGGCACATAGGGAGGGAAGAACATTGGCCAGAGGCATCTCGTTATCTGATTCAGGAGGGGTGAGATTATATGGACAGACGCTGTTGCCGCAGGTGGTGAATGTATTAGCCAGCAGGTATTAAGTGCTCAGGTACCAGACCCTGGCTAAGCTCTGTGTCTGTGTTTTCAGTTTTAAGATTCCATGCTGGCATCAAGTCACTCGTATTAAAGTTCTGTTTGAGACTAACTTTTATGGTCTTTTAAGCATTCACATTCTTTCTCTTTCTTATGCAAGGTAATCATTTATTCACAGTTCTCCAATTCTATTCCTTTAAAGTTGACATTTTGGTAGACATTTTGGTAGAAGAATGTGAAGTTTTCAGTTTGTTGCTATCCCTATGGTAATTGGTATAATTCTTAGCCACTATTTTTGTGTGTTCTTAGAATAGCAGAGTTCATGTGCAGGAAAACTTGGACCGCTGCTGGCCCCATAAGGCAGTGATCCTGAGACTGGAAATATAAGTTGGAAGTATGTATTGTTAGTATGAATGTGCATCCTGTTACCTGAAGGGTCTTGTTAGGGTAGCCCTGAGCCTTGCACAGCAGGAGGGTGTATGTGACCGCATTTGGCAGTGGGGAATATTCAGAGCTTTTGGCTTACTCAGACCTGTTCAGGCTCTTCAGAGTATCTATGACAACCAACAGGTCTCCAAGAACCTGAGGGAGCTCAGCTGAGAACACCCATCTGTTCTGGCTCGGTTGCCTTTTCCTGAGCTAAGTAAACTCTTAAGCTGAGCTAAATCTGACACTGGGGTCTAAGTACACTGCAAGTGCATGGTGCTTCATTATTGGCATGCAGTCCACTGCATCCATGAATGTGGTCGGTGAGACTGGCCAACTTTTCTCCATCCCCACAGCACATATTCCAAATTTGCACCCGTTCCTTGAGGCTACTTCCCTGTTCCACAGCCAATGGCTTCTAGAAAGACCATTGAGACTTTTAGACACGACTCCCTCAACTTCCTACCTCTCTAGCCCTATTAAAAAATACTTGCAGCAAAAGGTCATGAATCAATAAGAGCACAAATTTTTGGAGCACATTTTTTTGGGCCGCAGGTGGTGAATGTATTAGCCAGCAGGTATTAAGTGCTCAGATACCAGACCCTATGCTAATGCCCAAAAGAATACTTGCAGAAAAAGGTTGGGAATCAATAAGAGCACAAATTTTGGAAGCAGACAGTTGTGGTTTCAAGTTCCAGCTCTGTCACTTATGAGCAATGTGGTCTTAGGCAAGTCATTTAACCTTCCTGAGCCGGTTTTCCTACCTCATGGGATTGTCGTGAGTGTCTTAAAACCAAAGTAAAAAATACTGTGTTGACATTATCTGATTATGTAAACATAAGCATTTAGTGTTTGTAGCAACCAGAAATGAAAGAAATGGTCAACATCAAGACATCTGATGAAGTAAACATTTACTTCAATAATACCCACACACAAAAAGAGGGAAAAATCTGCAAGATACATGCTAAAAAATGCAGTCTATAAAATTCAACTATTCCTATTTTAAAAAATCATAAAATCAAGAATAAAAGGATACGTGCTAAAATGGTAGAGAATAATCACTTTAATGCAGCATTCTAAAACAGAAAAATATAATAACATTAGCATATTTTTAACAGAAAAACATTAGCAGCATTTTTATTAATGGACTAAACAAGGGTATCAAAAGTCTCCTGTGTGACTTAACATTGTTCTAAAGTTCTGGTGTAGACATTAAGAAATGGGATGCAAAAAGGAAGCTTAATTCTTGGAAAAAGGGAAACAATTGTTTCCCAAAACTATTATTCGATTGATTAAAAATCCAAGAGAATATACAAAAAAACTCATGAAGTAAGAATGTAACATAGCTTTGAAACATCAAAAAAGTCTATTTACCAAAATCACCAGTTTGAATCATTTATTTATTCCACAAACAATGAAATAGCAACAAAATCACTGAACAACTGAATAATACATTGAATATAAAAACAAAACAAAAGCTATAGAAATAATACAGAATAGAAATAATAAATCTTTAAAAGAGAATGAAATAGATAAATCCCAAGTAAATCTAAAAAATAGGAAATGATGGTTAGAAGCATGTACAGTGGGGCTAAGAAATGTCAGCTCACATCTTGGCTCTACCAGTTAATAGCTGGATAACCTTGAACTGGATCCTTAACCTTAGTCTGCCAAAGACAGCCCTAGCTCAGCAAATTCCCACCTACACAGCAAATGCAGTTAGACTGTTTCAGCCTGTCCTCTATCTAAAACATTTGGGTTGTTTATGATGTTTTTGACAAATAAAGCTTTTAAATTTTTAATTAGTCAGATCTGTAAATCTTTTTTATGTGTTTGCCTCTTGGCATTATTTTCCATCTCTCTCCTTGGAATCTTCTCTTTTTTTAGGCTCTATTCCTAGGTTATTTTCTTTTGTCGGAAATGAGAAATCTTTATTTGTCCATTCACTTTTCTCAAGAGAAGATTTTCGGAGGAGCCAAGATGGCTGAATAGGAACAGCTCTGGTCTACAGCTCCCAGCGTGAGCGATGCAGAAAACAGGTGATTTCTGCATTTCCATCTGAGGTACCGGGTTCATCTCACTAGGGAGTGCCAGACAGTGGGCGCAGGTCAGTGGGTGCGCGCACCGTGTGTGAGCCGAAGCAGGGTGAGGCATTGCCTCACTCAGGAAGCGCAAGGGGTCAGGGAGTTCCCTTTCCTAGTCAAAGAAAGGGGTGACGGACGGCACCTGGAAAATCAGGCCACTCCCACCCGAATACTGCGCTTTTCCGACGGGCTTAAAAAACGGCGCACCATGAGATTATATCCCGCACCTGGCTCGGAGGGTCCTACCCCATGGAGTCTCGCTGATTCCTAGCACAGCAGTCTGAGATCAAACTGCAAGGCAGCAGCGAGGCTGGGGGAGGGGCGCCCGCCATTGCCCAGGCTTGCTTAGGTAAACAAAGCAGCCGGGAAGCTCCAACTGGGTGGAGCCCACCACAGCTCAAGGAGGCCTGCCTGCCTCTGTAGGCTCCACCTCTGGGGGCAGGGCACAGACAAACAAAAAGACAGCAGTAACCTCTGCAGACTTAAATGTCCCTGTCTGACAGCTTTGAAGAGAAGAGTGGTTCTCCCAGCAGGCAGCTGGAGATCTGAGAATGGGCAGACTGCCTCCTCAAGTGGGTCCCTGACCCCTGACCCCCGAGCAGCCTAACTGGGAGGCACCCCCCAGCAGGGGCACACTGACACCTCACACGGCAGGGTATTCCAACAGACCTGCAGCTGAGGGTCCTGTCTGTTAGAAGGAAAACTAACAAACAGAAAGGACATCCACACCAAAAACCCATCTGTACATCACCATCATCAAGACCAAAAGTAGATAAAACCACAAAGATGGGGAAAAAACAGAACAGAAAAACTGGAAACTCTAAAATGCAGAGCGCCTCTCCTCCTCCAAAGGAACGCAGTTCCTCACCAGCAACGGAACAAAGCTGGATGGAGAATGACTTTGACGAGCTGAGAGAAGAAGGCTTCAGATGATCAAATTACTCTGAGCTACGGGAGGACATTCAAACCAAAGGCAAAGAAGTTGAAAACTTTGAAAAAAATTTAGAAGAATGTATAACTAGAATAACCAATACAGAGAAGTGCTTAAAGGAGCTGATGGAGCTGAAAACCAAGGCTCGAGAACTATGTGAAGAATGCAGAAGCCTCAGGAGCCGATGTGATCAACTGGAAGAAAGGGTATCAGCAATGGAAGATGAAATGAATGAAATGAAGCGAGAAGGGAAAGTTAGAGCAAAAAGAATAAAAAGAAATGAGCAAAGCCTCCAAGAAATATGGGACTATGTGAAAAGACCAAATCTACATCTGATTGGTGTACCTGAAAGTGATGCGGAGAATGGAACCAAGTTGGAAAACACTCTACAGGATATTATCCAGGAGAACTTCCCCAATCTAGCAAGGCAGGCCAACGTTCAGATTCAGGAAATACAGAGAACGCCACAAAGATACTCCTCAAGAAGAGCAACTCCAAGACACATAATTGTCAGATTCACCAAAGTTGAAATGAAGGAAAAAATGTTAAGGGCAGCCAGAGAGAAAGGTCAGGTTACCCTCAAAGGGAAGCCCATCAGACTAACAGCGGATCTCTCGGTAGAAATTTTACAAGCCAGAAGAGAGTGGGGGCCAATATTCAACATTCTTAAAGAAAGAATTTTCAACCCAGAATTTCATATCCAGCCAAACTAAGCTTCATAAGTGAAGGAGAAATAAAATCCTTTACAGACAAGCAAATGCTGAGAGATTTTGTCACCACCAGGCCTGCCCTAAAAGAGCTCCTGAAGGAAGCACTAAACATGGAAAGGAACAACCGGTACCAGCCGCTGCAAAATCATGCCAAAATGTAAAGACCATCGAGACTAGGAAGAAACTGCATCAACTAACGAGCAAAATCACCAGCTAACATCATAATGATAGGATCAAATTCACACATAACAATATTAACTTTAAATGTAAATGGACTAAATGCTCCAATTAAAAGACACAGACTGGCAAGTTGGATAAAGAGTCAAGACCCATCAGTGTGCTGTATTCAGGAAACCCATCTCATGTGCAGAGACACACATAGGCTCAAAATAAAAGGATGGAGGAAGATCTACCAAGCAAATGGAAACCAAAAAAAGGCAGGGGTTGCAATCCTAGTCTCTGATAAAACAGACTTGAAACCAACAAAGATCAAAAGAGACAAAGAAGGCCATTACATAATGGTAAAGGGATCAATTCAACAAGAGGAGCTAACTATCCTAAATATATATGCACCCAATACAGGAGCACCCAGATTCATAAAGCAAGTCCTGAGTGACCTACAAAGAGACTTAGACTCCCACACATTAATAATGGGAGACTTTAACACCCCACTGTTAACATTAGACAGATCAACGAGACAGAAAGTCAACAAGGATACCCAGGAATTGAACTCAGCTCTGTACCAAGCGGACCTAATAGACATCTACAGAACTCTCCACCCCAAATCAACAGAATATACATTTTTTTCAGCACCACACCACACCTATTCCAAAATTGACCACATACTTGGAAGTAAAGCTCTCCTCAGCAAATGTAAAAGAACAGAAATTATAACAAACTATCTCTCAGACCACAGTGCAATCAAACTAGAACTCAGGATTAAGAATCTCACTCAAAGCCGCTCAACTACATGGAAACTGAACAACCTGCTCCTGAATGACTACTGGGTACATAACAAAATGAAGGCAGAAATAAAGATGTTCTTTGAAACCAACGAGAACAAAGACACAACATACCAGAATCTCTGGGACGCATTCAAAGCAGTGTGTAGAGGGAAATTTATAGCACTAAATGCCCACAAGAGAAAGCAGGAAAGATCCAAAATTGACACCCTAACATCACAATTAAAAGAACTAGAAAAGCAAGATCAAACACATTCAAAAGCTAGCAGAAGGCAAGATATAACTAAAATCAGAGCAGAACTGAAGGAAATAGAGACACAAAAAACCCTTCAAAAAATTAATGAATCCAGGAGCTGGTTTTTTGAAAGGATCAACAAAATTGATAGACCGCTAGCAAGACTAATAAAGAAAAAAAGAGAGAAGAATCAAATAGACACAATAAAAAATGATAAAGGGGATATCACCACTGATCCCACAGAAATACAAACTACCATCAGAGAATACTACAAACACCTCTACGCAAATAAACTAGAAAATCTAGAAGAAATGGATACATTCCTCGACATGTACACTCTCCCAAGACTAAACCAGGAAGAAGTTGAATCTCTGAATAGACCAATAACAGGAGCTGAAATTGTGGCAATAATCAATAGTTTACCAACCAAAAAGAGTCCAGGACCAGATGGATTCACAGCCGAATTCTACCACAGGTACAAGGAGGAACTGGTACCATTCCTTCTGAAACTATTCCAATCAATAGAAAAAGAGGGAACCCTCCCTAACTCATTTTATGAGGCCAGCATCATTCTGATACCAAAGCCGGGCAGAGACACAACCAAAAAAGAGAATTTTAGACCAATATCCTTGATGAACATTGATGCAAAAATCCTCAATAAAATACTGGCAAACCGAATCCAGCAGCACATCAGAAAGCTTATCCACCATGATCAAGTGGGCTTCATCCCTGGGATGCAAGGCTGGTTCAATATACACAAATCAATAAATGTAATCCAGCATATAAACAGAGCCAAAGACAAAAACCACATGATTATCTCAATAGATGCAGAAAAAGCCTTTGACAAAATTCAACAACCCTTCATGCTAAAAACTCTCAATAAATTAGGTATTGATGGGACGTATTTCAAAATAATAAGAGCTGTCTATGACAGACCCACAGCCAATATCATACTGAATGGGCAAATACTGGAAGCATTCCCTTTGAAAACTGGCACAAGACAGGGATGCCCTCTCTCACCGCTCCTATTCAACATAGTGTTGGAAGTTCTGGCCAGGGCAATTAGGCAGGAGAAGGAAATAAAGGATATTCAATTAGGAAAAGAGGAAGTCAAATTGTCCCTGTTTGCAGATGACATGATTGTTTATCTAGAAAACCCCATTGTCTCAGCCCAAAATCTCCTTAAGCTGATAAGCAACTTCAGCAAAGTCTCAGAATACAAAATCAATGTACAAAAATCACAAGCATTCTTATACACCAACAACAGACAAACAGAGAGCCAAATCATGAGTGAACTCCCATTCACAATTGCTTCAAAGACAATAAAATACCTAGGAATCCAACTTACAAGGGATGTGAAGGACCTCTTCAAGGAGAACTACAAACCACTGCTCAAGGAAATAAAAGAGGGTACAAACAAATGGAAGAACATTCCATGCTCATGGCTAGAAAGAATCAATATCGTGAAAATGGCCATACTGCCCAAGGTAATTTACAGATTCAATGCCATCCCCATCAAGCTACCAATGCCTTTCTTCACAGAATTGGAAAAAACTACTTTAAAGTTCATATGGAACCAAAAACGAGCCCGCATCACCAAGTCAATCCTAAGCCAAAAGAACAAAGCTGGAGGCATCACACTACCTGACTTCAAACTATACTACAAGACTACAGTAACCAAAACAGCATGGTACTGGTACCAAAACAGAGATATAGATCAACGGAACAGAACAGAGCCCTCAGAAATAACGCCACATATCTACAACTATCTGATCTTTGACGAACCTGAGAAAAACAAGCAATGGGGAAAGGATTCCCTATTTAATAAATGGTGCTGGGAAAACTGGCTAGCCATATGTAGAAAGCTGAAACTGGATCCCTTCCTTACACCTTATACAAAAATCAATTCAAGGTGGATTAAAGACTTAAATGTTAGACCTAAAACCATAAAAACCCTAGAAGAAAACCTAGGCATTACCATTCAGGACATAGGCATTGGCAAGGACTTCATGTCCAAAACACCAAAAGCAATGGCAACAAAAGCCAAAATTGACAAATGGGATCTAATTAAACTAAAGAGCTTCTGCACAGCAAAAGAAACTACCATCAGAGTGAACAGGCAACCTACAAAATGGGAGAAAATTTTCGCAACCTACTCATCTGACAAAGGGCTAATATCCAGAATCTACAATGAACTCAAACAAATTTACAAGAAAAAAACAAACAACCCCATCAAAAAGTGGGCGAAGGACATGAACAGACACTTCTCAAAAGAAGACATTTATGCAGCCAAAAAACACATGAAAAAATGCTCATCATCACTGGCCATCAGAGAAATGCAAATCAAAACCACAATGAGATATCATCTCACACCAGTTAGAATGGCAATCATTAAAAAGTCAGGAAACAACAGGTGCTGGAGAGGATGTGGAGAAACAGGAACACTTTTACACTGTTGGTGGGACTGTAAAGTAGTTCAACCATTGTGGAAGTCAGTGTGGCGATTCCTCAGGGATGTAGAACTAGAAATACCATTTGACCCAGCCATCCCACTACTGGGTATATACCCAAAGGATTATAAATCATGCTGCTATAAAGACACATGCACATTTATGTTTATTGTGGCATTATTCACAATAGCAAAGACTTGGAACCAACCCGAATGTCCAACAATGATAGACTGGATTAAGAAAATGTGGCACATATACACCATGGAATACTATGCAGCCATAAAAAATGATGAGTTCATGTCCTTTGTAGGGACATGGATGAAATTGGAAATCATCATTCTCAGTAAACTATCGCAAGAACAAAAAACCAAACACCGCATATTCTCACTCATAGGTGGGAATTGAACAATGAGATCACATGGACACAGGAAGGGGAACATCACACTCTGGGGACTGTTGTGGGGTGGGGGGAGGGGGGAGGGATAGCATTGGGAGATATACCTAACGCTAGATGACAAGTTAGTGGGTGCAGTGCACCAGCATGGCACATGTATAGATATGTAACTAACCTGCACAATGTGCACATGTACCCTAAAACTTAAAGTATAATAATAAAAGAAAAAAAAACTTAAAAAAAAAAAAAGATTTTCACTACCTTCTCCACTAGCAGAGATACATGTTTGCATTTTGTTAAATTACAAGACATACTTTTTTAAAATTGTGAAACCCTACAGAGAGAAGGTTTAGGCTGAATTAAAAACTAAAATTCAAATAACTCCTATTTTTAAAAGAAGTATTTTTTAATCTCTAAGTTACCTTCTCTTTCTTCTCTCTGTCTCTCTTACACACACACACACACACACACACACACACACACACACACACACACTCTCTCTCTCTCTCTTACCCATAGGTTTATTTTCCTGAGCTTATTTTCTCATCTACTTCTTAAACTAATATAGACTATGAATTTCATAAGATAGCTCAAATTGTTTTCAGAACAAGACAAGATAAAGATTAATAATAATATCAGAACATTCTGTCTGGAAAGACACAAGAAGCTGCCTTAGCTGTATTCTCAAGGAAATAACCTTGAAAAGTTTCATTACCATGTAACTGTTTATCAAGAGATACAGAAGAGCTTATTGAAAAGGCACTTCATCCAAACCTCAGTGAGGATGACAGTGCTGATGCTTCCTGGGCTGCTATTTCCCATGACCTTGTCCTACCCCAGCCCACCCCAACCCTGCTGTTAACTTTCAATCTTCAGAAGACTGGGACGGAAAATGTCAATGCAGTATTTTTAATTTTGGTTTGCATAAAAATCACTTGGAAAGAAATGCTAAAATGCAGATTCTATGGCAACATTCTTAGAAATTCTGATTCAGTTTGTCTGGGGGAGGCTGAGAATTTGAATATTTAGAAGTAACCCTCTGCCCTTGCTCCCATGATTCTAACACATGTGATGATGCACACCAAATTTTGAGGAATATGATTTAAGTAAACTTCTTAATTGTATTCAATGGTATTGGTATTTTTGTTATTGTTGTAGTAACGTAAAAAGTGAAATTAACCTAATAAAAATGTTTCAATTGTCTGTTTTTATTTTAATAAGATTGACATATTTTTGTGTTCTGGTTTTGCTAGCTTCATTTAATACATTGATGTCTCTTAAAAGATTTAAAAAATGATGTTAACTATTCAGAAAGCAAAAAAAAAAATTCTGTTACTTAAGATTTTAACATAATTAGTAGGCAAAATAATCTAATCCTGAGGTTTTGTTTGTTTGTTTGAAGTAATCCATACAGAGCATATTATTCTGCTATGGTTACTGATCTAACAAAAATTGCAAATTGGTTCAGAGATGGAAGAGTAGCCAAGTTTGGGCAGAACATATCATACATAAGAGGGTCTAACGGAATACAGGAATGGAAAATTCATATGGGACTCGTTCATGGAGGGCCTTAAATAGGTATAGAATAAATAGCTAACAAAACATTTATATGTACATTATATCATTTTATGTTTATAATAGCACCATGAAATAGGTAGTATCTCCATTCTCATTTTATAAATGAGGAAACCAAGGATTGGGATGGATTTAGAAGAAGGGCTCTGATTAGGAAACCAAATCCAAGTAAGTATCAGTGAGGAAATACATCCTTAGGGACAAAGTAAAATGTTAGAACAGAGCATCCACAGTGCCTGGGATCAGATGAGCAAGGTGGAGTTTTGAAGGGCCTATGTGATAGCAGTCTCTTCTGGGTGTTTGGTATTGGTAGCCTCACAAGGTAGTTTTGCCATCTCAGAACATCTTTTGATGTTTAGTTCGTCTGATTCTACTTTTTCTAGTTATTTGACACTTCCCAAGCAGAGGTTCATCAAGATGATTTGACACTTCAAACTTACATATTTTAGGGGCTATCTTTAAGTAAAAGAATTTCTCAAAAATCTCATTTTTGTAACATTCATAAAAACAGACCATGTTATCACATTTCTAATACTCCTCCTAGTAACCTATGAAAATGAAGGGACATTTAACAAAAGTATATTTAGCTTCATAATAAACCTGTTTCTGCTCTTGGGTAAGAATTAAAATTTTGGGCTTGGTGCAGTGGCTCCTGCCTGTAATCCCAGCACTTAGGGAGGCCGAGGCAGGCAGATCACCTGAGGACAGGAGCTCGAGACCAGCCTAGAAAACATGGCGATACCCTGTCTCTATTAAAAAGACAAAAATTAGCTGAGCATGGTGGTGGGCGCCTGTAATCCCAGCTACTTGGGAGGCTGAGGCAGGAGAATTGCTTGAACCTGGGAGGCGGAGGCTGCAGTGAGCCAAGATTGTGCCCTGCATTTCAGTCTGGGCAACAGAGTGAGACTCCATCTCAAAAATAAACAAATAAATAAATAATTAAATTTTAATAGGAAGTTTCAAGATGTAGTAGTTAAAGTATTAACTTACAGAGTGGGAATTTCATAAATCTAGAACTGTATGAACCTCAAATTATGCCAGTAAGGATGTCATAACTTTTTACTTAGGGATCAGCTCTTTCGGACAGTATCCAGGGTCACTGGTAGAGACTGTGTGTTGTACAAGAGTCATGGCAGACATGATCCCTAGGTCCCTATTTTCTTCCTTCCTAGAAATATAGGCATGTGTTTCTATTTCTATATGCATGTATGTGTGTGTGTTTGTATCTATATATATTCCTGTAGATGTACAAGTGAAGTCATAGAAATTTGAATAGAAAAAAGGGGTAATTTGTTCTGGAATTCTCAGGCCAATGCCTCTATGTTAGAAAGGTAAAATATCTCCTCACTTATTCAACTGCTATGGACTAAATTGTGTCCTGCCCGCCCCCCTCCCCAGTTTCATATGTGGAAGCACTAATCCCTAGTGTGATGATATTTGGAGGTGGGGCCTTTGTAGGGTAATTAGAGTTACATGAGGTCATGAATGGGGCTTTCATGATGGAATTAGTGGCCTTTTAAGAAGAGACATCAGAAAACTTGCCTCCTTTTCTCTCTCTCTGCCACAAGAGAATACAAGAAGGTTGTGGTCTATAGGCCAAGAAGAGAGCCCTCATCAGGAAATGAACCCTGCAAGACCTCAGTCTTGGATTTCCAGCCTCCAGAACTATGGGAAAATCCATTTCTGTTAGTTAAACCACTCAGTTTATGGTAATTTGTTATGGCAGCCTGAGCAGACTAAGATACCCATCATATAGCTAATTTTTGAAATGAAATGTGCAAAGATAGTTGAATATAATAAAAGT
The DNA here is from genome assembly GCF_000001405.40 of Homo sapiens. Taxonomy (NCBI): domain Eukaryota; kingdom Metazoa; phylum Chordata; class Mammalia; order Primates; family Hominidae; genus Homo; species Homo sapiens. The sequence goes on from NC_000018.10 coordinate 27,288,729, forward strand.
ACCTTGTGAGATATCAATAAAAAAAAGTCTTCGAAGTGGTTTAAATCAATTACTTATCCACTCTGCTATGGCAGTTCCAACTTGGATTTTATGTTTATAATGATGCAACAGTCTTCATGGTGACTTCCTGAATGTGGATTCTTCTGTATCCATGCTGCTACAAAATTAATTTTCCTTTAAAACATATACATTTACTTGTATTCATTTATTTAGCTAATCGCTCAGCTATTCATTTGTTTTTCATTTATTCATTTATTTTGGAGAATCAAAGGCAAAGAAGTCATTGTCAGGGACTGGCAGTCTAGTGCATATTCACATATAGCTAGAAACAAGATACCTCAAAATATACGTAGATTACACACTGGGAACTATGCAGCCCAGAAAGGAGAGACATTCCTTCAGGTTGGGGTGTAGGAAGCTGAGTTTGAGCTGGATCTTGGTGTCTGAATGGGATTTCAACCAGTGGAGATGAAGAAAAGAGCAATTCAGAGATGAAATAATACATTTCGAGGCATGAGGAAAAAATAGCATGTTCTTTAAGGACAAGTACACATAGTTTGCTTTTATTAGTTTAGAGTATATGTAGGGAAGATAAAACTGAAAAACTTCTAAAGATTTAGAAACTTAGAAAAAAACTTACAAAGTAAAGTCACCGACTAAGTTTTCCAGGTTTTGTTCTCCCTTATCTCTAGGTAAGGGAGAATAATTACAGGATTTTACAGCATTTTATTAAGCAGCAGCAATAACAACAATTAAAACAGGAACTTGAGTTTTAGATCTGCTTTCAGAATGCCACTGCTAGTTCATTGTTCATGAGGTCATTGAATCAGCAATATTGAGAAAGATGATGTGATCCAGGACGCGATCATCCTTGAGATGGTGAAATGGGAGTAGACAAAATCACCAAGGGAGAGAACATATAGAAAGAGAAGACTAGAGGACTCAGACCAAAACCATTTCTGAATGGGGAGTGGGGAAAAAGGAGGAAGAAGTATTAAGAGAGCAAGAATTCTACAAAATCAGGATGCTAAAGAAAGGGACTTTCAAAAGGGGGGATTTTAGTCCCGTCCTGCATTATATTTTACATGTTTTGGGCTTATCTGTTTTCCTTTTAAAATAAAAATATGTTTCTATATTGTTAGGGCAACAGTTGTTATTGTTACTTTAACAGTGTTCAACACTGTGCTGAAGGTACTGCTAAGGACATTGTTAGGCATTTAATAATACTTGCTTATTGATTAATTTTTATAATATCCAAATAATGATAAAAAATCTCACTTATTACATTTATAATGAGCAGTTCTAGGTGCATTACATGGATCATTTATTTAATCCCCACAATGAGCAAATGAGGTAATGTTCATTATTTCAATGAAGGTAGAATAAAAACCTAAAAGAATAAAAACCTAAAAGATTCTTCACCCTGAAGAATCTTGAAATTCACTTTGAATTTTAAAACTGTGAGTTGAAACTCTTTATCTCCCTTATTTTAAAAAATATTTTCCAAGTACATGCTGTGTGAAAAGCGTTATATTAGGTATTTGGGGGGTGCCCAGGGGAGGCTGGGAAGGCATGCCTGTTATCCACATTGTTAGAAAAGTTTTATTCTCTTTACCTTAACCCTTAACAACCTTCTCTAGAAAGAAAAAAGCTCAGATTTCACCCCCAACAAGTTTATTAGATAGACCATTTGAAAAATTATAATTGGAGATTTCCTAATTTCGAAACTTTAGATTTAAGGTTGCTAGTTAAAAATCTTAATTCATAGTTTTTAAAAAACAGAAAATAATAACAAGTGTTGGTGATGATGTGGAGAAACTGGAAACTTGTGCAGTCTCATTATTGGTAGAAATGTAAAATGGTGCAGCTGCTGTGGAAAACGATATGGAGATTCCTCAAGTAATTAAAATAGAAAAACCATATATGATCCAGCATTTCCACTTCTGGGTATACACACAAAATAATTGCGAGTAGCGTCTCAAAGAGGTATTTTTACACCCATGTTTATAGCTACATTATTTATAATGGCCAAAAGGAGGAAGCAACTCAGTGTTCCTTCATGAATAAATGAACAAAATGTGGTATATACATAACAACGAAATATTATTCTGTCTCAAAAAGGAAGGCAGGTCTGACATATGGCACAACATGGATGAATTTTGAGGCCATTATGCTAAGTGAAATAAGCCAGTCACAAAAAAAGACACACACTGTATTATTTCATTTATATGAAGTACCTAGAATAGTCAAATTCATAGAGACAGAAAGTAGAACAGTTACTGCCAGGGAATAGGAGGAGGGGAGAATCGGAAATTGTTGTTTAATGGATATAGAGTTTCAGTTTAACAAGATGAAAATAGTTTTGGAAATTGGCTCCACAATTGTGTGAACGTACTTAATGCTACTGAAATGTACATTTAAAAATGATTACATTGGTAAATTTTATGTATATTTTACCACAGTTTAAAAACAAGTAAAACAATTTAACTCAGTTTTTTTAAGTTTGTTTTTAATTATTATGGGTACATAATAAGTTTATATATTTATGGGGTGCATGTGATGTTTTGATACAGGCACATAATGTAATAATCAAATCAGAGTAATTGAGGTATCCATCACCACAAATATTTATCATTTCCTTGTGTTAGAGAAAAGATTTTAATTCCACTGTTTTAGTTATTTAAAAATACACAATAAATTATTGTTAACTGTAGTCACCCTTTGTGCAATCAAATACTAGATCTTACTCATTTTATCTAACTATATTTTCATGCCCATTAACTGTCCCACTTAATTCAGTTATTCTATATAAAGTATAAATCTATTTTATTATCAGTTTTTCATAGCCTTTGAACACTGTGTATCCTAATACACAGAAAACCCCACTTATGTTGTGCAGCTTTGGCTGTGTATATGGTACACATACGGATTCAAAACTCAAAGAAGGAATTGGCCATGAACAAAAGATAAAGTGAATAAGTGTTTACATCCCCACGACTAACAATGTGCTTAACTATTCAAAATGGGAACTTCTTAGAAAACTTTAATTTAGGTTGCCTGATAAAAAGCCTATTTTTGACTTGAAATGAAGAACAATTAATTTTACTAAAGGCTTCAGTAGTGATGATAATACAGGACCTGATTATACTTTATAATGACACCAGATAAGGTAATTTTTAAAATGTTTTATTGGATCTATGAAAGGATCATTGTGTGACCTGCATTAAAAAAAAATCTACTCTCCAAAGAATTATCTGTGGTTAGGCTATGATTATTAGGTCAAGTTATGTGTTTGAAGTTGATTAATCCCTTTCTTGAGATGATTGCCGTAACTCTTACTGTTTACAATTAATCCCTTCTGTAATCTGGCCCTGAGTTATTTTGATGGTAAATCTGAGGATCCATGCAGTATTCATTTCCCATATACAGACACATAATGGTGGGCAATAGTCTTGCCATTATCTATGGATTAATTCAAATTTGATAGAATTATCTCTCTCCAGAGATAGATTATGAAAGACTTTTAAGGGAACAGATTTCCATACTAACTTTAAACTTAATCAGCTATTTCATAATTATTCCAGGACTGCTACAAGGAATCCCATGGCTTCTTATTATTCATAGCAGCAAGAAAAAAAATGTATGCAACCTTTCTTCATTTTAGGAGGTGGCAAAAGGTCTCAGAGATTACCCTTCACATGCTAATATTTCACAAATCTATTATTTTGGTGGATTGGTAAAGGAAAAGTAACTTTCAAGAGTCTTCAGTATTCTTTTCTTATCCTCAAAAGCATCTTTCATGTAACTAAAATTCTTTCAGTGCTTCTGTAGTTATTGAAAGAGCTTTCATTCATAATGTTACACTAGGGAAAATATTGAGTTTTTGCCATTTGAAATGGAAATGTAAAATAGAGTTTACTGTTTCCACTGCGTTGTTTTATCCCTTCAACTGTGGTTAAACAACAACTGGACTTTAGAAAGATTTCTGAGAAATCACTGGCCACCATAAAGGACCGTATATCCTGTTTTGCTTCCTTCCTATCTTGATTTTACTTTCTACTTGCTAATAATTTATATATTAAAATAATATCTTCTAAGAATTAACTTATTACGTACAACATGTATTACTCTCCCTATGTTTATGTTTCTATCAAATTACATGCTGCATTTTTGCTTGAAGTAGGTAAAATATTTAATTGCATAGGCATATATGACGTCAATTAGAAATATTTTTCAGTTTTTACTCCGGAGGTGTGCTATGGTCTGAATGTGTCTCCCTAAATTAGTATTTTGAAACTTAATCACCAATGTGCTAGTATTAAGAGGTGGGCTGAGGTGAGGTGATAACATCCTAAGGGCTCCTCCCTCCTGTATGGGATTACTGCCGTATAAGAAAGGCTTCACCCTGCATTCACCCCATTTTGCCCTTCCCTCTTTCACCATGTGAGGATGCTGCTGAGAGAAAACACCATGGATGGAAGGGGCCCACATCAGACGTCAAACCTGCTGGTGCCTTGATCTTGAACTTCCTGGCTTTGAGAACTGTGACAAATACATTTCTGTCCTTTATAAATTACCCAGTCTTGGGTATTTTGTTACAGCAGCACAAATGGACTAAGACTACCTAATTCGTGAAGACATGGGAAGATTTATTTTTGTTTTCAGCTGTGCACTACAAGGTGCTTCTATCGCTTTACCTCTCAGTACTGTAAGCCTATAGAAATCAAAGATTGTCTTTCCCTGTTACATGTATTTTATGAAAACTCCACGGGTTATTCTGATGTACAATCTGATTGAAGAACTAGTGTGCTAGGAATGTATCCCCACAATATTCCTGAGAGAAGGAGAGCATGTGGCTAGTGCTTGTCCAGCAGAAGGGTTCGTGTGTTCACAGCAGGCAGTGCTAATTGACTGTGGGTTTTCTCCAGATTAGTCTTTAGCGATCATCTCTAGAAGTTACCATATTGGCACAAAAGTTGGAACTCATTTGTCATCCTTGGCCTAAAATGTCCTCTATTTGCACAGCAATTACAATCTGTAACTTCAGTTGGACAAATCTATTCCATGTGTTGCTATAAAGTAATATCAAGTGATATCACAGTATTTCAACAAGTTCATTTTTCAATGAATAAAAATAATTGAAACTGATGCTTTTTTCTTTTTCTAAAATAATTTTCCTTTTATTGTCAGTAATTCAGGCTCCCACTCAGAAAATCCTTTGTGAGTCAAATTTGATAATACTTCTTTTTTAGTTTCTCTACCTAAAGAGAATAATATTGTCTAGTGATTAAGCACATAAACTCTTGTCATAGTGTCTGAATTCAAGCCCTAACTCTCCCACTTACTCTGTGACCTTAGAAAGTTACAGAACTTTTCTGTCACCTCAGTTTTCCTTTAGTAAATAAGTATGTAAGAGTTGTGAAAAATAAATGTATGAGAAAAATTAATAATACATTATTATTAATAATAATATGGGAGACTCACAACTGTTGTGGGCTTAGTAGAATTTACCTAGTTGTTATTTGTAGCAGAATTTATAACTATTGTTTTGTATTTCCTTTTCTCAAAGTGATCTTTTCTGGCAGTAGAAACTTCAGAAATTTCTTTTTGGTTTTAGATACAAGTTTTTAAGCACTTTGGGAGTTGTTTATCACTGTTTAAATATGTGTGCAGCTCTGTCTATGAAAAGATGAATATTACTTGGTTTTGAAACCTAGACTATCTCTGGATGGTTTTACTTTTATTCATCCCTCTGTTCTTTATCCATCCACTCATCCAATAGATATTTAATGAGTGCCTTCCACAGGCTTTGCACTGGTGAAATAAAGATAAACAAGACACATTATCTGCTTTTGATGATCTCTATGGTGGGACCAGTGAGAGACAGAGAGGTAAACGGGCAATTACAATACAGGCATAACTCACAGATACTGCAAGTTCAGTTCCAGACCAGTGCAATAAAGCAAGTATCTCAATGAAAGAAGCTGCACAAATTTTTCATTTCCCAGAGCATATAAAAGTAATGTTTACATTATACTGTAGTCTATTAAGTGTGCAGTAGCATCATGTCTAAAAACAATATACATATTCTTTAATTAAAAAATGCTTTCTTGCTAAAAATTGCTAACGATCATCTGAGCCTTCAGTAAGTAGTAGTCTTTGCTGGTGGAGGGCCTTGTCTTGATGTTGAAGCCTGCTGACTGATCAAGATGGCGGCTGCTGACGTTTGGGGTGGTGGTGGCAATTCCTTAAAATAAGACAACAATAAAGTTTGCCGCATCAACTGACTCTTCCTTTTACAAAAAAATGTCCATGTAGCCTGCAATGCTGTTTGATAGTATTTACCTACAGTGGAGCTTCTTTCAAAATTGAAGTCACCCTCTGAAATCCTGCTGATGCTTTATCAACTAAGTTTATGTAATAGTCTACACTCTTTGTTGTCATTTCAGCAACGTCATTTCAGCATTTTCAGCATCTTTACGAGAAGTAGATTCTAGCTCAAGAAACCACTTTCTTTGCTCACCCATAAAAACTAATTCTTTATCCTTTCAAGTTTATCATGAATTTGCAGCAATTCAGTCACATTTTTAGGCTCTACTTTGAAATATAATTCTCTTGCTATTTCTACCACATCTGCAGTTGCTTCCTCCACTGAAGTCTCAAACTTCTCAGTCATCCATGAGGGCTGGAATCAACTTCTTCAAAACTCATGTTCATGTTGGTACTTTTACCTCCTCCCATGAATCATGAATGCTTTTAATGGTATACAGAAAGGTAAATATTTTCCAAAAGATTTTAAATTTACTTTGCCCAGAGAAATCACTGTCTATGGCAGCTGTCACTTTACAAATTTTATTTTTTAATCAGTAAGACTCAAACGTTGAAATAACTCCTTGATCCATCAGCTGTAGAATGGATGTCATGTTAGCAGGCATGAAAACTACATTAATCTCCTTGCACATGTCCATCAGAGCTCGCAGGTGACTAGGTGCATTGTTAATGAGCAGTAATATTTTGAAAGGAATCTTTTTTTCTGAGCAGTAGGTCTCGACCATGGCTTAAAATATTCAGTAAACCATGCTTTAAGCAGATGTGCTGCCATTCAGGCTTTGTTGTTCCATTTATAGAGTACAGGCAGAGTATATTTATCATAATTTTTAATAGCCTGAATGTTTTAAGGATTTTTGGAATGATAAATGAGCACTGGCTTCAACTTAAAGTCATCAGATGCACTAGTCCTTAACAAGAGAGTCAGCCTGTCCTCTGAAGCTTTGAAACCAGGCATGACTTCTCCTCTTTATCCATGAAAGTCCTATCTGGCATCTTCTTCCAATAGAAGACTGTTTTGTCTACATTGAAAATCTGTTGTATAGCGGGCCACCTTCCTCGATTATCTTAGTCAGATCTTCTGGATAAGTTGCTGAAACTTGTACACCAGCACTTGCTGCTTCATTCTGCACTTCTATGTTCTAGAGACAGCTTCTTTCCTTAAACTTCATGAACCAACCTCTGCTAATTTCCTCACCTCTCTCAGCTTTCATAGACTTGAAGAGAGTTTGAGCCTTGCTCTGGATTAGGCTTTGGCTTAAGGCTTAGGCTTTGTGGCTGGTTTAATCTTAGGCTTTGTGGCTGATTTGATCTTCTCTCCAGACCACTCAAACTTTCTCCCTATCAACAATAAGGCTGCTTTACTTTCTTATCATCCAAGTAGTCACTTTTAAGTTCCTTCAAATCTTTTACTGTCAACTTAAAGCTGGGCTAACTCTTTCATGTAAGAGGCCTATCTCAGCTTTCAACATGCTAAGCTTAATCATAGAAATGCTTTTGACTGGAAGTGAGAAATGTGTGACTCTTCCTTTCACTTGAACACTTAGAGGCCATCGTTGTGTTATTAAGTAACCTCGTTTCAATATTGTTGTGGCTCAGAGAATAGGGAGGCCTAAGGAGAGGGAGAAAGATGGAAAAAAGGCAAGTCGTTGGAGGTATCAGAACACACACAACATGTATTGATTAAGTTCACTGTCTTATATGGGGACTGTTCATGGTGCCACAAAACAATTACAGTAGTAACATCAAAGATTACTGATCACAGATAACCATAACAGATATAATAATAAAAGTTTAAAATACTGCTAGAATTATCAAAATGTGTCACAGAGACACTAATTGAGCACATGCTATTGGAAAAGTGGCACCAACAGACTTCCTCCATTCAGGGTTGTCAAAAACCTTTAATGTGTAAAAAGTTTAACATCTGTGAAACACAATAAATCAAAATGCAATAAAATAAGGTATGCCTGTACTGAGTATTAAGCATTATGATGTGAAAATGCTTGGGCCTGTAATCTCAGCACTTTGGGAGGTCAAGGCAGGTGGATCACAAGGTCAGGAGTTCAAGACCAGCCTGGCCAATATGGTGAAACCCCGTTTCTACTAAAAATACAAAAAATTAGCCAGGCATGGTGGTGGGCTCCTGTAATCCCAGCTACTCAGGAGGCGGAGGCAGGAGAATCGCTTGAACCCAGGAGGCGGAGGTTGCAGTGAGCCGAGATTGAGCCATTGCGCTCCAACCCTCCAACCAGGGCGACAGTGTGAGACTCCGTCTCAAAAAAAAAAAAAGGAGCGCAAAGGGTGAGTTTCAATGCCTTGGGCATCACAGAAGGCATTCAGCTTTTCTAGTATTGACCAATTTATTTAAAAGACATTGTATTCTAGTTGACCTCAGCCAAAGAGTTACTTCAGATAAATGCATTCATGCCTTATAGAAAACACTCAGGGCAAACCTGGCTTCTTTGAAAGCTGGAAGACAGAAGCTTATTTTTCAATCTCATGGCTATTTTATTTTGGGGAGCCGCAGAATGCACTGATTACGGCTATTTTGCTGCATCTTAGTCCCATTTGGAAAAGGGTGTTGGTCTATTTTATATAGCTGAGCCGAATAAATCCTAGTACTTACCCCTGTAATTTATTGCATGTGAAGCTAGCCTGTGCCCTGGATCACAAAAGAAATGCACCAGGGAAAGTTTCCGTCTCACTTTTATTTAGGAAATAAATCACTCTTTCAGCACAAAACACATAAAAAGCTGACAAATTTAGTCTAAGCATTAATAATTATTTTTAAGTCCCATAAATCCTAGGTTACTTTATAGTATGGCCATAGGAATCCTCTTTTTAAAAAAAGATATTTTATTTTTGTCCAGTAAAATGGGTCGTTAGTTATATAGAGTCTTTATAGTTTTGAATTTAAAAAGCTGTGTGTTTTTATAGTGCTAGTTTGCTTGCTAATTCAAAATATTAAGATCATTCTGCTCTGACTTTTTTTTAATTCAATGTGTCCGGAAACAAGAAACCATATTATCACTGGGAATTTATAGGATACTTAAATCCAATTTAAAAGAAAGAAAGAAAGAAAGAAAATGAATGAAAACACTGCAAAACTACTGAAAACTATTGCTCCTGGAACATTCAGCTTTGATATTAAATTTAGTACCAATGTAGACATTGCCACAAGCACAAGCGTACACCAACTGAGTGGGTTAATCATGACAAGGCTTGCCAACTTCAATCCCAATTGTTGGTTTTATTTTTCAATCTCTAAAGAAATGTTCTTGGACCACTTAAATAATGAGGAACTAAGCAACACACTCATTTCTTATGCTGTGAACCAGAAACCGAAAGGTCAAATGTGCTTTGGGAATGCAATCATTAAAACACATAAGCGTGGCGGCATGGATAGGAGGAGCCATTTTGTATGGAATAGTTGAAATTTCTTCATTATTTTTGAAGACCACCAATAAAGCCTTCTAATGAAACCTTTTCAAAATGCTCCATGACTGTAACTCAGTCTTGATGAAACAAACAGTGAAAGCAGAAGGTGAAGTGCTCCATCTAGAGTACAAAGGAACTAAGTTTAAAAACACTGGGAGAGTTCCTCTAGGAACTGGCTCTCTCAAAATTACCCCTCATATGAGAAACAGATAGTATGAGATGAAACATTATTCTCATTGCTTGCAAAAATAAATTGCTTCTCAACTTGTTCTGTTTCTCACATTTATCAACCTAAACATAACATTGAGATAATTTAGGCGATCCCTTAGATTGATTAAATAAATTGATAGGTCACCTGAAAATACCAAAGTAGTCAATGTGGCATCAGATTTTTAATTATGGCTTAACACAATATATCCAAAATATTCTTTATCTTCCATTATTTATGTAGCATTGATTGGATTTCAAATATTGAATATAGTAGCATCCCCTATATTTGTCCTCTGGAAGGTTATGCTCATAGTAAAGTGTTTCCATTTTGTTAATATTATGTCACTATTCCATTATGTTGATATTTTTCTTTCTTTTCCAGGCAATAATAGGGGAATCATCATTTATCCCAAAGCTAATAATGAAGTGGAGCTTCAGAGTCATTTACTTTCAATGGAGTGTCATTGTAGTGACCATGGACATTTATGAAGTCTTGCTAAATAAAAGTTGAGTTGAGGACCCTTTTATGGGATGTATTTAGGTGATTCACAGACTCTCATAGTAACAGCCCTACCCTCAGATATGTAGCAGAAGATACCCCGCAGCAGAAGTATTTGGGTAACAGAGGATGTGGTGGTCAATTTTCAGTGTCAGCTTTACTGGATTAAGGATTACCTGGAGAACTGGTAAAGAATTATTTCTGGGTATATCTGTGAGGGCATTTCCAGAGGGGATTGAAGTGTGAGTCAGTGGACTGAGTGGGGAAGATATGCCCTAAATGTAGGAAGGCACTATTCAATCAGCTAGGGGCCTTGATAGAATAAAAAGGTGATTTTTCTCTCTTTTTTTGGAGCTGGGGTATACTTTTCTCTTATTCTTGGACATCAGAACTGCAGGCTCTCTGGCTTTTGGACTCCAGGACTTACACAAGTGACCCCTGGGCTCTCTTGCCTTGAACTGAATTTACACCATTGGCTTCACAGTTCCTGAGGGCTTTGGACTTGGACTGAGCCATGCTACCAGCTTCCCTGGGTCTCTAGCTTGCAGATGGCCTGTCCTGACACTTCGCAGCCTCCATAATCACATAAGCCAATTCTCCTAATAAATTCTCTCTCATCTCTCTCTGTATATATCCTGTTGGTTCTGTCTCTCTGGAGAACCCTGATGAATACAGAGGAGAAACAAGGTTTAAAATGAGCTGAAGCAAAAGCAGATTACCCATGAAAAAATCTTCCAACTCTTACAGTATATCTATATCTATATCTGATTTGAAAAAAAAGTGTATATATGATATTTATTAGAATTTGTTCCAAATTTGATGACAATCACAAAAGTTTACATCAAAAGTACCAAAAACAAATTTGAATCTGGAAGAAACATTTCCAAATGATCAATAATTTAAAAAAATTCATTACTCATGTTAGAGGAAAAACAATCTATTAACAAATCAATGTTGTATAAAAAGGTGATCAAAGAGCATGTAGCCAAAAAATGTGAGAAATAAAAACATGAAAGAAGTATAGTAGGTCATTAATTTATAAAATGTTGTATTGTTGTTTTTGTGGAATGTTTATTTGTTGACTTTTAGAAATTTATACTTTCTTGTGCATTTTTCTTATTCTAAGTAACATTAGCTTCCTAATTTTGTATTCTTTTTCTTAAGGAGACACCCAAGCCATCTGCCCTATCAGTAATTCCTATAACGTCTGGAAACAGTTTACAATGAGTGGAATATTCATGCTTCTAGTTTATTTTCCTCTTTTTAAATTGGAGCTAATTTTTAGTGATTTCTTTCTTTATTGTATTATTTCAGAAAATGAGGCCTCAGATTCTCCAGAAATCAATTTAGCTGTTTGTTAATAGATACACTAAGAAGAAAAGCCATGAAAGCAAAAGTCTTCTAAACTTGTTTACCCCAGATTTCCTCCCCCACTAAGTAAAGAACTAGATTCCTTTTCTCTAAGTCTGGTCCAGGATTTTAGGAAGACTACTTCTGGTAGGACTATAACTGATAACTAGAGATTCTGATTGAAAACAGCTTAATACTGAAAACAAAAAGATTCTTAAATGTTTAATTTTTTTAGTCTTGCATCATTTATTATAATTTGGGAAGTAGCTATAGCATTATCCCGACTTCTGAAATTTGACTGGTAGTCTCTTTTGTAAGAGGTTGCAATTTTTTTTTATTTTAATTGAGACAACGGTCTCGCTTTGTTGCCCAGGCTGGTCTTGAACTCCTGGACTCAAGGGATCCCCCTACTTCAGCCTCTCAAAGTGTTGGGATTATAGACATAAGCCACCACGCCCAGCCTAGAAATTGTTAAGAATATATGATGCGATATTCAGCAATCAGGAACGGAAGTAACAAATGGAATTACTTTGTAGGAATACACTGGGTTGGGAAATATTTAATTTTTTTTAAGAAAACCTCTAAAATATTTTTTCACAAACCAAAACCTTCTATGAGCTCTATTTCCTCTTTGTGCAATAGCTGGGAGCTGTGTTCAACCTGGAATTCTAGAAGGGCATAGTAAGTGCTATATTTCATCAACATAAATAATTAACTGGAGAAGGACATGAAATATTCATAGCTGAAAATTATTGAAGTAGACTGCAGAGGGGGAGGAAATATCTAAAAACTGAAGAAAAATGAATCATTTAGTTAATATTCAACTTATGGCATTTTATTTATTTATTTATAATTAATTAATGCCTACTCCTTTTGGGCCAATGACAAGTGTTGGGTGTACTAGGCTAAAGCACAATTGGACCATATTAGATTTATGATTTGAAACTATAAGGGATTTGATGTTTTGTGTGTATTCTGGCAGAAGGTATGCATCAGGAGTAGGAGAAGAGGGAGTCTCTGTTTTGCTTTTTCACTTTAAGCCCATTCCAATAATAAGGCAACTGCTATTTTGGGAGTACTAGCAATTGTTCAATTTAGTGTCACAGACTGCAAATGATTTATGCTATTGGAGGTTTTCACTTTTGTGGGAAGGGATTATAGTGATGGGTTCTAGAAAACCTATTGAATAAATAAATATTCCCTGGCAGATGTTGCTTTTCTGCCCCCAGCCAATACTAATTGCAAAGCACAGAGCTTAGGGGTTGCCTGTGGTGATATTAATTAACATCATGAAACTTCGTGTATGGGTGTCAGTGAGGTGATAAACAACTGCTATTTACATGATGTAAAGTGGCTGAAAATGGGTCAAAAGAACTGCGATATCATTTCTCTTGACAGACACTGGGCATCTATTTATAGATGTTCTTATTTGTGTGAGAGAAAAAGGGATATTTTTTTCCCCTCTTAAAAAAAGGTGGTCATTTAGAAAGCAAAAGATACACTGCTTTTAAGTCCAGAAGCCTCATTAGGATTTCTGAGGAAATGAAAAGTGGTTTGATGGGAGACTGAACTAAACCTACCAGGTGTAGAATTTTAGTGCTAAACCGCTCATCTCATTGATGAGGTGATTTCAGGGCACACTCTAAAGATGCATTGTTGAGTGTGTGGCCCCAAGAACAATGAGGTACAAATTAGCTATGTCCAATCGCTCAGAAAACTTATCATCAACGGACTCTCTGACATGACCTTCTTGCCTTCTTTCCTTTTAGCTCACAAAGTAATAGGATTGAGGCACAGAATGAGAAGCTTAGGGATCTGACACCAATTTCTCAAGAGGAAAAATGGGGCATTTTTAAACAGGAATAAAAGATGGTAGTTTAAAATCATATTTGCTGTAGATATCAGCTATATTTTAAAGCATTTAAAAGTGAACTAGTTTAACTCTTTAAACTCTTCCAAAACCCCCAGACATTTGCATATGAGCTGTTTCTTTATCACAATGCTCTCTTTATTCTTTGTTATTATGGATGCATGTTAGTCACAATAGAATCTATAAACTTCAATTAGCCATGATACTACACCCTACATGAAATTTACAATGCAGTGTACATGTGATGAACAACCTAGGGAATAATTTGGCCATTCCTGGAAATAGCAGTTTGTAGGCATATGCAATGTTGTTTTATGCATTAAGTTTACATTTTAGTAGAGTAACAACTTATGCATTGGAATCATCAGAGAATGAATTCGCCAGAAGATAGATATATATATATGTATATATATATATATTTTTTTTTTTTTTTTTTTTTTTGGCTAAGTTTACCACTGTTTTTCCAAAAAGTATCTCACACCTTCAAGGTATCACTAATACTTTTAGCTAAGATTATAGTTTGAGAATGAAATTAGGGAAAAAAAAACCTCTATGATGACTAAGGTTAGATAACTATTATAAAAAATAATCTATCTCATTGATGATTTGTGAGACTGAAGACATTTAAAGCCACTCATATTCTAATTATAGCTATTATCTATTCATGTAGTTATTCATTAATCAAACATTCATTAAACCCACAGTATGTCTCAAGCATTTGGTTAGGCATCGTATAAAAGAATGGTTGTATTACTTCTTTAAAGTTCTAGCCTACCATAGCATTGCACCCAATCTGCAGAAATACTGTTAACCCAAAGCAGAAAGTTATTGGAGAGACGAGAAATGTTAAGAAATTAAGAATTTAACAGTACATTGCCAAGGCTGTCTAGAAAAGAAGGGGCTTCTACCTTTTAGCCTACCTTCTGGCAAAATAATTATAGTAACCACAAGCTAACATTTATTTAGTATAAGCTGTGTGCTACTTCTGCTAGTGTATTTAATCCTCAAATCAGTCTTGCAGCGTTACTATTCCCACTTCTTGAGGGAAGAAACTGAAGCTAAGCAGTTTAATGAATTTGCTCAAGATTACATAAATAAAGCTGGGAGCCAGAATTTGAATCTAGGTCTCTTTTATTTCAAAGCCCTCTACTTTCACATAATGTGTGTGTATATATGTATTATATTATATATATTATATTATATATATATAATAACTTGATGACATTAGCTGTTAACCATCCTTCAACTCTTGCTCCATGTTTATTAAACATACCTTTCTGATTTACTTAGAACTAACATTAAATATTTTCCTTGCATGGAGAGAATATTCCCCCAGTGATTTTGTATGGTTGATTCCCTTGGACATTATATATTTAAAAATTGTTATTAAACAATTTTATATTGGGATTTATACTGCCTTCTCTTGTGAATTTGACTAACATGAATTAGCCTTTTCCATACAAGCATCACTTCTGAACACATTTACGAATTGCTTTATTTGGTCTACAGAACTCAGGACCCGATCCTAGACCAATGTATTCTGAGTATCTAAGCAAAATATCTACCTTATCATTATCTGTATTCTCAGAAATAATACAGTAGTTTTGTTTTTTCTTAAAAATATCAAATTCACAAAAAAGTTTCAAGTGTAGAAAGTTTTTACCTGAACCATTTGAGGGTTAGTTATCAACATGATGTTTTATCATTTGTTGTGGAAAGACGAATACTTTTGTCTCCCTAATAATGACAAATTAGGTCATTCTCTTATATAACATAATCTATAGCCCAATGATGAAAATTAGGAAAGTAACATTACTACTATATAATGCCCAAACCAAATTCACATTTCTCCAATTATCCCAATAATGTTCATTACAGCAAAAGGCCCCAGTCCAGAATTATGTTTTGCATTTAGTTGTCACATCTCCTTAGTCCTCATCATTGTAGATCTGTTCCTCTTTCCTTGGCTTTCATTATCTTGACTTTCTGGAATAACTACAGGTCTAGTTATTTTGTGTGATGTCCCTTAAATTGGGTTTGTTTGATATTTTCTCATGATTAGATTCAATGTTTGAATATTCAAAAGGAATATCACGCAAGTGATGCTGTGTTCCTCTTATTGCATTCTATCAGGTGGAACATGGTTTCTGTATGTCTCATTTTTGCTCATGTTAAATTTGATGACTTTATTATGGTGGTGTCTACCAGGGTTCTTCTCAGTGAAATGACCCTTTGCTGTTAATTAATAAATATTTTTTGGGGAAGTACTTTGAGAATATATAAATATAAATTTCTCATCAAACTATCTGTCATCTATCTATCTATTACTTATTTATTTATTAATTTATTTTTTTTTGAGATGGAGTTTTGCTCTGTCGCCCAGGCTGGAGTGCAGTGGCATGATCTCGGCTCACTGCAACCTCCGCCTCCCAGGTTCAAGTGACTCTTGTGCCTCAGTCTCCCGAGTATCTGGGATTATAGGCACCCGACACCATGCCTGGCTAATTTTTTTATATTTTTAGTAGAGATGGGGTTTCACCATGTTGGCCAGGCTGGTGGCAAACTCCTGACCTCAGGTGATCTGCCTGCCTTGGCCTCCCAAAGTGCTGAGATTACAGGGGTGAGCCACCATGCCCGGCCTATTTATTTTATATTACTGTAGACTAATGCACTGTTAGCATAGCCAATGCACTATAATATTTTACTATTTACTTTGGTGCTCAAATAGTCTAGGATTTCACCAGTAGGAGCCTCCTCAGTTTGGCTGCTGTGTCCTTTTGACATATCTCCATAATTCTGTGAGCACTTAACTTGTGGTACAATAAACTGTTCCAGAATCACCTTGTACTTTTTTCTGCCACAGCCCTGGATCCATCCATTGCTCCAGGAAACTCTTGTTTCAATATACAATGTCATTTAGATGTGGGCGTCAGATGTGCTTGTTGCTACTGAGGTATCATCACTCCCAGGACCTTTCTGGGGATATAAGTAGGGGACACATTAATATTTATGTGTGTTGTGATGACCTTTTGACATGTGAAGAGGACTAAGGTACAATAACCAATTATTCAAAGACTAGTTCACCCACAAAAACTAAAAAGTAAAAAATTCAAAACAAAAAACTCTGGTCTTGGTGTTGCTGTGAAGATAGTAGAAATAATTAGAGTTTACAATGAATGGACTTTAAGTAATGCACAGATTATCCCAGATATTGAATTTCCCTGATTGACTCAATTAAAAGACCTCAAATGTGGAACTAAGCCTTTCTTGAAAAAGTTTTGCTTCTGAAAAGCAGCTTCAGCCTGTGCCTGAGAATTCCAGCCTGCCCTTTTTGATGGCCTACCCTACAGATTTCAGACTTACCTAGATAGACCCCACAATCACATAAGCCAATTCCTTTCAATAAACCTCTTATTATAGACTTCTTATATATGTGTCATGAGTTATATCAAAATTTCCAATTCTAATCCAACACCTGGTTTTTCCCCTTTCATTTGTAACTCTTTTTCTTTGATAGTGAAAAATATTATTTCCATTATCCTTAATGTGATTACTTACGGGATCAATTCCCATGAGTGTGTCCAATTTCCCATCACTGCTGTCTACTTCTCCCTAATGGGGTCACATGCTTACCTCACCCTGGCTGTCACAACCAGAGCCAGGTTGCCCAACTGTATGGATGCTTTCTTCAATCTTCATATGTCCCCACACTGTCCTCCTTTCTAGATGGACATCCTCCTCACCCTGCTTATTTTCTGACATCCTGTGTTGGCCACCCTCATATACTGAAACAGTCTTCATCCCACTCAGTCTGGGAAAGCCTGTCCCAGACTATCTCCCTTGCACAAAAATTTCTCCTCACTCATCACAGGCTCAGACACCCTGGACTCATTTTCCAAACCCTGTGTGGATGCCCTTCCGACTCATGCTCACATGTACTGCTCTGGGCTACTGCACTTCCCTATCACCTCATCCACCTCTAACACACAGTCGCGTACATTATGGAGCCTCACCAAATGCCTCTTGGACTAAATTACTCAGGGAAGGAGGAGGAAGAGAATGAGTGGAAGCTGACTTTCTCAAGGTCAGTGGTTCTCAGTCCAGAACAATTTTACCTCCCAGGGGTCATTTAGCAATTTGTGGAGACATTTTTTGTTGTCAGAACTAAGCGGCTGCTATTGACCCCTCATAGATAGGGGCCAGGGACACTGCTAAACATTCTACATGTGCAGGACAGCCCTCACAACCAACCAAGAACCATTGACCCCAAAAGTCAACAATCCCAAGGTTGGAAAACCCTGCTGTAGGCAGGTGTCCTGAGGACACTGAAAACTCTTAATTTTCAAATACTTTTTAGGCTTTTAGTTTTCTCTTGAATCACACAAGAGTCATCTGTTTCCAGTGAGACTCAACCAATATAAATTGACAGATCATTCAACTGTCAATCAAATTAAATTATTTTGTTCCTCCAAAAAATTACAATTTGAAAGTTCATTTTATTAGATCAGCTATCCAAACAGATGGTTGAGAAGCAGGGACTCTCAAAATTTCATGTAGGTACAGTGCTGGTGAGTCAGCCAGATTCCTACAAATTGATTCTCACAAGTAGATTGTAAATTTTTGTATTGGTTAAGTTTTAAATGGTCACATGCAAAACATGCTCTCTAGTAACTCTGCAGAATTGAACTCATGGGTGTTGGATGGGAATGCCAAGATGATACCATATGCTGCACTATGAAAAGTGGGATGAGAAGAAGAAACAATGATACAAAACATTGGTCCTCAAAGTGTGTTCTGTGGACCAACAGCATCAGCATCATCTGGGAGCTTAAAAAAATCTCAACACCCAGCTTGCATCCCATACCATCTGATTTAGGACTTCTACTACGCAGAAATATGTATTTGAGTAAGCTTTCAGTGATTACAATACTTGTAGAAGGTTAAAAACCACGGGATAAGGAGCACTAGTCTGAGAAGCATCAACATTTTCTAATCTATGAAGTGGAGAACAATCATATCTTCTCTGCTTATATTACAGAACTATCAAAAATATTATGAGGCCATTGATTATATGAGATAGAATAATAACTTGTTATGACACAGCATTGTCACTAGGTTAATTGTATTAGAAAACATGTATGTATCTATCTTCTCCATCAGCCATTTCTGTTGATTATATACTTGCTTAGCAAGTATACTGTAGAAAAGCACAAGCTTTGTGTCAACTACAGCAGGCTCTAAATCTGTTCCCTACTAGCCACATGAAAATCCAGTTAACCCCTCTGATCCTCTGTTTACATATGTTTATAAAGTTTTCCTGTTTAGAAAAAAACAACTTTTCATGTTTGGTCAGATGGCAATACAGTAAGAGTGCATATCTCTTGTGATTTGAGATCTGGAGTTATGCATAAAAATTTTTTAGCTTAGTATGATTTATTTACTTTTGCATTATTTGTGCACTAAGCAATCAATACATCAAAAATGTAAGAATACTTTTTAAAGGAAAAGTCAACTCATGTTAAATATTAGTTTGAGATCCTCCCTAACCCAGTAAGCCACACATACTTGAGCTTTGTCATAAGTATTCGAAAGCCTCTGAGGTCTTTGCCAATTACATCTAAATTCTCTGCAGGGTTCTGGAGGACCTAACTTGTTGAAAGCCTGCTTAATAATAATGGGAGTCATGATTCTTATATATATAATATGTTAATAATATGACATATCATATATTATTATTAATAATATTACATATCATATATTAATAGTAATATTACATATCATATATTATTAATACTATTGTGTATATTATATATATTCTTATACTCAGGTTATCCCCATCAAACTAATGCAGAAACAGAAAACCAAACACTGCATGTTCTCACTTATAAGTGGGAGCTGAACAATGAGAACACATGGACACAGGGAGGGGAACAACACACACAGAGGCCTGTCGAGGGGTGGGATGGGGGAGGGAAAGCATTAGGAAAAATACCTAATACATGCTGAGCTTAATTCCTAGGTGATGGATTGACAGGTGCAGCAAACCACCATGGCACACATTTACCTATGTAACAAACCTGCACATCCTGGACATGTAACCCGGAACTTAAAAATAAAAATTAAAAAAAATTTAAAGCCTCTGTGCCCCACTGCAGACCTTCTACATAAGAGTTTGTGGAGGCTGGGCTAAGGTATCTATAGAAACAGTGAGCCCACATCGGCTTCTATTGCATATAGATGTCCAAAATCAGTGTGATAAATGGTTGAGAAATTATGAATTTTTACACTTGCTTTTATTTTTTAAATTTTTAATTTTTATGTAATTATAGATTAATTGTAGTTTTAGAAATAATAAACACAGAGCTCATATACACTTCACTCAGTTTCCCCCAAAGGTAAAATCTTGCATAACTACAGTGCAATACCTCAACCAGGAAATTGAAATTGGTGCGATTCGTGGACTTCATTCACATTTCAACAGTTTTTATACACTCATTTATTTGTGTATGCGTTTATATATGTTTTGTTTAATTGAGCACATCTGTAGATCATGTGACCACCACCAAGGTCAAGATACAGAATTACTCTCTCACAAGGGTCCTTTTTGCTACCCTTTTATAGCCTCAGATATCTCCCTTCTCACTCCAAAACTACTAGGAATCAGTAATCTGTTCTCTATCTCTACAATTTTGTAATTTCAAAATATTAAATGGAATCATGTAGTGTGCAACCTTTTGACATTTTCTTCTTTTGACTCAGCATAATGCTATTGAGATTCATCCAAGTTGCTGTGTGTATCAATACTTTATTCCTTTTTGTTGCTTAATAGTGTTTCATGGTATGGAAGTAGCACAGTTTATGTAGCCATTTACCTATTGAATGACAACTGAGTTGTTTCCAGTTGGGATGACTATGAATAATCCTGTTATGAACATTGGTGTACATGTTTATGAAAACATAAGTTTTAATTGCTTTGTAATAAATGCCCAAGTGCAATTACTGGGTTATATAGGAAGAACATGTTTATTTTTTATTAGAAACTTCCAGACCCTTTTCCAGAGCGGCTATACCATTTTACATTCCCACTAGCAACATATGAGTGATTCAGTTTCTCCATATCCTCACCAACATTTGGTATTTTTCATATTTTTTATTTTAGCTATTAGGATAGGTGTGTAGTGATATCTTTATGTTCTTAATTTGCATTTCCCTAAAGGCTAACGGTGTTGAGTATCTTCACATGTGCTTATTTGCCATCTATATATCTTCTTCAGTGAAATGTCTTATGTCCTCTTTCCATATTCTAATTGGATTATTGGTTTGTCTGTTACTGTTGAGTATGAGAATGTTTTATATTTTCTAGACACTAGTCCGTTGTTAGATATATGGTTTGCAATATTTTCTTCATATCTGTAACTTTTTTTACCACTCTTCTCAGAGTCTTTTGCCAAGTAAAATAATTTTTAAAGTGAGATCAAATTTATGATTTTTCCTCTTATGAGTCATGCTCTTGATGTCAAGTTTAAAAATATTTTGCCTGTTCCTAGCTCCTCAAAGATTGGATTATAATATGTATATTTGAGAGTTTTATAGTCTTACACTTTGCATTTAGGCCTGTGCTTTATTTTGAGTTAATTTTTGCCTATTGATGTGCAATTGCTTCAGCACCAATTGTCGAAGAAACTATCCTTCCTCTATTGAATCACTTTTGCACCTTTGTCAAAAATCAGTTGGACCTATTCTATGTGCTTTTGCTGGGTTCTCTATTCCGTCCTATTGATGTCTTATTTGCATTTAAGTCTTTGATCCATAAGTCTGTGTCTCTTGTATTAAATCTGTATCCCTTCTCTAATACTATATTATCTTGATGACTGTAGCTTTATAAGTCTTGAAATCAATTAGATTCATTCATTCCATTTCATTCTGCTTTATCAAAATTATTTTATCTGCTCTAGGCTTTGTGTCTTTCCATATACATATGAGAATAAGTTTGTCCATTTCTACAAAGTTTTATTAGGGTTTTTATGGAAATTGTATTAATCCTATAAATCCATTTAAGTAGCATTGACATCTTTACAATGTTGAGCCTTACAATTCATGAATATAGTATGTCTCTCCATTTATTTAGATCTTCCTGGGCTTTCCTTCATTAATGTCTGAATTTTTAAGATATAGATCCTGCATATGTCTATATTTTTAAGATATAGATCCTGCATAGGTTTTATTAGATTTTTGCTTAATTATCTTATTTGAAGCAATTGTAATTTGTATGGTGTATTAAATTTCTGTTTCCACATGTTCATTTTTGGTATAGAAAAATCTGATTAATTTTTGTTTATGTGTATTATCTTGTGTCCTGTGACATTTCTGAACATACTTACTAGTTTTAAGAGGTTTTTGTGAGTTAGCTGGGATTTTCTGTGTAGCCAACCATGTTTTCTACAAATAAGGACAATTTTATTTCTTCTGTTTTAATCTAGGCATTCTTGTTTTCTTTTCTTGACTTATTGTGCCAGGTAGAACTTCCAGCATTTTGTTGAATAAGAGTGGTGAGTGTGGATATACTTGTTTTTCTCTCAGTCTTAGGGGAAAAGGATTCAATCTTTCACACCTTTCACTAAGCATGATATTGTCTGTTGGCTTTTTGTAGGTGCTACTTATTAAGTTGAGGAATTTCTCCTCTATTCTTATTTTCTTAGAGTTTTTATCATGAATGGGTGTTGGATTTTGTCCAATGTTTTCCTGCATAAATATGATCATATGATTTTTATTTTTTAACCTGTGGATAGTGATGGATTCATAAAGCTCTAACATTTTCTCAATCTTATTGTATTCTTAAAAAGAAGAAATAACTGTATTTTAATTATTTGGATAAATGTGTCGCATCATCATTTTCACCAGTATTTGGGAAGAAAAAGGATATTACTGAACCAAATATAAAATTACGCATAGAGAAGTTAGTTTCTTATAACATAAACTTAGACAATAAATGTAGAGGACTTCTGAGAGAGTACAGTGAAATACTAAGATGTTTTGCTATAAAATTCTCTCCTTCACAAGTGAAAATCAGTCAACAACTTTATGATCTTATGAGGGCATATTCCCTCTCTTGTAAACAAGTTATCACCAAAACCTTTTTTGGCTGGCATAAAATCATGAAC
The DNA here is from genome assembly GCF_000001405.40 of Homo sapiens. Taxonomy (NCBI): domain Eukaryota; kingdom Metazoa; phylum Chordata; class Mammalia; order Primates; family Hominidae; genus Homo; species Homo sapiens. The sequence continues at coordinate 27,311,587 of NC_000018.10, forward strand.
TATGTTATGGCATATATGCAACAGATAATGTTTTTAAGTATTCTGCACATCAGTAAATTTTTGCTTAAGTTAATTCTTCTCTGCTTAATGGCTTGTATAACTGATGGTTGCTGTCTTATCGGAGACTCTAATGCATTAGAATAGTGTTGAATCTGGAAAAAATAAATCATATTCCTCTGCAAATTATGCATATATGCATATACACAAAGAGTTGTGTGTAAATACATCGCTTTACTTACACAACTAAATGACTCAGATGCTCTGAGTATAAACAAATCAAGGAGCCAAGTAAATTAAATACTTTGGAAAATTGCACTATCATGTTTGGGCAACTAAATTCAATTTATGTGCTGAATTAGTAATTCACTGCTCGACTGGAAAATTTAAGATAGGCAGTAAGCAAAGATTCCAGAGGAGTACATTTGCTCTGCATTCATGGGTCTCAGTAAAGGAGATAAGGCTTTTTAATTGGTAGACATAATTATCTTCAAAAAATCCTTCAACCTTCTATTTTAGTTTCCTAGGACTTTCATAATACCACAAACTGGGTAGCTTAAACCAATAAAAATTTATTCTCTCAAAATTATAGAGGCTAGAAGTATGAAATAAAAGTGTCAGCAGGGCCATGCTCTCTCTGAATGCTCTAAGGAAGAATCCTTTACTGTCTGTTGGCAGCTTCTGGTGGTTGCCAGGAACCCTTGTCATTCCTTGGCTTGTAGATGTATAACTCCAATCTCTACCTCCGTTGTCACATGGCCTTATTCCCTGGGTCTTTGCATATCTTTCTCCTCTATGTCTCTCCAGATTTCTCTCCTGTAAGTCATTGGATTTAGGGCCCACCCTAATTCATCATGACCTTGTCTTTGCTGATTACATATGCAAAGATTCTACTTTCAAACAAAGTCATGTTCTGAGTTCTGAGAAGACATAAATTGGGTGGTGGGGGAGTCACTATTTAACATAGACTCATTCCCACCTTGCTTTGGGGTGTATTCACATTTAGCTTCCCATTTCTTGCCCTTATACAATGAGCATTTTACTGAAGAAGCAGTTTGCAGGTAACATTTCACTATTTGGTTGCTTCCGTAGTGTGAACCTCTAGAGTAACATGTTTCTGAATGTAAGTTCCCTCCTCTCAGGGTACTCTCACTTCAGCTAAGAACAAATTTATTTTTTAAACCAGAATGCAGAGTTTGTCTAAGTTTGCACTGTTAGGGGATGCTTTCATCCACCACCACTCCCACCCCTACGCTGCCCAATCAGCCTCATGTTCTTTTTAAAAATTGTGTATTGAATAAATCACAATTAAATTTATCATGGAATTAACCAGTTACCATTTAATGTAATTCCTTATAAACAATAATATTTGACAATTAGCCTATGGCAATAGTTTTGGCATACATGCAAGTGTGATTTTAGTTAGGCATTCTGAAAATCTGCAGGTAATTAACAAGCCATTATTACTATCTCTCTTGACCTCTAAGGTGTTAATCACCATTCTAGGGATTAGTAATCAAGAGTACAGACTTGTGAAAGTAGCAGTTAAATTTTCCATCCTTTGAATGGACAAGAATTCAGTGAAACGCAATTCACTTCTCATCATCTATTCTTTACAAATATTACAGTGAGGGACTACTGCTAAGCCATATTTTAGGTAGAAACATGTTAGGTAGAAAACACATGCAGAAAAAGTTTTTTTCTTTCTCCTCCAGATTTGGGATAGGGAGATGGGTGGGTGGATGAAGAAAGGTACAAGGATTTCAAAAAGCCAGTGAAAGATATAATAGCAAAGAATTGTGAAATGTTACCTCTTTTATAAAACAGAATACAAATAGGTAATAGTTTATGTTTATCTAGACTTATTAATTTAAAATACTTTCGTATTTTTTTGATAATGCCAAACTTTGGTGTATAGAAGGCAGGTGTTATTTTCCATAATTTCACAGATGAGAAAACTGAAGCTTGTTGGGGTTAAGAGACACACCCCTCAGCCAGCAGAATTGGAATTGCAATCACTAGCATGCACAACCACTGTTTTTTCATTACTATAGTTAACTCTTGGCTGATAGCAATTCCTAAAGCATTCTCCATCACATTTTGAACACTGCTATGGGGTCAAAATAGGAGCATAAAGTTTCAATTAACAACATCTAAGTTCTAAATTTAGCAGTTATCTGACCTTAGACATTTGTAAACTGGTGTAATAATACTTGCCCTACTTCCCTCGAGGGTTGAGAATGAAGCAGATAGAAAAGCAAAACAAGGATGAGACACTATGTGGGTTGGAAGAGAAGTGGGAGTGTGTGCTTGAGTGACAACTTTGAGATTCCTGGAAGGCACAGCTTGTGACAGGGCTTCCTGAGCTTCCCTGTTTCCTTTTATAATAAATCTCCCTGCTTTTAAACTTTAAAGAGTTTTGTATTGTTGTTGGTCTCTATAATGAAAATACTGTGTTCCAAAGACACCAAGTTTTCCAGATAGAAAGAAAGACCAACATTAAGCAAGTAATTTCATCAACGTATAACAAGAGTAGGGGAACGACCAAAGATGAATAGCATTTTAAGGTGCTATTATTCAGCCAGACATGGTGGTACATGTCTGTAGTCCCAGCTACTTGGGAGGCTGAGGCAGGGGCATGACTTAAGCTTGGGACTTCGAGTCCAGCCTGAGCAACATAGTAAGACCCCATTTCTTAAAAAATAAGGTGCTATTATTAATTTGTTTTTTTAGCATAATTTACTTTCAATCCATTAAAAATCAGGACTCAACAGGAGTCCTGAATTGTGAGGAGGGGCTTCCTGTGAAGTCGAGACGGTTAGAAGAGGATGGCATTAAATAAGAAGGTCTATTTTAATTCATTTCCAATTTAGCAGAGTTGGAAGTGACTTGTTCTCTTCCCACTGCTCCATTCCCCCAGTGTCTTTGCTTGTTTACTTCCTTTGTATATACAGTATTGCCATTGGTTTTCTCTTGGAAGATATTTGGGAAAGGTAAAAATAAGTCCTCTCCTTTTTTGAAACTGGAGGATACTTCCTTTATTGTAAGAGGAAGGAAGAAGGGATATGTATATGCCACACTAGTGTAAAGGTAAAACTCAATTAAAATATAACATCATAATTTTTTTTAATCATTAGACATGTTAAAATGCAATCACCCTGAAATGTATTCATGATGAAGCACAGTGGATGGATGGAACCCATCTGCACAAAAGGCAATGTATTAAAAGGTTTTGAATCAAGCCTCCCTTGCTAGCGATAAAAAAATGACATTTTTACATGTGGCATAAAGCAACTAACAAACGAAGCTATAATCATGGGATTATTAGCAAATAAAGTTGCTTGCATTTATAGAGCCATAGATCTTTTGGGAAACATCCATGTGGTAAGTAAAAAAAAAGAATTCATAGAAATTTATATAAAATTTCACAATGCAATGAATGATTTATTACAACTTTATTTGTATTAACCCAGATGGTGCACAATTTGGATATGTAACCCTGCACATGAGAAATGCTTTATAAATGCCACATATCTCTGTTCTGCAGCAGTGACTGCATGCCAGGACAGCCTTCCACTCCAGAAGGCCCTTGCCAACACAAATAAAGAAGGGAAATGACATCTTACTTGTTGAAGTAAAGAAACTGCAGTGTAAACAATAACAACAATCATGCAATCAGAGAAGTGATTAAGCAGGAAGAATTCATTCTAAATGCCTGACCATGGTGAACTTACAAAATATGACTGTTGCCTCTCGCCAGACAAAAAGAAACTTTGAAATAACTGTCTTCAACATTTCTGCTTTAAAAGTCCTTTTATAACCATCTGTTTTCTACTATTTATTACCAGAAAATATCAGAGTGATTCAGTCTCTTTGATGGTATCCTTACTGACTTTCAAATAAGGCATGGGAGAAACTACTCTGGACTATTCAGTTTCAAATTCTTACATGGAAAGCTACAACTGTCAAATGAAAGGACCTATTTCTCCATGTCCTTTATCTTTTTAAAGGAATTCTTAACATAGACTTTCAAGGTGTCTATGAATCCCGTGTGATATGATTTGGCTGTGTCACCACCCAAATCTCATCTTGAATTGTAACTCCCACAATTCCTACATGTCATGGGAGTTAACCCTATGGGAGGTGATTGAATTATGGGAGTGGGTCTTTCCTGTGCTGTTCTCATGATAGTGAATGAGTCTCACGAGATCTGATGGTTTTAAAAACAAGAGTTTCCCTGCACAAGCTCTCTCTCTTTGCCTACTGCCATCCATGTAAGACATGACTTGCTCCTCTTTGCCTTCCACCATGATTGTGAGGCCTCCCCAGCCATGTGGAACTGTCCATTAAACTTCTTTCTTTTGTAAATTGCCTGGTCTCAGGTACGTCTTCATGAGCAATGTGAAAACAGATCAATAAACTGTGAATAGATATTAAATATGTGTACATGCATCTTTTTACTGAGCAGGTTCAGAACAATAAGTGCCAATACTGATGTGCTTCAGTTTCTCCATGTAAAAAAATAGGAGGCTACAATTAACTGTTTTTTAAGATTTTTACACTGCTTGTGTACTTGAAGCATTTTCTTATATTAGGAGCTTTTCTACCCTGAAAAGAGATAGTTCTTCCAGTAAACATATTTGAGAAAAAGGTAATCAAATTGCTGAGTCAAGATTTAATTAATCAAATGTAAGATGTAATTTACTGAATTCAACAGATGGCATCCATTAGCAAGTCAAAGAAAAACTAAATATAAAGAGGAAGACATTTGGAGAATGACAAAGTGTTTATGTTCATATATTTTATGCTAAAGAAATTAAATCTTTTTGCCCAGTCTAGGAATGGGAAGTACAAAGAGAGTAACCTTGCTTGTAGGGAGCATTTTTCTCCTTCTGAAATATTGGTTCATCCACTTATCTTGATTGTTCTACCTTAGAATTGGGCTGGGTCATTTTGGCCAAATGAAAATGAAGGTAATTTGTTAAGGGAAATTCAAGTGAATCTAAAATAACCTTTCAGTAAAATAAAGATGAGAATAAAGTGAAACTGTCCATGAAGTTTGGCCTCTGGATATTCAATATAAAAAAGATACATAGATAACAATTTAAAAAATTAAAGTTATAAGCACAATGATGAAAATGAACCCAAATTCTTTTCCATTGTTTTCCTGCATGGCTGTATTACTTTGCTAAGTCCTTCACTACAAATTACCAAAAATGTGGTGTTTTGAAACAACAGAAATTTATTCCCATGCAGTTCTGGAGGTTTACATATCAATTCTACCTTAATAAAGATAAAAGAGTAATAAGGAATAATAAAAAAAATGCAGGTTTTAAAATCTATCCATTTCTATATATCCTGAGGGGATAATGCAGTAACCCAACATAGTTAGACAGCTATTTTGAGCTTTATAGTTAAATTAACCACAAAGGCTTAAGTTTCTTCTTTAAAATAGAATTTTTTAAACACAGAACTGTGAAACTATTTTAATGTATTTTAATAAGTTAAAACTAAATTCAATAATATCCATGTTAAATATCAAGTGGAATGATACCACCAAATAGTAATATTGATATAACAATATGTGAAGCAGACATAAATGAGTTTGAAAATATTTAAAAATTTCAATAATTTAATCTCAAATTTCAATAGAATTTATATAAATTTTTATGCATAAAAATATTTTATAAACTTCAATATGCTCATTTTTTTTTTGAAATGGAGTCTCTCTCTTTCTCCCAGGCTGGAGTGCAGTGGCATGATCTTGTCTCACTGCAATATCTGCCTCCTGGGTTCAAGCAATTCTCGTGCCTCAACCTCCCGAGTAGCTGAGACTGCAGGTGCATGTCACCACACCCGGCTAATTTTTGTATTTTTAGTAGAGACAGGGTTTCATCGTGTTGGCCAGGCTGGTCTCGAACTCTTGACCTCAGATGATCTGCCCACCTTGGCCTCCCAAAGTGCTGGCATTACAGGCATAAGTCACCATGCCCGGGCAAATAAGCTCAGTTTTTAAAGTTTTAGGCAAGCCCACCACCGTCTTTTTGAAATTATTGCCTTTACGTATATCAGCTATTCACATCTATCTTTCTTAACAACATGTTAACCCCATCTTAATAGAATTTTGGAATCATGGGGTTTGAAGGAATTTTAAGGTCATCAAGTCCCCTATCTTCAGAATTCCCTGAGAGTGGTTTTTCTGATTAATTGATCACTTTCAGAGACAGAGAACCAGATCTCTCATGACAGATTCTTTCTTTTGCCGAAAATGATTGCAGTCATGTGGTGCTTAACATTGGGGATACATTCTGACAAATGCAACCTTAGCTAAATTTGTCTTTGTGCAAACATCACAGAGTGAACTTACAAAAACCTAGATGATATAGCCTACTACACACCTAGGCTATACAGTGTAGCCCACTGCTCCTAGGCTACAAATCTGTGTGGCATGTTATGTCACTGAATACTATAGGCAATTGTAACCCAATGGTAAGTATTTGTGTATTTAAACGTATCTTTAAAAAAAAGGTACTGTAAAAGTATGGTATTATAATCTTATAGGACCATCCTTTTATTTGTAGTCCATTAACCAACATGTTGTTATGTGGCATATAACTGTTATAGAAATATATCCCATAAGAAGCATAAAAGAGGGACCATTCTCAACATCCTGAGAACTGTTACTTGAAACTTCCCACTTTGTTTATGGCTCATAAGCATTGCATCTAGGACCAAATGGTTTAAGTGACAGCCAAGACCAAAACCCAGTGTAGTGATGTCATCTCCCTCTTCCTTTATGCTGCAATCACATTAATAGCTTACAAAAAAGTAAGTTTTAATTAGTTTTTAAATTTAAATGAAGTATAATTCACATTTTTGTTTTACAATTTTATGAGAATTGAAAAATGCATACAGTCACATAACCACTATCATGACAAAGATGCAGAATGATTTTTTTTTTTTTTTTTTTTTTTTTTTTTGAGATGGAGTCTCGCTCTGTCCCCCAGGCTGGAGTGCAGTGGCGCCATCTCGGCTCGCTGCAAGCTCCCTCTCCTGGGTTCATGCCATTCTCCTGCCTCAGCCTCCCGAGTAGCTGGGACTACAGGCGCCCACCACCACTCCCGGCTAATTTTTTGTATTTTTAGTAGAGACAGGGTTTCACCATGTTAGCCAGGATGGTCTCGATCTCCCAACCTCGTGATCTGCCCACCTCGGCCTTCCAAAGTGCTGGGATTACAGGCATGAGCCACCACATCTGGCCATGCAGAATGATTTTATCAACCCCCAAAGCATACTCTTCTGCCTCTCCTCATAGTCAATCTCTTCACCATCACTAACCCATGGCAACCACTGATTTCTTCCCTCTTTCTGTAATTTTCCCTTTTTCAGAATATTATATAAATGAAATAATGCATTTGTAGCCTTTTGGGTCTGATTTCCTTCACTTAGTATAAGACATTTGGATTCATCCACATTGTTGGAGGTTTGTTACTTTTTATCGCTGAGTAGTATTCCATTGCATGAATGTACCACAATTTTAAAACATTATTTCAACAGCTGAAAGGCATTTGGGTTGTTTCTAGTTTTTTGCAATTATGAATAAAGCTGCTGAAACATTCACAGACAGGTTTCTGTGTGAACATTAGTTTTCATTTCTGTTGAGTAAATACTTGAGGGGTTGGGTTCTGGGTCTTATGTCAAGTATACATTTAACTTTGTAGGAAACTAACATACGAGTTTCCAAAGTTAGACCTCTTGCATTCCACCATCAACATATAAGAGTACCAGTTGCTCAACCTTGAAAGCAGTTGATATTTCCAGCTTTATTTTAATTTAGCTAGTCTTATTAATAGATGTGTATTGTTTTTAACTTGCAATTCCTTAACATCTAATTATGTGAGACTTCTCTTCACTTGCTTATTTGCTATCCATAAATCTCCTTTCTTTGGTGAAGTGGATATTCAAATTATTTGCCCATTTCAAAACTTGGGTTGTTTATGTTATATTTATACATTTCTCTATATTCTGATACAAGTCCATTGCCAATTAAGTGATCTGCAAATATTTTCTCCCAGTCTATGATTTGTCATTTACTCCCCTTAACAGTCTTACTTCTCTTAACAGTCAATTTATCATTTTTTTTCTTTTATGGATTATACTTTTGGTGTCATATCTAAGAATTATTTGCCTAATCCAAGGTCACAAAGATTTTTCTCGTATGTATTTGTCCAAAAGGTGTATAGTTTTAAATTTTATTTAGGTTATAATACATTTTGAGTTAGTCTTTATATAAGGTATAAACTACAAAATGAGTTTCATTTTTTTGCATATAGATGCCCAATTGTTAAGCACTATTGAATTGCCTCTGTACTTTTGCCAAAATCAATTGGCCATTTGTATGGATCCACTTTTGCACTTTTCACTACATCCCGTTGATTTATAAGCCTATTCTTTCAATAATACCATTTTGATTACTGTAGTAAGTCTTAAATCAGGTAGGGTGAATCCTACAATGTTTTTCTTCTTTTAAAAAATTGTTCTAATTCATTTGCCATTCCACATTTTAAAATAACCTTGCTAATAGCTGCAAAATAATCTACAAGGATTCTGATTTGTATTGTTTGTTCTATAGATCAAGGTGGGGTAAAATGATGTTTAATGATATTAAATCTTTCATTCCATGAACACAGTATATGTCTTTGACAATCATAAAGACAATAGAAAAAAAATAGCAATTTATTAGATATTTGTACCTCTACAAGTATTTGAAACTGATTGACTAGAGTGGCTTCTCCCACATTTGACTTGAAAATCTGTAAGGATACCATCAAAATGTTTGAATTACTGTAGTATTTTATGGCAAGAAATATAAAAATTTCAAGGAATTTACAAAAACTTTGAAATCATTAGTGAGTTTGCCAAGGTCATAGAATACAAGTAAATGCACAAAAATCAATCATATTTCTGTATGCTAACATGAACAATTGGGAATTTAAGTTTGACACACGGTACAATGTGCAATAGCAACAAAAATTGAAATAGGTATTTATCTAAAAAAAGTACAGAATCTTATGCTGAAAACTAAAAGCATATGATGAAGACATAGACTAGATCCACAGTTTGTTGTACTTTTGCTGAAGCTTTATTAAATTGAGAAATATTATGATTCCATAACATAAGCCAGCCTTACTTGTGAATGTGACTTAAGATTGAATCCTTTGATACTGATGCTAGGAAGAGGAAAAACAAGAATGTATGAAAATAAATGAACACACAAATGAGAACAAACAAAAGCTACTCAATCAGAACTTGTTATAGCAGGGAAGTCAGACATCATCATTCTTGTTTGGCAGAGACTCAAAGGTAGACAGGAGATTGAGAAAGCTTCATAGTGAAAAAAGGAAGCTTAATTAGTATGGGGAGCTGGAAGTGGGTTAACCAGAAGTGGGGCATCCTATGCGATTGTTTAGGGAAAATAGTTGGCTTTCTCTTACTGGTCCTGAATTGGAAGGTGGGGTAGTTATTGCCTAAGGCCTATTTTGGGCCCATGGCTGCTGAGATTGTGGTCTGACTTCCTGGACTGGTGATACAGAGGTTGTGAGTTAGAGTTCTGTATTCATATATGGCAATTGTCCATTCAAACTAGCCATTGTCCATTACTGTATTCATATATGGCAATTGTCCATTCAAACTAGCCATTGTCCATTTCTGTATTTAACCTCTCAGATGTCATGTTGAAAGAAGAAACTAGAAACACTTCTCAACACATGAGTAGTCCTCAGCCAGTTAAAGGGGCAGAGAAAGAATATTCTAGGTATATGACACAGCATATGCAAAAGCAGAGAATCTTGTCATAGGTCTTGAGAGATTACAAGCAAATTCTAGACACCATATAAATGGTGCAGTGGTGAATTTACAGAGCATATGCATTATAAAAATTTAACCAATTTTATATATTATTAGTAGAAAGCATCCATCTTTCCACACTTTCCTTTGAATTTTCCTTACTCCAAAATTAAAATTGCTGACAGGGAGTTCTACATTCTATTTTTATCCTCCCTCCTCTTCTCCACATGGTTTATACTCTTAATTCTAACAATACTGTCAATCACTTGAATTCATAGAAGTCCCTGCTCCTCTTCCCCCACAGGAATTATTTAGTCTGCACAAAGCTAGCTCAACTGTCAAATTCTAAAAGAGCCATTAAATGTTCATTAGGTTCTCTGTAGCTTTACTTTTTATAATTTGATGAACAATAATCAGTTCTATTGTACATTTTCAAAAGCAGAATTTGATTCTAAATCATGTGCCATTCTCTACAATGAGGGACAGTTATAACTGCTGGCTAGAAGAATTATTTGTCATGAAAGGGTAGAATACTCATCATTTGGGGAGATTAACCATTGCCATTGCTTCTTTGTTACAGCTTTTGAGATATTCCTATTTTGGTTTCTTCCCATGGTGTATCTTTTACTTTTGAACCTCATGTGACTCTTACATTTTTCTGGAGATTCTAACAATCTATTGAAAGTATGAGAGAAGGAAATTAAAGCAGTCTTCATCTTTAGCCGCTAAAGCTAAAGATGAAAAGGAAAATGAAGAGAGTAAAAGAAAAAAGAAGAGAGAAAATTCTTCCCCATGATTACATAAAATTTGAAAGATAATGATTTTTTTTTTCAAGACCCATGTGACTCAAATAGTGTTTCCCAGTTGCGTCTTCCATGTTAACTATTCAATAACTCTCTCCCTCACCTCCATGTTTAGAGGTATGTTATACACAGTCATGCTTAGACCATTTCCTTTAGGGTTGTGTTGTTCTAAACCAACACTAGTCATGAAGTGGCACTGTGGCCTTGGGTGACTGGAGATTGTATCCTACTTTTTTGTTCTGCCCAAAGATTGATCTGGCGTACGTCTTGATTTTCTGTAACACTGTAGAATCAAGACCACAGTTGAGATTTCCCAAAATATACACTGGGAGTAACAGAAGGTGAGTAGAACTTACATCTGCTATTAGTAGATGTGGCTCTAGCCAGATACCTATGCATACCCATGTTTAAGCTTCTCTGTGGTGCGCCCCTATGCCTGGCTCCGCGAATATCTCTAGGGCTGAGGCCAGGCCCCTTTACAAATGAGCAGCTTCCATGCATGCTTGTGGCTCAGATTTCAGGTTCAGCTCCTGGAAATTCTCCCTTACTCCAGGCCATGGCCTTACTTCATGTTCATGTTTAGCATCTTCCCAAGGTGGCTGACAGTGCTATTATAAGGTCCATTCAGAGAAGAGATGCCATTTTCATTGGTGGCCCTTACTAGGACAACAATTTAAAGAATTTATTCTTTAACATCAGTGTTTACTGAGATATTCACTTTTTCAATACCCATGTGGAGTATCACCAGGACAATCTGGGTTGAGTTAGACAGAATCCCACTGATATGGTTTCACTTGTAAACAAAAGACAGAGTTTCCTGTTATCTTCCAGGTCTTGTTATTGATCTCCATGAGCACTTGCTTAACAAGAACATTCCTCTTTCCATGTTCACAGAAAATAATTCGTAGTTTCCTTATAATTTAAATCTATAGACAGGGAAAAAAAATTCTCATTGAAAGCTCTACAGGAATAAGGCTTTGCCTACAGCACATAAAACAGGAACCAGGTTGTGTGGGATCTGTCATGCCGAACAGCCCTCATGAGGCTCAGTGTCCCAAACATCTGGGTTGTAAAAGAAGACTCTGGCTTTTGTTTGCAGAATTATGAGTCTTGTTCTAATCTTTTCCCCAAAACTAAAGAGCCTTTTGGCTCAGAGATTAACTAATGGCTTAATGTCTGAGATTACTGACATAATATCAGTTTTTAAACTTCCACCAATAAAGATTAAAACAACAAAAGCAACAACAAATATTTACATCAGGCCAAGACAACTGATAGCACTTACATACTGCAGTTATTTGCTTTTATATCTCTGGCACAATTATATTTTAAAGGGCAAGAATGTTATGTATTCATCGTTATGTTCCCAGAATTCAGCTCAGAGTACAGAATAGACAATGAATAAATACTTGCAGAATAAGTGAATGTTAACACTTTTGACCTCACAATTGGACTTCAACACCCATATCTTTCCTTCTTTTATCCATCCTTTACTCAGGTTTTATTAAATCTACTCTCTTTTCTCCCAATTAGTTCCCTTTTGTCCTGACTGCTATCACTTTCATTCAGACCCTCAGTGTTTCACCCTGTACTTTAACAAGAGCCTCTGACCCAGCTTCTCTGCATCTCCCCAGGTCAGGGCATCTTACACAGTGCCCCAGCATCTCACTCTGAGGGAAGTCTGACCCTGTTACTTCTGCTCTTAAAAACCTTTCAAATTTTTTGCATGGTTAAAGCAGTGATTTCAAACCTTTTTCTTCAGAATGCTAGGATTTCAAAGTAGTGACTCCAGCCTTCCACATTTGATTTAGATTTTATTTTTTGAAACATCTATGCTTGATTATTGTAACAGGTGACGCCAGAACTACCCCTTCCAGAAAGTTGGAAGGATTCCACCTTCTGAGTATAGCTAAAAACCTCATATATTATATCTAAAACAAACCTAAGACTCTGAGAGGCACAGAAGGTAGACAGACTCAGGACGGAGGACCCAAGCCATGACACAGTAGTGAGTTACCTGGGATATCCTTTTCTCTCATATATTCCATACTTGGAGCAGAAGAAGTAGGCAACCTGGAAATGCCAAAAAATAAAAAGCACATACAAAAAGCTCTCAAACAAGGCTTGCTCTTTCTGCCTGTAGGACCAGGAAATGGGCAGCCTTGGTAGAAAGAAAAGCTTAGATAATAACAAATATACTCCAGCAGACACCACGAAGAAAACTGGTTCCTGCCTCGTCCAGGTCAGCAAAGGCCAAGTGAAGAGCATAGACAGTCCTCTAAGGCTGTTATGAGGCACCTAAGCACCCCCCTGGGGTGAGGCCAGAGAGGGCCACGCAGGAAAGTAGGACTTTCACACCACTGGTGATAATGAGATCTTCCCCCATGGTGTCAGCAGAGTCCCAGAGAAAAGTCTGTGTTTCCATCCCCCGTTGGGAGTAATGATGACCTCGCCCCTTCACCACTCGGGCGGTGACCAAGGAGGCCTGGTGGAGAGTAGTTCACCACTGCTCCTAGAATGAGGCCACCACCGTCTCCTGTGGCATCCGTGGAAAGCACGTGGGGAAGTCGCAAAGCACTCCTACCCCTCCCAGTCAGGTCTCTATTGGTGGAGGCCTCATGGGGGGAATCCCCCCATGTATGCTCGGAGATAAGGAGGAGACCTCATCACAGGTGTCAGGGAAGGCAGAGTGGGTAAAGTGGACTTCTCCTCTCACCTGGCAGTAATGAGGCAGAAGCTGTCCCCAGTCCTTTCAGCGCTGGAGCAGTTTTGAAGGAAGCACTAAAACAGAAGACTGATATAAGAGCTGGGGCCTACTACAAGGTATCCCAAATGTTAAGCCTTCAGTTGAAAATTATTTTTTATATCCCAAACTACGAAGATCTTGAAATGAATGAAAAAAAGACAATAAATAGATAATTCTAAGATTGCAGAGATGTTAGAATTATCTGACAGAACAGCCATTATAAAAAATGCTTCTATGAGCAAGTACAAACATACTTGAAACCAACTGGAGATTTCAGAGCTGAAAATACAATAATCACAATAAAAAACCTCAATGGATGGGCTCAATAGCAGAATGGAATGGACAGAGGAAAGAATTACTGAACTTGAAGATAGAAGATAGAAATACAGCGTATTAGAAGATAGCTGCACAGTCTGAACAAAAAAGAAAAAGTAGGCTGGGGGAAAAAAAGAACAAAGACTTGAGGACCCATGGGACAACAACAAAAGACCTGACTTTTGTATCATCAGAGTCCCCAAAGGAAGAAAGAAAGAGGGTGGGGCAAAAAAGTGCTCATATAACTAACAGCTGAAAATGTGGCAAAATACATAAACCCACAGATTCAAAAAAATTCCAACATAAACCCAAAGAGACCTACCCCAAAACACATCACAGTCAAATATCTGAAAAGTAAAGACATAGAAAAAAGTCTCTTGACAGCAGTGGGAGAGAAATGACCCCCTATCTACAGAGGAAAAAACAATTTTATTGACAGTGGATTTCTCTCCTGGAACCACATTCTTCAAGTGCTAAAAAAAAGGAACTGTCAACCCAGATTTCTACATCAAGCAAAAATGTCTTTCAGAAATGAAGTGGTAATATAGACATTCTCAAATGAAGAAAAACTAAGAGAATTTGTCACTAGTAGACCTACCCTGAAAGAATGGCTAAAAGATATTGTATAAACAGAAAGAAAATAATAAATGAAGAAATTTTGTAACATCAAGAGGAAAGAAAATGGTTAGCAACAATATGTGAAAATACAATCGTTTTTCCTTTTTCTCTTTAGTTTTAAGGCAATATCATAAATAAGGGAGGTTTAAAAATACAAAGGAAGATCCAGTTTCTACGTTTCATTTGAGTTGGTAAAATGATGACACTTGTGTACTTTGTGTGTTGATACACAGACATAAACACATAATATTACCTAAAGTAACCACTAAAAAATACACAAAAATACTGCAGAAAAATCAAAATGGAATTCTCTAAATGGTACAAGCAACTCACCAGAAGTCAGGGAAAAAAAAATCAAATCAAAGAAAATAAAAACAGAGAACAAACAGAAAATGAAATACAAGATATCAGACTTAATCACTAACATTTAAATAATCACATTAAGTGCAAATAATCTAAATAGATTAAAAAACAGAAGCTGGCAGAGTGCATTAGAATATGTGAACTATATTTGTAGTATCTATAAGAAACTGACTTCAAATACAACCATATAGGCGATTGAAAGTAGAAGGATAAAAAAAGATATAACATGCAAATATTAATCAAAGGAAAGCAGAAGGAGTATATTAATAATAGAAAATGTAGGCTTCAGAGCAAAGAGAATTACCAGAGACACAGAAAGACATTATATAATGATAAAAGGATCAATCCATCAAGAAGACATGCAATCCTAAACGTGTACACACCAAACAACAGAGGTGCAAAATATGTGAAGCGAAAATTGATAGAACCATGAGGAGCCACAGACAAATCCACAATTATAGTAAGAGACTTTGATCTCTCTCTCTCTCTCCTTTTGTCAATATTGAGAGAAAAACTAGACAAATTAGAAAGAATATGGAAGAACTAAACAACACCATCAACCAACAGGATCTAATTCATATTTATAGAACATCCCATCCAATAACAACAGATATACATTCTTTTCAAGCATCTGTAGAACATATACTAAGCTAGACCACACCTGAATCATAAAACAGGCCTCAACAAATTTAAAATAATTGGCAGTGTAATGGACTAGAACTATAAATAAATAAGAAAAACATAGGAAAATCTCCAAATGCATGGAAATTAAGCACGACACATAAATAACCTATGAGTCAAAAAGAAAGTTTCAAGGGGAAATTTTTTAAAAATTGGACTGAATGAAAATGAAAATACAGCATATCAAAATTGTTGGACACAGCGAAAGTGGTGGTGAGAAGAAAATATATAGCACTAAATGTGTATATTAGAACAGAGAAAAAGTCTTAAATAAATTATTTAAGATGCCACCCCAAGAATCTTGATCAAGAAAAGCAAAATAAATCCAAAATGAGCAGAGGGAAAAAATATAAAAATAATAATAGAAATCTTGAAATTATAAACAGAAACAACAGAGAAAAATAATAAAGCAAAAAGTTGGTTCTTTGAAAAGATGCATAAAGTTGACAAACCTCTAGTAAGATGGACAAAGGAAAAAAAAAAGAAGACACAAATTACCAGTATTAGAAATACAGGAGATATCACTACAAACCTTGCAAAAATAAGAAGAATAATAAAGAATGGTATGGACAGCTGTACATAAATGAATTTTACAACGTAGATGAAAGGGACCAACTCCTAAAAAAACACACATTGCTACCACTCAATGAAGAAAGATTATATACTCATATACCATTTAGGACATTGAATTTGTTCTTTAAAAATCTTCCCAAAAAAGAAAACTTTAGGTTCAGATGGTTTCACTGGAGAATTCTAGCAAACATTTTAAAATGACCTAACACAAATTCTACCCAATCTTTTTCAGAAAACAGAAGAGGTGTAAACACTTCTTAATTCATTTTTTTGAAGCTAGTATTTTTTCATGCTTTTGTGGCTTTTGTTTCATGATAAAGAATGATGGCAGTTATTTTTTGCTAACTGAAATAAAAAACAAAAAGTTATTTCTTTGAGTTTAGTTTAGAATATTTTGATTAAATAATGTCCCCATACTGCAAGTCAAACTTAGGATATAGTTGACCACATCATAAAGACCTGGGTTCTAAACTGAGCTGAACCTGCATCTTTCCCAGAGAGTTGCTGGTGCCTTCCTACCTCAAAAGCTGATACAGTGAGTTCTGCTTTAGCCATAGCTGCAACAACAAGAGTAGACATTACCCTATAGTTTCATGTTTGTCTAATGAGTTACATTGGTGCTTTTGTAGATAGTAATTGGCTGTGTAACTGTAAGTTTCTCTTTGATATTTCTTTTCTGTTTCATTGACTGATTGGTCTGTTCTTATACTAATACAACACTGTCTTGATTACTATAGGTTTGCAGTAAGCTTTGCAATCGAGAATATTAGTTCTCCAACTTGAGTTTTTACATGATTATTTGGCTACACTAGACCTTTGCATTTTGATATAAATTTTAGAATCAGTGTTTTAATTTCTACAAAATATCCTGCTGGGATTGTGATAAATTTCAATTCATAGATCAATTTTTAAAATTGACATCTTGAAAATACTGAAAGACCCAAAGACAGAAATACCATTTGAGTCAGTAATCCCATTACTGGGTATATACCCACAAGAATATAAATCATTCTATTATAATGACATATGCACACATATGTTCATTGCAACACTATTCACAATAACAAAGACATGGAATCAGCCTAAATGCCCATCAATGGTAGACTGGATAAAGAAAATGTGGTACATATATACCATGGAATGCTATGTGCCATAAAAAAGAACAAGATCATGTCCTTTGCAGGGACATGGATGGAGCTGGAGGACATTATCCTTAACAAACTAACACAGGAACAGAAAACCAAATACCACATGTTCTGATAGTGGGAGCTAAAGGATGACAACACATGGACACATAGAGTGGAGTAACACACACTGGGACCTATTGCAAGGTGGACGGTGGAAGGAGTGAAAGGATCAGGAAAAATAACTAATGGGTACTAGGCTTAATACTTGGGGGATGAAACAATCTGTACGACAACCTCTATGACACAAGTTTGCCTGTGTAACAAACCTGCACATGCATCCCTGAACTTAAAAGTTTAAAAAAAGTAAATAATTACTAAGTCCTTAAAGCCACAAACATGGTGTATCTCTCTATTTATTCAGGTTCTCTTTAATTTTTCTTAGCAATAGTTTAATCTTTCATTCTAGAGGTCTTACATGTTTTTATTAAAATATTCCCTAATATTTTGTTTAATAATACATATAAATGTTTAAATATTTAAAAATGGTTTTACTTTCCATTTTTCTACAATGTAGAAATACAATTAATTTTTGTCATTAAATAAATTCAAGTGGTAGTACTACTGTCTCTGTGTCCATGCCTCTGTTTCCCCACATATGAAATGGAGATAATAATACCAACAAACCCTTAGGGTTGTTGTGAGATTAAATGAGTTGTGATGCATACATTATTGTGAGAACTTTGTGTAGCCTTGGACAAATGCTCAGTCAACATTGGTCATTGTTGCTTATTCTTATTTCCAGGGACTAGGATTAGCTGGGGTCTCCGATCAGGTGGAGTCTCCCATCAGCTGTTCTGGAGGAAAATAATCTTTATCAGAGCAAGAGGCTCATCTGGGTTAAAAGAAGTTACAGGGTCACATCCTGTAACCGCAATGATGTTCTTTTAGTATGTGCTCCCGTCAGGGCTAGATTGAAAGGATGGTTCCAAAGCATGGGGTTTCTTTCCTCTCTGCATGAGTTTCATTCAGAAAGCTGAATTATTCTGTGAAGGGCTTTGGGTATCAAGGAATGAATGCCAATGTGCCAAGCAATATAACAGCACTGCAAGACGGTAATAGGCATTTGTTGTTAAAGGTGTCTTCTATGGATACTGGAGGCTGTGGTGATAAAAGTTGAGAAGTTCTGTTTCTCTTTTGACATTTAAATCAAAATCAAATCTGGGAACTGTTAATAAATAGAAATATAATCTGAAAGGCAATGATAAGACTGAGGTCCAATACTATGCTGCAAAGACAGTGTATGTCAGAGATTTCAAATATAGAGTTAATTCAGTTAAGTGACACAACAACATCCCCACTTCTTAATATTTTTCTAGAGCTCAGATTCAAACTTGTCTTGAAACACAAGGCTTTGGGATACCTGGGAAGTTAGTTTTATTTTGCAGTAAATTGAGCATTCTGGACTATCTTGAGTTGAGAATTAAAGAAACTTAATAGAGATCTAGTTCTTCATTCACAATATAGAGTCTTAATTGTCACTGGTATATTTACCCACCAATGTGCACCAAAATCTTATCTGCCCAAACTGCTGCTTCTTCCTGATAACCTTGGCATGGCTTTCTACTGTGTGAAGCAAAATATATATTGTGTGGAGATGTGACATTTTTTCAATTGGATCTGGAAAGATAATGGTTAAATATTGTTGTCTGATAAAGAGCAGTATCACACATGCATGATTCATGATAGAGTCTCTTTTCCAAGCATAACTGCAAAAGCATGAGCTTGATGTTAAAAAGAAAGAAAAAGGACTATGATACAAACATCAGAAATAGATCATTATCTGAATTCACTAGTTATTTCCTCTCTCTTTTATGGACTAATTTATACTAGCAGAAAAGGGAGTAAAAAGAGGAAAGGCAAGCTATGTCTGAAAATATATCATGAAGCTGCAATTTTCTGTAATTTTAGAATACATGTTTTTCTGATTGTAAAACATAATGACCCTTAATAAAATGTGGAAAATCAATCTATAAAAAAATTTTATTTTTATGATCCAGAATGATGTGTTGCTGGCATGTTAGTATATTTCTTTTCAGTCACTCTCTTTCCACAATAAACAGGCGCACGCATGCACGCGCGCACACGCGCGCGCACACACACACACACACACAGAGTTTTATTTATTTATTTATTTATTTATTTATTTACTTTAAGTTCTGGGATACATGTGCAGAATGTGCAGGTTTGTTACATACGTATACATGTGCCATGGTGGTTTGCTGCACCTATCAACCCATCATCTAGGTTTTAAGTCCTGCATGCATTAGGTGTTTGTCCTAATGCTCTCACCATGTCCCCCACCCCCTGACAGGCCCTGGTGTGTGATGTTCCCCTTTCTGTGTCCACGTGTTCTCACTGTTCAACTCCCATATATGAGTGAGAATATGCAGTGTTTGGTTTTCTGTTCCTGTGTTAGTTTGATGAGAATGATGGCTTCTAGCTTCATCCATGTCCCTGCAAAGGACAGGATCTCATTCTTTTTTTATGGCTGCATAGTATTCCATGGTGTATATGTGCCACATTTTCTTTATGCAGTCTATCATTGATGGGCATTTGGGTTGGTTCCAAGCCTTTGCTATTGTACATAGTGCTGCAGTAAACATACAATGCGTAAAGTTTTTAATACTGATTAGCTCATGCACTGTTATACCCTGATTCAGTCATGAACATTTTCCTATGACATTGAAGTAGACTTCACTAGCATGAACTGGAATGGATGCATATTTTTGTCATAGGGAACACATGATTTAATTTAACCATTATCAAATTACTATTATCTAGGCCATTCCAAAATTTCACTATTACAAATAACCCTGCAATAAATATCATTGCACATTAATAAATTCCTAGAAAAGGTAGTATGATGTTAAGAGCTTTTATTTCCTAATTTGCTTTCTTTAATGCTTATCAACTTACACTAGCACTATCCATAAATGGAAGTAAACATTGCACTTCACTCTCATCAGCACTGAGAATTGTCATTAAGAAAAGAAAAAAGATGCCAATCTTCCATCTGAAAATGATCTCTCATTACTGTTTAAATTGGCTGTTTTTATAACATTAGTGAGATTGGACATTTGTTTTTAACACGTGTCAGCAACTTTTAAATTTCTTCTTTTATTCATAAATTATTGGATGGTGCTCTTTGCCTCTTTTTCCCTTAAGTTTAAATAATTTAAGATCTCTTTGCATATTAAGGAAATTAACCCTTTGCCATACAGCATTTGTTAAAAATACTTGTCTCACTTTTTGTTTTATCTTTTAATCTATTATGTATGTGTATACCCACATTTATATACACATGCACATATATATGTATGTACATGGATATTTTTATATAGACAACGCCATTGACATTTTAACTTGCTATTTCTATCAGTACTTTTATGCTTTAGGAATTTTTAACTTGATGTGAATGAAATATTTACCATTTTAAAATCTGCAGGTTGTTTTATAATTTCATCTTTTATATTTAACTACAATTTACTTGGATTATTGTGCAAATTAGAAATTCCTACTTTCTTCTTAATAGGATATCAATTATCCAGCACTATTTATTGAATACTTATTTATTTTGTCACAGATTTGTTAAATCCCTTTCATTTAAAAATGAATTCTTATATAG
The DNA here is from genome assembly GCF_000001405.40 of Homo sapiens. Classification (NCBI taxonomy): domain Eukaryota; kingdom Metazoa; phylum Chordata; class Mammalia; order Primates; family Hominidae; genus Homo; species Homo sapiens. The sequence goes on from NC_000018.10 coordinate 27,332,341, forward strand.
TTCAATATAAAACGCAGGCCTCCTTTGTTCTATTGTTCTGTCTAGCTATTCTTAGATCAGCCTGTTATTGTTCTCAAAGGAACCGGAGAGATAAAAATCTATCCTAGTCTTATAATCTCAGTATTACTTTATTTATAAATACATGTTTAATAACACAAGTACATGACTAGAGGTTTACTTAATTGGAAATATCAACATTTGACATCAATGACCCGCTTTTCTCATAAACCATCCGCCTTCTCCCCACCCATCCCTTCAGAACCCCCCATCCCACCCAGGTGAAGCTGCCTAAACATGTGAGTTTCAGTCTTGGATGTGCACTGAAATTGTCTGAGAAGAGGAAAAGATATAGCTGATTGTATCAAGAGGTCAAGAAAGAATATTGTGAAAAGACAATTTCCAGCTCTTCTTGTTGTGTTTTAATATGTCTATGCTAGTTTTATGAAATAAATTGGGTAGACTTTTGAAATATTTTATGCTTTAGAATTTTTAGTAAAGCCTGGGAACTAAAAAAGTTGAAACAAATCATTGTGTAATTGACGCTGGAATGTTTTATAGAGGTATTTATTTGATGAATTTTAAATTTGTTCCATGGTTCACTTATTTTCTTACTCATTCTTTAGTTTGTTTGCTCATTCAACTAATAATTATTGAGCCTCTGTTACATAAAAGACATGATGTTAGGACTGAGGACAAAATGGTAAACAGACCAGGAATACCTTCTGCCCTCCAAGGGTATATAATCTAGTGGAGATATGCATAATGATCCAAATATAACAAATACGTATGAAATTGCAGCCCAAACAGAATCGTGCCAGGAAAAGCCAGGGGTTTTGAATTTGGCAGATAAATCAGAGAATGATTAGCTGAGAAAGTGATGCATGAGCTGAGGTATAACTTAGGAGGAGCTGATTAGAGAAGACGAGAGGTAGAAACATCCAGATGGACAAACAAGCATATACAGAAGTCCTGTGGTGGAAGAGAGCAGAGAGGCAGAAGCAATTGAAAGGAAGCAGAGTATGGAGCAGATGGGGGCTGGGCTTTCTTATGCATTTCTTCCTTTATCCTAAGAGCAAATATATGAAAAGGTGTTCAAAGTGAAACAGGGTGTTGTTACTTAGTTTTGCCTTTCTCCACTGTGAAGAACAGATTAGTTAGGGGTGCTGCTTTGCAGGGTAGATGTAAGCAAACTATTTGGGAGATTATGGATATAATTTAGCAGTGTGATGGTAGTAACTAGGACTAGATCAAGAGACTGCAAGTCATGGCTCCCAGGCCAAATCTGGACTCTCACTTGTTTTTATAAACAAAGTTTTATAAGAACACAGCCCAGCTCATTCATTTAGTGTCCATGGCTGCTTTCATGTTAGTTACAATGATGAAACTGAGTAGTTGCAACAGAGACTGAATGACTTGCAAAGCTTAAAATATTTACTATCAGACCTTTTACAGAAAAAGCTTACCAACCCATGGACTGGATGAGCAATGGTAGAAATTGACAGAACCAGGTGGACTTTGGAGCGGTTATTGGATTAGTCAAGTTTTTTGCTTCTTGTGTCAGTTACAGTCTTGTAATATTTTCTAGGAAAATTATTAATGATATTGTATAATTTAATATTAAATATTATTTTATTCTCATAATTAATTTCCTCAGAATCCAAGTTTGTATGCTTTTTATATGGTAATGTAGATTTGAGTTTTCTTGGTTTGATTGATGAGACTGGAAAATACTTTCTGCATTTAATGAGATGTTTCAAAGTATTAGCATGGAAACTATATTAATTTTACAGTTTTTCTTTTTTACGCAATAATTTCTATGAATACTTTTCTGACCTTTTATGGTTAATATATTTTTCTAACTTCTCTAGTTTAATGCTTAGTTTATTTCCATCCCATATTGTTAAATACTAAAACATGTTTAAGGCCATATACTGTGATTTGAATACTGCTTTGAATACTATCAAATGATTATTTCTTAGTTTATTTTCTTTTAGTGAGAATAATTGCAACTTCATTTAGATTTCATTCTCTTTCAAGTGGTGCACTATGTGCTTTATTTCATTTTATTATCATGTGGCTCTGTAAAAGTATCATTATTCCCATTTTATAGAACAGGGAACTTACAGACTTTTGTAGTTTATCCAAATTAGGACAGCTTATTATCTACATTTTTGTCTTCCTTCTTGTGGTCAGGGTCAATTTTACTTTGAACTAGTTGGGAGATATTATAATGCTCAAATTTGGGATTTTGGAAATGATAAGAATTTATAAAAAATACTCTAAAAGAAGAACATGACATTCTAATAGTTGCAATAAGTCCAGTGATCCAAAATCCACTTTCTTACCTGGAATGCTACCCCTAATTGTGTAGGAGGAAGTAATCACAAAATGGGGACTTTGTGTCAGATACGGTGATGAATGAAGTCATGGAAGGGGTCACTCAGAAGTGATTTGAGTGCCTGGAAGGTTTTCATGCAGTATATCTCTGCCTAAATTGAGGTAGGATCTTTTACATCTCTTATGAATTGCTTTCCTGATCATTTGAACTAATCAAACACATTTTTAATCTCTAACATTCATTGCCACCACAAGTTTAAAAATTTCTAGCATTAACTGAGGCATTTTTCTTGTTCAGAATACACTTCTTAAGAGTAGATGTGTGACCTCCTGTTTTATCTTACTTCCTGCCTTGCAATTTCTGTGCATTTTGATCCATGAGTAGATACAGGAATACAGAATGAACTAATAATGTATACAGCATGAAGGAGTTGAAGGTAATAGGATTGGGCAGTAATGGGGCTACTTCAAAATATATCATCTGTACTATAGCCTGCCAAGTTTCTACGTGGTCTGAATACTGATGGAGGGAAAAGGTTTGGGCGGGAAAATAGTGGAGTAGAGATTCAGTCTTTTTTTTCTTTTTTTTAACTTTTTAAGAGACAGGGGTCTTGCTCTGCATGCAGGTAAGAGTGCAATGATGTGAACAAGCTCACTGCAGCCTTGAACTCCTAGGCTCCTGCAATTCTCCTGCCTCAGCCTCCTGAGTAGCTAGGACTACTTGCACGTGCCTCCACACCTAATAAATTCTTTGTTTGTTTTAATCAGTGTGTAAGTCTTTTACTTCCCTGGTTAAATTCATTCCAAAGTATATTATTTTTACTTTTTGTAGCTATTATAAATGGGACGATTTTCTTGATTTCTTTTTCAGATAGTTTGCGATTAGTGTATGGAAATGTTACTAATTTTTGTGCATTGATTATTGTATTAGTCTGTTCTCACATTGCTATAAAGAACTACCTGAGACTGGGTAATTTATAAAGAAAAGAAGTTTAATTGACTCACGGTTCCACAGGCTGTACAGGAAGCATGACTAGGGAGGCCTCAGGAAACTCACAATTTTGGCAGAAGGTGAAGGGGAAGCAGGCACATCTTACATGGCCAGAGAAAGAGGAAGAGAGCAAAGGGAGAGGTGGTACATACTTTTAAAAAAGCAGATCTCGTAAGAACTCACTCACTATCACAAGAACAGCAAGGAGGAAATCACCTCCCACCAGGCCCCTCCTCCAGTGTTCAGGATTACAATTCGACATGAGATTTGGGTGCGGACAAAAATTAAAACCATTTCAATTATATATCCTGCAACTTTACTGAATTCATTTATTAATTCCAAAAGCTTTTTTTTTTTTTTTTTGCTGGAGTCTTTAGAGTTGTTCTCTTCTTCTTCTTCCTCCTCCTCCTCCTCTTCTTCTCCTCCTTTTCTTCTTCTTCTTTTTTTTTTTTTTTTTTTTTTTTTTGAGACAGAGTCTCACTCTGTCACCCAGGCTGGAGAGCAGTGGTGCAATCTTGGCTCACTGGAATCTCCACCTCCCGGGTTCAAGCTATTCTCCTGCCTCAGTCTCCTGAGTAGCTGGGATTACAGGCATGAGCCACAGCACCCAGCCAGAGTTTTCTGTACAGAAGATCATGATATCTGTAAACAGGGACAATTTAACTTCTTCCTTTTCAGTTTGGATGCCTTTTATCTCTTTTTTTTTTTTTGTCTAATTGCTCTGTCTAGAACTTCCAACGTTACGATGAACAGAAGTCGAGAGAGTGAGCATTATTGTCTTGTTCCTGATCTCAGAAGAAAAGCTTTTAACTTTTCACTGTTGAGAATGTTAGCTGTGGGTTTGTCATATCTGGTCTTTATTGTGTTGGGGTACAGTCCTTCTATATTTTGTTGAGTTTTTTTAAATCATGAAAGGGTGCTGAATTCTGTTAAATGCTTTTCCTGCATCTATTGAGATTATAAAGATTTTGTCCTTCATCTTGTTGATGTGGTGTATCATGTTTATGGATTTGTGTATGTTGAAACTTCCTGCATCCCAGGGATAAATCCCACTCGATCATGGTGAATGCTTTTTTAAATTTGTGGTTGAATTTCATTTGCTAGTATTTTGATGAGGATTTTTACATCCATGTTTATCAGGGATATTGGTCCATAATTGCCTTTTCTTATAGTGTCTTTGTCTGGCGTTGGTATCAGGGTAATGCTGGCCTCGTGATATGAATTTGGAAGTGTTCTCTCATCTTCAATTTTTAAAAAGAGTTTGAGAATCATTGGTGTTAGTTCTTTAAACGTTTGGTAGAATTCAGCAGTGAAGCCATCAGGTCCTGAGCTTTTCTTTGATGGGAGAGTTTATTACTGCTTTAATCTCTTTACTTATATTGATCTGTTCAGATTTTCTATCTAATCATGATTCAGTTTTGATAGTTTGTCTAGGAATTCCTTGATGTGTCTGGGAATTTGTCCATTTCTTCTAGGTTGAGGTTCTGTCTTCATATATTCTTTTAGACTGTTGAGTTTTCTATGGCACAAAAAGTTACATTAGCTACCAACAATGATCTTTACAGTAGGAATTAAGATGTTTAGTACCAGATTCAGAAAATAATTTTATAATATCTCCTTATTATCACATTCTTAACCCTCTGATTTTTTTTTCTTTCTCACAGAATAAGGTAGGGATTATCTGCTAGCCACCAGGCTACCATGGAAACCAAACAACAGTTTTCTTTACTGGTAAAGACCTCAGACTCTGAAATGGCCCATGGCTGCTCTATAGAGACCTACTTGCCTTATTTTTATTTCTGTGTATATTACACATTTTGCTCATCATGTGCCATGAACACATTATTCAAATGCCACAGTATAAAATATCAAATGCCTAAAAGTGACAAAATGGATTAAATCTTAAGAACCTGTAGTTTACTCTCCTTTAAAAATCAGGACACTGAAATTAAAATGACAAGCTTCCACAGAGGAGTTGGAACTAAAGTCTCAGTCATTTTTACTCAGTGGTGACATTTTTATAGTTCCCTGTCTACACGCAAAGCAGTAACTGCAATCTTCAAGCTCCCTAACTTCATTCTTACCCTATTATAGTGGTTAACGGTAGGTAAATGTGAGATCATTTTTACCTCACTTTTTTTTTTAATTAGCAAAGTTGTTTTGCCAGAATCACAGGTATAGTTGAGTAAAATTAAGTAGTTCCTGAAAGTTTCCCACCATCTTTAAATACCAATATTATGTGAGAAATTTGATTGCTTGATAAGTTAATACTATCAATTCTCAATATTGAAACATTAGAGATTTACTTCTTAAATCATTGGATACTCCTTTCCGAGGGATATCATGATGGAAAAGGCATTACTATCTTTAATATCTATTGGTATCTTAGGAACCTTTAAAACTGTGTCTCTTTCATGTCTTAGAAAAATAGTTCCTAGCCTAGAAAAACTGCTTCTTCATCTATCCTTTTTACCTAATGCCAAGAGTATTATCTTTTGTCCCTTGTACCTAAATGGAACCAGCATCTCTGAAATGTCTATTAAAACCATTATTTTAAGGCTAGGCACAGTGGCTCACGCCTGTAATCCCAGCACTTTGGGAGGCTGAGGTGGGTGGCTCACTTGAGGTCAGGAGTTTGAGACCAGCCTGGGAAAAATGGTGAAACCCCATCTTTACTACTACTAAAAATAGAAAAATTAGCTGGGCATGGTAGCACATGCCTATAGTCCCAGCTTCAGGAGGGTGAGGCAGAAGGATCACGGGAGCCTGGGAGGTGGACGGTTGTAGTGAGGCGAGATCACACCACTGCACTCCAGCCTGGGTGACAGAGAGAGACCCTGTCTCAAAAAAAAAAAAAAAAAAAAGGCATTCTTTTGTGGAAGAAAGCAACAGAGGAAGCGCAGCCTCCAAGAGACCACTGCTAGAATACATTTCTTACCTGCACAGGCCTGATTGGCAGCCCTGTGAACTGTGGACCCTTGAGCTTCTCCCTTTAAACCATCTGCAGAGGTCAGTCTCTCTAGAGCCTGCCAAGCTGTGAGAAGAGGAGGTCAGGTAAATTCCAGGAGAAGGTGGTAAAAGGGGAGCCAGAAAGGATAAGCCGTGACTGCCCTAGAGGAAGCAGGAAAACTTTGGAAAGATGGAAAGGTCAAGATCATACCCAAAATGAGCCCTAAGCCATCAGAGGAGTTTCATAAAGATTCCTATGCTGAAAGTTTGGATTTGGGCCATTCAGGGTAGAAATTATTCTGGGCCATGAGTAAAAGAAAAGATTTCATACAGGATAAAGAAATGAAACTGGACAAAAGAAAACAACCTTTCCTTCCCTCCCACCTGTGCTGAGGGACGGCTCAGGGTTAATGAAAGCTACTGTTAATCCAACAGATTGTTACCTCTTGCTATGCTTTCTCACCCTTGCCTTTCAGACTCCCTCAACTGGATGTCTATTACTGCATTTCATACCTATGACCTCTGGGACAAACCTCTGAAAGGTTTTTCTGGGTCTTCACCTTCTAATGGGGACTTTTCTCCTTTCTTGACAGATATCATTCTTAAAATGAGTAAGTTTACAGGCACTAGACAAGACAAGTATACACCCACAGCAAGCCAGAGTCCTATTTCCATGACTGGCCTCCTTCTTTTCCTTAGTTGACCTCTCTGAACCTGTCGGAAAAGTTGTGAATCTCCTTCACATTATATTCCTAATGAGGCGATTTACCCTGCATGCTAAATAAGATCATGACTATGTAATAAATTCTCCACTCAGAGCTAAGCTTGGAGTCAGCTCTTCAGTAGCTTACGATTAACCTTTCAACTGATGAGAACCCTATTGCTGCGCACAGATGGCACATTTTAAAGTTGTCGTGATTAAAAAATCTCAGTAACCTAGAGCTTTTTTACATATACTTTCAAGAAGTATCTGTTTTTAATTCTAATTTAAGGCTGGTTCCAATTGCTTTTTTTTTCATGCTGGAAAACAATCTGGAAAAACCATTTGAACTGGTAAATATCCATGAAGAGTCTTTTTTAACATTACATGCATATTCAACTAAGAATTTACATACACGAAGAAAAAAAGCCCAACTTTCCAGTTCTTATCTCACAGCCTGACCTCTTTTATGTGTGACGGAAAACTCTCCTTGTCTTCTGAGGAGGGGGAGCCCAGGTATTTGGAAAGCCTTGTTGTTAGGCCAGAGGGATGCCAGTGGCAAGTTTGGAGATGTGGAAAAGGGACACAGGCGTATTTGTGGAGGACTGACGGTAGAGTCAGAGGTGAAATTTTGAAGTAAAATGCGATCCACTGGGTAACATGAAACCCTTCCTCCTATTCCTGCACATTGTTTATGAACACCTTGGTAAGTGGATTACCTACCCTGAACTCTAAGAAGTGTTAATCCTGCTCCTCATTTGAAATGGGTTGAAACAGAGGCAATGTTTGGGTACATCTGTCTGTCTTCTCATGTGTGGAAATGCTCTTGATTTTTAAAATATTGTGTCCACTAAAGCCTGAAATCCCATCAGTAGCATAGATACCTCTTTTAAGTAATCGTCTTTTCTTTTACAATGATGAAATCCAATCAGAGTGAGTTCTCTGCACCTTTGTGGGAAAGAACTTGTGTTTTCCCTGAGAACTGCCGACAGACTGGTTAAGGGAGATAACAACCTGGCAAGCAGCCAGCCCAATTTATACCCTGCCCTGCCCTGCCAGTCCAGAGAGTGCCTAAATGCCAAAAATATTGGTAATGGTAATCCAGGCCAGGATATTCCAAGAGAAAAGGATCTCTGCTTTTGTTTCCCATCATATCCTACCCTTCCCTACATAATTTACCTGAATGCTACAGCTCCTGAATTTTGGTCTTGAGCAACCTGAAGAGAAAGGCTGGTGGAGACCCACAGGCGGTGGAGCTTTGGCAAGAATGAGAGAGGCAGGCTGGTGATCCAGGATTCCAGCAGAAATGGGAAGGGAGTGAATGGTAGTAAGAGAAGTGACAGAATAGATCTCTAGGGGAAATATATGTATGATGTATATATGTGTGTGTATGTACAGAGAAAGAGAGAGAGAGACAGAGAGAGAGCAGAGCGTCATGTGTTCATTCATTACGAATTAATCTGGTGATAATGGAATTACTGTGTGTCCAGCATAGTCCTCAATCTCAACAAAGCTTCTACCTCTGGCAAGAGCGGTTACAGATGTGAAACCTGAATGCCAGAAAAAATCAGTGCTAAGAACTTAGACAAAACGTAAACATGCCCAGGGGACTGCAGTCAGCATGGACAGCAGCAGCATGAGGTGCAGCTAACTTCTGCAGGTGACACAATGGCGTTGCAGTTGATGCAGCCTGGGAAACTTCTTCAATTGTCCCTCTCATTGAAAGACTGAGATTTTCTCTAATATCTCAACACCCTGGTTGATCCAGCCTTCTCTCCATGGCTTTACTTTGAAAGATGAAAGCAATTTCCGTCCTGCAGAGAAAAGTTTCCATGATTGAGGACACACCCAAGGTAACTGATCACTTCAGCTGCCTCATTCTGCCATATTTATTCACAAGAAAGATGCATTTTGAAAAGGAAAAACTTGAAATGTAGGTTTAAAAATTAACCCTTGAGGTCAAATAGCTCTCAGAAACTACTTACTAAGAATAGTTGAGAGAAACGAAATAGCTATAGAGAAATTTCACAGACGCTTTATATAAATATGAGTGCTGCTACACACACACACACACACACACACACACACACACACAGACACACTCACACACACAAACAGTGCTATTAAGGAAGGCTAGAAAGCATTGATATCTCCTCCCAAATAAAAAACTTAATAGAAAATAAGAACTGTGATATCGAAACTTAGCTGCTTTATGAAGCTGTTACCTGACTGCCAAATACCTCCTCTACTTCTTTCCTGGAGTCTTCCCTTAGGTTCTCTCTTTCCCTTTCTTTCTCTCTCTCTCCCATGCTTCTTAAGGATCAGGTGTGCAGAATTTGCTTTAGCCAGTACTTAGTTTATGAGTTACTACTGTCATCATCCATTTGTCAGGGTCTCTCTTTTAAGAATCTTTTGAGTTTTCTCTTTGTCTTTTTCAATCCCATTTCCAATCCCCCGCATAGGCACCTATTTGTGTATTTAGTATATATTCTTCCAATCCACCGGCTACATGTTTATTTAGATAATTACAGATGCTTGAAAACTACACAGTGCTATGTGGGCACCTAATTATGCATAGATGGTATTATGCTGTGGGATTTCCCTCTCTCTCTGTTTTCCCACTCAACATATGTTTCTGTAATCTATACATGTTTCTGTATGTGAATCTCACTCATTGCTCTTCACTGCTATATAGTATATGTCATAAGCCATAATATGCCTCTATCACATCTTATATTTCGTTCTCCTACCAGTGGGGTACTCTTTGCAACATTTAACCACACTTCAATAAATCTCCCCTCGCCTGACAACTTTTTGAATTTTTCTGAGGGATGGACAGACAGGCCTTGCTGGGAGACAGAGTATATATAATACATTCTTAATTTCAATAAGTGCCACTAGATTGCTCTTTGGAATGGCTGTATCAGTGCAAATGCCCCACAAACAAATCATTTTCACCCTTCCCGTGTAGCAGGTAAAATTGTTCAACTTTCACAATTTTCCAATATAATGAGTGCAGCATGGTACTCATTTTAGAGGACGGAATGCCTGAATTCTAATTTAAGATGCAGAACATTTAGTAGTTAATCTCATTCATAAGTGTTATTAATGTATGACTGCAGTAAGATGTTACTGCAGTAAGATGTCCCCTGCAGTAAGTTGCTTTACTGTGTCCAAGACTTTACCTTTCCCTGTCTCCACATCTTTAGCTGTATGACCTTGACGTTCCTTCCACAAAAGGTGATGTATATTTCCTCACCCCACTGATAGTAAGCTAAGCAGAGGTGACAGTCCTAGGCTGAGGCTTTAAGAGCACTGGGGGCTTCTCCTCACTCTTTTGCACTTCTGCCATCAGCAGGAACATAATGAAACTCTGGTGGCATAAGAGGATTCTATGACACCATAATTACCAGAACAATTTATTCTTTACTATTCTGGAGGTTGGAATTCCAAAACGGGTAATACTGGGCTAAAATCAACGTGTCAGGAAGGCTGTGTTCCTTCTTGAGGCTCCAGGAGAAGTCGTTTCTTTGCCCTTTCTGGGTTCTAGAGACTGCCACATTCGGGTTTGTGACCTCTTTTTCTGTCTTAAAGCCAGCAACATCAGGCTGTGTTCTTCCCACGCTGCCTGTTCTCTGCTTCTCCCTCCAGTTCTCTCTCTGTGTCTCCTGCCTCCAACTTTCATTTTTAAGAGCCCCATGATTACCATTGGCCTACCCAAATAATCCAGGATAATTAAAGATAATTTCATCTCAAGTTTACCTCATTAGCAACCTAATTCCTTCTGCAACCTAATTCCCCTGTGCCACGTAACCTAACATATGCACAGGTTCTAGGAAGTAGGACATGGACATCGTTGGGGGACCATTAATTTGCCTACCACCAGTAGCTCTTAACAACAAGAGTGTGAAGCAGATTTGAATCTAAACCCTGGCCTGGAGCCACACCCAACTGAGATCAGCAGAGTGGCCCTACTTGATCCATAGACACACCGGTGAGATGTTAATACCTGCTCTTATAGTCATTGAAATGTTGGAGTTGCTTGTCATTATTGTGGCAATAGTTGACAGAATAATCTACAAACAAAATCAGCTAAGAATGTTAACCTGGTTTTCACAAGAGGCCAAACATTTTGGGAAAATCTCCCAACTACTTTATTCTTTCTTCATAGGATCTTTATTTATAAAGTTGTGCTGGATTGTGGTCAAATCGGCATCACTACCATCTTTTCTAGAGTGGGAATTGTCTTCCCCCAAATCCTTTTCCTCTCATGGCTCTGGGTCAGAGTAGGATAATTAGAAGTACTCTGGTAAAATTTGGAAGGTCAGAGAAAAAAGGACCATTAATCTCTGAAGGCAGCTGCAGGCAAAATGTGGGCAGAAGAGAGGTTCACTGAGTCTTCCCAGCCAGTCCTGAGAACCATCCTCTCCAGCACCTCAGCCTGAGCTCCCCAGGGTGGCTTCCCTGACCTTGCCTTCCCTAGCTCTTCCAATAGTTTTAAAGTCCTTGTTTCCTCTACTAAGATCCCTTATGCTTGGGATGCATGAAATGGCCTCTGTCTTCCTGACCAAACCCTGACAGATACAATGTCAACCGGCATAATTTAAGGATGGACTATGTGCTGGTCACGACATGCGGTGATCTCAGAGTAGCCTTAGGTTCCACCCTTGTGACGTTGTCATTTTTATCTGGATCCATACATTTGACCACACTCTATTCAAATTCTGCTCACCAAAAAAAATGCTCAGAATTCTCTTATTAGAGACTCAGAGATTGTTTTTATAAGTTAATCATATTAATACATCTAGTATCATGTTGACATGGATCATTTTTCTACACATATGATTAGTTACTACTTCCTTATCCTATATTTCTTTCTCAGACCTTTTTTTTTTTTTCCCAGATGGAATCTCACTCTGTCACCCAGGCTGGAGTGCAGTGGCACTATCTTGGCTCACTGCAGCTTCCGCTTCCCGGGTTCAAGCAATTCTCCTGCCTCAACCTCCCAAGTAGCTGGGGTTACAGGTACATGCCACCACGCCTTGCTAATTTTTGTATTTTTAGTAGAGACGGGGTTTCACCATGTTGGCCAGGCTGGTCTTAAACTCCTAACCTCAACTGATCCACCTGCCTCAGCCTCCCAAAGTGCTGGGATTGCAGGTGTGAGGCACCACGCCCAGCCTCTCAGATCATTTTTTTTACCTAAATCAGCCTGCATTTGTTTCTGTTGAATTTCCTTGGGGTTTGGCAAATGCAGTATATTCTTTTAATGAAAATTATATTGGGCTTTATTTCCTAATTCTGAAATTCTAATAACTCACTTAACATAAGCTCGTCAGTACTATGATTAGCATACTATAAACTTCTTGATCAGAAAATCAATGAAGTTACTGATTAGGAGAGATGCTAGGGTCAATCCCTGCCAAATACTGCTTAACACATCCTTACAGACTAATGGCAAAGCCATTGTTATGACTGTCATGTACAGCTTGCACATCCCTCAGAAGAGTAACATGGTGAATACCACACAATTTGTATTATTAATGACCTGTGGGTTAGAATCAAATGTTTTACTAAATTAAAAATAAACTTCATAAAAATAAAAATAAAAACTTAAAAACCATAAGGCACCACTCAATTCATTAAAATAAATTGTATTACAATTATGTATATGAAAAATTCTTAACATTTTATATGCAATTCTTGCACACAATGATGTCCACTCTAAGTCTGGCTCTTCGCATTGACATTTGTATTTGTTGACATTGGCATTGGTTAATATGTTAATATTTACTTTGTCGTCTCTCATAAAGGACACATATATTATGGGCATACTTAGCCTGTTCATTGATGTGGGTATTTTTATCCTATAACTTGTTACAATTTTGTACATACAAAATGTAAAACTGGAATTATATTATAAATGATAATTAAAATGATGAGTCACCCATAAAAGTAATCAAATCCTGCTTCCTCTAAACACAAGTGAACATTCAGTTGATTCCTGCCTCATCATATAATTGTTGCACTGGTCTTTTTCCCTCTCTATCCAGATGAGCTACTTAACAGCCACAGCCCTCCGACTTTGGAATAGCCCTGCCTGCCATCATCATCTGTCCTGAGAGGAAGGCTTGCCTTTGAAATTCCTTTATTGTAGCAGACATTTGCTGCTAGGTCTCTTTTGTTAGTGCACATGCCTGCTCTTCAGCCTGCCTGTGTTCCTGCACCCATATTTCTGTGTGTCTGCCCCTCTCCCCACCTTGCCTAGCCTTCTATTCTAGTGTTTGCACTTTTCCAGGATCCTGGAATTTGTTCTGTTGCTTTAACTTGCTTTCCTGTGGCTGAGCTCCACTGGCTCCTGACTGCCTGCTTGGTTTGTCTGCCAGCTTGCCTTACCCTTGGGCTTCAATCTTCACAATCCTCATAATCTTGCTCTGAGCATAGGGTACCATGCAGCCCAATTCTACGTGGTTCATCTGCTCCTGACTTAACTGAATCTACCTCTTACTTGAGCCCCTTATATTAAAGAGGGTCGATGGCTTTTATAATGAAAGTGACTGCAATACAAATACATTTTAATGGTGTCACAACCTTTAAACATTAGCAGTCCAGGTTGTTCAAGGACCACCTTAAGTTCTGAACTTAGTGTGTAGAAAAGTTTCCACAAGTAAAAAATATTTTCATGCTTCTGAATATTTTATGGGTTTTGTCCTACATAGGAATACTTGCTATCTTTATTGAAAGGGGTATGTGGAATCAAATATCTGAATAAATTATGTCATATATATACAGCAGCCTTTTTCAAAATGTGGTTCATGTGATATTTATTGATACTAGATGAATAAAACTAACATTGTGTTTGCAAAATTTGGGAAATACGGGGGTTTATCAAAGTTAGACAGGTTTCTTTTATGTAGATTTTCTCTGAACCTTTTATATGTTAATTGAATTCTGAATCTTTATAAGAGGTAAGGTTTGCAGAATATCACTGAATAGTTTGACTACAGATCCCTTTTATCTATGCAACACCTTTTTACATCTCACTGGATACCAGGATCCTATGGAACATGATTTGGGAAATGCTGCAAGATAGGCTTTCAGGAAGCCTTTTAAAGATAAAGTGCACAGATCAAAACAGCTCCCTCTCAATAAGAGAAATCTGCCTCACTGCAGCCTGAGTTAATATTAATCTGTGAGCCTGAGACAAGAACTCAACAGGAGAGTTAGATATAGTCAAGAACGATCAAAGGCATGAGAACCAACTGGACATTGTGATTGCTCTCTGGTGGGAAGGCCTACTGCAGGTAACCTTCCTTTCTCTTTTCAAAAGCACAATGCATCCAGACTATGGAACTCTCTCTTCTCTCTCTGCTTTATTCTAACAAGAACCATGTGACAGAACAAATTCCATCCAACCCTCTCTGACATAATGTTCAAATGAGGATGTTTATGGGTTTGAAGCATTACTATTAGTCCATGCTACTTTTGAAGTGTAATCTTTTAAAAGCTCAAATCTAAACTGGGCAAGTCTGTAGTTTACTATTTTCCTTACGTTTTAATCACAAAAAAAGCCTCAAATTCTTAAAATGAATATGGGGGAGAATACAAATTTAATACACTAGCCATTGTGTTTCCAGTCCATATATTTTTCTGTTTCCTGTGAACTTCCAGGTCCAATTCCATTCCACAAATTCCATATCCTATAGCTATTGCCTTAGTGAAAAAAAATAGGAGAAATAAAAAATCACACAAAAAATTGTTGCCATTTAGATTTAATATCTAGGTTGGGACATAAAGAATGGCTCTTGAAGAATAGCAGAAGATCCCGGCTATCTTGACCATAGTCTTCTAAATGAAGCGTTTAGGGGAAGAAGACAAAAGACAGAAGAGGATGTTGTGAGCAGGGATCAGTGATCTAGTACTAGAGAAGCAGATCTGAATGACAGGAGGATCATCAACATCTAGGTACTGTCTTTACCTGAGCAATCACAGTCTCCACAGTGCTGAAAACTACACAGAAACCAAGAAATCACCCATAAACCATCACATACATTTCCATTCGAGGGAATGTGATTACTTGTACCAAGATGGCAAGTTAATCATAGTTTCCATGGCCATCAAAGAAGGCTCTCCCACCATTCTTTGACAGCAGGATCACATCTAATCATAGTGATCCCTATCTATGTACTGAGACTGTGTCTTCCATTTTATATGAACAACCCATCTTTTAGTACCTCAGGACACTCAATCCCTTTGGAGACAGAAGGTTTCTGGACACCTAGACAGAGAGTAATGATGTAGTAGGGAAAGCATCTGAGGTCTGTACTTGTGTAGACTGAATAGAGCCAGCTCAGATTCTCCCTAGACCAGATCAAAGCTGAAACACCTAACCTCACCCTGTCTGACAGATATTCCTGCCTCTGGCAAACTCAGGCTGATGTTTGGCCAGAGAAATAGGTTTCTAAAATATGTTAACACATTCCTTGGCTGAAGAATCACACATCTTTAATTGTTTAAAATTTACTTCCAATAATGTTATAAAGTTTAAAAATCTCTAGCTTTTGTTGTAAAGTCTACCATGTCGGGTAGTTTTCCAAGGTGGCACTTCTCTGGAAGAGTTAGTGCAATGGACCATAATGGAGATATGTTCTTGTTTCCAAAGATATTCTGAAGACCATAACAGTGCCTGCTGGCAGTGGCTTCTCCTTTTAATGGCTTGTGCCACCTTCCAAGTACCCAAACAGCTATGTCTCTCTTCAGTGCAGAGCCACAGGGCTTACCTTATATTTTTGAAAAATCTTTAGTGTCTGTTTGAAGTTTCAGAAGCTATTAGTCTCATCTGATTTAGGCTTCCATTCTTTGTTTGTTTGCCTTTTTTGTTTCTGTTTTGAGACAGAGTTTTGCTCTTGTCCCCCAGGGTGGAGGGCGATGGTGCGATCTTGGCTCACTGCAACCTACGTTTCCTGGGTTCAAGTGATTGTCCTGCCTCAGCCTCCCGAGTAGCTGGGATTACAGGTGCCCACCACCACTCCCAGCTAATTTTTTGTATTTTTAGTAGAGATGGGGTTTCACCATGTTGGCCAGGCTGGTCTTGAACTCCTGATTTCAGGTGATCTGCCCACCTTGGCCTCCCAAAGTGCTGGGATTACAGGCGTGAGCCACCACGCCCAGCCTAGGCTTCCATTCTTGCCTCTACAACTAAAATGTTTTGCATCTATATAAACCTTGAAATAATCTCTCTAAGCATATGTCTGGAAGCATTTCCATTTTATTAGAGCAACTGAAGTCCCTAGGATATTTGAAGTGCTTAAACTTTCATCTGTCTTACTGATAATATCTTATATGCCGGGCATTTGCATTTTTATGTGTATGTTTTTCTTTTTCTACATGATCAACCTTCATTGTTAAATCTTCTTTCCAGTCACAGGTGACTTTCCCGGAATAGCAGATGAAAAGCTAAGAAATATGATTGCATATTCCAACATGATATTTTTGGAAAATATCAGTTTTCTGTATTCAGACATCCTGTTTCTTAAAGTTTGGTTGAAGAAATTTGTGTACAATAAATAGTTGTCTTTTTGCAAGTATGAAGACCAGGTTGTCGCTTTAGGCAGTAACCAGGAGCTGAATGGAAGATAATGCTATAAAATGCACCTGAAAAAGAGTTCATAACTATCCCTCCCTCCTTTCATTATATTCATAGCCACAGTGATTAAATGTCTTTGTGTGATAGTTAATACGTTAATTTGAAACAAATTTGAAAAAACCCCTGTAAAGTCCACCTTGCTTCTGTCTCAACCACCTATTAAAATAGCCCTGAAGGAGTCTTTTCTTTTCATAAGTAGTAGAGGATCTCTCCTTTTGGCCTTAACATCCAACCACCAAAAAGCATAGAGGTAAAATGGTAAGTTCATTTATTTTTTATATCATGAAACAAAAATTGAATCTCTAAATCTTTATGTGACAAGAATAATACAAGGTGGTCGCAGGAGAATAGAAAATTCCAGGCAGCATTTTCACATTACTAGCAAAAGGAAACTGTTGAAATAGCTGCAGAAGCTGGGACTAATACGATCCTAAAAAACCAGGGTGTGGACCAAGCTGGCTAAGACTAACTGGAACCAACATGGCCCTGGATTTGACCTTGGTTTCACCTAGGACCTCATTCTATGCTCATTAACATACTCAATCACACACCCACCAGCACCATGACAGTTCCGAGAACACTCATATTTGTTGTAAAAAAAGGGTGGCACCACAGTTCTGAGAAATCAACTTTTTCCAGGACTTTTCATGAATATCCCACCCCTTGGTTAAAGAAACCCATAAAGATAGAAACCCCAAACTCCACTGAATGACTGTCTCTTGAGAACTCCATGCTCTTCTTTCTTGGGTGTGTAATTTTCACTTGCAATAAATCTCCATACTTTCACATTTTCTGACTCATCCTTGAATTCCTTCTCGTGATGGTGCCAAGGGCCTGGACACTGGCTGGGGCCAAAGTCCCATCAGCATTTGGGGACCTCCCCCAGCCCACCAGTGTCATTTACAGTTGTCTGATTATAATAAATTCAGGAAAAGTTTCTGAGCCTCAGCTTTTGATTTGTAAAATGAGGATATGAAGAGCCACCATACCCACTTCAGAAAGTTGTTACATGTTTCAAATAAGATGTTGTAATATAAAATAAAGTTTAACAATAAAAGTGGCTGCTTATGTTCTAGACAAAGAAAATTTATACAGGTAATCTGAGAGATCCTTCAAACATGTGAAGAGCATATTGTTATTCCCCATTTTCAGAGGAATAAATTAATAAGAGGCAAGTTACATTTAATTGGCTTGCTCAGGGCTCTACAGCTTGTAAATGGCAAATTTCTGCATGGCAAACAACATAAAAATCCAGAAGACTAAAGGCAAATAAAGAAAAAAAATTGCAACACCTAACAACCTTAGATAAAGTTTGTTATATTTTAAAAACCAGCAAATATATTTTTAAAATCACCTAATGGAAAAATTGGCATAGGATATGAATTTGCACTTCATGAAAAATAATAACTGCCCAAGTGCTCTTATATGTTAAACCTAACCAATGAAGACATACAAATAATAATAATTATGAAATAGTTTTCATGCGTGTATGTTTCAAACGGTCAAATATGATTAAAAAAAACCACCGTGTTGTCAGGAGTATATGAAAAAATTCTCAGTCTATTCTTGAAGTGAATATAAATTGAAGCAAAATTTGGAATGCCTATTACTAATGTATATTAAAATTTACAACCTTTTACTCTCTGACTCAGCAATTCCACTTTTAGAACTTTACCCTGCCAGTATTTATACAAACGTATTCTTTCCAACCTTATTTGCAGTAGAAAAAAAAATTAGAAACACTACAAATGACTCCCAGTAGGGAATTGGGTAAGTGAATTATGATCTGAGTATATGGTATCATACTCTGCAGTCACTAAAGTAGTAAGATTAAATTATATATGTGATTAAGAGGACAAAGATATATTTTGAAGTGGGTACAAATTTTCAAAACAATATGTCTAGCATTTTGTTTTAAGTTGTATACCTCTATACACATCTATTTGACATATATATCAATAATTTCTATAAGAGTTTGACCAACTTGGTAACAGTGGTCATTTATTTCGAAGTGGAAAAAATATTATAAGACACTTGCTTTACTTTTTTACATCTTCTTAGTGTTTAAATTGTTTACACACCAAGACTATTTCCTTCCAGGCTTGTTTTCTTTCCATTATCCCATTTTACCTTTTGAAAGTATTTTGTAAAGCACAAAAAGTGAAATTACTACTATTAGTATTCCTTCTTGTGTTGGTCTGATGGAGTTTCACCATAGCTAAGTAGATCTCTTTTTATTGGTAGCAGAGTTCAAGTGAATCTCTTCTCATTACCCTTGATTGCCATTTGTGCCAGTCATTTGCCTGTTGTACTCAGGTCTATTTGCTGGCTTTCCACTCTCTGTTTTTAGTCTCAGAAGTCTGACTCTGCAAACTACAATTCCCAGGAGCCCCTGGCCATTGGCCTTCAGCTAGAGAGTGGAAGGAGGGAGGAAGAGGAAATTCAGGGCATCTTCCCCCTTCTCTGTGCTTTGAGTGGCATCTTGGGTGGACTGGAGCTCTTTCCCTCTGGCAGCCTCTCCCTCCATGGTCCAGCTCCCACTCTTCTGCCCCAGCAGCTGTGTTCCAGCAGAGGTTTCGCCTACTTTCTTTGATCCTCCAGCCTGAGGAGCAGCTTCCCATCCCCACTCACCTTTTTGCTGTCTTGACTTCTCTGTTGATATTTCCAACTCTGTTAATACCATTTTAACTAGTCCCTTGTATTAAAAAAAGTCTCTCGAACTACATAGCATGGTTTTTGTATTCTGCTGGAATCTTGACTAATACACAATTTACATTCAATGTATTCACCACAAATTTTCCTGCATGATACACTGAATGCATAATAAACATAAGAGGAAAGTGTGTCCTCCTGGAGTTAGAGAGAAGGAAACCAACAATTCGGCTAAGAATTTTCCTGCCATTTAAAAGAAAAATCCTCAGACTGGGCATGGTGGCTCACGCCTTTAATCCCAGCACTTTGGGATGCTGAGGTAGGTGGATCACCTGAGGTCAGGAGTTCAAGACCAGCCTGGCCCACATGATGAAACCCTGTCATTATCAAAAATACAAAAAAATTAGACGGGCGTGGTGGCATGTGCCTGTAATCCCAGCTACTTGGGAGGCTGAGGCAGAAGAATTGCTTGAACTCAGGAGGCGGAGGTTGTAGTGAGCTGAGACTGCATCATTGCACTCCAGCCTGGGCAACAAGAACGAAACTCCACCTCAGAAAAAAAAAAAAAGAGAAAAAAAGAAGAATCCTCACTCTTTCTATGTAGTATTATTTTCCTCAAATCACAGCAAGGAGATATTGACTCAGATTAATTAATTGGCTTATACATGGCAGAGCTGGGATTCAGGTTCAGATATTTCTGACTCTGAAGCCCAAGTTATTTCCAAGATGCTATAAAGTTGATTTCTGTGTCTTTTCTTTCCCCTTTTTGTGTGCTCTTTTGCTTCACCCCTTCAGGCATCCACCATCCACAGAAAACACTTGTCTGTGGTGTTACTCTTCCTTCACACCTTGCTTTCTGCTAATCTGATAAACAAATTTGAGCTGAGCCAGTATGTAATGATATTTGCTGCTCTGCCAGAAGATAAAAAATGGATTCACGATTTTAACTCAAGCCTGTAATCATTTCACTAAAACATATATTCATGCATTCCACTTTTCTTTCCCGAAAATGTGCTGGTTGCTAGATACACAGCACTGAACTAGAGAGATTGCAGCCTGGTAGGGAAGAGAGTCATCAAACAACTTTATTGAGTTCTGTGTAGGGGAAATGCTCAGTGGAAGCCCATGAGAGGAAATTGTCCTAGAGAGTCCAGAAATACTTTCCTAAGGAAATGAAATTTGTTTTGACCATAAAGGAGGCATTAGATAAGTAAAGGCTGAGTAAGTGGGAGAAGGATAAAAATTATATGACAGCATATAAGTAGGTCCTAGTGCAAGAAAAAGAATGACCCATCAGAGAAAAATTTTTAAGGCCAATAATTCTGGAGTGTAGAGAGAAGAGTTGGACAAGGCAGGAGAATGGGGAGGCAGCCTGATCACGGAGAACCCCAGGAGACATATTAAGGATTATAAATGTGGGTTTTTTTTTCCATTCTAAGAGCAATGGGAAACCATCAAAAGGTATTTAGCAAGGAAGAGACATTAAAACATCTTGCTTTCTAAAATGAATACTCTGGCTACAATCTGAATAATAAACTAGAAGAAGGTGATAATGGGTGCAGGTAAACCATTTAGGAGGTTTTTTGAGTACTCTTAGAGATGATGGTAGTGGGCATTATGGGATGTTGGAGGGAGATGGAGAGAAGAGGTGGATTTGGGAGATACTAGGAAGTGGAACGAATAGGATTTGGGGAGTTGAGAATAGAAGGAATCTAGAATAATTCCTAGTCTGGGATTGTGTGCTAAAATAGGGAAAAGTGGAGGAACAGGCTTAGCACAGGAGAAGTCATGAGTTCAGTTGTTTGGGACATGTTGAGTTTTTGGGGTCTTTGAGCAATCTAAGTGGGCATGCTGAGTTGGCATATATATATATATACACACACACACGTGCACACACACAAACCCTTTTCAAGCACAGATGAGAGATCAGGACTGGATATGGAATCTTGACGTTGTTGAGTTTTGGGTGACAATTCAAGCCCAGAGAAGTGGATATGATCGTTTAAAGGAGAGAGTCAAGAAGAGGACCTAGGAGTGAACTCTGAAGAACAAGAAAATTTGTGATCTCAAGGAGGAGAGACACCCGTAAATAAGTTCTTCGAGCTTTTTTAGTTTTTTTTAAAGGATGAATGGAAACTCAAAGATACTGTTCAATTCTAATGTTGGAGAAAACATGTTCAAAAGGAGAGATATTAGACAAGGACCATTTCAAACATTTAGCCTGCCTACAATGTGCACGTGTGCATCCGCCGCCCACCACCACCAAGCGCACCTTCTGAAAGAGTGAAACAGCCCATTCACAGTGCTGTTTTCCCTTCTAAGTTGTCTCTACCAATAGTTCTCAGGCCAAAATGGTGTTGCAGAAATGCCTTCACAAAAGACACAGACATCCTGGCTAACACGGTGAAATCCCGTCTCTACTAAAAAAAACACAAAAAATTAGCCGGGCGTGGTGGCGGGCGCCTGTAGTCCCAGCTACCCGGGAGGCTGAGGCAGGACAATGGCGTGAACCCGGGAGGTGGAGCTTGCAGTGAGCTGAGATCGTGCCACTGCACTCCAGCCTGGGTGACAGAGCGAGACTCCGTCTCAAAAAAAATAAAAAATAAAAAAAATAAAAATAAAAAAAACAAAAGACACAGACATGTTCAAGCTAATCTTCAAGGTTGCTGGTGGTGACCTGGACAGGCTGGCAGTGGTTTTGCCACCTTCAATCTTAACTAAGTCTCCATCTCAAGATTTTTCTGTAAATGTAGACAATAAACAAATTCTCTGTTCCCTCATCTCTTGCTGTATTGCCTTTTTAAAGCTTGCCAATTATCATTATATTTGCATGAACTTCAAAAATAGCTATTTCAGCTACTATCCATATAACATTAATTCTTCTAGAATAGGCACTTACAATTCTACTAAAAGACTTGTGTGGGTTTCCACATAACTCTCTTTAATTATGTATGTCCCCTACATTTCCAGTTTCTGTTTTTGTTGCCAAGTGAGTATTAGAAAGTTAATTTACCCTATTAACGTTGGCCTATTTCTTTAGTCTCTATTTAGATTTACAAATTTAAGATATCTGTTTTTCTTTTCTCTCCTTCTATCCCAACTCTTCTGATCTCCCAAGGAAGATAACTTGGTGAGTGCCTGAGGAGACTAATTTATTTGTTCACTTAATTTTTTAGAAAACGTTAATTACCTGAGGTCTTATTCAAGTAATTTACCTTACTGGAAGACTAAGGGTACTCATATAACTGGAAGTAACTTAGTACACACTAGAAAATAATTAACAGAGCCTGTGGAAATAATGTAACACACAAATATACAATTAGATGTTGTAGTAGGAACTAGAGGGCATTTCTCTGGGAAATACATTTAAAACCAAGACTTCATGAGACTAGAGCAGGTGTGTTGTCATAGCTGAGTCCTCACACTGGCAGGCAGTGGAGTCATGATATGCATAACACTATGCTGATTCTCCAGGCTAGCACCTAGTGAGACAGCTTGGCTTTGCAGCAGCAATATATTCACCACCACCACCACCACCACCACCACCACCACCACCACCACCACCACCACTACATCATCATCATCATCATCATCATCATCATCATCATCATCATCATCATTGCCATTATCATTGATGGAGGTCATGCTATGAGCAGACCCTGTGCCAATACCTCTAGAAAGATGATTTTTTTTCCAGTCAAGGAAAGGGAAACCTTATTGAATTCCCCGGGCAATGGGGCTCAGGAAGGAGGCTGCCCTGCGAGGGCAAGAGGAGCCAGTAAAGGGGCTCTTATTTGACCTTCTTGGTGGCTGCAATTCTTGCGACAGTTGACAACACGGTGCAGCAGGTGGGCATACCACTTATTGTGGATCATCTTGGCATGGTTGTATCCTTGAGCAAGCTGGTAGAGGAAAGATTAGATCATTGTCTAGACCCGCAGCCACATGCCAAGGGCAGGTGGACACTCTCTGAATGTTGTTGGAGAGAAGGCAGCCATTCTCCTCCTGTCTGCCTGCAAAAACCAGACACTGCTGATCAGGTGGGATGCCCACCTTGTTTTAGATTTTGGCTCTGACAATCCTGATGGTGCCACTAGGTTCAACTTGGAGGCTGATGGTCTTGCCTGTCAGAATCTTCACAAAGATCTGCTGTTTGGCTACTGGTGTAAGAGAAGAAACACAGTGGAGAGGATGACCTTTTAAAATCCTCACACTATAAATATAGAGGTTGGTGCTATTGTTATGCCATTTTTTAGAGAAGGAAATCGAAACTCAGAGAGCTTGATCCCATGCTGGAGATGAGACAAAATCTATGGGGCTTGACTCTGAGCCTTAGTTTTATATTCACAACACTACATCGCCTAGTATTCCCTGTGAGAGGGAAACATTCCTGAGATGAGGGAGGCCTGACACGGGGCCATGGTTTTTTGAGGCTTGGATCTGCACTCTGAGCTTAACACTTCAGAATTTCTTGTTAATGAAAAGGATTTGAGGCCCTCACTGCTGGGGGTAGCTGAGCAATATCACTGAAAGTCACGGCCAAGGGGCAGCAGCAGCAGCGAGCAGAGCAGCCAGGGCAGGAGCAGTTTCAGAGTGCTCTGCCCCCTTCAGCCTGGCACGGGTTAGGTGGGCAGGATGAAGCTCATTACGCAGAGACTGTGGACTGGTCTGCAGATGAGCGCCCAGTCTTGTCAAGCAGAAAATACTCCCCAGGTTGGCCGGGTGCAGTGGCTCATGTCTACAATCCCAGCACTTTGGGAAGCCGAGGCAGGCGGATCATTTGAGTCCAGGAGTTCAAGACCAACTCAGGCAACATGGTGAAACCTTGTCTCTACTAAAAATACAAAATTTAGTCAGGAGTGGTGGCATGTGCCTGTAATTCCAGCTGCTTGAGAGGCTGAGGCATAAGAATTGCTTGAAACTGGGAGGCAGAGGTTGCAGTGAGCAGTGATCGAGAGCAAGACTACGTCTCAAAAAAGAAAAGAAAAGAAAAGAAAATGTTCCCCAGGTTTCAGCCATCTAAATAATATCTAGATATTATTTAATTAGGAGTTGCATGACTTATTACATGTTCCAAACATTCCCATTTGGCCTTCTGATTCTTTATTCATGTGTCCATTCATTCAAAAAATGTGTCTTCCAAGACTATGCTAGGCGCAAGATACACGCAGAGGTGAATATCAGTGAACAGCCAGGCTGTTCCCTCTGGCAGAATGCCTCCCACTCCTTTCAGCACCCACCCCAAATGTCACACTAAATGTCATAAGAGCAAGTGGCACGGGGGACCATTGCTCTCAGAGAAGCAAGACTGGCAGGTACATGGATGCACACATCACAGAGCACAGGGTGGTTGTATTCCAGAAGCTAACATGTTGAAAGAGAGAGAATGAAGTCAGTGGAGCTGGAGCTGGTAAAATCTGAACCCAACCCATTAGAATTGGAATTTTCTGGGTATTGATCTAAACCAAGTCCTGATAGTGACTGATGGGAAAGATTCTTTCCCAGGCTTCTGGTGTTTCCTCTAGAAGAAACCAGAAGGGAGGCAAACTTCTTATTTTCCCTAGGTGGAATTTACTGTCATGCAGCCACTCAGCCTCTTCCCTTCAAAACCCTTTTCTATTAGAGTCTTCCTGGGTTTATTCTTCCATCAGTGAATCTAGTGGGCCTCAAGAGAAGGCTAAGGGCATGTACTTTGTGGGAACTCAGAATTGCTTAAAACAGACATCAGAGACTGACCACAGGACTAATTTAAACGTTTTCAGTGACCCAGAGGTTTTGAGTGGGATGGCCACATTTATTTTACACTGATAGGAGGGCGTTTTGAGCCCCCCTCTCTGAAATTGGTGTCCTAAAGTTAAGGAAACACTTCTAAATTTATTTGTTTTGTATCCTCTGAGATACTGTATGATTTAATTCTCTAAATAGAAAGTGAGCTCTTCAGCGGTGTCTTTAAATTCCCTTGATCTCTGGTTCTTTTTCTTCTTAAATGTACTATTGATCAATTGATGTACTTGTTCTTTTGTACTCTTTGAGAAGAGTTATTATGAATCCATTGTTAAATTCCTAAATGGGTTGAATCAATTTTCCAATTGCCTGAGAATAAATATCAAACTCCTGTCTTCCAGGAGCCATAAGCAAATAAACCTCTCCCCACTAATGAAATAGAGTCTCTTTTAAGTATTATTGCCAGTAGGAGGGGAAAGTTCTCAGTTATTTGTCAAATCAAATGAAATGTTCTGATTATCTCTTTGAACCTACTCAAATACGACTTTCACAGGTGTCTGTTGAATTTCACTGATATAAGTTGTATTTTCTGGGAAACTGAAAAATAATAATACGCCATGAATACCTCTATTTTTATGTCATTAATTTATTCAATAAATGTTTTGGGAACATCTAGGATGTGCTTAGCCCTGTGGGGAATATAAAGAAGGAAAACATATAGTTCCTCTTTTTAATGTTCTTAAAATCTAGTAGGATAGACTCTGGAAATTATGGAGAAGAGAAGAGTTTGTTAGGTGTCCTGACATTGAAGGATAATAGGAAGAAAGAATCAGTTGTGTCAGTGGTAAAACTGTGAGAAACAGAACTGGTTTGGACATGGCACAAGTGGAAGACCCATAAAAGCAGATAGAAAGTCCAATTCATCAGGTCCAATTTCAGATCTGGTTCAGCTATTAGGCTCAGAAAATCCAATACTGTGGGCAAAACTAATCAGTCAGGTGATTGCAGACTGTAGGAAATAAAGGCATGGAAAGTGAGATAGGAAACGCAATAGTAGTTACATATCATAGGCAGAAATGTTACAAGGTTCTACATATAATTAAGTAATAATAGTAGCTAACATCTGTTAAAAGCAATGTGCCAGGTAGTTTCTAATCTTAATCATGACCTTAAACTATTGAAGATATTAGTTACTTTGATCATCCTGGTATCTGTTTCATGAGTTTGCTATTATTATCCCTATTTTATTAATGAGATGAGATAATTTGTTGGAGGTCACAGACCAAGTAAGTGTCAAAGCTGGGCTATGAGTCCAGCAGCATAGTTTCAAGAGCTTGTGTTCTCAGTCACTACAAGGTGCTGCCAGGGTACCAAATAAAAGGTGTAGGCAACAGGCAATTACAGGAACACAGCAGAGAGAGATGGAGAGAACAGTGTTGTCTGGGAGGCACAGCGAAGATGACCTGCAGACTCTTTCATCTCCTTAGAGATATAACAAACATTCTCATAGGTGGACAGTAGAGGTTGGTGGAGACCACGAAAACAGAAAAAAGAACATAGAGTCTAGATTGACAAGGACCATATGTTTTTTTACAAGGTATGTTTGGGGCAGAACATTTGAAAACAGAAACTGAGATATGAGGTTGCAGAGATAATTTGGAGTCAAAAGATGCAGGGTCTTGAATGGGGAGGAAGTAAACAAGAAAATAATACTATGAAAGTTATTTGTATTAGATAGAAAGGCAGGAGGAGGTCCCTAAGGGAAAGAATGTAATGAGATTAAAACAGAGTACTAAGGCCAGGTGTGGTGGCTCGCACCTGTAACCCCAACACTTTGGGAAGCCGAGGCAGGCAGATCACCTGAGGTCAGGAGTTTGAGACCAGACTGGCCAATATGGTGAAACCCCGTCTCTACTAAAAATACAAAAAACTAGCCGGGCATAGTAGCAGGTGCCTGTAATCCCAGCTACTCAGGAGGCTGAGGCAGGAGAATCGCTTGAACCCAGGAGGCAGAGGTTGCAGTAAGCCAAGATCTCTCCATTGCACTCCAGCCTGGGCAACAAGAGTGAAACTCTGTCTCAAAAAAAAAAAAAAAAAGGGACAGTGCTAAGAACACAGCTTGGGGTGATTCTGACAATTAAAGCCTGAGAGGAAGGAAAAGAAGAGTCTTCCACAAACACAAGCATAGGAAGGTGAGGGCTTGACCAGCGGGGTGGCACTGTGTATGAAAAGGAATATGCTTGCTGAATAAATGAATGGACATATGGATTCAACAGTCAACAATGTGAGAAAGCCCAGCATGGTTGGTGAGCCCAAGTAGTGTAGTGGTTAAAAGGATCGACTTTGGAATTAGACTGTTGAGATTCAAAACTAGGCTCTACCTTCGATCAGCTCTGTGACCTTGGCCAAGTTCCATACCTCTCCTTGCTTGGTCATTAGCTGCATAATGAGGCTGATGAGGGTGATCACTGGGCTGTTGTGAGTCTTAAATGATTTTACCTTCTAAGTGTGTGGGACAGTGCATAGCGTGCAGTAAATTTTATATAAATATTGTTAAATAATTCAAGAAAAAAACATAAACTCACTGGGAAAATAACTTGTATATTTTTTATTAAGAAATTAGATAATTGAGAGGCATCATTAAAATATCTGCCTGGATACTAACTCCTATTAGAAGCTGGACATTTCACTGAATCAATGCTATGGTATTGAGTATGTGCCACATATATTCTTCGGTTTTGAGGTATGGAAGGAGAGAAGTGAGCAATATTGCTGGTTTCAAGGATCTCGTAATATATGGGGATGTAAATAACCAAAAAAGTCAATGACACACCTTATTAAGTTAGGTAACGTAAAGTGTTATAATAAAGGTACAAAGATACAAAGTTACTACTTCTTTATGAGTAGTAGAGAGATTCACTAACACTTCTTGTGTTGACCAAGAAATGCTTCACAGAAGAGGTGACATTTGGGGTGGGCACTAAAAGGAGTGGGAGGCATTCTGCCAGAGGCAACAGCCTGGCTGTTAGCAATCCACCACACGTGTATCTTGCGCCTAGCACAGTGTTGGAAGAAACATTTTTTGAATGAATGGACTCATGAATAAAGAATCAGAAGGCCAAATGGGAATGTTTGGAACATGTAATAAGTCATGCAACTCTTAATTAAATAATATCTAGATACTTCGACCACCACTACAATACCCTCACTCATCTTTTTTATGTAGATAATGGAGTAGCTGAGCTTTGTCCTAGTAAGCTTCTCCATGAGGCTGTGTATCCTTGAGGACAGGGGCCATGTCATATCAGCTGTTGTCATCCAAAAAGTAACATATATGTCAGACGTTGAGTAATCAATGATGAGTAAACAAAAGGGATCTAGAAAGAAAGAGGTCCTGCCATCTAGAATTCCAAATTGTTTATAATACAACATTGATACTTCAGTGGGTTCACATTTAACTAGAGAGTAGAATAAGAAAAATAAGCCAATAAATGACAGGATTGTTGGTGTCACTGAAACTTGTGTAACTGTAATTGTGTGTGTGTGTGTGTGTGTGTGTGTTTAGAAAACAGCAAAAATTATTAACATGCTAAATTTAAACTGAACAATGAGTGGAAGTTATGGTGGTATTCCTAAACATTACAAAATGATACATAAAAACAAAAGCAAGAATAAAACCAAAACTATACTTTGTGTCCTTAAGTTCAACTTAAGGCATATAAGAAAAACAGGAAAATTAAAAAAAAAAAACAGTTTTGATGTTGCATGGAAGTTTTTGTTAGTCCTTCCACAAAGTTGCTAGAGGTATTTCTTGTTACGTCTCCAGGCATGGAGGTTTTCAGGGAAATAAATAATCATTGGCCTGCCCTTCAAACACTCAATATGTGGTGCCCAGAGATGGAGTGGGTTTATCTTTTGCAGCCTTAAATTATGTAAGGTGACACCTCAAGTGACTTGATATATGAGACCAGAAGGAGGGTAATAGCATAAATTCCCCAAAGACAGTAGAATTGCAAGATACAGCTTTTCCAAGTCCACTGACTTATCCTGGCTCCCTCCTTAAAGGCATTCTAAACATGCAATACACGTACTTACTGGAAAATCTTTATTAGTATCAAGGCTGCCTAGCAGCCTATGTAGGCTATACTCTCTGCGCCTTTTAGCTTTTGTTATTTATTTGTCCTTTCTTCTAAAATAGATGTTAAATGACATGTCATCTTGCTTCCAATCTTTACTCCCGTTATGTATTATCTGCATGATAGCCATAGTGCTCTCAAATAAAATGATAACATGTATATATCTATACATAACCATGTAGTTACTTTCACTCTTAGAATTGTCACCATCAGCAAATCTTATTAAACACCAAGGATGTTCAGGGTACTGTGCTGGGTATCAAAACATTTTATATTCATATCCATGTAATGCTACATTTTCTGTTCATATCCATATCCATATAATACTACTATATATGTTTTACTTAGGTATGTGTATATAGATACACACACATTCTATATACATATGATAGGTAATATATAAACATATATGGTTTTATATATATATATATATATATATATATATATATATATATATATATATATATAGTTTTTAGCCAGAAAAATATATATTTTAGACATAGATATTTCTCTGGCTAAAAACCTTCCCAGTGGCTTGCTGCTTTCCTTAGATTTCATATCCTTTGACTTCAAATTTCAGGCCATTACCTGTGTCTCAATCTGCTTGGGTCACTGTAACTAAATACCAGGTTTTGGGTCATATGCTGGGAGAAGTAAACAATAGACCTTTATTTCTCACAGTTCTGCAGGCTGAGAAGTCCAAGATCAAAGATTTGGTGTATGGCGAGAGCAGTTTCAGTGCATGGTGAGCGCCTGCTTCTCTGGCTTGTAGATGTCCGCCCTCTGTCTGTGTGCTCACATGGCCTCTCTCTCTTGTTCTTATAAGGCCACTAATCCCCTTGCTGAGGGTCCCACCTTCATGAGCTCATCTAAACCTCATCACCTTCAAAAGGCCCTACCTCCAAATACCATCACACTAGGGGCTAGGGCTTCAATACATGAATTTTCAAAGGCACAAAACTGCAGCCTGTAATGACCTGCAAGATCTCACTGTAGCCTTTTCCTCACACCTGATCTTCAACTACTCTCTTGCCACCGTGCTGTGCACACTGCTCCTGCCACACTGGTTCTCTTTCTGTTCCTTAAGTAAGCCAGAATTATTCCTAGCTCTGGGCCTTTCTACCTGCTGGGGCCTCATTTTCCCCATGCCTTCATCTGCCTTCTCATTCAGCTCCCAATTCAGGCGTCACCTCCCTCAGAGAGGTTGTCCCTGGCCACCTCAGGATAAATTTGCTTTCTCATTCTTCTCTCATCACTCTGTCTCACACTACCCCACCTTTTTTTCCTTCTTAGTACTTATCACTATCTAAAGTTATCTTTGTTATTGTTGTTATTATAGTAATTATCCATGTATCGCACTTGTACACAACCTCCGTAAGGAAAGATATCTATTCTGTTTATTAGTTTATTTCCAGAATCTAGAACCTAACATATGATATATATATGTATGTGTGTATATATATGTATGTGTATATATGTATGTGTATATATGTATATATATATGTATATATATACACATAAATAAAACGTGTATAATATGGTAGGGTTAGATAGACAGATACATACATACACACGTACATACATACAGGTTTAGTATCACTTATCTGAAATTCTTGAGACCAGAAGTGTTTTGGAATTTGGACTTTTTCAGGTTTTGGAATATATGCTTATAGATAATGAAATATCTTGGGAATGGGACCTCTCTAAACACAAAATTCATTTTTGTTTCATATGTACCTTATAAACATATTTTAAATAATTTTGTGCCTAAAATAAAGTTTTGACTGCATTTTTTACTGAGACCCATCACCTAAGTCAGGTGTAGAATTTTCCATTTGTGGCATTATTTCAGCACTCAAAAAGATTTGGATTTTGGAGCATTTCAGATTTTGGATTTTCAGATTAGGGATGCTCAATCTGTACCAAGGTTTTCATAGGTTAAGGGGATAGAATCGCTAACCATGGTGTAATAGGAATGGTAAGCAGATCAGGAGATATGTTGATTGGGTGTGGGCAGACATTTTGGCACTGTTATGGACTATATAGCCTAGGACTGGGAGCTGAGATTTTCTTCCTAGGCTGGGGAAGCAGAGAAGATTCTGCGAATTGTCTACCTAATTTCAGTGACAAGCCTTGCAATGAAAGCATTGCCTACTGGGCTCTGTCATAGTTCAGAATCTGACCTAAGGTACAAAGAATCCTCTCAGAATCAACTCATTAATAACAAAGAGTTTTAGTTATGTCTTTTTTCCTTGTGGTCAGAGACCCCACCTCTGTCTCTCATTTCATCTACTAGCTCCTAATGAATGGACTAAGCCAATATGCCACAACATTTTGGCATTCATATCTGCTTATGAATAATAAAAATGCAATTCAAACATATGTCTTCTCATTCTAGATCCTCTAATTCTCTGCTTTTGCTCTTAATGCACAATGTTAATGTCAAATTTGTTTGCTTTAATTATGTTAAGAGGTTATGCTGGAAGGTTATCCATTTAGTCTTTAACAGCATGAAATAGCACTTACATTATCATTGTCAGTTTCTGCACATAAACAAGAACTTGATTAACTGTAGCTAACCATGAAGAAATAAATGTTCTCTTAAATGCAGACATTTTTAGTGGATAAGCACTAGGTGTCACTAGTATACTCTCAACTACAATTATCTATACCTTCAGAGGAACTTTAACTGAGGTAGACTGATGAAGAAATATAGGCATTCCTGGCAACAATGGGAACTGTTTCTTCAGCAAATAGTGCTTCTCTGTTTAAAATCAGATCAGACAAAGGTCTTTGTAAAAGATTTTAATGAATTATAAAGAAAATAGTAAGGTAACTTTCAAATATATGAGAGATCATGACTATATATATTGAAGCGCAGCTGAAAATTGCACAAATAAAATATTTGTAAACTGAATTAAGCTTCCTCATTGACTTCCTTTACAATTTTGGACATGTAATTCTACTCCTTCCTCCTGATATTTACAATTCAGCATAAGACAGAAATTATTTCTAATCGTGTGAAAATGTTCTGTATTTTAAAATAATACATGGAAGTGTACAGCTGAAGAAAGTCATTGTGCTGACCACTTGGGATTTGACATTTTACTGTGTAAAAATTATACTGCAATAAAACACTACTAAAAATTACAATTCTTCATCTTAATGTTGCTTCCAACGGCTTTTTGCTTTTGTAAGCATATATTCTGTGATTAAGTTATTACTCTACATAGCATTTTCGAGTAGTTAGTCAAATGAATTCTGAATCCATTTGATCTTTGCTTGTATTAAGGTATGCCACATGGCTAATTCCCACATCTTGGGACTGCTCATCACTCAATAAGGACTAAAATTTAATATTTAAAACACCATTCTGGTGATGTTTACATTGATATGGAGCCATTTTGTTGGTTGTAATCACTGGCCTTTTGAGAATGAAGAGATCTAATGGATGAGAGCAGGTATACTATTGACTAAATAACAGTTGTTTTAAATTCTATCATTTTCTTTAAAGCAGAAATATCAGCATACTCCATTTAAGCACTGCTTAAATTCAATTATGTATGTGAGGTCTCCTAAAGCTCAGATATAAATGCGATCTACTGGGTGACCTTTGTTGCAACCTAGCCTATCAGACTGATCACTAAATATGAGGCAAGGCTTTTTTATTTTTATTAACTGAGTTTCTAAACACTCAGCTACCAGCCCAATCACTAAATATGAGGCAAGGCTTTTTTATTTTTATTAACTGAGTTTCTAAACACTCAGCTACCAGCCCAATCACTAAATATGAGGCAAGGCTTTTTTATTTTTATTAACTGAGTTTCTAAACACTCAACTACCAGCCCAATCACTAAATATGAGCCATAGCTTTTGTTTTTTATTTTAAGCTGAGTTTAGCCATTTCATTAAATATCTAAAACCTGGGAATTGAAAGTTTGAATAAAATTATTTCAGGGAAATTCTTTATGTATACTGAAAAAAAAAAAAAAACACCCTCCAAACTACCCAAGCTTTTTATGCTATAATTTGCTCTTTTAAACGAAACCATTTACCTCTTTTTTGCTGCCCCAAATGACAGATCACTTTTCTGAGTTTCAGCTTCCTTGTCTGGGAAAAGGAAAAGGAATGGACTTTTTAACTTCCCATTGCCCAATCCTTTTTTTAGATCTATGCTGATATTTGAGACTAGCGACAATATGTTTCCACCCTACCTATCTACCTTAAATTCCAGCTTATGGATCTGCTCAGACTTGAGGTTTCTGTGCATTCCCTTTTATTTTAGACTTTCCCCCAATTAGTTCTCTGCCTCTAAATATGCTTAGAAACAATTGAGACCATTACTCCTTTCTTCTTAGGCTTAGCTCACCAGAACTTTCATAGTGTATCTATAATCTACCAGTCGTATGCACCAGCATTATGCATGATTTGATCCCCATCTGAAACCTATTTCCCACTTATTTTGGATTGAGTGCCATCACAGTACATGATTTTGTATGCTTTTTCTTCACTCTATCGTGAGAAGCCAGAATAGCTAAGCTTTATAAGGAGAAAATTCCAGCGCAAAGAAATTTTTTATTGAGTTCCTATTATGTGGCAAGTACAAAGCTAAGGAATGGGTATACAAATGTAGGTTTAAACAAGAGCCCTAATCTTGGAGACCCTACAATATACTGCAGGTAGCCTAGTCATAAAGTGATCATTTTAATATCATAATGAATACCTTCTACACACTAATATTGTCAATTCCAGTAGGAGAGATAGAAGATAATATATTTGCTGCAATGATCTAAAAATAAGTAAGTTTATTCATTTGTGAGGCAAGAGATTGAGAAAGAATAGTTATTAAGCAACCATGATGGTGAACTCTCATCTGAGAAGTTTTGATAGACTAGACAATGAGATCATGAAAGGTTGTGGGTAATAAGCCTAGACACAAATATATATAAATATATGTGTGTGTATATGTGTCTATGATGAAGACAGAAGTCCAGTGGCACCCACCGAGTGTGTTGTAAACCACTTCAGTAGACAGGGCTTTGCAAAACAGCTTCCCTTTCTGTTTCTCAACTGCCCAATCATGTTTGACTAACTGCTAATCCTGTTTCATTCAATAATCTCCTATAGGAGAGAAAAATGCTGAAGAGTTATTCTTTTGTTCCTGTGCATGTCTCTCCTCATAGAAGTGCATTTTCTACAGGATTCCCATTGGTAGTCCATAGCAAAGACACAGAATAAAGATAAAAATGTAGAAGAATGGCTTCCATGAATGATGATGAACAAGATGAATTGTGGAGTTAGAGGTCATTGTTGTCTGGTGCAGTTAGAGATGGAGGCCCTGCCAGCGTGTTCGGGAAGCCTGCACCATCACTCAAGAGCACTCTGTCAGCTCTGGGTATAGTGCAAATCCCTGATGCTGCCGCAGCACTTTGCACCACCCATTACGGTGTCTCAAGGGCAGACCCAAGCAGGAGAGAGGAGCGTCTGGAGTTGGCAGTATGAAAGATAAGTTTGCACTTGGTGCCACAGACCAAGAAATGATAGTTTAATATCAATCATCACAGACAATTGTGAGAGAACTGGATGTTCATACACAGAAGATATATTACCCATTATAAGGCAAATCTATCACAGAGTACCCCAACACTTACCAACTGAAAACTGAATAAGCATCATATCTCCAAGAGAAAATAAGTTTAAATATATGCATTTGTCAAGATGAAATTGAATTGACCTTCAAGTGCCTTGTACTTCTAGAGTAGCGACTATAGAATAGCATCATTTAGGGCTTCATTATCATAAATAAGTAGGAGGGAAACTTTTGACATTGTTGTGAAATGCTAATCCTTTTCAACCTTACTTCATCACTGAAATATATACACATATTTTTTTCTACTGTTGTATTCTTGAATCACAGAATCTGAGATCTAGACAGAACCTCAGAGATCACCTACACATTGGTACCAAATCTTACTCATAGCAGAATCACCAGGAAGGGTAGAGACTTTAAAATACAGATTTTCTTGTCACGTTCCTCAACATTCCGAGTTAGCTGTTATGTTAAATTCCTGGGGCTGCCATAATACAGTACCATAAGCTAGGTGGCTTAAAACAAACAAACAAAAGTTATTGTCTCATAGTTCTAGAGGTTAGCAGCCTGAAACTAAGGTATCCACAGGGCCATGCTGCCTCTGAATCCTGTAGGGGATCCTTCCTTACTTTTTCCTGGTTTCTGGTGATGACCAGCAATTTTTGACATTTCTTGGCTTGCAACTGCATCGCTCCAGTTTCTGCTTCTATCTTCATATGGCTTTTTCCCTTCTGTGTGTGTCTCTGTGTTTCTTCTTCTCTTCTTATAAGGATAATAGTTATATTGGGCTAAGAGCTCACTCTACTCCAGAATAATCTCATCTTAACTAATGACATCTGCAAAGACCCTATTTTCAAATAAGCTCACATTGTCAGGTACTGAGGGTTAGTATTTCAACATACTTTTTGGGGGGGATACGATTCAACCCGTAATATAGATTTTGGAGTAGGACTTGAGAATCACTTAGGTGATATGGAGATAGCTACATTTGAGAACTAATGGTTAATCATTCCAATTCTCCTGTTTTACAAAAGATGAAACTGAGGGCTAGAGATGTCTAGAGACTTTTAAGTGACAGAGTGGACCATGAATAAACCATTCACATATCTATGTAAACTGCCATTCTCTTGATTCCCACTTTAATCATTATGATTAAAATTATGCCTCTTTGAATTTGGATTAGGATCTCATGATATTCTTCTATTTTAATCAAAAGCTCTGTAGAAAAATACTCTATTTTGAAACCTATTGTATAATACTTAACCTAAGGGTTTTACATTTAAAAAAAATTCTGGCAGCAATATTTTTCAGGTAGTCAAGCAAGGCTGAATAGGTCAAGGGCATTTGCAACTATAAAGAAGCACACAAAGGCAGAGACATACATTTTATCAAAGCAAGTGAAACATTTTACTTGCTAGATTCCTTTATAGAAGGGGAAATTACTTGGGGCAACACACATATGATTAAATATCACTGATTTAAATAAAATAGTTTTTAGGTATGTGGAACATGTATATGGAAAATCTTAATAATAAAATAAATGAATACTTCCTGATGTATGTGCCTCTTAAAGTTCTCTTTCCAAGCTATACTCAGAGTAAGGAAAGTTTGTCAAGTAGTAATAAAATTAATTCAGAAACAGGTTTATGGTTTAGATAAAAAAAGACAGAAAATGGTTTCTGTACAACTGGAATTATGCACAATCACTGGTCATGAAAAAGTGCAAAAAATTTGAGTGTATGTTAGAAAACATGGGACAGAACAACTGAAATAAGGAATAAATAGGGAAGTCATGGCATCTGTGCTAAATATGTAGAGATTACAATAGCTTCTAGAAGAGAAAAGGAAGGCAAAATGTAGGTCTGTGTTGCATGATATAAGATCAGGGATATCAATTCAGAACACATTGCACTTCCTGCCTATTCCCTGCCTACCTTCCCCAATAAATTAAGAAGAAACCTTTAACTACTTTTCTTAATATAAAAATAAATATGTTGGCCAGGTATGGTGGCTTGCACCTATAATCCCAGCACTTTGGGAGGCTGAGGCAGGAAGATTGCTTGAGGTCAGGAGTTAGAGACCAGCCTGGGCAACATAATAAGATCTTGTCTCCACACATACACACACACACACACACACACACACACACACACACACACACACACACACACAAAATTAGTCAGGTGTCAGGAGACTGAGGCATGAGGATTGTTTGAGCCCAGGAGTTCAAAGCTGCAGTGAACTATGATTGTACCACTGCATTCCAGCCTGGGCAACAGAGCCAGACCCTGTCAAAAGAAAGATTGAGAGAGGGAAAAGGAAGGAGAGAGGGAGGAAGAGAAGGAGGGAGGGAGAGACGGAGGGAGGGAAGGAAGAAAGGAAGGAAGGAAGGAAAGAAGGAAGGAGAAAAAGAAGAAAAAGAGAGAAAGGAAATAAAGGAAGAAAAAGAAGAAGGAAAGAAAGAAAAGAAAGAAGGAAATAAAGGCAAATATGTTGAATAAACAGAATTTACAATAGCAGAGTCATAAACTAGGACAATGCACTCTATGAAGACAAATATTTAGAGCTAGCCTATAAATTTATTAAGATTGAGAGGCACTTATTTGTATGTATGTACTTATGGTTCTGAATACAATTTAATGAAGGGAAATGACCTGGAGAAACCACGCGATTTACACATGGGGGACTTGAAATTTGCGACCCGTAAATAAAAATTGCCACATTTTATGATCATGAAGTTACCTCAAACTCATTTTATAAATGTTGAAAAATTAGGTTGTGATATGACCCATGCATTTAGAGAATAGGATGACATACAAAATATTATAAAGATATTAATCAAGTCACTTTCAAAATATTAGTGATTGACCATCAAGCAATAATATAGAGATAATTCTCAAGCAAAAGAACACAAACATTTTAAGATAGGAATTTCCAACTTCAGACAGAGTTAAGAAAAAATGCAGAAAAGTTGAAAGATAAATAATGAACCTCAAAAAACAAAGAGGTACCATAGATCAGAATCAATGAAGAGCAGAGGTCAAGCCTGCTAAGAAGCCTAGAGAGGAGAGTCTCTGAGCGAAGCTCAGAGGTTATAGAGACCAACATCAGAATCTTCTGTTTCATTTGTTACGATAAAAATTTCTGGACACCACCCCAAACTTACCAAGTCATAACACTGCTTCTCGGTACATCTTATCCAATTATCCCCAGTGATTCTTAAGTACCCTTAAGTTTAAGAGACAGTGCCTTAGATTCTATAAAACATAAAGTGCAGTTCAGAGGTGAAAGCAATAAAGAATATAAAGAAGCTGTATAGGCTGGAATTGAATAAGAAATTGTGGATGGAATTGAATAAGAAATTGTAGTACATAATTGAAGAGGTTTATATGAACTTCTTTACAGAAATAGAAAAGATAAAGAGCAAAGTGCAAGTTCATCGACTGACACCTGATTCCAGGAAAGAAAAATGAAATCAATGATTTAGAAGCAGGTGCTCACAGTTCAACAAGGAAGGTGGCATGACCAAGCTCATAAAGAAAGGCAGTGCCTTGGGATGTGCCTTTATAACTGAATGCCTACAACTTTTGAAACTTGTTTGAACATATTTTTGGGTGCAGCTTTGAAAGGCAAATGGGAAAATATGGTGAAATGGTCAATGTATAGAGAGAAAGGAATAAAAAATGTGTTTATAAAAAAGGCAGAAAGAAGTGTGAAAGGAAAATAAATTTTGGGGCCCCCAAATCACTAAGCTAAAGAGAAAAGTCAAGCTGAGGACTGCCTAGGGTCAACTTGCCTCCCATTCTATTCAAAGGCACCCCTCTGCTCCCTGAGATCAATGCACATCTCATTGCCCCCTTTGGAGAGGCTTATCAGAAACTCAAAAGAATGCAATCATTTGTCTCTTATCTACCTATGACATGGAAACTGGCTCCCCATTTCGAATCTTCCCACCTTTGCTTCAAGTTGTCCCACCTTTACAGACGAAACCAATGTTTATCTTGCATACGTTGATTGATGTCTCATGTCTCCCTAGAACATATAAAACCAAACTGTGCTCTGACAACCTTGGGCCCATGTCATCAGGACCTCCTGAAGCTGTGTCAAAGGGCGCATATTCTCAACTTTGGCAAAATAAACTTTCTAAATTAATTGAAACCTGTCTCAGATTTTCAGGGTTCACAGAAAACATTAGAAATTAGTTATCAGAGTTATCTCATCATTATAATGTACCTATAGAGTTATTGCAGCAATTCTTATAAGAGACAGTATTTAAGTCAATTCCAAAACCATCTATATATATAGGGCTTAAATTAAATATAAAGCTTTGTAGTATATGCTCAGGGTTGTACGCCAGTTCCTCTTCTCCAGAAATTCCAGTTCTAGAGTAACTAGACATTCAAGAACAAATGAAACTTCGTTAGTTTCAAATAGTATTTAAACACATATGTGCCAAGCACTGTACTGACTCCTGAGACCAGAAGAATGAGTTAATAAACCGTTGTCAGTCCAGGATAAGTGTGAAGTCAATGACAGAGTTATGCACAGGGAAACAAAGTATAAGAAAAACTAATGGATACAGCAGGGAGGTGATAACTGATTCGAGTGATAGAATGAATCAGATAAAGAAATGTGGAGGAGATGTAACGGGAGAGGAGCTTGGGATGAGAGCCCAGGCAATAGGGAACAACATCATGGCAAGAAACTGTTGGGTATGTTTGGGGAACTGTAGATGCAATTCAGTTTAATTTTACATAACTTCGATCATGTAAATTTAAAATAGTAAAATACAAAAGTATTAATGAAGTATGACCTTACGTACAAAATTTGAAAAGTAAAAAAATCCCCTAAACTTAAAAGATTCATTTCAAT
The DNA here is from genome assembly GCF_000001405.40 of Homo sapiens. Lineage (NCBI taxonomy): Eukaryota > Metazoa > Chordata > Mammalia > Primates > Hominidae > Homo > Homo sapiens. Next base: position 27,371,938 of record NC_000018.10, read on the forward strand.
GCTGATGAACTGATAGTTTCCATTATTGCCACGTGGCCACTTTAGCCAGTAAACAGAAATAACTTCTGCCCTGTGTCTGATCACAGGATGTTTACCTGCATTCATACTTCTGTTAATACTTTCAGTGACTTTCATCCTGTAACTTTAGTATTTCCCACTCTAGAATTTAAGTTATTTCCTTATGCCCTTTAACAATAGAATTGAAGTCCTCATTAAATAGTACTGCTAGGGCTAAGGCTAAAATTCAGGCCTGAGATAATGCCTGAAAATCCGTAACTTTGAAACAAGATTTAAATGCTATAAAATACCAAGAGGAAGTTAAAAAAAAACACTATCCTTTGTTCTTTTGTAAATGTAAGAGAATGTATGTTATGAAATGATAATAGATGCAATGCTGGGTTGAAGAACGTAAAAGGAAAAATAACTTATAATGGCGAAAAACCACCTGCTTCAAAATGCCCCACCAAGTTTAGATTTTTTCCACATGGGAAAATTTTAATTTTTGCATAACAGTTTTGAATTACACAGGACTTCAGTAATTCATCACTTGTGTAAGATAAAAATCCCTAGTGCTGCTGAGGCCTAAAGCATATAACAGGAAGTTGTAGACAAGTGGCTGGAGAAGGGGGCACAAATCATGAGGGCTTTGTATGTCATATAAAGCCTATGGAATTCAGCCTCTGAGTGAGAGAGAGAGACGACTGCAGTTTTTAAACTAGCATGACATGTTCAACTTCCTGTTCTGGGGAAATCATTCTGACACCAGTGTGGTAGAAGACAAGATTGAAGGCCAACTGGTCTGTTAGGTTACTGGTTCTGTGAGCAGATCAAAGAAGATGGAGACCTGACTATCAGTGGGGGCAGTTTTGGAGAAGAAAGCATAATTTAAGAAGTATTGAGCTAGTCAGTGAACAAATATTAAGTGAATGCCTACTATATGCCAGCGACTATTCTTTGTCTTGAGAGGTGAAATCCATAGCACCTGGAGCTTGACAGGATGTGTTGGTCATTGCACAGAATAACTAACAATCTGCTAGGGGAACAGGAGAAAAGGGAGAAGGTCTGTAAAGGCTATTTAGAGCAGATGGAATTTGAGTTTGGTCATGAGTGATGGGGAAACTTTTTAGAGGCAGAGACTGAAGAGCAAGGGTACAGCTGGATAAGCAGACCTAACAAGCTGAGCCAGGGCTGGGATGTTCCAGGTTGGAGGGTGTGAGGCCAGCTTGTCTAATTTAACACTGGGGTCTTTCTGCTTGTGATGGGAAATGAAGCTAATCTTTAAATAAGTCATACATTGGGAAGACTTTTGAAAGGCAGGATAAGGCCTTTGGATTTTATTCCGAATGCAGTGAAATGGTCACTGGGACATTTCATTTTATAACAAATTCTAATCATACTTAATAGACTATTTAAGAATGAGATGAAGACCATGTACTGTAGGGTGAACTCAGCCCGGTTTTAAGCAGATACTTGACTTAAAAATAAACTGTATCAGATAACAGTTATCCAATGATGACTGTTATGCATATTTAGGGTATTTTTGATAGACTGAGTCAAGCTGTTTATAATTCACACAGTGTATTATTATCTAGAACAAGATAATATACTGTCCCAAGACCTGCCTGTTTTTATTCTATGTTAAGGACTTTGTATGGATTTGTTAGATTAAATGACAAGACAGTTTGATAGAAAATCTTTTACTTTTCTAAATTACTACATTATGTTATTTTGTCTCTGATTATAAATGTCTATTTCATATCAAATGCTAGTTACATTTCAAAGAAATCATTTGCATTAAATCAAATGTTGCATTATTCTTCCTGTTCTAAAATCATAAACAGGTATTTAATCAGAAAGAAGACCTTGCCAATATTAGAACTTTCTTGTCTTTTAATTTGCAATTTACACATTCCTTCTAATAGCTCATTCAGTCCTATGCTAATATAACTAATGATTTAACAACATTTGGAAATCAATTTAAAGACTAAGATTGAAAAGGCATGTTTATATTTCTATGCAATTTCTACCTAACAGTGTTTAGACTGGTCTGCTGCATGTCCTGTAGTGGCCTATATCTTTAAGCAAAAGTATCAATTATTTTTTTCTAAAACCTGATTCAGAACTCGTTGCCTCTAGGCAGCCTTTAAGGACTAATTTTTGGCATATGTTTTTTCCTTATTCTGAGTAGCACCTCAGAATTTAGTCATTTTCTGCTTTTCTAAGTCTTACCTGTTATTTGGCGGGAAACAGGCAGCAATCACATAGGTTCATCAGTAGTGTTTAAGACTAACCCCTCCGTCCACCACACAACTGCAAATACATGGAATATTTAATCACTAATAACTCCAAGGGACAATAGATAAGATAAACATATGGCAATCTGAATGTTCCTTCTGGGCAAAAATGTCTTGTCAGTTATATTGAGTCCATTACAGAACCTAAAAAGAAAGCATTTAATACATTTCTCATTCCCTCTACCAAGTTGAAGGCAATCCTGAGCTGGATCTTCAGAAATGGTTTCGTGGGAACATGAGGAAGGAGAAACACTTTGGTTCCTAGGGAGCAAAACCTTTGTAACCTGCCCTGAGAGAGAGAGCTCAAAGCATTGGCGGGGAATGCTTCCAGTTATCCATGAGTTCAGGCAGTAGCCACTGCTTTGGGTTCTCCCCAGGGCTGAGGTTTCAGTGCTTCTGAAGATGGCAGCAAAATATCTCAACCATTTGTAAAATAGGGCAGGCTCCTGCAGTTGAAAACTGATTCCGGTTAGAAGAATGATCACGTTAGAAAGCATGAACATGATGGGGAAGGCAGGCTGCCAGCATGCCCGTGGCCCATGCTACCCCCTCACCTCTGAGTGCCTCAGACATGTGAATGGAACTCGATGGGTTATTTTGTTAGACCTTTCCTTTGTGGTGTTTGGCTCTTTTTCTAGATTTATCAGAAGAGCATTTTCTTTAGCCAAGTGTTTGCAGGTCAATAACTACATAGCCTTATTGATCACATTCTGTTTTTCTCTCTATATATGATGAAAAACTCTTCATGGACTGTGTTTTCTTTGGTACGTTTTGCACAAAATGTCAATCTTTCTGCAATTCATGTATATAGAGAGTATATGTATTTTTTTCCCTTTTAAAATCTTTTCATAAGGTGTCAATTCTTCTGTGATCCACATAGACAAAGTAATACTCGATGGGTAATGGAAAACTAAGAAAGTGCAATCATAACACAGCTTAAAAAATGGGCACATAACATGGCATTCTTGGGCTATGCTGTTTACAGAAAAGTCAAAGATCCATATTGTAATCAAGTGTTTGACTTGAACCCATAGCCATAGAGATTGGAACTATATATAGTTCTATCAACCTCCATTCCAGTGACCATGGTAACATTTTGGGCTGAGAAAATGCCTTTGTTAAAGGTAGCCCCAAAAGAGCCAGCAGTTAGGTTGAAGTGTTCATTGTAGTGAGCCTGTGGCATGAAGGTCCTCCCCAGTAAACATCAGCCTGCAAACAGAATCACTAGTGCTTAGCAACAGTGTCATAGTGCCACTGGAATGGTGGTAGAAGGATCTCTTCACCCCTAGACTACCACGGCAGATTGGAACCCAGGAATCCGCAGAGAAAACATAAGATTTCTATCTAGAAAAAGGGAGCAAAAGAGAAAGGAAGGGAGTGGATAGGGCAGGACTGTGTACTTCAGGGGCCTGCAGTCTCTGCACCAGGACACCAGGAGACCTGACTCAGAGAAGAGACTAGAAACCAACAGAAAGAAACTAAACAGCTGTCTGGTAAGCCAGTGATTAGTAAGAAAGACATCTTCAAAATAAGTTGAGCATTATTTGTTAGTTATCCCTGAAATATAGCCTGGTCAGATACTAAGCTGCAGGGACATACATATCTCTTGGGAATTACCAAAAGGGAGAGAAGCATAGCCAATATCCATTCTTCCACCTTCTCCAGCAATAACTGGGTTTATCACGTCCTGTTCAGCACTGAGACTCTTTCTCTGCAGACACACCAGAAACACTGTGATCCTAGACTCCTGCTGGGGAATCCAAGGCAACTTCTAAAGAAACATCTGATTTACAACTCTTCAGCATGGGATGGCTATACAAATAAGGAGGTCTTCTAGCTGCTCTAGCCTGAGGGAATTGGATTTGGGAAAGAGAAATGACCAGTCAAGGCTTGGCAAGTCCTCTAGACCTGCGCAGGATCAGAGAGTGGATCTTTGGTGGCCTGAGAACATTTGCACCCACTTTAAAGTTGCTTGTGTTATATGCAGGCTAAATCAATACATGAAGAGTAGTACTGAGTTTAAGAAACAAAAGAATAGGCCCATGGGTATAGCTCAGGAAGAAACTTCCTTACCTGAAAGCCTGAATGGGTGAAAGAAAAATGAATGAAGCAGGAACAGAAAGGTGGAATTTGAGGCTTTGTGGCAACAGCTCACAGATATGATTTTGACAGACTCTCAGTTTTCAAACATAAGACTAAAAGAGGGAATAAAAGGCATGAGAGAGATGAAAGGGAAATGAACCAGAGTGCATGCACAGCCTTCTCTCGTTACCTCTACCAAATGAACCAGGAGAGGGGATAATGGAGGGCCTCCATTTAACCATCATGGGCAATGTTAACTTGGGCAGTCAGTGTTTACTGTAAAATATGTAACCAGTAACTGAAGTTGACGTTGACCTTGGCAGAGTTACTTAACTACCCTTTGTCAGTGAGACTCCTCCTTGAAGAAACCTCGCTTTTCCATCCAAAAAACTGCGCTCCTTTGATCCCCCAAATCCTCAGAATTTTGCGAAAAGATATTTTTGCATCTCAAAGGGCTATCTTTAATTAAACACATCAAACATATAAATATTCTAAAAAGGAAGTTACGGTATGGAACAAATTTTGGCAAATAGCTTTGTCACCACCTACTATACTGGTTCTTGACATTAATTCCACATATGTATTATATGCATACATATATGTGTGCATTCTCATTATAGAAAAAATTCTCAATTGTCTGTATATATTTTTAAATGTTAATTTTATAAAGAATTGAAAAGTCACAGCTCAAAGGGCAGGAATTACTTCAAAACAGTCTTTTTAATATGTGGAAAGAATTAGTCATATAAAAGAGTTCATCTCTACTATTATTATGTTGACTTTTTGTAAAAACATGATACTCTTGTAAGTTAGCTATGGAAACTATAACCTGAAGCAAAGTATTTCCTTAAAAGGATCAATTACAGGAAAGAGATCTTCCCATAAATTGTTAATTGACATTTTCTGTCAAATCACCTTTGCAAATGACCCCCAGGAGTATTAAATGTTGTGAAAACATCCTCACATTCAGAATCTGCCAACCTGCAGGTAGGGAGCTTCTTAGGAAAGTGGATAGAAACTAGTTACCAGGAGGTGGAAATACTTAGGTAGACACCCTTGCTGCAGGCTGACCAGGAGCCAGCATTCCACAAAATCAAACTCCAGCTTGAATTCATTGTTTTCAGCTAAGTTGCTGCCTTCAGGTTTTTGTGGTTTAACCCAAGGATTTTCTGAATCAGCCAGCCCCCGGACTGAGTACTTGCTGTGTATGGTGTACTCTTCTAGGTCTTTGGGAAATGAAGTAATATTTCCAACAGCTATAAAAAAATAAACAGGGTCAAGCAGGTACTAGTTAAGAAAGAGAATTTTATTTTTTTTTTCCTTAGGTCTTAAGGAATGTAGAAATTGAGGTTTTTCGTTTGTCATAGTGAAGAAAGATGACTTTTATAATATAGAAGCAGGTTAAGAACTAAGCAGAATGTATCTTAAAGTATTCCCCAAATGAAAATGATTTGTATCTAGTTATACATTCATCTCTGGGTCTCTCCATTTTCTTATCAATAGGCTTTAAATAAAAGTCTTATTTAAATATGTAGCCTCTTTTCAATTTTGCTACAAAAAGATATACTGGATGATAAAGAAGAAATGTCCCCACAGGCCAGGAAAGTGTTAATGGCAGGAAAAATGAGGGGTCCTCAAGGGAAAGGTGTAGTCAGAGGATTAGAGCTGGGGATAGAAGAGTCTATTTCCTCCTTCAGATGGAAAGTCTTTTTCCATGGCCAGCTTTCAAGGTTAGGGTTTGATTTTATTGGTTGTGGCAGTGTTTTCTTTTTTATGTTGATTTTATATAGTGTGAAGAACTGTGCTAGGTTCTTGGAACATAAAACAGATAAGACCTAGGCATTGCCCTAAGGGTGGTCAAGTTATCTTGATTAATTTGACTTTTTTTTATCAAGGAAATTTTGATTTGCAGGGCATTTGTCGCGTCATTGCGTCGAAATATAAAATGACTATTTTAAAATAGCAATAATATTCTTAATCACACCTTACCTAATTTCTACCCCTCTTCCCAATTCTTCTCCTCCTACTCACTGGGCAGTAATGGAGTGGAGCCAAAAGTAGGAAAAGAAGCGCTCATTTTTTAATTTTAAAAGCTTGAAATATAATGGCTAATTGTTGAGGCCATGTAAAACTAGCTGTTTCATTGTAACCACATCTAAATGGCTGCATGAAATTGTTTACAGGGAACTTCCTTGGCCTCCTGACTCACAGGTTTCAGTAGAAACACGAAGCTGTCAGCCAGGTCATCTGGGTTTTCCAGGAGAAATGATTCAGAGCTATGGTTTCCAGCGGGGGAGGTGCAGTACCATTGACTGTTTTTGCAAATACTTAATGTTGAAAAAGTTAATGATTGCATCTGCCTTAAACCTAGAGCAACCTTGGAGAAGAAAGGTTTCACCCACAATTTCTCTTGCTTGATTTGATCAGAATCTCAAATGAGACCAACAACTGATTTGTTGACTTGGTTGATAGTTCCTAAGGGTTACTTTTGGCCAAATAGCTCTGTGCACTTCTGATTTAGAAGCTAAACTAGATTTGATCCTCTTTTAAACTGTCACACCAAGGCATGCAGTTTGACTTGTGTGTTCATGCTTGACCACACACTGAATTGTAATCAACTACTCAGACAGTTCCTTTCAATGTAGTGAGATGTGATATCCCAAACTACTCATCTTCCCAGTGTAGAATTCTCCAAAGTATGTGCTACAGAACATTAGTGACCTGAGCTTTTAGAAGCTATTCTATGAAAGACAAGATTTTTTTGGTTAAATGAGTATGGAAAACCTTGGTCTAAACAATGTGAAATGGATTTATTTACTCCAGGATTTCTCAAAACTTCAAATAGCGAAGTGAGGGAAGTGAATTAGCTCTGAGTCCTAGCTCTACCTCTTTGTAATTTTTACCTTGAGCAAGTTATTTAATCTTTCCAAGGCTTAATATACTTATCTGTAAAATGAGGATACAAATATCTATGTCACAGAATTGGTCAGCGGATTAAATAAAATAAAATACCAAAAGTGATAATTTTTGCCATTTGTTTTCAGGTGTATTTTGTATCACTGTGTTTCTACATCATCATACAATTTAGGTTATGTTTTGGCATACCAAAGTGTAGATTCAGCTTTATTTTTAAAAATTTTATATTTTTTTATTTACTTTTAGAGAAAGGGTCTTGCTCTGTCACCCAGGTTGGCGTGCACTGGCATGATCATAGTTCATGATAACCTCGAACTCTTGAGCTCAAGTGATCCTCTCACCTCAGCCTCCTAAATATCTGGGTCTACAGGCAGGGTCTACAGGCATGTGTCCTCTCACCTCCAGCTATTCAGGAGGCTGGGGTGAGAGGATCACTTGAGCTCAGGAGTTCGAGGTTATAGTGAACTATGATCACGCCAGTGCACGCCAGCCTGGGTGGCAGAGAAAGACCCTTTCTCTAAAAGTAAGTAAGAATAAATAAAATTTTTTAAAAATTCTATTTAAAATCCAGTTCTAATTTTAATTTGCAAACAAAGCAGAGGTATTGCTGAGCATTTAAAATTCTACTTAATCACTCTTCTATTAGATGCCCCATTGGAAATCACACAGCAAATCTCTGGGAATTATCTGACCATTTAATGTCCATTTTTATGTGACCTTAGTATTATCCTATACTAGTCATTGATTTTTCTGTTGGAATTCTATAGACCTTTAAATGGCCTTCCACTAATGATGACAATGTGTTTTAAAATATTGGAAAGGTAAAGCAGTGCTTCCTACATATCATGCGTGCTCTCGCTGAGAAGCTGAATCTCATCAGAGGCCCTGATCTTTGTCTCATATTACACTGAGTTGAGTTGCCCAGATTACTATTCAAGAGCCATCAGGATGTCTGAACTCTGGGTTTCCAGCCATTTACCTTATTTATTGTCACATTATCCATCTTCATCAGGGTACAATAAACATCTCTGCAGTGGGCACTATCTTGAAAATAGTTCAAGTATTGGGTTCAGCCCAAGAAGAACTTGAGTAAATCATACCTTTTCTGCTCTTTAGAATCTTTCCAGCCTATTTCATAAGAGATCCCATTTCAGAGACAGAGAGGACTTTAGATATCCTTCAAATACTACTTTGTAAGCATGCCCTTTGGTAAGAAGAGAGAATTGTGACTACACATAAGAAACCTAGTGATACACTACTGTTCATCTCATAGCGTTCTCTCTCCCCCATGACTGCAAACAATAGGCATTACATTTTCAGTTATTATATGAAGATTCTGAAGAATGGTAGCATGTAAGTCCAATTCATTTTTCGTACATGACTGTATTAGATATGAAACCTAGGTAAGAGCTAAATAAACAGCGTTTGTTGTTTCCTATTTGGCATATATAATATCAAAGATGGGGTGTCTCATCCACCTGTGGGACAAGCAGGTTATAGTCAAGATTTTCAGGGAGGCTGTGGGCTCTGTGTGGCAGGATGATGGTCCCTTCTAAGTACCCAGTTCATGTCAGTCATAGTGTATTGAGGACACCACAAGTGCCTTCTATATGCCAAGCTCTAAAGAGTAGCACAAAGGACCTCTGTCCTCAAAAGTTTATTTTTAATACCAGGACATTCGAATGATGAAAGGCAAAAATAAGGCAACAGATAAACGCATGGTGCATCTGCAAACGCTGCAGGAGGTCAGAGGAGAAGAGATCCCAGTGGGCTGTAGACAAGCAAAATGACTTTCTCGGAAGAAAAAAGTCACTGGAAGCTTTGAACCAGAGTAAGATTGGATTGGCCAAAAAGAGAAGGAAAGGATTCCTGGAAGTAGGAAAGGAGTGGCAAAGAGCAGAGTGTGAAGAACCCAGTAAAACAATTGCTGTGAGTGAAGTGAATTAAGAAAATAGCAAACACTTTGGACAAGTAGCTTAGAGCAAGTTGAAGAAAAATTCTGAATCTATAATTTGGCTTTGATGGGTAGATTATGGGTGATATTCTAGGTTCTAGAAATGACTGTAGGAAAACAGAGCCTCAGGAAAATGGATTGGGTAGTTTTGTGCAGGAAAAGTTGGAAATGAAGAGTAAGGAGAGAGGTCACTGGGATGACCTAAGGGTGAGGTTACTGAAGACTTGGATGAGGGTCAAATGAGGTGGGTGGAGACGAGATAAACAGAGATACATTAAAAAGAATATCTTGCAATGCATGGATGATATCCTGAAATGCTTAGAAAGTGTAGTTAGTCAATGATGTGAAGAAAGTGTTATGTTTGAAATGTATGTGAAATGCTGTAAAAGTTATGGAGTTTAGAATTGTACTTGAGTTTGAATCCAAGCTTGCTTCTTAACAACCAACAGTGATCTCAGGAAAATTATTAAATTATTTATACTTAAATTTTCCCAAATCTAAAAGGAGAACAAAGTTGTTTATGTGAGGATTAAACAAACTAACACATAAAATGCCCAACACTAGTAGGCATTCAAAAAACATTAGGCCTTGTTTCTCTTAGGTAATCCTAAATCATGCCACAGGGAGCTAGAAACAAGAAACTGGAAATCAGGTTGAAGTTCAGTGGCTAGAAGTGAAGTTAACCACCATCTAAAAAGAGGCGGCAGTTTGAATCAGAAGTAAGGTCCACAACTGTGTTGAGGAAATAACTAAATAAGGAAAAGAAGAAAAGGTGCATAAGATTTAGAGAAAACTTAAGATGAGAAAAAAAAGAGAAGCACTACATAAAAAGATGAGCAGTACATAAGTGGTGTCTTTAGTATGTAATCACTCGGTAAAAACTAGCTGTTACTATTGTTGTTGTTATTATTGTTAGAGATGATCAAAGGTGTAAGAATGAACCCTGGCAAGAACAATGTCATGATCATAAACCAGTAAACTAAGAGGTGATCCTCTGTGTCCTAAGGTGCCAAGAGATTAGGATAGGATTGCAAAGCCATTTCATTCAAATGAAAGTAGTTGGTGACCAAAGTATTTGACCTTTGTAATTCTCATCTCTAGTGGAAACTCCATCTTAATTTAGGAACAAGACTATGTGATGCTCACATAACTACCTGAAATATGAATGATGCATGATTGGGTTAACCATCACCAAAAATACCTCTCCAGCTGATACCCAACCTGCCACAGAAAGAACAAAGAATCAGGGTCCTTAAAATAAATGCAACTGGCAAGCTTTTCTAACATAGAGAAAAATAGGAAACTATGAAATATCAAAAAATATAATTCCCTGTGATGATTTTTAATAAAGCCAAATGCCAAATATTGGCTTTCCCTTTTGTTGGAAAATGAATAAACAGTTTTGCAATGACCTGGAGGCTTGGATAGAGAGAATAAATAAGTTATTCACACATGAGGAGTAGACAATTCTCCATCCACTGTTGAGCTTTTCATTTTTTTGTGGAGCAGATGGTCTAAATAAAGCAGCCAAAAATAACAGGTGGGTTTTATTACATTAAGCCACTGAAAATACTAAGCATCTACAAGTTTAAATCATGTTCAAAATATTAAGCCTTAAAATAACTTTTTGAAAATAGTCTTTCATATTTGCAAGACACCTTTGTCCATCATCGATGATATCAAAGCACAGGGACCAAAGCATATATGAAAACATTTTTAGGGACAACAGGGGAAAGGCAGATAGGAAGGAACAGCTGCTCTTCATAGAAATGATTTTACATGGGGTTGTTAAACCATGTGGATACACACTAACTGAAATGGATAACATCACCTCTTCTGGGGCCAAAGCTTGAGTCTAAGTCATTGCTATCATAAGTCTGGTGGTTTCGCATGACCTACGCATCGTCATTCAACATATGAACAGCAACTACAAAGAACTCAAATACATTATTCCTCCTGTAATTTGTCAAACACCTAACTTTAATTAGAATTCAAACTTCATTCCAATAACACCTAACCTATATGCTATGTATGTGCCTTTTAATGTATATTTTCACAGTCAAGGAAGGAAAAAAAGTCTGAAAGGTGGGAAGAGATAAGAGAAAATACATTGCCTGGCTCCTCAATGGAAGAGATAGTGTAGCTAGCACTGTTCAGAGATTGTTGTTGTTGTTGTTTTTTGTATAGTATTCCTTATTAATTAAATACATTTATTAATTAAATAAATTACTATACATTTTGCATAGTATTCCTTATTAATTAAATACTAGTTTTAAAAATAAAAATCGTGTCTCCTTACCATCCTTCTCCAATCTCCCTCTTTCCTGGAATAACTACCATTAACATTTTCAAGAGTAACCTTCAGAATCTGAGCATGTACCTTGACAGTTGAAATGCTCAAACCATTAAGCCTACAATGAATTTTAAGAATCTTTTACATTTATAAAACATCTACATCCCTATTGAATAATTTAAAACCATAGGCACCTTCCTGGGTATGAAGCATGAATTATAAAAAATGGGATTATGTCTCTACTCAGTGTTTGAAACTTGCTTTGAAAAAATTTCAACATTGCTTCATGGATCACTTTTACATGTACATGGAGATCTACTTTATACATGCCCTTTCTTTAGGTATATCCTGTTGATTTGATTATTCTCCAAAGGATGGGTATTTGTTACCTTCAAATGTCACTAACATAAAGCTCCAATTAATACCCTTGCTTATATATGCTGTTACTTGTGCAATCACACAAGTATTTCTAAAGAACTTATTGCTAGAGGAAGGCTTGATAGATCAAAGATTTTGTGGATTTTCATTTCAATACCTCTTGGAATATCCATTTTCAAAACTTCCTTTACTTTCAATAAGTCATACTACATTTTTTCCTCTTTAAATCTAAAGTCCCTATTTATTTAGGAGACATCTATGCCTGTTATTCTTTCATCTCAGGCTGGCTGCATTTGAGAATCAATTAAGAATTATGTACTTTTGCTGATCATATATGGGTCAGGGAACAGGATCTGGTGAAAGATAAAACAGTTTAAACTGTAAGTCATGAGCTCAGATAAATATTGGCATTGTCACTGGGACATGGAAGTAGTAATAATTAGGAGTAATAGTGTATATTTCATTGATAAATCACTTGATGTATAAATATGCCTTTTGGGCTTTGATTGCCAAAAAATCTATCTTATGTAAGCTCAGTATGAATACAGATGCTTGCAAAAGAAAATATAGGGGGTGGGTATGTGGTGGTGGTATGGGTTAAGAGATAATTTCTGCCTGACATAAAAAAGGAAAGGTGTGACAAGTTGTTATTATGGTAGTTGGAATGAGCCTATATATACAAGAATAAACACAGGAATGAGAAAAATAAAGAAATCGATCCTTTAAGAAGATCCTGAAGAATTGGAAATAAGAGCACCTTCTGATATGCAGAATACAGAGGTGTTAACTAGCTATGAGTGTCAAGGAGCTACCTCAGGTCTTGTCTCCCAAGAATCAAATTATATTACATGAAAATAGACAGTGGAATTGTGGTAGAGGCAGACTAGAACTAGAAAGCACAGCAAGTAAGGTCTGAGCAGGGCCAGCCTCACAGCAGGAGACATGAGAAGGAGAATCTGGAACTCAGAAGATCTGGAACTTGGAAGATTCTTCAGTTGCTTAATGCAATAGTCCGGTGCATCTGGACTCTGAGGAGTGACTGCAATGTGATTTCTTTTATATAGGTTTTAGACTCAGTGGAGCAAACACAGATAGGGCAAATAGAACTGTCCCCAAATAGTGAGCTATTGAAGCCAAGAAAGGTCACATCACTCATTTCTACCGAGGAAAGAAAAGCCAGACCTGGAGCACACTCCTTTGACTCATTGAACTTATTTCCCTTTAGCTGGGATCTCACTGTCCAGACCCACAGAATACCTCCTTTTTGTAAGTAATATTAGCACTGAAGCTAGAGGATATTAAGCATTGTTGGCTTATGTTTTCCTAGTGTAGACTGAGTATTTTGTGGTTTTGCAGATACATATACAGATACACACTTGTACATGTGTATCCCAATTTAAAGCTATACAGAAAATTAACTGAGGAACGGACTATGGGGTCGTTGATCTTCCTTCTCATCAAACTTGCATCCCACCAACTTCGGGCCTGCTGCAGCTAATTATTCTTGGTGAGTCAAGGTGACTGAGTTTCCAAGAGTTATTTTGGTCCATATGGAGTACTGTTTTATTATTCCCATGTTTACACTTTCTCCAAGTGTTCAAGAAAATGATTGGTCCTTCTGTGACTGACTTGTTTCACTAGCATGTCTTCCAGATTCATCCATGTTGTCATATATGACAGGAATTCCTTTCTTATTAAGGCCACATAACAACCCATTGTATGTGTGTATCTCATTTCATGTGAGCTAAAATAATTCAACTCATAGAAGCAGAAAGTAGAATGATATGTGCCAGGGGCTGATGGGAGGGAAAGATGGAGAATTGCTCAAGAGGTGTAAAGTTTCAGATATCCAAGATGAATAAGTTCTAGAGGTTTGCTGAACAATCTTGAAGTATACTTCACCATACTGCATCATGGCCTTAAAAATTTTGTTCAGAGGATAGATCCCATGTTAAATATATTTACTGTAAAGAAAAAACCCCAACAATAACAACAACAAAAATAACCCAGGGGCATGAGAAAACTTTTGGAGGTGATGGATTCATTTATTAGCTTGATTGTGTTAATGGAAACGGTTGTATTCATATGTCCAAACTCATCACATTATATATATAAAATATGTGCAGTTTTTCGTATATCAATTGTATCTTGATAAAACTGTCAATCAATCAATCAGTCATTCGATCTGTCCCTATTTACATATTTAAAAGAAAAGAAAAGATAAGGAAAGCCAATGGTAGTTAGGAAGGCAGGGATTAAGAAAAACACTGAAAAATTTAAAGGCAAATATTCTCCCCATATCATTGTCTACTCTGCGTATGTCCATAATTACCTGCTCACCACTGGCAGGCTGGCACTGGTTTCTAATCAACTGTTTTTGTGTGTTGACTTTTTTGTGTGTGCTTCACGCTCCCTGTCCCCCTAGTGCCAGAGTCTGTACAGCAAATCTGTGCTTTCCCATTGCTGCTCCAAGATCAACCTTTCTTCTTTTCATACTATAATGCTTTAGAACCTTAAAATCCTTGCTTATGTCAATCATTACTCTCACTGTAGCTTCCTGTCTTCTGTCCTTCCCTTCCTCCTTTTTTCCATTCATGGTGGTTAAACACATGCACTCTAGAGTAAGATAGCATTTGTTCAATATTGGCTATATCTATTAAACAGTAGTGTAATTTTGGTTATTTACCTTTCTGAGGCTCAGTTTCCTTATCACGAAGATCAAGAGGAGTAAATAAGTTGTTCATTTTGTGTGAGAATTAAAATGTGATAATGCATATCAAGTGATTGGCATAGCGTCTGGTACCAGTCTGCAGTAACAAGAATAATAACCTATTAGCCATATTGTTTATTATTCTTGTTAGTATTAAGCACCTTCTATTTTCTAGACACTGTGTAAGGTACTGAAAATACAAAGTTAGCTTATTATTTAAATAAACTATGGTCCCTTGAGAAATTTATAATCTGGTCAATGTTTCCAGCTAGACTTTATTTATTTATTTATTGAGACAGATTCTCGCTCTCTCGCCAGACTGAATTGCAGTGGCATGATCTCGGCTCACTGCAACCTCCGACTCCCTAGTTCAAGTGATTCTCCTGCCTCAGCCTCTTGAATGACTGAGATTACAGCCGCGTGCCACCATGCCCAGCTAATTTTTCTATTTTTAGTGGAGACAGGGTTTCACCATATTATCCAGGAGGGTCTCAATCTCCTGTCCTTGTGATCTGCCTGCCTCGGCCTCCCAAAGTGCTGGGATTACAAGCGTGAGCCACCGTGCCCAGACAACTTTATTCTTATTGCTGGTGCAAACACCTGGCGAGGTTTCTAGCTACCTTTAATAAAAGTTTGAACAGAACTAGAACCTCCAAAGTGTGTTGCTCATATTTTAACTCTATAATAAAAGTTTATTTTATAAAGAGTGCAACATAGCAAAACCAGCCCGGTCTTTTGGACATACGGTCAAGCTCCTGACTCTATTTCTCTTCTTGTGTGAGCAGAGAAAAAGCTCTTTATAACCATATTTATTGTGTTTTATCCTGTAGCCATACCTCTGGTATCAGGACAAATGATTTTATCCTCTTCTACCCCAAATTTTCTCGGGCAGAGGTAGTTGGAAGAATTGGAAAAATGATCCCGTGTTCTTAGTTCCTACAATCAGTCTGTTCTAAGCATTTGATCTCTCCCAGGGAAAGGAAGCCACTCCTACTGAGAACTAATAGAGAAAAAAAGGTTTTTACCTCCAATGAAACAAGGAAGTTTTCACAACTTCAAACTATAAGCACACCTACCAAATACTGCAACAAATATTCCTGTATCACAGAAGCATTCAACCTGTTAGGTTTCAATGAAAAGATCTCTGAAAAGATCTCTGAAAAGATCTCAGGGTAGATGTAAGATTTCAAAGAAGAAATTATAAGACAAAGGATGAAGAAAAAAATGGTTTGGCATGATCCAGAGGAAATATAAGAGAAAACTAAACCATGATAAAGATAAAAGTCATATTAGGAAAAAAAAATGATCCATGGAAACAACAATGATTGCTTGGAAGTTGATATGTATGAAAGAAAAAGAGATCCTGTCTATACGTAACTGGTGTCTCTGAAGAAGAGTATGGAAAAAATGGAGCAATTAAAATTATAAAGCAATATCACAGGTGAAATGTCACAGAAATGAGAACAAACTCAAATCTGCAAATTGAAAGTGCACCCTGAAAAATTGACACAGAATCATCTGAGACATTTTGTGAAACTGGACTTCAACAATGCAGAAAAACATAACATGAATGCTATGGACTGAATGTGTCCCTTCTGAAATGTACACGCTGAAATCCTAATCCCCAATGTGATGGTATTAGGAGGTGGGTCTTTTGGGAAGTAATTAGGTCATGGAGCTGGAGCCCTATGAATGGGATTAGTACCCTTATAAAAAGACAAGGGGCCGGGGAGAGGACACACAAGTGGGCACTTCCTTTATCTCTCTCTGCTCTCCCTCATGAGAAGGTACAGAGGTAAGAAGACCATCAACAACCAGGAAATGTGCCCTCACTAGATACCCACCAGGATCCACTGGTGTCATAATCTTGGACTTTTTATACTCCAGATGGTGAGAAATAAATCTCTGCTGTTTAAGTCAACCATTGTGTGGTATTTTTGCTACAGCAGCATAAACTGACTAAGACAATGAGCATGAGACAAGAAAGGCAAATAGTGTACAAATGGGAAAATTCGGTTGGCTACAGATGTCTTTAAGGCAACATTCAATTCCTGAAGACAGCAGACAATATCTGAAAAGTCCTGAATGAGTGGCCCAGTAGTTTATGCCATCTTCTCTTCAAACAAAACACAAGAGACATTTCCATGAAGTCAGCAACTTTGTTAACAACTTAGGGACCAAAGCACTCTTTAGTAGAATGGATACCAGTCAGACAAGAGATAAAGCATAATAAAAACTCAATTATGAGCCAGACATGGTGGCTCACACCTGTAATTCCAGCACTTTGGTAGGCCAAGGCAGGACAGCTTGAGCCCAGGAGTTTGAGACCAGCATGGGCAACATGACGAGACTCTGTTCTTACAATTTTTTTTTTTTTAATTAGCCAGGCATGGTGGTGTGTGCCTTTAGTCCTAGCTACTTAAAAGGCTGAGGCTGGAGGATGGGTTGAACCCAGGAGTTCAAGGCTGCAGTGAGCCATTGTCGCATCACTGCTTTCCAGCCTGGGTGACTGAGTGAGACCCTGTCTCAAAATAAAAACCAAAAACTTACATATGGAGAAGACATGGTAAAAAGACTGGCTGTAAATAGTGAATCAATTTAAGCACCAAATTATGGTTTCAAATCAAAAATAAAAATAGATACAATTTAAAACAGAAAAGTAATTTTGTATAAATCCTTTTATATTAAAATGTAAAGATTTTTAAGGGATTGAATAACTCTTGAAGAAACCATTATTTCGGTTTTACTTAGTTTCTTTTTCTTTATTTGAATTCCACAATTTTTATTTTAAACAGCAAATATAGTATGATAATACTTTACATAATTTTTTTCATTTTAGGTTCTGGAGTATATGTGCAGGTTTGTTACATGGGTAAATTGCATGTCACTGAGGCTTGATGGATGAATGATTCCATTACCAAAGTAGTGAGCATAGTACCTGAAAGGTAATCTTCAAACCCATGTTTCCTCCCACCCCCTACACTCAAGCAGTAGGGGGATCTATTATTCTCATCTTTATGTGTATTCTTGTTTATCTCCCACTTATAAGTGAGAATATGTGGTTTTCGGTTTTCTGTTCCTGCATGAGTTTGTTTAGGATAATGGCCTCCAGCTGCACCCATGTTGCTGCAAAGGACATGATTTCATTATCTTTATGGCTGCATAGTATTCCATGGTGTGTATATACCACATTTTCTTTATCCAGTCCATGTTGATGGGCATCTTAGTTGATTTCATGTGTTTGCTATTGTGAATAGCATTGTGATGAACATACAAGTGCAAGTGTCTTTTTGGTAGACTGATTTATGTATATAACCAGTAACGGGATTGCTGGGTCGAATGGTAGTTTTGTTTTATGTTCTTTGAGAAATTATACTGCTTTCCACAGTGGCTGAACTAATTTACATTCCCACCAGCCATGCATAAGTGTTTCATCATCTCTGTTACCTTGCCAGTATCTCACCAGCAACTTAATAATAGCCATTCTTACTGGGGTTAAATGGTATCTCATTGTGGCTTTTATGTACATTTCTCTAATAATTAATAGTGATGAGAATTTTTCATATATTTGTGGGTCACATGTATGTCTTGTTTTGAAAAGTGTCTGTTCACATCCTTTGCCCATTTTTAACGGGTTATTTGTTTTTTGCTTGCTGATTTAAGTTCCTTATAGATTCTGGATATTGGACCTTTGTTGTATATATAGTTTGTAAAAATTTTCTCTCATTCTGTAGGTTGTCTGTTTACTCTTGATAGTTTCTTTTGCTTTGCAGAAGCTCTTTAGTTTAATTAGATCTCATTTGTCAATTTCTGTTTTTTTTTTGTTGTTGTTGTTGTTTTTGAGTCAGAGTCTCGCTCTGTCGCCCAGGCTGGAGTACAGTGGAGCAATCTCGGCTCACTGCAAGCTCTGCCTCCTGGGTTCACGCCATTCTCCTGCCTCAGCCTCCCGAGTAGCAAGGTCTATAGGCGCCCACCACCACGCCTGGCTAATTTTTTTGTGTTTTTAGTAGAGATGGAGTTTCACCGTGTTAGCCAGGATGGTCTCGATCTCCTGACCTCGTGATCTGCCCGCCTCTGCTTCCCAAAGTGGTGGGATTACAGGCGTGAGCCACCGTGCCCGACCAATTTCTGTTTTTGTTGCAATTGCTTTTCGGGACTTAGTCATAAATTTTTGCCAAGGCTGATATCCTGAATGGTGTTTCCTAGGTTTTCTTCTAGAGTTTTGATAGTTTTCAGTTTTACGTTTAAGTCATTAATCAATCTTGAATTAATTTTTCTATATGGTGAAAAGAATGGGCCTAGTTTCAGTCTTCCCTGTATGGATAGCCAGTTATCTCAGCATCATTTATTGAACAGAGTCCTTTCCTTATTGTTTGTTATTGTCAAGTTTGTAGAAGATCAGGTGGTTATAGGTGTGTGGCATTATTTTTGAGATCTCTATCTTGTTCCATTGGTCTATGTGTCTGCTTTTGCACCAGTACCATGCTGTTTTGGATAATACTTTTTGCTCCATTTCCTACTGATCTCTCTGTAAGGAGGTGTAGGAAATGGTGCTCAGCAAATAATAACTAGAGTAATGTGGAGGTGGTGAAAATTCGTATGGTTTAAAGAACATGTTTTCTTTATACTTTTTGAACTGCTTGGCTTTTTCTAAACAAGCAACTATTAATTTTACACAAAAAGGCATTTACTTAGCTTCAATTCTAATAACGTAGGAGAAGAAATGTGAATGGAAAGGAAATAAAGCAGTAACTACTCTTTCTGAAATATCATAACTCAATCAGTGAGTTCAAAATCAGTTTAGAGGCTGGTCACAGAATCATACTATTCTGTCTACATTTGTATATATTTAATATTTTCCTTAAGACAAATTTTTAAAACACTTAGTTTGTAAGTTATTGAATAAAAGACCAAACTTTGGCATACATATAGTCCAAGAACATCTTAATATTGTGCCCAAGTTTCACTGTGAAAATAAAATGTCCTTCCTTTCTTTTGTCTAGTTTGGCTGTTTCTCATATTAATGACAAAAATATTAGAGTCAATCAGGGATGAAAATTATTACTTCTGTAGCTTTTCATTTACAGAGGTGAATTTGTATATAAATTTTTTAGTCAGGAAAAACTGAGTTACACAACCTTTCTTTATAGTTCTCATCTTAAAAAATTGTTTTTCATTTGATTTAAAACCAGACTAATTCAATGACAAAGTAACAAGGCAAGTAAAATTATGACAGATGAGGCTGGGCAGGCAGATGAATTTTGATGTGATATTTGAAGCTAAAACCATGTTATAAAACTCATGTGATTCTATTTGTTTTAGTGGAATTACTAAGCATTTATTCGCCTCTCATGAGCAAAGTGTTTCATTACTGTATTACAGAATTTTTGTAATGTCCAACAACCTTTTGTGTGCCAAGAGAAAGAGAGAGGGAGGGAGAGTTGAATAAAAATTTAAAAACAGCAAACAAAATATTTGTCTCTCTTTTACAAAACCATTTAAAATTCATTGAGTCCCCTTTATTAGCTAACCCAGTGTCACAAACAAAATACAAGGGAGAAGACCGTAATGTAACTTTCTGAGGTCATGTAATGATCAGATTCGTGAAATGCTGAAATAGGAACTTTACTCTCCTGACTCTTCTTCCTTGTAGTCAAGCAATGAAAGGAAAGAATGTTTGAAGTGACAACTTATGACCTTATTGGGACTCTGAGTGGTATAGTAAACGTGATTTTAGGGCAGAGAATAGAAAATATTCTATCTGCTATTTTCTTCAAAAGGTTTTAAGAAGTGCTTACCAAGTCCCTGCACTACCTAGGAAATGACACTAATACATTTAAGCAGATACAACTCCAGTTTTTCCAGAGCAAAGGTTTTTAACTTGGAGACCATGGATCTGTTGAACCAAGAATAAGTTTCAGAGGGTCTATGAAACTTTTACATTTCTATGTTTCTATATATATGACTTATAGAGGAGAGGATCAGAAGTTAAGAGCAAATGCTCTAGAAGTTATGTATCTGAATAATATTACAAGAAGCAAAGAATTTTTAAAATTACATTAAATATTAATTTTTTTTGGAAATAGCATCCCATAAAATGTTGGGCTCACAGGAAACCTCCGAATACTAAAACAGAACTTGTTCTATACGTTTTGTAAACCTACAAACTAGATTCTCCCAACCAAGAACACTCAGAAACCTGACCTGATTACAACATACCTCAAAAATCCCAAGTGTACGTATATCTTCTGGGCTGGTGAACATGGCCTCCAACTCTTCAAGTTTTATGCACAGTAGTAGAGGCTAGAAGAGGAAGCTCAATTTGAATCCCAGGCAAGTCTTTCCAAATTCCCTCACAAACAAAATGCAGTTAGCATTTACAGAATAGAACAGTGCTATTGCATTCTTTTGGAATTTTAGTAAACTATTGTATGAGCCATGATACTTTTTACTTCTTCTCTTATGAGACTTATCTGAGAGGCCAAGAAAAAAATAACGTGTGTTATCAACATTACTTAAAACTCTATAAGTCAACTTTATGGGTTGCAGGTATGAAGGGAGGGTTACAAAGCCCACCAGCTACAGCTTTTCATATATCTCAGTAGAACATCTCTTGGGTCATATCTAAGAGCATATTAATTTTCTAGTTCTTTTCAAAGTAGTATATCACTGAGTAATGGTCTTCTGTTGGCCCTTGTATTATTTAATAAATACTTCGTCTGTTCTTGTGATGTTGACACGTCAGAGTTTCAAACCTAACTGGAAGAATGTTAGGTTGGAGGAATAATAAACTAGATCACCTTTGGAGCCAAAAACTGACGTGATCATGACAAGAAAACATAAAGTTACAGTTTAGTGTTTTTGGAAACATTGAACTCTATACTTCCATTTTTGTTCCTCAAGTACCAAAAGGCATTTATTATGTTCTCTAATTGTTTGCTGCTCATATATGATGGAGTATTAAGCATAAAAATGGCACATCTCTTTTTTTTTCCAAATTATACATGATTTGGTAGAAATGGGAGGGAAAAGAAAGGAACAGGTTAGTTATGTTCTTCCCTATCCCTATGTCTCTTGTCTTTCCAAGTGCAAGAATATTGTCTTTCCAATTCCTTCCATTAAGTATGCCACTTTTGGATTCTGTATTTGTTCTGTCTTTCTAAAGAGTAGCTGACATGCTACTATTTTCATTATCATCTAGAAATATAGGAGACATTCTTCACTGAGAAAAATTCTCAGCTGAAAACCTATGAAGTAAGTTAAAACCACAGTTCTTCTAGACAAAGACGTGACTACAACAGCAATTGACTTAACTGGCAATATTCTAAGCCAAAGAATATGATTAATTACTTTTCTCTATTGTTTTCCACCTTTTAACAGGTGTTACTATAAATTTGGAAACAATAGGATTCCAACAGCTCATGAATTGTTCAATGTTAATGCTGTCCATGAAATATTGTGTCCTGCTTTCTACAAGCAGTGAACGTGTTTGCTTTCTTTTAACACTCTAAAATTTATTAGCATATAGATTATGATGTGAAACACACTCATCATTCCACCAAGTTGCTCTAACCAATGTGCCTAGAAGACCAGCATTATTAAGTCACTCCATATATCTTGGTGACTGAATGGTTGATCTTTCTCATCCCATTGACTAATGAGGAGACACTCGAAGTGATCTCTAAATTGGTATGCAACATGCTCTTGATTTATAGCAGCACCAAAACTTTATACTTATGAGTTCTATGCCGCAGAGGTACCTGTAACTATAACATTTCTTCCAGCGAAAATAACTATGGCACATTGACAAGTCAGCAGAATCTCTTGTCCTCAACTCTTCTTTTTCTCCCCGCTTTCCTTCAACCTTTCAACTATTACCCAAAGTCCAATGGGACCACATTTTGATATTTTTATTTTGAAAGCATTGTAATTCTAAGCTTTTAAGAATTATCTTTATCACTAGTAGATAAAGTCCAGATAAAGTCACATGGGGTGATTGTGGTATAATGGTGGCATTGACAATACCTGTTTGCAAAACACATTTCAGTTAATAAGGTTTTATCACAAGCCTAATTATCTCAGTATTACCAATAATCAGACTGGATCTCTAGGAGATTAATTGACATGAGCTATGTCATGCTGGACTGATTGGCAGATCCATGATTTGGGCTAGTTCTTTGAGGTCTAGTTAGGTGCTCTTTCTACTACATCATATTGTGACTATACAGCCATTTTGTTCCCAAAAGCAACATTTTCAACAAGGAAAGAGGATTTTATAAAGGCCTACATAAGGAGACAATGACAGGATATGATTTGAGCACTGCTATGTGACAGCGTGACAGAAAAACTCACTCATCTTTAAATCCCTCTTCAACTAGACTATAACAAATGTCTAACATTTTAACATTAGTAATACATTCCCTCGAGCAAAGACTTATTTTTCACACATACCCCTGTTAAAATGCAAATATTCCAAAAAGGCAAAAATTCAAGTGACGAAGAGAGTCCATTTGTTACATTTATTTTTAATGCTAGGTGGGAAGAAATTGAACACAGGCAGGTGAGTATTGAGTTTAGGAAGATTTGCTATAAATGTGTCCTGCTAAGGAGGGCAGTTCTGAGCATTTTGTGACAATAGGGTTTTTTTCTGGATTAAGTCTTGGCAACATTACAGTGCTAATGTAGGCCTCGAGTGTTTTTTTATTACTGTTTATTAGTCTTGAGTGTTTGTGTTAGTGTTTCTTAAGACACTAAAAAGAAGCCAGATTTTCCTAGCAACAGAGTCCAAGGGAAAAAGAAGAAAAAAATAATAAAAAGGAGTCAGAAACATTGTGAAATTATTTATTTGGCATGCTGTTTAGTGACCACTTTTAACCACCTCCTTTTTCAATTATTCTTTTCATATTTTCTTGGGAAATTCTACTGCTCAAGGTAGAAGGTAGACAATGGGGACACTGAAAGGAAACTATAGGCTTGGTGTATTACTCAGGGTTTTCCAGAGAAACAGAACAAATAAGATATAGATAGATAGATAGATAGATAGATAGATAGATAGATAGACAGACAGATAGAGAATTGGCTCACCAGAAATTGTGGGGGATGAGAAATCCTAGCATCTGCTGTCTGCAAGTTAGAAAACCAGAAAGCTGGCGATGCAATTCAATCCCACTCTGAAAGCCTAAGAAAGGGGTGGGGGAACTGCTGGTATAAGTCCCAGACTCTGAAGGCGCCAGAACTAGGAGCTCCCATGTCCAAGGGCAGGAGAAGATGGATGTTCAAGTTCAAGAAGAGAGAGAGAGAATTCACCATTCCTCCTCTTTATGCTCAGGTCCTCAGTGGATTGGATGATGCCTGCACACATTGGTGAGGGTGGATCTTCTTGACTCTGGCTATGATTCAAATGCTAATCTCTTTGCATAAACATATTTAGAAATAATGTCTTACCATCTCTCTAGGCATCCCTTACTCAGTCAAGTTGAAACATAAAATTAATCATCACACTTGGGGTCTGGAATAAGGTGGAGGAAGCAAGACTAAAGAAAGTCTGTTGAGATCTCTCTGAGATGGAATTATCACATCACCAATGCCTAGTCTTTTGAGTTATAGACATCTTTATATATTTGATAAAAGCAATCACTCCTCTCTCCAGAAGAATGTATATAACATGGCACAAAATTTTACATAGAATTTTGAAAGAATCATGAGCTACCTGAACACCAAACATAGACTACTAAGAGACCTATGGAACTTACATATTAAAATTTGCACCAGAGGCCATGACTCATAAATATAGGCACATCAATCTTTTTATTATTGTAGCCTCAGTGCCAAATATCATGTCTGAGCACATGGAAGGTACTCAACAACTAATTTCTAAATAAATAGACTTCAATAGTAGTAGGCACCAGTAAGAAAAGAATAAATGACTGCTATATACAAACACATGTGTTAATCTTAAGAAAAAATAATGCGGTTGGGAGACAATTGTCCTTGGATATCTCAGGGTGTATGCATGACCTAGGCATTCTGAGTAAAGGAGATGTTTTGGCAAACATGCCCTAGAAGCTAGAGATGGCGTCTCCCTAAAGATACAAACCCATAGAGACATGCAAATTAATAAAGTCTCTTTCCTCTCTTTCAGATACATTTGTTCACATTACAGGTTAGTAATCTTATCTTCTTCTTCTTTCCCAGAAGATATGTTTAAATTGCAGAGTAAAAGCCTTTCTCTCTGGGAAGGAGAGTGACAGGTGTGCCAGCCAGTATATGTAAGTTGCAAGTCTCATAATTTGGGGTTCCTCCCTTGTGATGCAAGCCCATTGCATATGTAGGTAAGCATCTGGCTGTCACTGCATCAGCTTGTGGGGATTGGAGAACAGGAAACTGCTGCTGAGATGCTGCTTTGGCTACTCTTTTCCTATAAGTAATAAACAGTCTGTGTCTCTTACATAGAGCTTTGTTTTCTTTTGTCAGCACAGGTATATAAAACTATGACAAACTAATTTGTTATATCACACATGGAGGTAATCACAGTTCTGTTATAGTTTCAGACCACATGAAGGAAACCAGACATTAATGGAGAAAACTTTGTATGATTTCTCTTACATTCAGGAAAAAGCAAAACTAATCCTCAGTGATAGAAATCAGAGTTGTGTTTTTCTCTGGGGTATACGAACTGAAAAGAGAAAGGAAGAAGTCTTCTGGAGTGTTTAAAATGATCTATATATTGCTTTAGATGGTGGTTACATGAATATAAATATTCAATTATCACCTAAGATTTGTGTAGTGTACTGCATGTATGCTATACCTCAATAAAATATTGCATAATAGAAAGGCCTATAGAAAAATGCCCTTTAAATTTCAGCAAGAAGTTAAGCTTAAGAAGAGAGCATATGTCTCCAAAAGCTTTTTATGAGGTACCTGACCCAACTTCTCTGACGTATTTTCACTGTTACATAGCATCAGAGTGTGCCATACATCACCTAGTTAATTATTCCTGCGGCCAGAGCTGGGAAATTTGGAAGGCTTGTATAATGGCTAATTTTATGTGTTGACATGGCTAGGCCATGGGTTGCCCAGATATTTGAAAAGATCAAACATTATTTGGGTGTTTCTGTGGGATGTTTCTGGGTGAGATTAACATTTAAGTTGATGGACTTTGAGTAAAGCAGAAAACCCTCTGTAATGTGGTGGGCCTCATCCAATCAGCCAAAGGCCTGAATCAAACAAAAAGATTAGCTTCCCTTGAGCAAGAGAGAATTCAGCAGACTGCCTTCAGCCTTCGTCGGCAACATCAGCAATTCCTGATTCTATAGCAGATGGCCTCAGACTCGAACTGGAATATCAGCATCAGCTCTCCTGAGTCTCTAGCCTGCCATCCTACATCCTGCAGATTCCAGACTTGCTGGCCTCCATAGTAATGTGAGCCAATGTTTTATAATAAATATTTTTATACACGCTCCCATACACAAAGATGATTCCTGACTTACAATGATTTGACTTATGATTTTTTGACTTTACAATGATACAAAAGACATACGAATTCAGTAGAAACTATGCTTTGAATACCCATAGGACCATTCTGTTTTTCACTTTCAGTACAGTATTCAATAAATTATATAAGATATTCAACACTTTATTATATGATAGGTTTTGTGTTAGTTTTGCCCAACTTCAGGTTAATGGAAGTGTTTTGAGCACATTTAAGGTAGGCTAGGCTAAGATATGATGTCTGTTAAGTTAGGTGTATTAAATGCGTTTTTGTCTTATGATGGGTTTATCAGGATATTACCCCATTATAAGTCAAAGAACATCTGTGTATACACACACACACAAACACACACACACTTTCTACATATATATGTATGTGTACATACATACATACACACACACACACTTGTACCCCCACACACATGCATCCTATTGGTTGTGTTCTCTTGAGAACTCTAATAGAGCTTATCACTCTCAAAAGTTCAATATCACCATTGCTTTTACTAATTATACAGCCCTGTCTGTCCTGTCTGATTGTCTTCAAATATGGCAGAAAACCACATCTCAATCCTTACTATATTCCGCCTAAAGTCCATTCCTTCCTTCTGATTAATCCTCTCTACTTCTGCTTGGTTTTTACTGAAATAACAGGTGTGCATAGACAAAATCACGAAACCATATTGAGAATATCATGTGATTGGGAACTCAGAAGGGCCAAAACCTGGGATGTCATCAAAAATCAATCAAAATTTTCTAGAAATCAATATTGCAACAGTATCTTTTTTTTTTTTTTTTTTTTTTTTGAGACGGAGTCTTGCTTTGTTGCCCAGGCTGGAGTGCAGTGGCATGATCTTGGCTCACTGCAACCTCTGCCTTCCAGGTTCAAGCAATTTTTTCTGCCTCAGCCTCCTGAGTAGCTGGGATTACAGGCACCTGCCACCATGCCCAGCTAGTTTTTGTATCTTTTAGTAGAGATGGGGTTTTGCCATGTTGGCCAGGCTGGTCTTGAACTCCTGACTTCAGGTGATCCACCTGTCTCAGCCTCCCAAAGTGCTGGGATTACAGGCGTAAGCCACCGTGCCTGCCTGTAATAGTATCTTTAAACTAGTCTGCTCCTCAGTTTTCCCCTCTCCTTTCTGCATTTTGCTGTATTCTTCATTATATTCTTGCTAAATATGCTACCTCCATTGAACATATGACAAGATATAGCATTATTCAATAGCGGATGAGGATTGGAACATATAATTCTGGCTTCCTGATTATCATGACTCTTTTATATCCATTTACCTAATGTCTTTAGAAAGTATAGTACATAGAAT
This sequence comes from Homo sapiens, assembly GCF_000001405.40. Classification (NCBI taxonomy): domain Eukaryota; kingdom Metazoa; phylum Chordata; class Mammalia; order Primates; family Hominidae; genus Homo; species Homo sapiens. The sequence goes on from NC_000018.10 coordinate 27,399,374, forward strand.
ACATTTATTTTAGTTGAGTTTTATATCCAGTAACAGCTATTAAATTTTACATTTAATCCTAACTGGACTAGTTCAAAATTCATAAGACTAAACACATTTCTCAGTTTTTGCTTTTTTCTCTTAGTCGATTTTATAAAGCTATATAAGACCAACATTCACATAAAAGACAACTTTTACCAACTATTGTGTTTTCTGGCTCCTAAGTTAATTGTACTAATACATATTTTAAAAGAAATTTGTCAATCAGATAAATGTCTTTTTAGATAAAAATATAAGAGCGGCAGTGATGGCTGCTGACATTTATTGGAATATGCACAAATGTCTCACCATAGCTTGTTAAATAACTATTTTCCTGCTGAAAATATGTTTAACTTTTACCAACTTAGCAAAAGTGGATCTGATAGCAATTCTCAGAGCAGGTCTCTAATTTGGTAAATAGCCCACAGAGGTATTTTATTTACATGTTTCAAATCCTTTTTCAAAAAGTAAGGTCTACGTCAATAAAATGGAGGGATAATTTTTACACACACACACACACACACACACACACACACACACACACACTCTCAGACTTTATCTCTAAGAAGAATATGGTGGCCATGAGAATGCATTTCACAAATCACAGAGCATAATTTTCTGATGGCTTTCACTTCTGTATTCTGAAGTTTATCTCCACATTCTGACTGAGGCTATGGCTTCCACCGGCTGCACCCAGCCTGTGCCTGATCGCATCAGGGATGCTAAAGCAGGCCCATTCCTGATACATGTAGAACTCCTTTGACGATGACTTTGGCTCAAGACCTCCCCCTAGGGAACTTCCCTTTGAACTACACGGCAGGCTAGGGGCTTCCACCTGGAGCATCCTCACCCCCGTCTCTCCTCTCAGGATGAGACCTCCGCCACCGCGGTCTAATGGCTTTCCAGGTCTCCCCGGTATCCCTCTCCATTTTCTCTCCCTGGTATCTTCCATAATAGGTCATTTGCATGTTTAATTCTTGATATCTGATTCTCAAAGGACAAAAACTAACAAATACAGAGTTATATTTTATTATTGAAACAGTTTCTTGAGATAAAGACTATGTTTTTAATGACGTCTATATAGAGAAAGAATACACTAAAGGATAACAGAGAAAGGGAAATAGAAAAAAGAAGATGGTACTCAAAGGGCTGGCAGAGAAACAACATCAAAGAGAGGAGAAAGATAGAAGAGGTAAAAGCCAGAGGCTCCCAAAAAGGGAGGTGGAGACAGATAGTAAAAAAGAAATAGCATCAGATGATGAATACAATGGAAAGAAAATCTGACTCCATGTTCCCAAACTTGGCAATGCTGTCAGCTTCTTGCTTATCCTTCACCCCAGGGTGCTGGATATCCTTCACCCCAGGGTGCTGGAGGTGAAGGAGATGGAAAAGTTACCGAAGAGAACAGAAACTCATCTAACATCATCTTTCATCTCTAGTCATTCTTCATGTGGTTCATCCTTCTCAGTCTGAATAACAAAGTTTCTCTAGAAGCACCAGTGTCTACAATTTCAGATTTTAAAAGGCAAAATTTGCAGCTTTTTTTTAGTTCTTGTAAACATCTAGCATATTTTATAATTTAGATATCTATTTAAAAAGACTGGTCCTGTTTAAAATGCAGGATTGATAAATTAAGGGACATTTTCCCTCATCTTAAAACACTTAGCCAATCTTAGTCAATTCGGACTGCTAAAACAGAAGGCCATAGACTGGGTGGCTTAAACAACATTTATTTTTCACAGTTCTGGAAGCTGGGAAGTCTAAGATCAAGGCATCAGCAGATCCAGTTTCTGGTGAGGGCTCTCTTTCTAGTTTAAAGGCGATGATCTTGTATCCTCATATGGCAAAGAGAGATCATTTCTCTCTTGCTCCTTCTTATAAGGGCCCCAATACCATTCATGAGGCTCCACCATCATGACCGAATTACCTTCCAAAGGCATTACCTTCCAATACCATCATAATAGGAATTAGAATTTCAACTCAATTTTGGAATGACACAAACATTTAGTTCATAAGAGTAGCCAAGATGTTCTTTCATTTAATCTTGTTCCTTTCTTTTATTCCTTTATCTCCTGTTGCTTAAAGGAATCATCATTTTTCTTTTCTAGGTGTCAACAATTTTGGCATTGCAGAAGACCATGGAGACAACTTTTTTATTTCTCCATCACACAAGGACTGAAGATACAAAAATGAGTTTTTCTTTCCTATGGCCTTGGACTAGCTATATACGATAGTAATTAGCAAGCAGGCTCTGAATTACACGAGCCCCTCCCACTGACTCTTGTACTTTTTAGCTATAAGAACCTAAGCACGAACTTCGCAGAGCTCCAGTGCTTCTGTTTTGAAAAGAGATAATATTTCCTATGGGATAGGGTTGTCTGGGGGTACTAAATGAGAACTACATACAAAGTACTTAATGGAAGGTATGTAGGACTCAATAGAGGTAGCTATTAAATTGTATGTAAGTAACAAATCCTGATAATGTTCAATTCTGAATAAAACTTAGCAAGGTAGTTTTATTGTCTTTATTATTTTTTATTGATTAGAAAACTGATCCTAAAATAAGTTAATTAATTTTGCCATAGAAATACCCATTTATTGTACAAATTGGTGATTTTCGAACCCAGATCTATTTTCCACTGTCTTGCAGCAATGCTGTGCAGAGCTGGGCCTGCCTCATGCCCTTGGCATAGCTGTGAGTTACTGTGTAAGCTGTGTTCACCTGCTAAAGAGTTCATCTTCCAGAAAAATCAGAGAGATATTACGGGCAAAAGCCCAGAATTCCTTAAGAGTATAGGAAGATGCACAATGAACACTCCCACCCACTAAGAAGGAAGAACAATTAAAGGCTGAACTATGGTGATGCCATATTTTTACATCCGAAGGCACTGCACCACAGGCCCACAATGAACATTTAGCTCTCTTAAGTCTCCACATTCTTTATTCTGTTTTTGGAAAAGCTTCCTGTTTCTAATTTGACAAGCCATCTGCCTTGTTAGCTTTGCTTCCTTTATCATTTTTTTTTTACCTTTGAAAATAAACTCTAGAAGCAGCCCCACGTAAGGCAAAGAAAAATAATGAAGAAAAACATGTGCCAAGGGCTTCACTGACACAACGTTCATCCCTAGTGTTTTTAATTTGTCGATTTGTTTTGCTTGATTGGAGGTCCACTGAATAGGAACATAATTTCTATGCTACTGCCTGTATGCCAATACAATCATTCACTATTTCTTAATATAAAATTGCAAGATGGCTTACTTTTAGAAATACAGCGGGAAATGTAATTAAGTATTGAAAACAGTTTCTCTTTTCCAGTCAAAAGTGTCTGAATAACTTCTACTTATATACTACTCTGTAATTGCCAAAGCACTTTTATATGTATCGTTAGATTTAATCCTCCTATTTACCTTCTCTGGGATTAAATTAGCTTGTAGTTGAGGATGGGGTGGGGTAGATTTTGTGAAAGTTCTACAGATTCTGCTGTGTGTTCTCTTCTTCTTGTTTAAATATTGGAATTTTAGGAATCTGCACAGGTCTCTTAATTTATCACATAGGCCTCAGGTAAAAAAACTGGTTTAGGCACAGGGTAAAAACAGACTTAACCTGTCCCTTCCAGGTAAACATTTGTATTTTAAGTGCATTTAATTATCTCTGAAATTCCACATTTGACCTTTTCACCTTCCCCAAAAACTTCTTGGGAAAGAAACCATTGGTTTGTACTCCTTGAGAAGCCTCATACAAGTTGCTTAATATTTAAAGGTTAAAAAATAATTACTTGGGCTCAAAATTAACAGGTTTTTGCTTGTATTCCCTGTGATGTATGAGCAGATTACTTTATTAGAAAATCATTAGAGCATAATTTGCTTCTACTTGTTGCTGACATCAATTTTTATTTCTTGTAATTAAAATACAGGTTCTTATAATATGTCATTATTGTAAATAGCATGCTGCCAGATATTGATGTGAAATTGTCATTAACCCTAACACCTATGCCTTTTTTTAAAAGTGTGTGAGTTTACCAAGGTTATGCCACATTTAGACCCCTTCACCCTACTTATACACAAAGTGCTCTTTCTACAGACAGCCTGGGATGGGTCTCACAATGAATTTCCATAAATATTTCCTTTTGTGTTGTCTTGCTTTTATTCTCAAAAGCCATGAAAACCCAACTGAATTTGTCTGGATCATTGTGAATGAGTTTCTTACTGATGTAGGAAACACAATATGAGCAAAAGCAAAATCAGAGTCTAAGCAGGACTGAAGAAGATGGGAAGTCTGTGATTTATGCTATTATAAGAGGGAGGCTGGAAATCAGGATATTTAAGAGACAAGGATGCACAGAACCCCAGCTTAAACTTTCTGTTAGAATTTTAGTCTTGTCGTCAAAGTCTTGCCTTACAAGACAAATATGTCTTAGTTTTACAGTTCAACATGCACCAAAAATTTTACCTAGCTAGAGTTTCTAGGCTATTCTCTCCTTGGAAATAAATTATACCTCTCAGAAAATTCAGCCCAAGAACCAGTTCTAATGCTTATGAGAGGGATTCAATGATCAGCCCATATGTGACGAGAAATAGAAACCAGAAGAAAAAAAGAAAAGGTTATTATTTTAACATGCACACTCGGTAAGAAAGCACGTGAGTGTATGCATGCAGACAAAGTGTAAGTCTTCTACTGTGCGCACTTTCAAACTAAATTAATTTGTTTAAAGTTTAACAGTCATTTTGTGCATGCCCCTTTTCTTCATTGCCCATGGTTTCACTTGGCTATAATCAAATAAAACTGGATTCACTGGTTCTCATAACAATAGAGCAGATTTGAGAGCAGAAAATAGGCCTTTGGGATTCAGCATGTGTCCTGCTTTGGAAAACCTTGAAATTTAGCAAAGAGTTCTTGACAATATATTAAAGCTTCTGTAGCCTCTTATAGACCCATTTAACTTACACTTAATCTCTTTTTTTAAAGACATGAGTCCATTCCATGAGGTTTTTTTTTTCTTTTCATGATAGCTGATTTGTAATGCCTTCCTCTGTGTCACGTGGTTATAGAAATCATTATAGACTCTAGATGATAGAAGAAAATGTAAGCATTCTATATCCAATTCTCTGTGCATGAAGAAAAACAAGCCAAACAATGTACATCCAATAGCTATTGGCTGTGCTGGAACTAAAATTTAAGCTATTTACTCTGAAATAGTATGTACTGTACTACGCTGTCTCAGGAATTTGTCTTCTGAAAAAAGACTTCTAGGAAGGAAAAACTGGGTACTGTTCTATTGGAATCTCCTCTCTGGTAAACTTTCTTCCTGCCCTGGTCTCCAATCTGGGAGTTCCCAGCTGACAAGTGTGTTAGTAGCCTTGCCTGTCCGCCATTCAGGAGCTGTAACATGGGGGTTCTGTATCTTAGCTACACATTCCAAATCACCTGAGGAGTCCAACAAAAAAGAGCTTCTATTTCTGGCCATAATTCAACAACTGGTATTGAACTTACCCTAAGTAAGTTGTAAAGAAGTATAAAATTGAACAAAATACAAGGCAATTGTTTTCATACATTAGACAATCAGAGTCAGAGGACTGTGATATTAGAGAGGATGAAAATTTAAGAGATATGACTCATTTTGCCCCAGGTTTTGCCTGGTAGTACTTTCCCAATCTAAGAACAGGAAAATGGAATGTGAGTAGAGGTCAGGTGCCTCTCTGAGCCACCGGGCTTAGGATGGGAGACAGAGAATGCAGCTTAGGATTGCTGAAGCAATTCGGGCTTGTGGAGCAGGATGCAAGAGAAGAGGGAGTCATGTAGATGGTTGTCCCAGAAAATGGCACAGTTTCCCTGCAACACCCTAGCCAAAAGCTGCTCTGCATGTGCAGAGGGGAGATTGTCAGGCCCAGCAGAGAGCAGATGCTGCAGGCCCAATTGCTGTACAGAAATCCCAGAGGCCATGAATGTCTGGGAGAGGTTAGTGGTCTAGGCTGGCTAGAAAGGTGCTGAATTTTGTTCTGGCAGCTGGTTAAATTGCTAGTATATCCTATTGTATCTGTTAAGCTTTGTCTTAAAATAGGAATATAGTGTTTTATTTTCTTTATCCTAAGTCATGGTTAAGGTATAAGTCCTTATTCTCATTACATAGCCTTTCTGGATCTCAGCTGCATGCTCAGCAAACAAAGAACACCACATCTAGGCATGTAATAGTTACACTGCTAAATACAAAAGATAAGCACAAATTTTAAAAGTGGTCAGAAATAAAAACATATATGCAAATGAACAATGATATGAATGATGGCTAGCTACTATTAGAAATAATGGCAGCCAGGAGTCTATGAAATGCCATATTTACAGTGGTGAAAAAAGATACTGTAAACTCTCTCCTTCAATAATGATAGTGAAATGAAGACACGTTAAATAATAGCTGGGAAAATTTGTTCCCAGCATATCTGCACTAACAAGAAATGATAAAGGGAATTCTTGAAGCTGAAGTCAAATATTATTACATAGAAATTTATAATTAAAAAAGAATTTAGAGCACCCCAGAAGTGGTTAATATGTGAGTAAATAAAAAGAACTATCTTTATTTAAAAATTAAAAGACTATTTTAAAAAATTAATATTTATTGTGAGATCTACAGTGTATATAAAAATAAAATATATAAGAATGATAGCACAAAGGATAGGAAATAGATGGAGTTAGCCTATTATGAGGTTCATACATTTCACATAAACTAGTATAATATTAATTTTAAGTAGACAATGAGAAGAATGCATATTGTAATTCCTGAACAGCACTCAAAATTACATAAAGGAATATATCTAAAAACACATCAGAGAAAACCAAGTATAATAATATTAGGATTTTATGTATATGTATATGTATATGTATATATAAAAAACATACATATATCAACACACACACACAGACACACAGACACACACACACACACATACATATATTAAGACAGCATGGCTAAATTTTCAGGATCCAGTAACACAGTGCTTAAAGGGACACTTGTGTTAAATGCATATATTATAGAAAGAAAATTGATTGAAAACAAAAATCTAAGTTTCCACGTGAAGAATCTAGAAGAAGAAGAGTAATACAATCCAAAGTCAAGAAAAGTTAATAATAAAGGGAAGGGCAGAAATAAAAAAGAAAAAAAACTAAAAAAAAAATTAAAGTCAAAACTGGATATTTTGAACAGATTAACAAATTAACAAACTTTTTGCAAGATGATCAAGAAGAAATGAGAAACACTAATTAATGTAAATGTTAGTAAAGAGCCTATAGATATTAAAACAATAAAACACTTTACACCAATACATTTGACAACTTAGAACCACAATTCAGAACCATAGGTTATCAAATTTGACGCAAAAGAAAAGGAAAGCTAAAAACTTTTTATATATTATAGAAAAAAACCTTGAAAAAAAACTACAGGCCTTAATGATTTTACTGGTGAATTCTTTCAACCATTTACTGCAGAAATAATACTAATGTACAAAAATCTTTCAGAAAACAGAGATGGAGGGAGGAAGCACTTCCCAACTCATTTTATGAGGTCATCATAATTGCAGACCAGTATTACTCATGAGCCCAATATTACTCAAAAATCCTCAGACCAATGTTACTCAAAAATTATTAACAAAGTATTCATAAATGAACCCTAAAATATCTAAAACAACTTATATTTAAACTTTTTCATAGGAATGCAAAACTAGTTTGTTAATTCAAATGTGAATCAATACAATTCATTGTGCTAATAGAAAAAGGAAAAAATGTCTTATAATCACTTCAATAGATATAGGAAAAGCATTGAACAAAATTCAATATTTATTCCTGAAAAGAGAGCGAAATTAAGATGGGAGGTCAATTTGTCAATCTGATAAAGGCCATCTATGAAAAATGTACAGCTAAATATTTTACCACTAAATAGTAAAATATTTAATGCTTCCTAAATACATGCAGTGATATATCATGTACATTGATGGATAAACACAATATTGTTGAGACGTACATTTTCTTCAAAGCAATCTATAAACTCACGCAATTCTAACTTCAAAGGAATTCTAAATCTGATTCTAAATTTTACATGGAATAACAAAGATTCAAATAGCCAATACGATCTTGAAAAAGGTCATCTAAATTGGAGTATTTATACTACTTAATATCAAGAGGTACTATAAATTGAAGTACAGTGTGTAAGGGCAAATAGATTAATAGGACAAAGTGGAGTACAGACATAGACCCAGCTGATTTTCAGCAAATGTTTCAGAGCAGTTCAGTGAAGAAAATACAGCCTTTTCAATAAATGGTTATGAAATACTTCTGTGGAAAAGTAAATGTATGAATAAGTAAACTTGATCTCTTTCTCATATCGTATACCAGGGGTTGGCAACCATTTTCTGCAAGGTTAGCGAAGTAAATATTTTTACCTGTATGATCTCAGTTATTACAACCATTGAACTCTGTCATTATAGGGCAAAAGCTGCCATTATGTAACTACCTGAGTAAAACAGTTTCGATAAAACTTTATTTTTTTAAAAAAAGGTGATGGGGTAGACTTTGTCGGCAGGCTGTAGTTTTTGCCCACCCTTGACATTGCAAAGTTTTAGATGAATCTCATATCTCCATCCTAAAGCTAAAATGGCAAGTTTCTGGCACAAAATGTAGAATATCCTTGCAACCTTGAGGTAAACAAAGATTTTTAGATAAGGCACAAAAGTCTCTAACCATAAAAGGAAAAATAACCAGAAAAATAATTTCTTTAAAATTCAAAAAAATCTGTGTATCAAAAGACACTATAAAGAAAATATAAAAATGCAATCTACAGGTTAGGGAAAAAACAATTACAATTAAAATGACTGGCTACACAAAATAGAAAAACCATTTGTAAACATTTGTCAGCACTCACTGAGTTACACAGTAAAGATCAGTGCATTTTGCTATATGTAAAAATTTTAAAGCACACTGAATTTCAGCTTTTAAGTGAAAACAAATGATAACACTGATTCCACAGCTCCCTTTACCCATCTCCCATCCCGATATTCTGCTTTGATAGATATGGTGGGTGGAGCTTCAGTGTCCCATGGCAGGAGAGGATGGATGTCCCAGTTCAAGAAGACAGAGAGAGAGAAAACCATTTTTCTAAAGGTTGGTTTTTGTTCTATACAGGTCCTCAGCAGATTATATGATGTCCACCTGTATCAGTAGTGGTGAATTTTCTTTACTCAGTATGCTGATTCAAATACTAATCCCTTCCAGAAATATCCTCAGACATACCCAGAAATAATGCATAATATTTTACCAACTATCTGGGCATCCAGTCAAGTGGGCATATAAAATTAACCACCACATCAATAAAATACATTTTTTAAATCTTCACTAATATTACCTGTTATTTTCGAATGGGATTTTCTAACAAACGCTGTGCTTTTCTGATGGTGAGGATGTTAATAGGAATAGAGTTCCTTCTCTACTAAAAGCACAAATTCATTTTATCATATCCCTAGTAATACAACTCAAAAAATTAATGGATTATATTCTAATGATTTATTTCCTAATGAAATTCTTTATATTTTAGGAAAAAGGCTATGCAAACTCTTGAATGCTCTAGACAAGCAGATAACAGGAAACAGAAAAAGAGGTAGCTAAGGAAAAGCAATGGTCCAGACTATTGTTATTTAAATAACTTAACTACATATGCAAATTATTTAGTAAAGAATTACTAGAAATGCTTAATAAAAGTATAATAAAACCTCTATAGTTCATAAATATGTATTATATAATTGCAAAGCGCTAAAAAAGAAAACTGGGAGCTTATGCATTTTCCTTTTCTGTAAACACGTTCATTCTTTAATTCAACAAACATATTTTTAGCCATCTATGACATGTCTGGCATTGTTCTGGGCCTAGGGTTTTATCAGTAAATAACACAGCACCCTCTACCCATGGGGCTCACATGAGGGATTTGAAATGTTGGTGAAATATAATAGATCCACATGGAGTCCTAGTGCTTACAGAAATAATTTAAATGGAAAGTAGCACCTCTGGTATAAATACCAAACTAGGGAATCCAAATTGAAAAGAAAATATGAAATGCCCAGAAGAAGGCCATAAATAAATTTTGGAATTTATAATGTCTGGAAAAAGTGAGACTAACTTCTCAAAAATTTATGTCTACTTTTGAAAATCTAACCAAGATTATGAACATCATATATAATGCAAACAAATTCCATGGGGTAAATGAATATTAAGGTAAGATGACATGTACTAGATGTTGGGGTGTTATGAAAAGTGAATCCTAAAAATAACCAATTTCCTTTGAAAATATTGTGAATTCTACATACACGACTATCTTTACTATCTTTTAGCCTAGTATATTCTGGAGAACTGTTGCAATGGAAGACAGACAATGAGTTCCTGGGTTTCCAGTTGAAAGATTTTACTACTTTAAACATTTTAAAATCTTAGGAAAATCTACATGATATCAAAACCATTATTTGTTGAATACTCCTTGTATTCTATGTATTATGATAACTGATTTATGTACATTATCTCATTCTATCTATTCTTCTGACATATCTGTGGAGTAAGTTTTATTGTCCCACTTCATAGAGAAGGAATTTGAAGAACAGAAAAGTTGTTCACCTGTGATCACAAAGGTAGTGAATGGGAGAGCTGTGATTCAAACCCATATTATTATGATACCCAAAACACTGCCATATGTTATAGGCTCCCCAGGCTGTTGTTCATGACATTTGTTCATGTGTTCATTCAACAAATATTTTATAGAACATCTACTATATTTTAAGTGAAGTGCTTTACATTCCATCTTACAGTTTATTTAACCCTTGTGACAACATGGATGAATGCTTCTCATTATCCCAGCATGGCTAGGATAAAAGCGGGCAGAAGAACATGGAAGGACTAGACTGACTGAATCTTCTGGCCTCCATCTTTCTCCCATTCTCAATGCTTCCTGCTCTCGAACGTCAGACTCTAAGTTCTTCAGCTGTTGGACCCTTGGACTTACCCCAGTGATTTGCCAGGGGCTCTTGGGCCTTTGGCCACAGACTGAAGGCTGCACTATCGGCTTCCCTACTTTTGAGGTTTTGGGACATGGACTATCTTCCTGGCTTCTCAGCTTGCAGATGCCCTATTGTGGGACTTCACCTTGTGATTGGGTGAGTTAATTCTCCTAATAAATTCCCCTTCACAAATTCATCTATCCCATTAGTTCTGTCCCTTTAGAGAACTCTAATTCAGTAGGTGAACAAATGTTTCTCGAATATTTGAGCAAAAGCTCCTTGTCTATTTGGTATCTGAAGAAGACAGACACCTAGGATATAAATTAGCAATTCAGGCTATCATTTTAGCAGAATAATAAAGCCTCAATGGGAAGAAATAGAGGCTAGTGTCCAGACTGATTTCAAGAGAGTGGTCCCAGGTGCCCAGAGATAAACAGGCACTGCCAAAAGGCAGTTTGCTTCAAGCATTTATAGGAAAAATTTCTGAGGGAGTTACAAAGAACTGTGTCCCTCCTTTTTTCCCAGGAGGTATGAGCAGAGGGGAACAGAATGACGGCAGTAACGTGCAGTCTCAGCTTTATGCTTGTTTTTCTCTCTGAGGCTCTCATCAATGTAACATGCTATAAATGCAAGCTGGTGTCTTTGATGGAAGAAATGGTGAAAAGGTAAAAAGGATTGAGGAATGCCTTGCAGGATTCTGACAAAATAAGAAAGCCAGGAAGAATAAGTCCCCGAGGAGACAACAGGAATGAAAACAGATGTCCAGAGTTGTAGCTATAAAAATGCAAAATAGAAGAAAAAAGAAAGTTCTTCCATAGCATGCATAATGGATGGTAATTCCAGGTGGCATACTAAACATAAGCAGTGTCAAAACTCTGAAAAAAAAAATAAAGTGATTAGCTAATGCTGGAAGGTGTAAATGTAATCTAAATGCCTTGTTCAGTAAAAGGTTAAGGGCAAAGTTATTCTCCAGTTAAATGGTAAGCTCTTTTGAGGGCAGGAACCATGACACATTGTATTAGTCCATTCTTGCACTGCTATATAGAAATATCTGAGACTGGGATTGGGTAATTTATAAAGAAAGGAGGTGTAATTGGCTCATGGTTCTGCAGGCTGTACAGGAAGCATGGCTGGGGAGGCCTCAGGAAACTTTCAATCATGGCGGAAAGGGAAGCAGGCACTTCTTACAGGGCTGAAGGAGGAGGAAGAGAGTAAAGGGAGAGGTGCTACACACTTTTAAACAACCAGATCTCATGAGAACTCACTCGCTATCACGAGAACAGCAAGGGACAAATCCACCCCCATGATTCAGTCACCTCCTACCAGGCCCCTCCTCCAACACTGGGGATTACAATTCTACATGAGATTTGGGTGGGGACACAGATTCAAACTATATCACACACATAAGTTTCTATCTTTTGAAGCTTGCACAATACCTAACACATTAGTGTCTGTTGAATTGACTAAACATACACAAACACATACAAACAGGAACTGGAAGGCATGGTAGATATCTTCGAAGGATATAATAGCTCTGCAGATCTCAGAGTGCTTAAAAGAAGCAAGAAATACAGAAATAGTTTGTCCTACCAGGAAGAACCAATCAGCAGTTACAAATAAAATGGAAAATCATGAACTACGGTGAGTAATACCTAATGTGAATGATAACAACCTCAAAAGTATGAAGTCAGTGGTTCCTTGGGAAGGACACAAACAAAGAGAGCCAGCAACTGAAAGCCCTTCTGAAGGCCTGGGGCCCAGAAGCAGAGAGCAAATATTAGAGGAAACAATGGCCAGTTTGTAGAGAGCAAGAAAAAAATGTATGGAAAGTATGAAGGAGAGAGAATTCACAAGAGAAACAGACTTCATAAGGGATTAATTAAACAACAAGTGAATTGCAAAGAGTATGCCAATTTTCTGCAACATAAATAACAGAGCAAATGAAACATTTGAAAACCTAGAAAATCAGCAGTGTCTTGAGGCACTAGCCTAGTCAGGCTGCCTAATGAACTGTTACTGACCATCAGTGTGGACCCCCAAATTTAAATTACCAGATCATAACTGACAGAGATATGGATGTAATTAGTTTTTGGAAAATAAAAAAACTATAATTCATAATATTTAGTTTCACTATATAAAATTTTATGTTCACCCACAGCTCAAGTTGTATTTAGATAACCCTATTTTGCCTAAATGCATAATATTGAAACTATAATAAGGCATCTCAGAGTAAACTGAATTGAGTAAACTCTGATTGCCTTGTTATAGGTCAGAGATGGGCCATGCCTCGCTGAATTTTCTGAACCTCTAGTCATTTGGCAGAGAGGAACAAGGGGTTACAGCCTTGGTATCCTGACATGAGGAGACATTCCAATGAATCCTATTAACCAGGAACTAATAGTTGGGGGAAGTGGTAATTTCTGGGTCTCTATTAAAGGGTATAGAGGTAGCTCACCAGGAGGCAAAAGCATGAGGTAGGATGGAGAGAACTTTTAAAATTCATCACTTTCTTTTGGTGTCATTTACTTTTCAGGAAAACTGGAATTGAGGCTATCTTCATAAGGAAGTTGGAATGCATTTCTAATGGATGGTTAATAGATTTTTTTAAGGTTATGAATTCATTTGAAAGGTTTGAATCTTCTCCCTGGAAGAATTCATAAAAACAAAAATGAGCAATTTTATGAAATTCTCCAAATCTTCTGAAGTTTATCCATGAAGTCATATAGATTCCATAGAAGTTGGGTTAAGAAGCCAGCCTCCAGTGACTTTCAAGTCTTTAGTTAAAAGCTAAGAGACTTGGAAAAGTAGAGAATTTATATTTTTGACTATGTTTTAAATTTAAAGTTGTGACTTCACAAGGTATGAGAACCTAATGATGTCAAAATTACAGTTTAATTTTTGAGTCCAGATAAAATTTTTATGACATTGAGACAAACTTTTTTTGAACCTTTACCTGATAGTTCTGAGGCTAATATAAACTAACTAAATAAAATAGATTGCCTCTCTAAAGGTTTAAGTTAAGAATTTTGTGTTATATCAACAGACAGAATTGAGTCATTTAAAAATAAATTGGACAGAATAAACTGAAGATCATAGAAATGTTTTCTCTAGGAGTGAGAGTCTAGAATGAAGAACAGAACTAAGAAATAGTGAAGATGCTGACCTAAAGAACAATGGGAAAGAAATTAACTCAAAAAAATTCAATGCTCTGACAGACAGGAAGAAAGAGAAAGAGAAAGAGGGAGGAAGAGAGGGAGAGAGAGAGAGAGAGACACAGAGAGAGAGAGACAGAGAGAAAGAAAGAAAAACTCCTGCTTGCTTTGTTTTCCAGAGAAAGAGAGAGAAACTCCTGCTTGCTTTGTTTTCCAGACAGTTAATTTTCTATAACATATTAACAAATTGGAAGAAACGAAAAACCATCAGAGGTATTAAAATTACCAGACAAGGCCTAAATCAAAGCAGGAAAAACCAGAAAGTCCTTTCACCCTTGACAAGTTTCAGATTCCCTTGAAATATGAGCTTTAGCCTCAGTGACAGTAATGGGAGTTATACGTGCGCCTGGAGAAAGGAATCACCCAGTTATGACAGCTGCATAACTAAACACCATGAATCATGTTGGAAAAGTTCCTAGGAGCCAGATCCATGGCCAAAAGCCATGAAAACCCCCAAGGAACGAATGAATCCTGACTTTTTAGAGGGCTGACTGTTGGGAAATTGAGGGCCCATTAAAATCGTTTGAATGCTGCTTTTTTCAGATGGTGAAACTCTGACATAGAAAGAGAGCCTGAGTAGTTTGTCCCCTATTCTGAATATAATTTCTAACAATGCCAAAGGAGGAAGTCTTACTTCAAACCATGGGCAAAGGACATAGCCTGCAGAGTAGAACAAAACAATTTTCTTAGCTCTTTGTTACATACCGACAAAACAGATAAAATTGAACTATCCTCACCATAAGCAGTTTCAAACCATTCTAACGGTAAGCAAAAACTAGTTGTTTGCCTAAATGCTAATGATGATTCTTCACTATCACAGTGGATTAAATTCTATGTAGTTTGGTGTTTTGATTTTAGTAAGGTAATATATTTCCCAGGATCGCTGGTGCAAAAAAGATTAGTCCACTCATAATGGTGAAGAGTCAGGGCTGGCCTTGTGTGGGGGAAGTCATACATATCATTTCAAACCCACTGGAGGGTCCCTTTGCTTAAACAGTGACCTACTTACCCTGCTCTCTGATGTTCAAAATGTCAAAAGTATATTCTTTTATTTTGTTTTGTTTATACCAAATAGACACTTTGTCTTAAAATGTAAATATCTCTTAAAGAGGGAATACTTCACGTTTTCTTAATCATTTGCAACTCACAAAGATATTATATGCAATATCTTTTTTTTGAAATTCTGTCTTCATAGATCTGATTCCTTACATTCTGTGGCAAGATAAAGAACCAGAGCTGGAGACACTGCAGGTGGCCAAACAGTGTGCTGTGGGGTCAGCCTAATACATATGCAGAGTAGAGAATGCCCATGAACCTGTTGGAAACTGGTGTGTTACTATGATTTTCAGTCTCTGCAATCATATTTTCCACAGGTACATATTTTTAGTCTTTTTTATGGCAGAGTCACCATTTTGGACATTCTTATGTATTAGATACAAGAGGGTTAGTGAAATGCATTCTTTTTTCTTGGTCTACAATAGTATATTTTAAAAATCTTTTGAGATTTATATTAAAAATAATTCATGTTGAAAAAAGTTGCTATTTTTTTGTGCAAAAAAATGCAGTTAGCACTGATGGCTAAACCAGCTGAAAGTGCATTATTAACGACATAGTAGAGAAAAAATTTTAATATATTTATTTTTTAAATGTGATTTATGCCTATAGTTGAGCATGGATATAAAATGTCCTTCAAATTCATTTCAAACAGTCTTTGAAAACACACTATTTGTAGCAGTCAGAACACTGGTGCACGTATTCATGCTGATCTGCTATAATTTTTTTAGGATCCCCTTAATTTAAGGAAAATAGCTCCTTACAGACCAATGTAAAAGCGCAGCCTGAGCTATCTCCCATTACTTGTTCTCCAGTCTACTATGTTCTATGAAGTTATAACACATTAAAGTTGCATAAAAAGACTTCTGAGACATCTGAAGATTTGAAAGAAAAAAGGCTCTAAAGGCCAACTGTGCCTACTGGTACAGAGATTTGAAAACTATGGCCGTCATGCCTATGCACCTCATACTCGAACAAGTGAGTAGTGCAAAGTTCATCAGAGGGCCACAGAAGCAGAAAACAACGGCTGTAAGTGCTTTCTTTGTACCTGGACTCCTGGACCTAGGGAACCCTAACAATTGTGCATCAGATCCAAAGGTAAAAAGGCCTCTGTAGGGAAACTGAGTAGAAACTGTACTGAAATGTACATATCATGATCATTGTGTAAATAACCAGACCGAGACAATCAAAGTGAAATTGATAACATGAATGACCCTATAACCATTGAAGATTAAATTTAATATTAAAAAGCTCCTAAAAGAAATTTCCAGGCCCAGGTGGCACCACTTGATAATTCTGCTAAACATTTAAAGAGGCATTAACATAAATTTTACACACTCTCTCCCAGAAATAGAAGAGGACTAAACACTTCCCAACTCATTTTATGAGGCTAGCATTTTGCTAATACTAAAATTAGACAATCAGGTAAAGATAGTTTTAAAAAACTAATAAAGAAAAAAAAGAAAGATGGCTACAGATGAGTATCTCTCATGAATTTAGATTCTCAAGTAATTATTAGCAAATCAAATCCAGCAGTATGTAAAAATAATTATACACAAAGACCAAGTGGGATTTATTCTAGGTATGCAAAGCTGATTTAACATTAAAAAATCAATTAATCTAATCCACCATATCAACAGGCTAAAGAAAAAATCATAAATCATGTAATCATATCAACTGATGCAGAAAAAGCATTTGACAAAATCCAGCACTCATTCATGATAAAAGCTCTCAGAAAACTAGAAAGAGAGGGAAACATTTTTAAGTGGAAAAAAGCCCTATACAAAAACCCTGCAGTGAACATCATACTTAATGGTGAAAGACTGAATGTTTTTTCCCTAAAATTAGGTAGGTAGAATGGAAGAATGTCTGCTCTCATCATTCTTATTCAAAGTATTGGAAGTTGTAGACAGCACAATAAGGAAAAAAAAGAGAAAAGAAAAGAAAAAGGCATCCGTATTGAGAAGGAAGAAACAAAACTGTTGTTATTTGCAGATGACATGATTGTCTATGTAGGAAATCCCAAGGAATCTACAAAATACCTCTTAGAACCAATGAGTTCATCAAAAGCAAAGGATAGATCATCCTAAAAAAATTAATAGCATTTCTGTAAACTAACAATGAACATTTGGACATTTAAAATATAGTATGATTTATAATTGCTCTAAAATAAAATATTTGATATAAGTCTAACAGAACATATACAAAATCTGAATTCCAAAAATTACAAAATGCTGATGAAAGAAATCAAATATCTAAATAAGTAGAAACTCATACAAAGTTAATGGACTGAACAAATTAATATAGTAAAGATGCCAATTGTCCCTAAGTTGATCTACAGGTTGAATGAAACACCTGTTAAAGTTCAAACCAGTGGTTTTTGGTACAACACAACAATCTTAGTCTAAAACTTATATATAAAGGCACTGGAGCTAGAATAGCTAAAATAATTTTGGAAAAAGAGAATAGAGTGGTAAATATAACTCTATGTGATGAAAAGGCTTATGTATAGCTACAGTAAAATCAACACCTATCATACACACATTGATCAACAGATCAGAAAAGAAAACTCAGAAATAGACCTATACCAATATGCTGAAGTTATTTTAGATTTTTGACAAAGGTGCAAAAGCAATTCAATGGGGGATAGTCTTTTTAACAAATGATGCTGGGGCTATTACAGACAGGCAAAAAGAAAATGAATTTTGACCTAAACCTCACTTCTTATACAAAAATTAACTCAAAATGGATAACATACCAAATGTAAAACATAACATTATAGTAATTTTAGAAAAAAATATAAGAAAATGTTTCAGGACTAAGCTAGTCAAAGAGTTCTTAAACTTGACACCAAAAGCATAATCCATAAAAGCAAAAACTGAAAAATTGATAAAGTGAATCTCATCAAAATTAAAAACTTTTGCTCCACATAGACCCTGATAAGCAGATAAAAAGCCAAGCTACAAACTGCGTGAAAATATTTGCAAACCATCTATCTGACATAGGAATTGTATCTAGAATATGAAAAGAATTGTCAAAACCCAATAGTTAAAAAATCAGTTTTAGAACATTTTACCCACCCCAAAAGAAACTTAATACTCATTAACAATCATTCCCAATCCTACCCTCCTACTATTCTCCCCAGACCCAGGCAATGGCTAATCTAATTTCTGTCTTAATTGATTTACTCAAATGTAATCATACGATATGTGGCTGGCCTCTTTGACTTAGCATGGTATTTTCAAGGTTCATCCATGTTGCCACACGCATCAGTACTTCATTCCTTTTCATAGATGAATAGGATTACATTTTCTGGATATATCACATTTTGTTCATCCCCTTATCAATATGAATAATTGACTTGCTTCCATGTTTGGCCATTAAGAATAATGCTGCTCTGAACACTCATGTCCAAGCATTTGTATGGGTGTGTGTTTTCCATTCCCTTGGGTATATATACATAGAAATGGAATTGCTGGGTCATGAGATAACTTCAGGTTTAACATTTTGAGACGTTGCAAAACTGTTTCTGAACTGGCTGCAAATTTACATTCTCACTAGCAATCGTACAAGAATTCCAATTTCTCCATATCCTGGTCAGCACTTGCTATTGTCTGTCTTTTTGATTATAGCCCTCCTAGGGGATGTGAAATGGTATCTCATTGTAATTTGGATTTGCATTTCCCTAGTGACTGAAAATGTTGAGCACTATTAGTGATACATATTTTATCATTTGTATATACTCTTTGAGAAATGTCTATTCAGATACTTTGCCCATTTTAAAATTAGGTTCGCATTTTATTATTATTATGAATGTTTAAAAGCTTTTTTACTGCAGATCAATTCCCCGTCCCCCCTTAAAAAGAAACAAAATGAACGTATACATAGGATGGGAACTCTGTTGGATCGTTCAATTCACCCAGCCCCTTGTTGACCATAGAGGTGGGGGGAACAGGCAGTAGGTTTTATTAGTCAGGCTATATCATAGCAACCAGATGTTTTGATGGCAGCTTATTTGAGGTCCACTGATGCTTTGAATATGCAATAGGAAAGCATGACTGTCATTTCTCACCTGCACATATCTGAACACATTCAGATGCCAAGGAAACTACAAAGAAACAAAAAAGTATATTCATTCCAAGATTCATTGATTGAGATTTTTAAGTGCCCCTTTTTTCCCATAGAGAACCAGAGCAGTGATAACGTGCCAGGAGTGCTGTGTTTTCTGGCATGAGCTCCCATCCTCTGGTGGTCCTGAGACAGTAGATTGATCCTGGAGCCTTCTTGAAATGAGCAGGTGGTCCAGTCGGGTAGAATGTGTGTAGCCCAAATACTGGGGGTGGAGGTGGGGCAATGTTCACCATAGCTGGAGAGCCGCTTGAGAGTAGGTGGAAGGAGTTGGCAGATGCATCTTCTGCTGCTGCAGGAGAAGGAGCTCCTAGCAGAGCTGGAATGAGCTCTAGCTGGATCCCAGAGTCTGTGGTTCTGTCCTTTTTTTCTTTTCCTTTGGCTGCTTGTGATCTTCCCCATTTTACCTTGAGCCTGCAGCCATTGACAGTCAATTTATTAAAGGACTTCTCAGTAGCCACTTCTGCAGCCTGCCCTGTGGAAAAGCAGCACACTGCTGGCCAGGCATGGTGGCTCATGCCTGTAATCCCAGCACTTTGGGAGGCTTAGGCGGGCAGATAACCTGAGGTCAGGAGTTCGAGACCAGCCTGACCAACATGGTGAAATCCCACCTCTACTAAAAATACAAAATTAGCTGGGCGTGGTGGCACATGCCTGTAATCCCAGCTACTTGGGAGGCTGAGGCGGGAGAATTGCTTGAACCTGGGAGGCAGAGGTTGCAGTGAGCCAAGATCACACCACTGTACTCCAGCCTGGGCAACAAAGAATGAAACTCTGTCTCAAAAAATAAAATAAAATAAAATAAAAATAAAAATAATTAAATAAAAATAAAAGCACACTGCTGTCTCTGTACAGTGATCATCCAGATCTCTCTACATAGGTAGGGATGATTTGTTAGCTTGGTCTCAGTAATGATATCCTCCAGACCATCAACATATAGTGTGGTGATAGCCTTATCCTCTGGTGGATCTAGATGAGGCATCGTTAAAGCCTGCTTTAGAAGCTTCTATGCTCCAGCTCCAGCATCATTGTTTCCATAATTCTTGTCTTTAATATGCTTATCAGCAAGGGTATTATCTGGATCTGTAGGCCTCTCATGCCTGTATGGACACGCCTCCTCTCTCATTCTCTCCTTTCATCCAGAAGGAGCAAATGTGGGCCTTTAGGTGATAGGATATGGTCTGGGCCAGATTGTTCAGCATGTCACTGCTAGATGTGACTTTTCCCAGCAGACCAACTGGCTGTGTTCCATCAGAGTTAGAAACCTCTCTTTCCATATTCTGAATGGAGTACTTTTGCTCACCTCCAACTTTGGCATGTAATCTTTTAAGGATAGACCTGCATCATGAACCTGGATGGACAGGCCATACTCTGCCACTAAGAGGCAGATCTGACAGAAATTAGTTAATTTGCTGCAGCTTTGGTACCCTTCAGTCTTCTTGAAATGCATGTGAACCCCAGAGCATCAGCCAAACACTGAATGGTTTGGCACAGATTTTGCATTCCTTCCCACACTTTTCCTTGGTTATTTGGATATCTGGGTTTTCTGCAAGACATGCCTAGCACAGAATGGGGAAGTCTGCTTCTTCCCAGTTCTTCCTGCTGTAGGTGTGGAAACGCAGAGAGGTCACCATCTTGAAAGCATCTGGAGGCAGTGGTAGCTTTGGAGGTGGGAGAGAGGACCACTACACAAATCCCATCAGGCCCAGCCCTAAATTTCATGATTTTTCTGCAAGAATAGTAAAATGGATGACCTTGGAGTCCCATTTCTTCATAAGTGACTTTATGCAATATGAGATTAATTTCCCTGTTAACAATAGTTTCAAGACAGAAGTGAGTGTAGAGAGAAGGGGATGAAAGAAGAGATTTTCAGTTTATAAAGATCTGTACGCTTTGTCTTTTTTTTTTTTTAGTGCATGTACTTCTTTTATAAATGGAGATGGAAGAAAAATGATGGCAGATGCTGTTTGGCAGCAAAGCAGCAGTGTTACCCTCATCACTATTTGTATTCAGATAGCGGGAACCTTGTCACTGTGACACTGTGTCTCCGTGAAATGCTGCGTTTG
The DNA here is from genome assembly GCF_000001405.40 of Homo sapiens. Lineage (NCBI taxonomy): Eukaryota > Metazoa > Chordata > Mammalia > Primates > Hominidae > Homo > Homo sapiens. The sequence goes on from NC_000018.10 coordinate 27,420,869, forward strand.
TGACTAGTTGTGTCCAAAGTTTGATTTCTCACAGATCAGCAAGGGGCTGGGATCCTGTCACAGCCTGTTCAGGGTTGCTATGATTATACTTGCCTTCCAGGAGCTGGGTGCACCCCACCCCTTCCCTCTGCCCTTCCTCTTCTCCTCTTATTTTGTTATTGAGTTGTAAGAGTTATTTATATATGCTGGATACCAGTCCATTATCATATATATGATTTGCAGCTAGACAGGATTTTAAGTATCAACAAGCATAATCTCCATCTTTCATAAATGTGTGCCGAGGATTAGAGACATTAAAAGAGAAATGATAGATCATTGATTTGGGGCAGAAACAGACTCGCATCCAGATGTTCCTACTATCAGGTGTGGGAGGATACTGCAAATGCAAAATAAATGAAGAAGTATATCTTCCAAGCTTCATACTTCTTCACTTCAGCTCAGCACTAAACTAAATGCTCTCATGAAGTAACAGAAGTGTTTAACTCCACTGAGCCCCATATTAGGAGTCACAAAAGAACTTCTCTGTGAACTTCATTTAACCTTTCTGACCAAGGAGATCTTTTCCATTGAAGTAATATCTAATGGAGCATTTTCCAAGATGTTTTTTATTGATATGCGTAGCAAGAGATCCATCCTGATGGGTATAAACACCCTTAAAAGGAAAACATGTACAAAACAGTACATTATTAATGAAGATTGTACTCAATGTATAAGACCACATGAGTAATGTTAAAAATCACAGAAATGGTGTTGGTTTCATTTTGGGGCTTTAAGAAATACTGTGTCATTAGAGCATATGTGACAGTCTAGTTTGAAAAATATAACAAATTAAAGTGGGACTTTTCAAAAGGGATTTCTTTCCGAAAAGGTCAGCTATAAAAACAGGGAGTGGGGGAGATTTCTTACTCCCAAGATCACCAAAATAACATCATTTATTGGACTTGATGCCCATATGTGAAGTTTTACAATGTTCATCACTAAATGTAACAAATGTAGTTAGAAAGCAGTAAACTTAGAAAAGAATCAGTACCAATGATATAGGTAATAATAACAGAGAAAATTGAAAATTTTTTGCCCTTTTCCAAATACATATATCATTTTGTTTTTAGGTTAGTCATTTTAGGATAAAAACTAAGATTTTTTGGGGGGGGGGGCGTGGTTTACAACCTCCTCCTCCCAGGTTCAAGCGATTCTCCTGCCTCAGCCTCCAGAGTAGCAGGGATTACAGGCGCCTGCCACCACGCCCTGCTAATTTTTGTATTTTTAGTACAGACAGGGTTTCACCATGTTGGCCAGGCTGGTCTCGAACTAAGCTCAAGTGAACCGCCCACCTCAGCCTCCCAAAGTGCTAGAATTTCAGGCATGAGCCACCGTGCCTGGCCGTGTGCACAGATTGTCTTTGTGTCTTACGGTTCACATTTTGATGTAAAGAGACAAACTGCACCTCATTTTAATGCTAAAACCCTGCCCTAAAGTGAACATGTGATGTATGTTACATGTATGTTTACCGGTTATGCATGTGCTCAGCTCCCCTCATAAATATGTGTAGCTTTTTCCCCAAACATGCTGAATATGCATGATACAGACACTGTAATGCATAAAACCCAATCTGTCCTTCCCCTTTTCAAAGAGAGAGCACCTTTGTTCCACACTGGAGACTTTCTTTTCCCAGCTTGGAAACCATTATCACCAATAAAGCTCTCTTTTCTACCGTTTAGCCATCCTGGTGGTCTTTTGGACAACAGATGCCAATAGGTATTTCTGCACTTCAGCTCGTACAGGCAGCATTCTGGGGAGAAGAGGTGTACTTTCAGGGCTGTTTGCTCCCAAACTTTGGATGGAGGAAAAGATGGAAATAACTAACAGGAATTTATCTAGAAATAATGAAAGAAGTCTCTTTCATGGTAAGGATTGGGGTTGAATTTCTGCAGAAATTCCTAAGGTATGTGAAAAATTTGGAGTTTTTGCTGGTGGGCCTAAAGACTAAGAAGTGAGAAGAAAAGAGAAACCATGTGTACCTAAGCAGGAGAGGGGCTCTGCAATGTGCCAATATGCTGAGGCCCAAGAGAGAGACAGCTAGCATGACATCTCTCCATCTTTGACAGACAGTGGTTTAGGGGCCCTCTAGGAGCAGCTGAATTCTGAGTTGTGCTTTTTTGTTAATTCTCTTATGATAGTCTCAAGTCACTTCTAAAGCTTTTTGAACACAAAAGTCTAAATTCAGTGGGGTTTAGGGAAATGTAAGCTGGAGCTCTGCAGGTGGGGCAAAGCAGACCAAGGAAAGTAATGCAATACAAGAAGCAGTCAGGAGACAGCAGGAAGAAATGAAAGAAGATGCCGGGATGGCAGTCTGGAGGGAGAGGTGACAAGTGACACCCAGTTTGCACTAGGTACTCCCTAAGCATTCTTAACATTTCTTAGGAAAGGGCCCAGGATATCTTCTGAATTAGGGACTAGAGTATTTTATTTTCTCCAAATAATCAAACCCACAATAATTTTCTTGTCCAGAAGACAAGAAAATCTGGAGAAACTTAGGGTGCATTTGTAAATTCTGGATTTGCAGTGCTAAGCTGGAAAAGGTCAGGTCTTCTACATCACTTTAACAATGCCATGCAGCCATGTGCTGGCCTCATTTCCAACAACAAAAAAAGAAGAAACAAAAGCTGCAGATCCCTTTGTCTGAATTTTCTGACACCTATTTTTTATAGAGTGATCTTTCTTTTCCTCCTGGCTTGATCACGTCACTCATGGTGCTCAAGAGTGCTTCATAGGGAGATCAGCGACTTTCTCAAGCACGTGATTGGATGGCACATAATTCTCTTTGGCTGAAGGAGCAGTAGCTTCTTTACAGTTGAATAGATTTCATAGTCAGCAATCTCAGAATTATATTAGAAGATAATTTCTTGCTGACTAAACAAATCATGGTACAATATAAGTTAGACACCTTCTCTGGAATTAAAGCAGCCTTGGTTGCTCTAAATATAAAAAGAGAACATTGACCTTTCAATACTGACCATACAATGGCCAAACATCTTTGCTACAACATTTGCAATTTGCAGAACAAGGAGTTGCCATAGCTCTGCTGAATGATCATTTGTTGGATTCCATGAATCTCAAAAAAATGAAAGGATCTCTCTTTAGGTGTGTCTGGGGCTATCAAAGTAAACAAGTCAGATGAATTATTGATAGGCTTTGGATCAATGAAATGCCACTGGAATGACAAATGATAAGCACAGTAAAACTGTCACAATCCTTATTCCCCAAATACTGTTCACCAATTCCTCCCACCTAGCCTTACTTATATCAATCTATCTCAAATGACTTCTTCCCCTACAACCACCACACACATTTTTCCAACATCAATTAATTCTGTCTTGTCTCATAAGACCTATTTGTAGGGTCAGCTACCCCATGAAACCTTCTCCAAATAATCAAACCCACAATAATGTTCGATCTTCTCAACACTAACTTTTAGAACTTCTATTATTTGTACTAGGAATTAAATTACCTAAAATCTATAAGGTTCCTGGTACATTCTAGCCCACCCCATGAAAAGATCATTGAGTTAAAGTCTAAAGCCTTCATAAAATTGTTAGTTCCCTCCCGATCTCCTTCTCTGTTGGCACTTAGCATAGGGTACCACATCTGTGTATTATGGCTTCTTAAGAATCATGTTTTCTAACTTTTTTTTCTTTCGTACCTACTATCTATCCTCCACAAATATAAAGAGTATTTTAATTATCAATTTCTGCAGCTTCCATTTCCACCGTGACACTGAATTGCAGAGAAGTGTTGGACTAAATGTTGCCATAGATCAATATTATAAAAAGGCCCTATTCTTAGTCTGGTGCCACCCATGAAATGGAACAAATATTAACTAACATGAAAAGTGACATTCACCTATGGATTGTGCCATAAAGTAGTGAGCAGTATGTCAAACATAAATGTGTTTCAAATGTGTATTCAAATTTCAGGTATAGTTTATTGAAGTTTACCTATAACTTCTCATCCCTGGCCTTTGGAGTATACATTTCTAAGCTTTTATTAAAAGTATATTAAAAGTTCTAGGACAGGGGCCGGGCGCGGTGGCTCACGCCTGTAATCCCAGCACTTTGGGAGGCCGAGACGGGTGGATCACGAGGTCAGGAGATCGAGACCATCCTGGCTAACACGGTGAAACCCCGTCTCTACTAAAAATACAAAAAAAAATTAGCCGGGCGTGGTGGTGGGCGCCTGTAGTCCCAGCTACGCGGGAGGCTGAGGCAGGGGAATGGCGTGAACCCGGGAGGCGGAGCTTGCAGTGAGCCGAGATCACGCCACTGCACTCCAGCCTGGGCGACAGAGCGAAACTCCGTCTCAAAAAAAAAAAAAAAAAAAAAAAGTTCTAGGACAGCAAATCTATGGCAATGTCAGACTTACTGTGTCCTGCGAAGGACCTCTTTAAGAAGCTCTTAGGAATTCCAGGAGCCCCACTAGTATCCTTTTTTATTCTTAGTTAAGTGCTACAATTCATTAGCATGGATGGGTGGCAGAAATTCTGTCATGACATATTTGCACCAGTAAGCTGAATGTTGAGTTTCTTAAAATACAGCTAGCAAAAAACAGGGGAGGCAGGAATGCCTGTTTAATAGAGCAGAATCTCCATCCTCCAACCCCAGTTTGAACCTAATATGTTAAGAAATGCTTTACAACAGAGAATTACTACAGAGTGTAAAGCACTACTATACTTCATTATGAACTAACAACATTTTTTGTTGCTACCTTTAAGAAACTAATTTTAGTTACATAGTACATATACATAGGTTTAGTGAAGCAGAACGCCCCCACCCAAATATTTTAAATGTAGAATTGATTTGCTAAATAATCTAGGTCATTCACACACACCCCAAAAAAAATCCACCCCAAATACTCTAAGTTGTAATGGTTTTATAATGAATTTTTCAGATGATAAAATCTGTGTAAACCAGGGTTTCATAAAAGATAAAACAATGTGACTTATTAGCTACAGAACAATGATAAAGCATGCTAGTCTCCAGATATAAATATCACATGAGAAAGCTCCATAATATGATGGTGCTTGTTTCGGCCTTATTGACACCAATTGGCAAAAACCATTCTAGCCCATAAATGGTTCCTCAAGTTTATATACCTGTGTCCTCAGATATTATTTGCTGCTACTGATTGTATGTCTTTGGAAATGCTGTCCCTCCCCATTTGCATTTGCCAAAGTTGGGTTAAGAGGATTGGATGCCTTGGTGTAACATTTTAAACCCACTCCCTGCTGTGGTCTTTAGATGTTGGTCTTTAGAGGCACATTTGTTGAGACATGGTTGAATAACGGCACTGCACAACTGCTTTTCTAGAGAATATATCCCATAACAGAATTTCTTAAATTCATATTTTCAGTTATTTGCTACAGAGACATACAGATCCACTTTATTGCACCCTATTATCTACCCCCTACCATGCCTTTGGCACTTTAAAACCTGCTTAGCACAAGATAAATTATATTTGTACACTTAAACTCTTAGTGTCCTGGGGAGTTTCCAAATATAAAATTTATTTTTTTTAAAGTACATCTTTGAAAACAACCAAAATGTGGTGAAACAGTCTTTGAAATGCAACATGGCAGATGGACAGAAAACTTTACTAGCATGATGGATGGGTCCTTTATTTATTCCTCTGTGAATGGCTGCTGATCATAATCACTTTTATAGCTTGACTGCAACGAAAAGGATTATTTCTTTTGTCCTGGAATCTCAGGATGAGCATATTTGTTCAGAGGATGAAGGGGACCAAATTAGACTGAACTACTGGGGCATAATAAATTCACAGCAGTCACAAGCCAATGTTCTTTAATTCTTAAGACACTATCAACTTTAAATATTCTGATCCTCTCACAGTTAGCTCACTTATCCTTCTGTCCTTATTGAATTAACTTCCTTTTCTTTTACATTGTCTCCTGAGGGGACCTCATTTTAAATCTTTTCAGTTTAATTCCATTAATTGGCATTTTGTCTGGTCTCATGTTCTCCTCTTGAGTCTTGAACTTATGTTCCCCTCAGTTCTTAAACTCCTTAGCTATATTTTGCAGCTTTGAATGACAACTTGCTCCATCTGTAGACAAAGCATGTGCATTCTTATCTTTCACTTCCAGGCTAATGTTTAACAATGAATTCACAATCCTGGCGGTTTATCAGCCCATTAAGTAAACCAAAATATAGAGTTCCTTGATTTTAAAGCCATCATACTGAAATCCAGGGAAATTGGCTCACTAATTTGAGCATAATTTAAAAGCTAACAATTCTAAATTATGGTAAGTAGATCCAAATAAGACATATTTATCTTTGCAGGTCCTCCTGCCTACAACTGAGACAGATCTAGAGGTCATACTGTCTTGGGCTTATATCTGTTTCATCTTCACCACTTATTAGCTAAGTAATCATGGGAAGGTTATATACATCTCTAACTCTCAATATTTTCCTCTCTAAAATGGGGGTAATAATGAAAGTTCATTTTAAACCATAGAGATGTGATGAAGATTTAATAGGATAATTGTCACAGAATGCTTAATATAATGCCTTGCATAGAAAATAATCAATGCTAGCTATCATTATTGTCATTACTATTAAAGTACTATCACACCTATTAGTGGTGTATTTATATCCTTCCTGCAAAGCACATCTAAGTCTCACCTTATCCGAACCCTCAGACTCCACATGGAGAATGTCATGTTGGGAAGAAGGCTCTGTACAACTTGTCACTTATTCTGTTCCACTGTTATAGTCATCCCTTCTCTTTAATTAAACTGCAAATCACTTATGTAGAGAGAATTTGTCATACCTTTTTACAAACCATGCTCAGCACAATGTCTTATTCTCACAAAAAAGGTGGCATACTCATCTATTATCAACAATAAAAGTATGAGAAATCAGATATTATTTTCAACTTACTTTTAGAAAGAGGCTAAAACTAGAAGCAGATGGTAGGTTATTATAGGGAGATGTAAGGATTATTGAGTTAATCAGAGGGGGACAGTTTAGGGAAATAAGAGGAGAGATGAACCTATCTCTTAGCCAGTCTTGATTATCCATAGAAGATAAAAAGAACAATTGAGTGATAAACAAAAATCATAGTGCTCATTTTCACAAACTTATATTTAATAATTACATGATCCCATTGCATTAAATCATCAAATACTTACACAAAAGATTTGGAATTGACAGTGATGTCTGCACGAGGGCTGACTAGAAGCTCCTAGTGCTCTCCTCCCATGTAAAATAACCCAAAACAATGAATAAACAACTACATTTTGCCCAACATATCTAAAGGAGTACCAAATACTAGCAAAGCAGCAGCAGAAATCCTGTAGAACAAGAAATCTAGGATGGCTGCATAGAGAAGGGCAGGGAACAGCTTGCTTTCGCCACCTACTGCTCTAGTTGAGATCAGCTCAGCACCAGGAGGGACTTCTCTCTGTGGAGAAAAGGTAAGCAAGAGGACCCCAGAAGCCCCCACCACTGCTGCAGACACCTGCAGTTCTCACAGGCTTGGAGCCCAGCTGAGGGAGTTCCCCAGAGTCTACTTGCCAAGCTACCCTCCGAGAAGGAGCCAGTGATGCTGTGTCTCCCCTTGTTTGGCCAGTGCTGCTACTGCTCTGTGCCATTTTGGAACTGGAGCCACTGCTACAGTGCATCCTGCTTCAGAGACAAGTAGCCCTTGCATCCCTCCATCCCTGAGGCTCAGCCTCCGCTGCATTATTCTCACGGACAGTGCATCATCCCCAGACCAAGCTCTTGCTATTGCCAACTCCCTAAGGTTAAACTTCCATAGAGCCAGTCCCTCCCCACCATCCCAGTCACTGGTGGACCCTCCCTTTATGGCTGACCTGAAGTGTGCCCTACCCCAAGCACACAGAGCCTCAAACTACCAGAGCAGTCATGCCTCTGGTGTCATAGCTGAGGCAACACCCCAATTCCCAGGGACCTCATGCCTGCTACACACCAGACAGTCACCATCTTCAAACCACAAGAATCCAGAAGCTCCACTGGCCCATGTAGCACCACTTTCTGGATCCAACCACATGCGGTGCCTTGCATTCCAGGGAATTAGAACTTTGGCTGACCTGTGCCACCCACCCTCCAGAACAAATAACTGCAGCACCCTGCCTCCTAGAACTAGACTAGCTCCCCTAGTACAAGCTGCTGAGGCACCCCACTCCTGAGAGCAGTCATCTGTGCTGCTCTCCGACAACTAGGGTCCAAGCCACAGTGGCATCTTGCCATTCTTGGGTCTTTGCTCCTGCTGCAGCTGGCCTCACAGAGCCTAACATGCTGCCATATCCCACCATCCCAGGTCCTGATTCACCACTGGATGGTACCTCATTTCCTGGAGCCTGAGTGTGCCCTGTTAGTTCTGCATCATGAATTACATGAATTACAGCTGTTCCCAGGGCTCAAACTTCCAGAGAACTTCTTCCCTGAAGCCATACCAGTGCCATGCCCTGCCCTCTACAGTTCAGCACTACAGCTATATCCCAGCCCACTAGGCCTAAGCTGCTAGGTGTGCCTCAGAACAACAGATCCTGGCTTAGTAGAATTGCATTCACTAGTGGCTGTGCCTCAAGTCCTTGGTGCTATAGTAGTTTTACAAGACCCCAACCCCAGGAACTGAGATTCATAGCTGCTCTGAGCACCTGTGCCCTGGATCCCAGTGCTGCTGTGGCTGCCTGTGAGCCATGTGACCCAGAATCCAAGGAGATTCTCTCAGCTAAGATGCACCACTATGAGAAAGACAAGAACAGGATAATCCCTAAAACCCTGGCCCTAATAATCTAGGCAGCCACCATAATTGCCACAAACTCCTGCAAACTAGATGACTGAGGAACCTCCCATCATTGCTAACACTGATCACAACTGAAGAAGCCGCACAGAGATAGAGACTACATCACTGCACCCACATGGAACCAAAATCACTGCACCCTGCCCAATGTGCACCCTCAGGTTCATCTGCAGGTGAAAGTCTTCCCCTATGAAAACTACTTTGCAACATTTGGAAGACTGCACAACCAGATCACAGACATCAAGGCAGAGACACAAGAAACGTGAAAAAGCAAAGGAACATAATGCTACAAAAGAAACGCAGTAATTCTCCAACAACTGATTCCAAAGAAGTAAAAACTTAAAAATTGCCTGAAAATAAATTCAAAATGATGATCTTAAGGAAACCTGGATACAAGAGAATACAAACAGACAATTCAATAAAATCAAGAAAGCAATTCGTTGTCTAAATGATAAATTCAACTGAGATAAATATCATCAAAATGAACCAGACAGAAATCTCAGAGCCTAAAAATTCAATCAATAAAATAAAAAATAAAATTGAGGGCTTCAACAACAGACTAGATAAAGCAGTAAAAAGAATATGTGGACTTGAATATAGGTCTTTTGAAATTATCCAGTCAGAGGGGAAAAAAAGAATAAAAAAGAATGAAGAGAGCCTATGGGACATTAAGTGAAGAAGTATTTATACTATGGTATTTCTAGAAGGAGAAGAGACAGAGAACGAGACACAAGCTTATTTAATGAAATAATTGCTGGAAATGTCTCAAGTCTTGGGAAAGATATAGACATCCAAATCCATGAAGCTTTAAGCCTCCCAAATAGATTTATTTGAAATAAGTCCTCTTCAAGGCACATTATAATAAAACTGGTAAAAGTCAAAGACAAAGAGAATTTTAAAAGCAGCAAGAGAAAAGCATCAAGTCACATAAAAGTCAGTCCCCACTAGACTGTCAGTGAATTTCTTTGCAGATACCTTGCAGGCCAGGGGAAAAGGGGATTATGTGATCAAAGTGATAAAAACAAAACAAAACAAAACAAAAAACAAAACTACTCTCTGCCAAGAATACTATACCCAGCAAATCTGTTCTTCAGAAATGAAGGAAAAATAAGTCATTGACAAGCAAAAATTGAGGGAATTCATTACTACTAGGCCTGTCTTACGAGAGTGCTTAACGGAGTTCTTCAAGGGAAATAAAAAGATGACAATTGCTAGTATAAATACATATGACATAATAAAACTCACTAGAAGAAGTGAATACAAAGTCAGATCCAGAATACTCCAGTACTGCAATGGTGGCATATTAATAATACATACCTCAAGTACAAAAGCCAAAAAGAAAAATGGTCAAAACAGCAATAAGTTGTGAAGTATTATATGATGATGTAAATTGTGACATACAAAATGTAAATTGTGTGCATGAGGGATAAAGGTCTAAGGTTTTTGTATGTGACATAAGTTAATTTGTTATCAGCTTAAAATACAATAAGTCCTCACTTAATGTCATTGATAAGTTATTAGAAACTGACTTTAAAAGAAATGATATATTATAAAACCAATTTTACCATAGTCTGATCGATATAAACAAGAGTTAAGTTCCCATGGCATATTTCTGGTCATAAAAGCATCACCAAACTTCTAAATAAAGACCCCAAACACTTCTAATATTAAACATTGAAATAAATGTGAGTTAAACATACATTTAAGAAAAATTAATTAAAAACTAAGAGACAATTATTTACCCAATTACTCCAGTTCAGTTTCACAAGTGGCTAGAGATATTGCATGATCTCTATTATGTTTGAAATCTTAAGAAAGATTCCAAATTACAGAGACAACAAAACAGTGGTTATCAGAGGTGGAGAGAGGAAGTGGAAACATAGGTCAGAGGATACAAAGTAGCCGATATATAGGATGAATAAGTCTAGAGATCTAATGTACAACATGAGAAATATAGGTAATAAAATTTTATTATATATGGGATTTATGCAAAATGGGTAGATTTTAGCTGCTCTTATCACAAAAACACAAAAAAACTAGGTAACTATGTGAGATGATGAATGTTAATTTGCTTAAGTACAGTAACCATTTTACTACCTATATATATCCCATAATATGTTGTATAACTTAAATTTACACACTGAAATTTATTAGAAAAACAGTTTTGATGAATATGTTCATTTGCTTCACTATAGTAACCTTTTAACTATCTATATGTCCCATAATATTATGCTATATAACTTAAATTTACACAATGAAATTTATTACAAAATAATTTGGAACATAATCTAATACATAATTACATATGTAAATACATTATGTATGTACATAAATACATAACAACCTATCAAAGAGACTAATACTCAACTCAGATAAGTGACAAGTGCTTCAGTGATAACATACTAAAATAAAATGCAAAGCTGTATTTCATCACTTGGACTATAAAAATGGTGCTGAAAGATGGTGTTCTCAAAAAGGTTATGTCCTGGAGAGATCAAATTCTCAAACAGTAATCAACGCTCACCCAGTTTCCTCAAGAATCTCTTGTGGTGACATGGAACAAAACTGGATTGATAAGCCTGTTCAACAATCCAATTGTTCTCCACATTTGAAAATTTAAAGGTGGGCTTAGTTCAGGTTATCACAAGTTTAATCTTATTTCACCTCCATTTCTGCTCATTAACATATTTTATCAGCATAAAGACAGTAACAGCCAAAAAATAAATTCAAAGGTTTCATATCATCTACTTAGAAAATAACAAATTTTTGATATTATAAGTACAACTACTTGGAGATAACATAATTCAGGACTTCGAAATCAGATTACAGAGTCAGAAACTTATAACTTTGAAAGGGTGGTAAAACAGCTAATATATAAACATAATTAGGAAGAAAAACTAGCAGAATTTCATCCTGGACCAGTCATTTCATAAAGTCAAGCAACAAGGCTAATGAAATTAGCCAGCAGGACACAGTTCTCAGGTAGGCAAGTCACCTTGGTTTTATCCCCCGGCCCTGCTAAAGCCCAGGGGGCCATGTTACTGTTACTAACAAGGGGGCTGCATATGCGTAATAAAGACAAACAAAAAAATCTTCTATCATGATTACTATGGTTTAAACATCCCCCCTTTTAAAACTCTTGTTGAAATTAACTGCCACTGTGATGGTGTTGAGAGATGGGACATTTAAGAGGTAGAGCTCTCATAAGATGGTCAATGCTCTCATTTCAGGAGTGGTTAATTATAGCAGGGGTCTCCCTACTTTTTCTCTCTGTCTCTCATGATTGCTTGTCCTTTGCATTCTGCCTTTTGCCTTCCACCATGGGATGAGGCTCTCACCAGATGCCAGTGCCATGCTTCCCAGCCTCGAGAAGCATAAGCCAAATAAATTTTGTTACCCAGTTTGTGGTATTCTGTGATAGTAGCAGAAAACAGATTGATGATTTAGATGGCAACTTTAAATGCAGACATCAGAAATGCCAGACCAGGATCACTCCCTTTGGAAATGAAAGAAAAGGAAACAATAAGTAGAAGTTTGAGGATTAAAAAAAAAATCACTGAAGTAAAAAGTATAACATTAGGATTCTGTTTAGCTTCATATAACAGAAACACAAATAATGTCTTAATTGAGTAGGAAAAACGTTTATTTCTCTTTTTTTTTTTTGGAGATGGAGTCTTGCTCTTGTTGCCCAGGCTGGAGTGCAGTGGCATGATCTTAGCTCACTGCAACCTCCACCTCCCAGGTTCAAGTGATTCTCCTGCCTCAGCCTCCCAAGTAGCTGGGATTATAGGTGCCAGCCACCATGCCCGGCTAATTTTGTATTTTTAGTAGAGACCCAGGTTGTTCAGGCTGGTCTCGAACTCCTGACCTTAAGTGATCCACCTGCCTCAGCCTCCCAAAGTGCTGGGATTACAGGTGTGAGCCACTGTGCCCAGCAAAAATTTATTTTTCTTACACAATGAGATGGCCAGAAGTTGGAAGTCCGAAGTTTGCCTTGTGGCTCCACAACACTATAAGTGACAAGACTCCTGTTCTTTTTCTGCTTCCCCGCACTTAATGAGCAGATGTCACCTTCATGATTGCAAGGTGTCTGCTATATCCCCAGGTATCTGTCCCTACAGATATTTTAAAAGTGAAAGAGCAAAGGCAAAGGGGAAAATGCAAAATGGTGCATGCTGTGAGTGTCCCTCGTTTAAGGAGTTTCCCACAAGTGCCATCTGGTGACTTTAACTTACATGCCACATGGCTTCCTTACCTGAGTGCTTGGGAAGCTCGGTTTTTCCACTGGCCATAATGCTACCCAAGAAAATATTTAGGGTCAGTTAGGAAAGAGGAAGAAGAGAAAGGATCTGGGATAGATAATTAACAGTGTCTATCAAAAACTCCTATCTTGTCAACATTTTTCCTTCAATGAATAATGTGTTCCAATTATTTTACAATCTATATTCTCTTGTGAGTAATAGGCTCAGAGATCCAAATGGGAGTAAACTCCAATGCCCCCAAGTTTTCCAGCCCCCAGGGGTTACCTGTCTATTTAATGTCTAGCTAAACAATCTAAATTTCAGAGGAAATGACCTCACAAACTCTACACTCTCTACTGGGAATTTGTTTTCTATTATCATTTCTGAGAATCCCACAAGACCACTGATGTTTTTCACAGATTTATTTTGGTTGTCTTTTACCATAGACCTTGTCTGGAGATTCTCTTCTCATCACTTCTAGCTAGTTCACAGCTGCTTTTTCAGACATGCACACAGTTTCTCTCCACTGATTTCCCCAAAGCACAGTTAACACAAGTCTATACTTTAAATCTTTTTTAGTTTGTTTGTTTGGTTTAACTGAGGCTTGAATTAACATTAGAATCTTACAGCTCAGAAATGAAGACCTTATGTGAGATATCAGACATCACTATTCCTAGAGTCTAACAGCCATGTCCCTTTAAGTGCTCATTCCTGGCGTAACTCTCCGCTAATTTCCTGCCTGATACCACATTGCAGAGATCAGATCATCTTGTATAGGTGGAAGCCCCTTTCCCATGATCTTTCTTCATTAAACCTAGAAAACCCCATTTTTCCTCTTCTACCCTAGCCAAGAGAAGATCAAAACAGTTACCATTATAAAAATTCATGCAGGGATGCCCTGATACAATTAAATCTATGGAGAATGATTTAAAGTTGGTACTTTGAACCTTCATCTTAAGCATCCGCATTTGGATCATTTTCCTCACTTGGGGCTTTCCCAGGAGCTATTTGAGAATAAAGCAAATGAATATTTTTTACCTAGAAAATTTATGAATATGACTAAAAGGCTTGTTCCCAGAATAAATTGAGGGCCTAAAACCTTTCAAGTATCACTTTCCAGATGACATAATTTTAAGATCAAGGCTCCAACTACAATAGGAAAACATTAGCCTATCTAAAAATGAAGTTTGTTCACACTATTTAGAAATCTACATTGCCATTAACATCCAACATCATGAGTCTCAGCCCCACAGAAACCACAGAGACAATCTAGTTTGGCCTCTTCATTTTAATTTGAACCAACTGAAACTTGAAAGGGTCCCTAAGGTTATTCTGAGAGTCAAAAATAAAACCAAAGATGAAGGACCTGGAGTTTTCAAGCACTGTTCATTGATAACAACACCCAGGATGGTGGTGATCTCTGGCTCCTAGAGGTAAGGGGGGTTATTTAGGAAGTACATGACCCTAATACTTTAGGTAGTTTTCTAAATCTCTTCTTACATGAATGCTTCTGTTGCTTCTAAAAGCTCCAGAAGGTGTACTTCTGGGCATGGGAGGAACACAGAGTGAGAAATATCTGTAATAGAGCTTTCTCTAACACCAAGAAAATATTTCATCAACACCCATGTTCAAGAAAAATGTTACATCAACCTCCATGTTCAAGAGCCCTATCATTTCTTGTAATCAGCTAAATCTTATCCTGGATTTCAGTATGCTTCCCTTTACAAGAGAATTTCTCAAAATAGTTTCTTATAATCATGGATTCCAACTCCTTTTCCCCCATCCTCTTTAAACTGACTGCAATTAGACTTTTACTCCCATTACATTACAGCTCTCTTACCGTAGTCACCAAGGGCCTCCATGTTACATAATCCAGTGACTAACCTTTAATCTTCCTACTTGACTTATCATCAGCAGTTTGGAATAGTTGAACATTCCATACCTAAAACACTTTTTTCACCAGATTCCACAACACTTTCCTGGTTTTTTTCCTATTTTACAATCAATCCTCCTTAGTCTCCTTTGCTGGTTCTTAAATATTCATGTTAACCTTTTACCACTGGAATTCTCCAGTGATCATTCTTGGGTCTTCTCTACTCTGTCCTCTGTATCTTGGTGACCTTTCTCAGTTTTATGGCTTTAAACACCATCTTCATTCTCATGGTTCCTGAGTGAACATTTCTAGCATGGAACTTTCCCCTGAACTCTTGTTTTGAATATTCAACTGCCACTGGCTATCTCCAATAGATATCTGATAGAAATCATATAATTCATGTTTTAAAAAACAGAGTCTTGTTCAGTTCTATCCCATTCAACTTGCTTCTCTTATGCTTCTTCCCACTGTGGATCACCGCAACCTCCACCTCTTGGGTTCAAGCGATCCTCCTTCCTCAGCCTCCCCAGTAGCTGGGATCATGGGCACCCACCACCATGCCCAGCTAATTATTTTTAGTAGAGACAGGGTTTCACCATGTTGGCCAGGCTGGTCTCAAACTCCTGACCTCAGGCGATCCACCCACATTGGCCTCCCAGAGTTCTGGGATTACAGGCATGAGCCACTGAGCCCGGCCAGTTAATGGCAATTCTATAGCCCAGTTGCTCAGGCCAAAAAGTTTGGGTCATCCTTGATTTTCTCTTGTATGTAGCACTGAATCAATAAGAAAATCTTGATTATATATTATATTATACATATTGTATTACATACTCCACACGTATTTAGCATCCGTCCTCTTCTCAACACAGCATTACTACCCCCTGATCCTAGCCTCAATTATTGCAATAACTTCTTAAGCGTTCTCCCTGCTTTTGCCCTTGCCTACTCACCTATCCCAAACAGCTTATTTTATTATATAAAGGAGAAAGATTCTGTTAATATATTCAGAACCTGTCACTGCTCTGCTCTAATCCCTCCAGGGCTCTTCACCATTGATTAAAAGCTGGAATCTTTTCAACGTCCCCAAGGCCCTCCAAAGCTGGAATCTTTTCAGTGGCCCCCAGACCCTCCTGCTCTACCTGTACGTCTCCTACCTCCTGTCTGAACCTGTCTCCTCCTCATATCCTCACTGACTCTGCTCCACCACACTAGCCTTCTTGAAGTTCCAGGCACAGTTTCCTCTGCCTAGAACCCCTTTCCCTGAGATGTCTGCAAGAGTTCCTTCCCTATTCTCATTCAAACCATTGTCCAATGCCTTTTCCCTGAACATCTGACTTCAAATTACCCCTCCTCTCTCCCCACAGCAATCCCCTCTCCCCATAGTGATCCTTGCTTTTACTGCACTTCCTCTACTCCAGCTTTGCAGCTCTCTCTACTTTATTATCTTCTAAAGTTCTATGTGATTTTCTTGTGTATTGTCCAGCTCCTCCGCACCTTAGAAAGTAAACTGAATCAAGGCAAGATTTTGTCTCTTTTATTCACTGCTGTCTAGATAGTTACGGGTGTAGAATTATTAGTGCTTAATACGTATTTTGGAATGCATAAATAAATGAATGAATTACAGTGAATAACAATATAATTAGTTCAAATGAAACAAACACAAAATGGAAAGAATCTGTGACCTGGAGTTCCCTTAGTTGGTAAGCACTGCCTTGAATCTAAATGATATTGGACTTTTCCAGGAGGTAGCTGCTGTCAGTCATTGGATGTTCAGAGGGCTGAATTCAGTTAGATGGCATATCGAACATGTGAAAATCTGTACTAGTTTAAAAAACTAATTTAAAGCACGAGACTTTTTGTAGAGAATTCATACATAGTGGGTGATTCTGAGAAGAATTTCCTATTACAAAATCTCTAAAAGCAGTTGTGCATTTGGTTAGAAAACTCCTGTAAACTTGACCTTGCAAAAAAGGGCATATTTTAGACCATCTATTAAATAAAGTGTACCTGTATTTATACTTTTTCTCTATGAAAACTTTAAAAGGAAAGGTTTCAAAACATAAATTCAATGTCTGAGTGAATTGGCTGCAGTTTTAAGATCAACAGTAAAAGCTGTCATCTGGTTTGTCAATTATATACAAACTAAAAGGTCTATGAGAAGGTCTCTACACAAAGGACTTTAATGACTCACAAAAAGTCTACATCAAAGTATGTGTCAAGGAACAGCTAATTAATAAGGGTCTGGTAAAGAAAGACTGACATTAATGTAAATTAATGACGTTATGGAGTTTAGCAACAATTTGCAGTTGAGGATTTACATAATCAGTCATTATAGTTCCCTGTTGTCTCTTAGGTCAATAATGTACAGTTTGAAGACATGCTAATACATATTTACTCATTAATCTACAATGCCTTCTAAGAGAGAGGCTGGGTCTCTGGTTGAATTAATTCATATTTAAATTATAATAGCAGATAATTGTTTCACAGATTGGAAGAAAAATACATGAACTTAAAGATGTAGATTAAACATTGGTCATTTATAAAACTCTTTGTGTTTATGATTAGCGTAGTAAAGACAGCTTATGATCTACCAAACATCATCGTAATTAGAGGCTCAAATGAGGCAGTGTCTCAGATCTCTATTTGCTTTGGATTGCCTGAAAAGACTGAAGGGTATCTTTGGTGAGCATGGAGGAGGCAGAAGGTGGGAGGTTGGAAAGAAGAGAGAGATTTGTTACATTTTATTTGGTCATAGAAGCACAGCAGAATCTCAAAGCAAAATGGCAACAGTGACGAGAACAAGTTATTCCAGGTCCCAGGTATTCTCTGTGACCCTTAAAAGTGAAAAATCACTAAGTGATAATTGCATTTGACACTTTCAAGTAAGTAGTCTGTTTTTTTTGCTCCCAAGTTACTGTAATCTATCACCAAAATGAATTAGAAATAAGGCTTGCTACTTTGATGGGGCCAATCATACTGACCTATTTGTTTACATAAATTCAATACTCCCTAAACAATGTACTAGCCAGAGAGACTTACTCCTACTTTTTCCAAGTTCAAATTTCCTATGTGCTATACAGTACTATTTCATAAATATCTAGGGGCTATTCTGCTGCCAAAGTCTTTACAGCCCAACCTAGAATATGAAAAATATATGATTAACAGTGACTGTGGTCATCGTTAACATTACTTAAACATGAAAGCTAAGCACTACTTCTTACTGCTAGTGATAGGGGCCAAACCTCTTCTTTTAAGATCTAAGCAAAATAGTGTAGGCTTATCTCTTAGAAGCTAAACAAAATGTTTTCAGGTTCCCAAATGGCTTATGTTTTGGATGAATGGCCTTTCCTGCTTTAGTGAGTTTACATAGACCAATGTGAGGAAATTTATCATATCATGATTGAAATGCCTCTTAAACAGGTTGCAAGGCAATGCTGTCACAGCATTTGGCTGCACCAACACTTCATTTAGGGATCAGCATTAATCCCTCATTTGCATGGACACTGACTTTGCTCCTCAAATGATATTAATAGTCATTGTAAATCTACTTTTCACGTGCTATCACTATGCCAAGATATAATGGAATGGGAAAGAATTATATGGGAATTGCTTTGGACAGCTACTCTATGTACAAGGTCAGCATCATTCAACGTTCCTGACAGTCAGAATTTGATAGCTTAAAGACAGGACATAGAACATACAAAAAATAATAATTTATTTGCTCAAGTTAAGGAAAGGCTGGTGCATAAAAATTAAAACCAGACCATCTCAACTGACTGACTGGTAAAGGCGGCATACTACGTTTTTACATTGTGTGAGAACTTCAAAATCCAGGCAGGAGAGAATTTTTGAGGGGATAAAAAAGGGGGTAAAATGTGTAATAATGAATGACTCCTAGGAAAAAAAAACTGTAATCAAAAGCATTAGATAATTTATAATTAGCTCTATAAATTTGAAGATTGTGCCCCAGATAAAATGGTTGCATACTATATTAATTAGCCATTTTCAGTGGCAATATAATCCATGTTCAGGACAATGCTTTCTTAAGAGACAAGTAGGGAAGGGAGAAAATAGGGCAATTTTCAGCCTAAACCCCACAGAAACTTTTTACATAGGTGTTGAAATAATATCACGGCCGGGCGCGGTGGCTCACGCCTGTAATCCCAGCACTTTGGGAGGCCGAGGCGGGTGGATCATGAGGTCAGGAGATCGAGACCATCCTGGCTAACAAGGTGAAACCCCGTCTCTACTAAAAATACAAAAAAAAATTAGCCGGGCGCGGTGGCGGGCGCCTGTAGTCCCAGCTACTCGGGAGGCTGAGGCAGGAGAATGGCGTGAACCCGGGAAGCGGAGCTTGCAGTGAGCCGAGATTGCGCCACTGCAGTCCGCAGTCCGGCCTGGGCGACAGAGCGAGTCCAGCCTGGGCGACAGAGCGAGACTCCGTCTCAAAAAAAAAAAAAAAAAAAAAAAAAAAAAAGAAATAATATCACTAAAAATGAAACTTCACATAAAACTCAGCTGGATATAGGTCTAGGGTGATCATGTACAGTGGCCATCCTCCAGATTAGTCTTATTTATCCTTAGAGTTCGGAGTTATTTTACTTTTGTTACTCTTCCATAGGATGGATCATGCCTGAGTGCTCTGCCCAACCCCTCCACTTCAATCTACTTTTTAAAAGAACTGTTCTCTAAAATAGGTCTAAAGAGTAGCTCTCAAAATCCATAGAAGTGTGTATTTCCTGACTAGGTGGATTCGTTTGTGGCAGATCAATGCACACACTATGAACAACTATATGTAAATACAAAATACAAAAGTTATTTTTTTTTTTTTTGATACAAGGTCTTGCACTGTCACCCATGCTGGAGTGCAGTGGTGCAATCATGGCTCACTGCAGCCTTAACTTCCTGGGCTCAAATGATTCTCCCATCTCAGCCTCTGGAGGAGCTGGGACCACCTGTGTGTATCACCATACCTGGCTAAATTTTGTATTTTTTGTAGAGATGGGGTTTCGCCATGTTGCTCAGGCTGGTCTTGAACTCCTGGTCTCAAGTGATCTGCCTGCCTTGGCCTCCTAAAGTGTTGAGATTACAGGCATGAGCTACCATGCTCAGCCCCAAAGTTATCTTCTAAAGGGTACCAGAGAGTTCCCTAAGCAAGGAGTATGAGGGGAGTTGAGATTCCATACAGAAGAGAATTGCAGTCAGCAGTTTTTCCCTGGAGGCACTTGCCCATTTTGAGTGTGGGATAGAGGCTGTGCATCTAAGATTTATCTGGGTAGAGAGTCAATGCAGGGGATAGAGAAACCGTGAAGGCTCCCAAAGGGTTTATGGAGGTGGGGTGATAAAACTGGATAGTTGATTGACCTCTAACCTCTGCTCAATTCTGAAGGTACACAAAGTGGGAGAATAAATAGCTAAGTCACAGACCTCTGAGAAGCAGAGTCGAATTTTCTTAATCTTGTAGTATGGAGAAGACAAAGATTAGAGTTCAGAATCTGTCAGGGGTAAAGACCTCAATAAACACCCCAAGGCCTTATTTGAAAAACCTGGTGGGCTATTGCCTAGGAATCAGGGTGGGCAAGAGACTGAGGCATCACTACCACACCATCACTACCATCATGCCTGATGAGACTAAGGTGATTAGCTCTCTAACCCCACCTCCTGAGCAGGAGAAAATGTTATTTCTCTTTGGAAAATGGTAGAATTATTTGTAATCTCTGTAGATTTTTTACACCCAATGTCTACAATTCCATATTAAAAAACATGACTAGAAATGCCAAGGGATGAGACCATTTAACCAAGAGAATGAAAAGAGACTTGTGACTATCCAGATATTAAAGTAAGTAGGCATTCTGTCCTAGTATACTAATAAATGAATAGAAATTTATAGACAGGATTTAAAAATAATTATAATACATATGTGCAAGAAAATAGACACAAAGAAACACAGAAGATGATTTTATCAAAAAGTTGGAATCTTAAAAATTATCAGTTGGAAATTGTAGGCCTGAACAGAACACTAGCCCAAATTATTTAAAAGGGTTAATAGCAACCAACACAATAAAAGATAAGATTAGTGAACTAGAAGACGATGTCAAAAGAGATCTCTATCTAACATTGTACTGGAGATTCTAATCAGTGCAATAAAGCAAGAAATAGAAATAAAGAGCATAAAAATTGAAAAAGAGGACATATAATGCTTATTAATTACAAATGGCATGCTAGTATACAGTGTGCATCAAAAATGCAAAAAGATTTTACAGACAACTATTGGAATCAGTAAGAGAAATGATCAAGGCCACTAGAGGAAAGATATTATATGAACTTCAATTTTATTTCTATATACCAGCAACAAATTAATAGAAAATAAAATTTTAACATTTTTACACTGCATCAAAGACATCAAATATTTAGGAATCAATAGAATGAAAACCTCTGCAATGTAACAAAATTTAGTGAGATTTTAAAGGCCTGAGTAAACGGAGGTTTGTATCATGTTCATGGATTACATTCATTATTGTAAAGTTATAGATGGCTTCCCGATTGATTTATGGATTCAGTGAAGCCTAATCAAATTCCTATCAGTATCGTGTGTATGTAAGAGTATGTCTGTGTGTATAAAATGACAAGCTGATTCTAAAACGTATATGGTAATACAAAGACCTAAGAGTAGTCTGAGTAATACTGAAGAAGAACAAATACACTATCACTAACAAATACACTAACACTGAAGAAGAACAAATACACTATCATATATCAATATTTTCTTTACAACTCTAGCTATCAAAATAGTGTAGTATTTGTGCAAGCATAGACAAATAGATCACTACGGTACAAATAGAGCAGAATTGCAATAGTTATATTGCACCACAGTAGGCAAAAGATGATCTTTTTTCATTAAATCATTCCGGGTCAATTGGATGGACATATTTTTTAAAATTAATCTGGACACCCTACCTCACAGCACACTAAAAATTCAGTTTCAGATGGACTCAGGTATAAATGCAAAAAGTGAAAGAAGTATTCTTAACAATAGCAGAAAAATACCTTTATAACCTCTAGGTCTGAGATGATCTGAAAAGAACAGATATCTCTAACAGTATATTTGGAAACATGACCGTCATCCCATAAAGCTTTGACACCCTTGTGGGAAAAGGAGGACAAGTGAAGGAGAAGCAATAAAAATTTAGCAAATGATGAATCCCTAAAGGCCAAGCACTCTGAACCCAGCCACTTGGTCTGCTTTTCCATCTTAATTGACGTCCCTACGAAGGATGAGGAAGAGAATCTGGGTGGAGCTTTACAAAGTATAGACAGCCCCTGGAAAAGAACTCATTATATGGCTTGTCCAGGCACGTGTGGTCTCAGGCAATCTCAGTGAGTATCTCTGGATTAAGTGTGAGCGTATCTGAGAGGCAGGGCAAACACTTAGATTCTAGGTATAAGCTGGGCCCGGTAATATGAGAGACAATGGAATTCACCATGAAGTTCAGGAGCCGAATTCAGAACCATATGGAGAATTAGCATCTTCAACATCTAAGATGCAGATGTCTTCCCTGTCCTAACTCCATCAACTTTCAGTTACCAACTATTAACTTGGTAGTGTCACATAATAATACAAAAACAATAGCTAGAATGTATTGAATGTATTAAGGGGCTCACTGTGTGTTAGTTCCATTGTAAGTGCTTTTTATATGTTAACTCATTTGATCATCACACAATTCTATGATGAAACTATTGCTATTATACCCACTTTACAGATGAGTACCCTAAAGCAGAAAAGGTAAAATACCTTGGACAAGATCTTAGAAATAATTACTGATGCAGCCAGGATTGAAACTCAGGCAATCTGGCTCCCAAAAGAACACATTTTCATTGTTTGAGAAGTAAGCCTTGAGGATGAACTCAGATTATAGTTTTTATCCCACAGGAACTCAGTACCCTTGAGTTCAGCACCGAGTATTGACAAACTAATAAATCTACATTATATTTCTTACATGTTTGTTTGTGGACTAAAGTCTGTATTTGCTTTATAAGCAGAAGCAGAGAATATGCCCTGAAAAGCAGGCATACTACATGCCAGGCATTTTTGCCTTGAATCTTGAATGAGAAATTTTTGTTTTAATTTTTGAATGAAGAAACTAGAAATTCATAGATTTATATACATAGAGTTTCTACACATATAAAGTGGCAGAATTAAAATTAAATCTCAGGAATCTTCATGTCTGGTTTATTATTCTTTTCATAATAGTCATTCTCAAACCATTCTGAAAACTAGTTTAACAAAAACTAAACATCATGAATTAATAGATAAGAAACATTTTATGTTCGAACCTAGTTTGACTTCTAGTTATAGGTGATTAGGAAGAAAAACATCAGTAAATAATCACCTAATTGTTTTCTAATTTAGATTATGTGACTTAGCCAAGGAAAAGTAATTAGATATGATTTATTGCAGTTTCTTCTTCTATTTTTTTTTTTTTTTTTTTGGCAGGATCTAGCTCTGTTGCCCAGGCTGGAGTGCAGTGGAATGAATATGGCACACTGCAGCCTTGACCTCTTGGGCTCAAGGATCCCCCAGTCTCAATCTCCTGAGTAGTTGGGACGACAGGTGTGTGCCAGCATGCCCAGCAATTACTGTGGTTTCTAACCCACCTTCTAGGTAGAATGGTGAAAGCCTAGAGATTTTTTTTCACCCAAGATCCTAATTTTCTATGACTTTCCCAAAGCTATTTTCATTTTAAACCATAGATTTCCAAAGAATGAGTTTTTTCCATAGCAATATCTACCTTCTGTTACTAAGAAGCAAGAAACAAGGGGTGGTGGCATGTGAGAAGATCCTATCAGGAGAACAATACAGCTTCTATGGCCTTGATTTTGTCCATTTCTGGACTTCACATTCTTCACAACTCAGTGGCAGGTGAGATATATTTTCCTAGCCAGATCACTCTTCTTTCTATAGAAACTTTAATATAGATTTCGGACCTCAAGTTAAGCCCTAGATCTTCAGGACTGACAAGACTCTCTGGGATGAGGTTTTCAATGCTGAAGATGAAGCCACCTTGATGATATTCTCAGATAATCACTGATCATCTTCATCTGATTACATCTTTACAACAAGCCCACAGAAAGGATTCTTTCCCCATTTACCAAGGCTCAGAGAGATTGGGCTGCTGCCTCAAGGTCACAAAGTCAACAAATGGTAGGGCTGGGATTTGAACCTGCATTCTCTCTGACTTCAAAACCCAAGTTCTACATTACTGCCCTGCTGGAAAATCTCTTCGCTACTTTAGTAAGGTAACAAATGGGGATTTTGTGTATTGATATATTGGAATTTTAAAAAGAGACTTAGAGAAATACGACCCTCAATTAACAATTTGAAGCTGTTAACTTGATGAATGATGTATAATGATAGAACATGAATTGTACAGCACCTGTTAATAATTTCCTGAATAATTGGACAGCTCATTTATTATCTGAGTCCCTTCAGCACCCTTTGGGTATTCCAAAGGCACACTGCTTTTGGGACCAGCCATGTTCAGCTGAACAGAATCCTAAATCACCTAACATGGCTTCGGAGTAGGATGATTGTGTTTCACTTTAAAATGACTAGAAATTTTGTACCTTAAGCTAAATGAATATACTAAATTTTAGTCCATATTGTCTAGTTCTAATGAAACAGTTACTCCTTCCACCAATCTAAGGGCATTAATTGGTCTAAGTCCTGGGGTTAGTCAGTGTTATTAGTTATTAGTTTCCTGTTGCTGCTGTAACTAATCACCACAAACTTAGTTGCTTAAAGTAATACAAATTTATTATCTTACAGCTCTGAAACCAACATGGGTTGAAACCAAATTGTTGACAAGACTGGGCTCTCTCGGGAGCTCTAGGGGAAAACATATTTATTTGCCTTTCTCAGTTCCTAGAGCTACATTCTTCAGTTCATGCCCCTTTCTCCATTTTCAGTTAGCAGTGGAGTACCTTCAAGTCTCTTTGCTTTCAATATTCTGTAGCCTTCAGTCACCCTAATCTCCAGCCTCCCCATTATAAGGATCCCTGTGATTGTATCAGGCCCACCCAGAAAACCCAGAATAACTTCCCTATCTGAAAGTCCTTAACTTAATTACATCTGCATTGTCTATTTTGCCAGATAAAGTAACATTCATAGGTTCTGGGGTTAGGACATAGACATCTTAGTGTGGGAGAAGAAGGGATTATTTACATACCAAGTCAGACAAAATTTTTCTATTTTACGTTTTAAGATAGTGGAAAAGAGGTTTTAGGTCATGTCTTAGTTTGTTTTGTGTTGTTGTAACAAACAACCATAGACTGGATAATTTATAAAGGACAGAAGTTTATTTTCTAACAGTCCAAAATCTGGGACATCTAAGATCAAATTACCAGCATCTGGTGAGGGCCTTCTTGCTGCCTCATCCCATGGTGGAAGTGGAAGAGTAACAGTGAATGACAGAGAGCAAGATGGGAGCTGGACTTGACCTAAAAAGAACCCAGTCCTACAATAATGAATTGATTCCCACAATGACAGCATTAATCCATTCATGAGAGCAGTGTCCTCATGACCCAAACAGCTCCCAATTAGGCCCCACTTCCCACTTCCTAGGCTCAAGTGATCCTCCAACCACAGCCTCCTGAATAGCTAGAACTACAGGTATGTGCCACCACATCCACCATGCCCAGCTAATTTTAATTTTTTTGATAGAGATGAGGGTCTTACTATGTTGCCCAGGCTAGTCTTGAACTCCTAGGATCTAGTGATCCTCCTGCCTTGGCCTTCCAAAGTTTTGGGATTACAGGCATGAGCCACTGCACCTGGCTTCATTTCCATCACATGAAGTTTGGGAGACACATTCAAACCACATCAGGGTGTATTATCAATATTGAACTATCGGTAAGCATTTTAGGAGTGGTTTATTTTTCAACTAAGCTAATTGTAAATAGTCATTATTATAGAATAAGTACTTTTTTTGGAAAAACTAATCATAAACTAAAGCAACACGGATAAATTAGAAACCACTTCTTGAAATACACATGGTAATTGTTCTTCAAAGATACAGCGCTCTTCACCTCATTGGTGAAGTAAATAGGAATCTTGCCTCAAATAGTAAAGAATAATAAAAATAAAAATAAAAACACTTAATGTTAGCCACTTGTGATTCAGAGGGTTTTTACAGTGTTAAAAGCTTTTCATAAAACCAGGAAGTTGCAATAATATTTAAATCAATGTCACTCAGATGTCTTTGCAAGGCAAACAAAGCTCTATCAATTGAACAACCAAACCACTGTTCAAATTAATCAGTAGGAACTTGATAAATTCCACTGATGTAGAAAATTAGCACTTTGCATGTTTCCCAGATTTTGATTTCATTTGGGCGTCTGGTCATGAATTATAACCACTCTTCTTGGACTCGAGCTATTTCACTTGAAATCCATTATTTCTAGCAGAATTATGAGTCTTGTTAAGGAAATGCCAGCTATTTCCATTTTGAGCATCTGCACTGCAGTTCTATTATTAACATGGAGTTCATCTTAAAAAGAGGGAAGAATTAGATTTGTGTCTTTGGGGCATTGTGGGAGGGGGCAGGTGGTGGTGATTGGAGCTTCAGTGAAACAAACAAGCTCACAAGGCGGCTTCCAATTGACACAGCTGTCATGTAAATATCTGTCCCTGCTGTATAGCTAAGGGATCCTGGGCTTAAAGACCTTATAGCCATATGTAAACAATGCAGTGCTGATGACAGGTCTATAGCACTGGAGAAAACATGTGCAGCTGTTTCATCCTCCTTCCTATGGAGAGATACAAATGTTCAGGAGGCAGATCACAGGTGCTTAAAACTCAGTTTTAGAAGCTTACAGAGCTAGTCCTGCTTCTGTGATGCACTTCACATCACTGCCTTCCGGGTCATGCCGTAATAGCCCATGGTGTGAATGCTTCTGTGCGGGCTCCCTACTGGGTCTCTCACTACCTCTCTCTTCTGCTCCTCCAGCTTCAGCCCAATTGTTTCCCCTGAGTGGCAGTTAGGCAAAGCGTCTCTTTCACCACTGGATGCAGAGGGAACCCCTGACCTATGCCTCTGCATGTTGCATTGATCAGAGGGTTCCCCAGATCAAAGAATCGAAGATGCTACTGCTCAGATAGGTCATTTACTCTGTTCTCTGCTTACTGCTCTCTTCTCTTCACAGCATTTTTTCCAGTATTTAGCCCAGGCTTATTACAAAATAATCAAACAGGAAACAAAGTATTGTTTCAGCCAAGGTTCACTTAGTAAAAGCGAAAGCACAGTTGATGTGACATATAAAAGTATTATGCACATGTCAATTTGAAGGCAATAAATTTTTGCTTCCTCTTTCAGTTCTTCAAATTAAAACTGAGGTGACTATGTACAATTTTTCAGGTAAGTAAACTTGTGTTGAGCTTTGGAGACTTACCTGGATTCTTTGGGTTAGCATAGTATTTCATGACCTGAATTATTCAGAGCCCCAAATTATTTCAGTATATTTTTCTGGTCACATTATGTGTTTAACAGACACAAGTCCAATAGCAAGGCTGATTTTTAAACAGGCATTTTCTTTCTTTTTTTCTTATTTGAGCCACTTCCTTAAGCAGCAGTTAGATGTTTGAGCTCTACTAGCAGACTAAGTCAATTTAAATCCAGACATATCCACTTATTACATCTGAGATTTTGGGCAAGTTATTGAAACTATCCAAGCTTAAAATTCCTTATTGTAAAATGGGGATAATAACAGTACTTATCTCTTAGGGTTGTTTTGAGGATTAACTGGATAATCCATACCAAGTCTTTAGTTTAATTTCATGCACATAAAACCACCCACTAAATATGAGCCATGATTATGATTCTCATATTTGGAAGAATACCAGCGTAAGTTAGAAACGCTTAGCTAAAGAAAAAAAAAACACTTAATAGTAATCCATACATAAATGCCTTCTCCAACTTCCAAACCTGTAACCTCCAAAGATTTACACCTAGCTGTAGTCTCCCCTGAAAACTACCACCTTTTGTGCATCCCAGTACAGTATATTATCCAGGAAACCCCCCCTCCCCTTCCATAAATCTAGAATTCTTACCCTATTTTTTTTTAATTCAAAAAATGCTGGGGCAGAGATCCAAATAAATGCAACTCAGAACTCATACAGTTCTACTTTTATGAGAATGGGTAGAAAGCTCTAACTGGTGTACCTAACATATTGGTTTTTTTAAAAATATTGAGTCGAGATGCTCAGTTATAGACTGAGCTGAAAAGGCTTTTGTAGATGAGAACAGGAATTTAAACACTCTGAGAATGTTGTCTTAAGAGAAAAAGTTCAGCCGAATTAAATGTGAAGGAGTTTAATTGAGCAATGAACAATTCGCGAATTGCGAAGCCCCCAGAATCACAGCAGATTCAGACAGACTCCAGCACAGCCACGTGGTGAAAGATTTATAGACAAAAAAAGGGAAGTGACCTACAGAAATCAGAAGTGAGGTACAGCTCAGCATTAGCCTTAGTTGAACACAGTTTGAACACTCGACAGTGTATGAATGGTTGAAGTTTGGCTGCTGGGATTGGCCAAGACTCAGCCACTGTTACAGGTGCACACTCCGAAGATAGGTTCTCAATTTTGTCTACCTATTATATTAACTTAGGTTGCAGTTCCTCCACAGACTCAAATATAGAAGTATGGAGTCGTTCTCAGGCCATATGTAGTTCGATTTAACAGCTGTCTCTTTGGAAAAGTTTGTTCTGAGTTCCAACAATTGACTTACAAGTTGACCTGGGAACACAACCCCTCCATGAATTGATCAATTACTGAAACTCCACAAAATAAGATGAATCCGTTTACATTTTAAAACAAATAGAGGAAGGTAATGGGGATGCATCTTTTTCCTGTATCTTTTTTTTTTTAAGCAGACTTTATTTTCTTAGAGCAGTTTTAACTTCACAGCTAAATTGAGCAGAAAGTACAGTGTTCCCATACACTGGCTGTCCCTACACTTGCACAGCCTCCTCTGTAATCAACATCTGACACTAGAGTGATGTATTAGTTACAATCAATGAATCTGTATTGATGCATCATTATTACTCAAAAGTCCATAGTTTATAGCAGGGTTTACTATTGGTGTGGTATATTCTATGGATTCTTAAAGGAAAATTCTATGGATAAATAGAAGTGGTACATTGTTATAAGTTTTGACAAATGTGTGACATGATCACCATTATAGTATCATACAGGATAACCTCATTGCCTTAAAAATCCTCTATACTCCATGTATTTACCTTCCTTTCCTCCTAATACCTGGCAATCACTGATTTTTTTTACTGTCTCCATAGCTTTGCATTTCCTAGAATGTCATGTAGTTGGAATAATACTGCATGTAGCCTCTTTAGATTGGCGTCTTTCACCAATCTGAATGCTTCTAAAGTTCCTCCATGTCTTTTCATGGCTTGATAGCTCATTTCTTCTGAGTGTTGAATAATATTCCATCGTTAAATTGGATTATCAGTTTATCTCTCCATTCACCTAATGAAGGACATCAGGGTTGCTTTCAGTTTATAAAAATTAAACTGAAATTTACAGAAATTTATATTTAAAGAAATTTAGAGTTTATGGAAATTAAAGCTACTGTAAACATCCATGTATTGGTTTTTGTGTGGGCATAAGTTTACAGTTTATTTGGATAAATACCAAGGAGCAGAATTGCTAAATTGCATGGTAAGAAAGTGCCAAACTGTTTTCCAAACTGGCTGTGCCATGTTGCATTCCAATCAGCAATGAATGGGAGTTCCTGTTGCTCCACATCCTTGTCAGCATTTGCTGTTGTCAGTGTTTTGTATTTTGGCCATTCTAATAGGTGAGTAGTGGTATGTCATTGTTGTTTTAATATGCAATTTTCTAATGACATGTGATGTTGAGTACTTTTTCATATGTATACTTGTCTTCTGTATCTTTTTTATGAGGTGTCTGTTCAGGCCTTTTGCCCATTTTCAACTGAGTGGTTCATTTTCTTATTGTTGAATTTTAAGATTCTTTTGTCTATTTTGGATAATAGTCCTTTGTTAGTTGTGACTTTTGCAAATGCTTTCTTCTTGTCTGTGGCTTGTCTTCTAATTCTTTTAGTAGCACATTTTGCAGAGCAGAAGTTTTCAGTTTTAATGAAGTTCAGCTTACCAATTATTTCTTTCATGGATCATGCCTCTGGCATTATATATAAAAAGTCATTACCAAGTCAAAGGTCATTTAAATGTTCTCCTATGTTATCTTTTTGTAGTTTTGTAGTTTTTGCATTTTACATTTACATCTATGATTCATTTCAAAATATTTTTTGTGGAGCATGTAAAGTCTGTGCCTAGATTCCTTTTTAAATTTTTTTTTGCATGTAGATGTCATCTTTCTCCAGCACTATTTGTTGAAAGACTATCTTTTCTCCATTGTATTGCCTTTGTTTCCTTGTCAAAGATCAATTGACATTTGTGTGAGCTTATTTCTTGTCTCTAACTGGTCTCTATATTATGTTCCATTAAACTATTTGTCTTTTTAAATTTTTATTATTTAGAGACAGAGTATCACTCTGTTATCCAGCTTTGAGTGCAGTGATGAGATTGCATGATCGTAGCTCGTTGCAGCCTCAAACTACTGGGCTCTTCTCCTACCTCAGCCTCCTGAGTTGCTGGGCCTATAGTTGCAAGCCACCATACATGGCTAATTTTTAATTTTTGTGTAGAGACAGAGTCTCACTATGTTGTCCAGGCTGGCCTCAAAGTCCTGGCCTCAAACAATCCTCCTGCCTCTGCCTCCCAAAATGTTGTGATTACAGGCATGAACCACTGCACCAGGCTATTATTTTTTCTTTTTGCAATAGCATACTGTCTTGATTACTGTAACTTTATACTAAGTCTTGAAGTCAAGTAGTCCCAATTTTGTTCTCCTTCAATATTGTTTTGGCTATTCTGGGTCTTTTGCTTCTTCATATAAAATTTATAATTAGTTTTTTGATAACCGCAAAATAAGTTGCTGAGATTTTGATTGGGATTATGTTAAATCTATAGACCAAGTTGGGAAAAATCATATTGAGTCTTTGTAGTAATAAACATGGAATATCCCTCCACTTAGTTCTTTAATTTCTTTCATCAGAGTTTTGTCATTTTCTTCATATAGCTCTTGAACATATTTTGTTAGATTTATACTTAAGTGTTTCATGGTATTGGTTGTTAATGTAGATGATATATTTTAATTTGAAATTCCACTTGTTCCTTGCTCATATATAGGAAAGTGATTGATGTTTGTATATTTACCTGTATTCTACAACCTTGCTACAATTCCTTAATAGTTTCAAGAAGTCTTTATGTTGTTCCAAGACATTTTTTTGTTGTTGAATCTGTGGGAGTTTCTTTCTTTCTTTTTTGTTTTTTGACTCCTGATTTTATTATTCAGTTTCTTTTTTTCATTTAAAGTAGTCTTCCATGGTTGGAAAGGCTCACCTCCCAAGACCAGAGTCAGCTGGAGCTGGTTGTTGCTGGAAGGGGGTGGGATGGGGAACTGGGATGGGGGCAAGGAGACCCCTGCTCTGCTGGTGGTCCCAGGCGTAGAAGAACTGCACTTCCCAGAGCCTGGGATACAGTGGGAAGGGGATGAGGCAGGAGCAGCAATCTGGGGAGAAGGCCCCACCCCAGTCCCCAGCTTCCTTTTCTTCTAATGTTTCCCTACTGGTGGTGTTCTCTGGGAGGCCTTCTTTTTTTTTCTTTTTATGGGTTTTTCAACTTGAAGAACTCTGTAGGAGGGTCTTTAGCTCTGGATCCTGGACCTCTATCTCAGACTTGTAGAGGTCAGGCTCAAAGGGACCACTGGTTATCAGCATGGAGCCACTGGGCATGAGCAGAACTGTAAATTTAAACTGGTCAACAGATTCACCCTTTTTTTCATACAGAACATTAAATAGTTGCAGCAGTCCATGTTTGGTGCACTCCACCACACCCATCCAAGCCTACTTCTCATCTTCAAATGCTCTTAAAGTAAACAACAAAGCATTAAAACACCTTTCCACCTCGCTGAAGAAGGCACGTGAAGTTTGCATTTGTAGTCCATATTATTTAGAGGGGTCTCCTTTGTAAATAGTAGTCCTGCATCCTTGGCCTTGCCCTCTCCTATGCTGATGAAAACATCAAATTCAGCTTTTTCATGGTCCTTCTTCTGCTGGTCTGCAGGGTTCTGGGTAACAGTTTTCTCACCATCAATGACATGTTGCTTCAATTGGTGTGACAGCATATCTTCTACTGGCATGCAGTTAAATGAATGACCAACTTTGTTCCAGGCTTCTGTCACTTGTGTGTTATGGTTTCCAGGTTTGACCAGGCATAGGGCAGCTTCAACACAAAGGTGGGCTGCCTTAATAACATCTGCTTTCTGCCTTGTTATTTGGATCCCCTGAGCTACATCCACCACAAAAGTATGAGTTACATTAGCGATGAAGCCATCCACTTGGACACCAAGGTCAATTTTTACCAGGTTACCTTCCTTGAGAATACAGTCTTTGTCACTCTTCAAAGGAGAGAAGTGACCCACACAGTTATTTACCAAAATGCTGGTGGGAAAAGCAATACTTTTCTTCATTTCCTTTACTTTCTTGAAGATTTTCCCTGTTTCTGCCATAATCATGGCATCACCTTCCTCACACAGCCTCAGTACTCACACACCTGAGCTGGATGCTTCCACCAAGGACCAAAGTACCCAGCTGGCGATGTCACCCACCCATCTGATACTTGGTCATGACCAGGTCCTCAGCGATAGTTTGCTCTTGCTGCTCATCCCTGCCCAACATCTTCCTACCACCAGCAGTGCAGCCTCATTTTCCCTGAGCCACCTCCTCTGTCTCCCATCCCAGCTGCAGGCTGTGGTCAGAGCACACCTTGGATCCTCGAGAAGGGGGCAAGTGAAAGCGCAAGTAAGCAAGAGAGCAGGCAGGCAGGCGAGAGCGAGATTTTGGGGATTCCTATATATGGGTTTACATTTTAATGTCAATGTTTATTTTTTAGAGTCTGTTAGGAAATTTTTGTATTTGTTAAACCTAGTGTTCTCCCTATTATGTATAATGTATAACTGAATAAGCATTAGTAACTTTATAATTTTTTTTGTTGTTTTCAGGTACTTAGGGTTAAGGAGAAAGCAACAATTTGTTGAAAATATATCTTTAACACCTTTCTAATGATTGCTAGTACCCATTCTTAAAAACATGAAAGCCATTATTGACCACTGATCAGGAAACTGCATCTAAGTATGACTTAACAGTATTATTTGGTTTTCATTGTATTTATTTTTACGTATTTACCAAACATTCATGGCAAACGGTATTAATTTCTTACTTACGGTACTGATTTAAATTTTATATTTTACATAATTGTGTTGCAGGACTTTTCCTTACTTCAGCTAAAGACGGGGTTCTTGTCTGGCCCACGACCATGAAAATTTAGGTTCACAGATGGTTTAAAGGGTGAGTAAAGCAGGGTTTTATTGGGTGAAAAAGGGGAAAAAAAAACCAAGGGAGAAACCCTCCGCTACAGCACTTCCTGCCAGAGGGTTGGAATCCTAGGTTCCGCACAGGAAGAGGAGGGGCCAAGCTTCACCCCACTGCAAAGGGCATGAACTTCCCAAGGCTCCACCTCAGTGGGGAGGCTGGTTGGAGTTTCTCCAGGGACCGCCTCCCACCTGGCTGTCTCAATTGTTTTTAGGTACAAATAGCAAGTTGATGCAAAGAAAAATATATAAAGTAAATCATGGAGATTATATGTGATTTGGCAAAGGTCATGAAGGATACCATCGCTGAAACTAAACTTTGGAATAAATTAGTCTTATCAAATTACAAAGGTAAGATAATTTTTTCTTTTTTTTTTTGAGACAAGAGTCTCGCTCTGTCGGCCAAGCTGGAGTGCAGTGGCGCCATCTTGGCTCACTGCAAGCTCCGCCTCCTGGGTTCAGGCCATTCTGCCTCAGCCTCCCGAGTAGCTGGGACTACAGGCGCCCACCATCACGCCCAGCTAATTTTTTGTATTTTTTTTTTTTTAGTGGAGACAGGGTTTTACTGTGTTGGCCAGGATGGTCTCGATCTCCTGACCTCGTTATCCGCCCTCCTCAGCCTCCCAAAGTGCTGGGATTACAGGCGTGAGCCACCACGCCCGGCCTGGTAAGATAATTTTTAAAGGTGCTTAACAGTTTAATCATGATCTAGGCCAAATTTTTTAAGTGGAAATTGCTGGTCAGTAAGCTCTAATCACTGTAAGACTGAGGACTATATTATAATTGCATGTGCAAACTTGTGGCTAGCATAATGCCAGAATTCAGTAACTATTTGTGGAATAAATGAGCAGATGAACAGATTCTGCATTCCCATCTTCTTTCTGGCATCAGGTCTCAACTTCAAAAATTTCTTCTTTGCCTACCAAGTACCTGGATACTTGACTCTACCCCTTGGCTGTCACAATGCCTCTAAAAATCTCATCTGTACTCTGTAGTTCAAAATTGTGTTTCCTCCTCTCATGGCCAAAGCTTCCTATTGTTTTGAGATTGATATTAAAATTATGAGATTGTAAAGTCATTCATACTAAGCTGCAGAACTGACATGTCTAATTGCCACAAAATGGATGTCATTTTAATTGATGCCTTTCTGAATCCAAAGTAATGCCTAATTGACAAAATGCATTAATAACACTCATCTTAAGACTAGGGACTTTCTAGATGTAACATTTATATACTGCACAAAAAAGCGGAACCCTATCATCCACTCATTCACTGGTTTTTCAAGTTCTTGTTAGTGTAAAAGAATTAGGAGAATTGCTAGCAGTCCTTGTAACACTGGCTGGCTAGGTTTTAGTAATAAAAGCACCTAAGGAGCTTTCTTAAACTGCAAATTCCTAGGCCTTATCTTCCGGATATTTGCTTTTAGTTTTTCAAGTGAAGATATCACGACCCAGTAAGTTTCAATGACCTACCCAAGGTCATACAGACAACTTGCTGTCAGCTGGAACTAACTTTCCTAGCTCTCACTATAGGGTTCTTTCTATTATAGAGACTATGATGATTGAAAACAGCTCTAAAACTTTTGTTAAATCCCTGAATTCTTAGTTTTTAAGAAAAGGAGACATGTTACTAACAAGAGATATTTTTGAAAAGGGCTTGACATTTTATGTTTATGTGTTTTGCTGGCATGGTTGATAGGAAAGCATCTTACACAGCACACACTTACGTTTGTATAGTTGGTTATCCATGGAATATGTTTCATAGGTGTGAATACTTATGTGTCTTACTTATCATTTTTACATAGCATCTACCTGTCCGTAATGGATTCTAACAATTGTTTGAATAATTAAATTAATACAAATAATAATAACTAATATTTACTGAGCTTTGATTACATGCTGGTACTATTCTAAACCCATATACATGTTTTATGTGATTAAAAACCTCAGAGGTGGCCGGGCGCGGTGGCTCATGCCTGCAATCCCAGCACTTTGGGAGGCCGAGGTGGGCTGATCACGAGGTCA
The DNA here is from genome assembly GCF_000001405.40 of Homo sapiens. Taxonomy (NCBI): domain Eukaryota; kingdom Metazoa; phylum Chordata; class Mammalia; order Primates; family Hominidae; genus Homo; species Homo sapiens. The sequence continues at coordinate 27,456,374 of NC_000018.10, forward strand.
GAAGCTCAAGACCAGCCTGACCAATATGGTGAAACCCTGTCTCTACTAAAAATACAAAAATTAGCCGGGCGTGGTGGCATTCGCCTGTAGTCCCAGCTACTCAGGAGGCTAAGGCAGGAGAATCACTTGAACCTGGGAGGCGGAGGTTGCAGTAAGCCAAGATCACGCCACTGCACTCCACCTGGGTGACAGAGTGAGACTCTATCTCAAAATAAATAAATAAAAAATAAAACATAAAAAATAAAAACTTCAAGAGGTAGCGAATGTTATAAATGAATTAGTCACTAAAGAATAAATGAAAGAATGATAAAGAGATAAATATAAGCAGTTCTGCCACTATTTTGGATTTAATAACTATGGTTTACTGGAAACATCAAACATTTTAAATGCACAAGATAATTTTTGTGAAATACATTGCTAGCAAGAGCATTCACAAATAAATATTTGTTCAATTGTGATGAAAATACAAACCAATACAGCAGCTAAGAAAATGAAATGTAGTCCACAAAACAATAACTAAAGTTGTTCAAAAAAGAAGACCTAATTAATAACTCAGGTTATGTGATTATGAACTTTCAAAGGCATCTGGTTTTGACAATTTTGTGTGTCTCTAAGAGAACTAATGAAATTTAAAAATCATATCTTTCATCTCAAAAAGCAGTATTTGCTTCAGCAGAATAAATTCATTAATAATGTTCAAAATCAATTCGTACTATTAGATATATCCTCCATCAAGAGCTGGAGTTTTCAAATATTTCTAATTATAATGTGGTTCTAGTGAACACATTATAAGCAACGTGCCTACCTGAAGGGAAATTTTCAAGACATATTAAACTTCGTCGTGTATGCAGTTCTTACAGTTTCACATTTGATAGACTCATAGCCTCACATTTCTTGTAAAAAGAGTGGTTATTTACTGTTTTAGCTTGTGAGTTTAATTTGAAGGTTTTCATATCCTTGTTGATACTGGTAATTTTCAGTATGTGCTAGAAATAATGACTATGTTTATGACACACGGAATATTTTTATTCTGTGCTCTCTGTCTAATGGGGTCACAAAGTATTTAAACACAAGAAATTTGTAGTCACTCCGCCATCTACGAGTGAAACAGAGTGCACAGAATTTTAGTGTGAGATCCTAATAAGTAAGAATTTCTTGTTCCTAATGCCAGATACAGGTAGTGAAGATAATTTGATGGAATAAATTGAGTCCTCCTTAATAGTAAGACTTCTCCTGGAACAAGGTTTAACGTATTATGGATATATAAAATCAAGAAGGAAATGTTTCAAATTGCTAATCTATTATGCATGCATTATCTTATATTCTATAACTCAATGGCAGCAGACCAGAGCCCTGCCAACCTCTGCAGAATGCGGTCATACTGCTCCCCCATGGAATGAAGTATAGAACAAATCTACCAATCCTGGTATGTCTGTGCTAATGAGATCTACTTGGTGAAATGCTTGTTCATTAAAAACCTAAGAACAGAAATAATGGGATACATGGGAACTGAAGTTCCAAAATGTCTCAACACTAATAAATAATAGTCAAATCATATTTAGTAAGTAGCCACATGTATTCAGATCATTTAACCATCATGTAGCCAGGGGTCTGCAGTAAATAAATTCTGTCCACCTCACTTCTAGGACATAAAATCTGGGCAATGCCTTAATTAGATAGTGACTGGGGAACAGGAGGTGACAGTAATGGATTCACAGCAAAGGCAAGCATTTTGCTATATTTCCAATACAGTTGCTCTACACAAATTAATGCCAAACTCAAATCAGATAAATATTCATTTTCTTTCTTTCTTTTTTTTTTTTTTTTTACTTATGCAAACATTTATTTTCAAGGAGCAAGGAGGTTTTTATCAAGACCACACAGAAATCACCAAAAAGAAAAAATCACTTATTTTTCCAGGGAAATTTGAAAGCCTCCAGCCCCATTCTATAAATGTGTTGCATTAGTAATGACACCTTACTAGACTCCTCAGGGGAATAATAGATTATGCCAAAAAATAAAATGGTGTTTATTTTATCATTCAGTAACTACCCGGAAAAAGGAAAGAGTAAAAAGGAGGGAAGCAAAAAATCAGTTTATTGACTGCCTTGTAGGCATCAGATATTTTCACGTTTAATATTTTATCAACTAGTTATGCCAGATATTATGATGATGATCACCACCACTTAAAATAAAAGGTGAAAAGAGGGTCAAAGAAGATAATGAATTTGCTTATAGTCATGGGCAATAGTTCATTTATTTAAATAAATATTTAATGAGTAGTTACTATGTACCAGCCGTTATTCTTAGTGTTAAACACACAACAGTGACTCACAAAGTTCTGTCTATGTTAAAATAAAAATCTAATAAAAGTAAAGATAAGTACAGATTGTAGTAAATGCAGTATAACAAGTAAAGATGGTGTTGTTCATAACAGAGAGTGGGGAGTGGAGAAGTCTCTTAAGTTGGGTGGGCAGGCTAGGATGTTTTGAGGAGGAACTATTTGAGCAAAGATAAGGTTGTGTAGGAATAAATCATTTGGAAAGCTCTGGTAGTAGTGTTCCAAGATGAACAAAAATGCAAAGTCTGAGAGACAGGAGGTTCTTTGGTGTGTATGAGGAACAGAAAGGCTGATCTTATAGGAGTCAGTAAGTTCAGGGGACATTAGTTAAGGTAAGTTTGAATAAACAAGCTGTGTCCAGCTTTTGTGGGACCTTGTAGAAATACTAATAATTAGGTAGTTGGATTTTATTTTAAATGTATCATGAAGCCACTAACTTTTTTTGTTAGTTTATTTTTAGGTTAAAAATATTGCTTATGTTGAGTTTGGAAGGCAGATTGCAGAGTTTCTGTTTTGAGGAATGGCTGACAATGGGTTGTAGAATAATCCCCCTGCTGAGCACACAAGAAAAGAAGGACAACTAGCTCTTCTTCCTGATCCTCTCCCTCTTCACTGAACTTAAAATAAAAGTTGGAAATTAAAAAATAATAATAAAATCATAACAAAAAAAGATGGACAAGATATAAAAATCATCTGCTTGAATACATAACAGAGCTAGCAAAGCATGAGAAATTACAGGTCTTAAACCCTTTGGAGGAAGAAAACCCAGGTAAATAAGCCAGACATCTGGGGATAGCTTTTCTGCAAGAAGCATCTGCTAAACCAGAAGAAGCATTTGGGAGAGTGAGACGTTGAGTAGACATTTTAAAGTCTTCTGAGCTAAGAGAAGAAAGATTGCTCTTCAATGTCTGCCAAAGATGAGGAACTCTAATAAAATGTACAACTTTAGACAGAGATTCTGATAGACTCAATATCTTAGTTGTAAGTGTGAACCAGAAAGAAATCAGCTGTGAAACCTACTAAAGCCCAGCTTCAAAAAGTCTCAGTCCCTAAAATTTGATCAAAATGATCTGTGACTGCTAGTGCCCCAGACTGTCTACCAGAAGCAAAGGCAAACCTTCTCTAGATTAACATGACATTATCCTAGGCTTCAATTTTTTTGTAACAACTTTACATATACAGTCCCATACCAGAAAAAAAGGAGACAAGACAATGCGGTAAAAATATGAGAAATAATAGATAATGGAAGATAATAGAATTAAAAATACAGAGGATCCAAAATATGGAGTTATCAAACACATACTTTATTATTTATTTATTTATTTATTTTTTGAGACAGAGCCTTGCTCTGACACCCAGGCTGAGTGCGGTGGCGTGATCTCGGCTCACTGTGACCTCTGCCTCCTGGGTTCAAGCAATTCTCCTCCCTCAGCCTCCCAAAGTTGGGATTACAGGCATCCGCCACCATGCCTGGCTAAGTTTCATATTTCTAGTAGAGACGGGGTTTCACCACGTTGGCCAGGCTGGTCTCGAACTCCTGACCTAAGATGATCCACCTGCCTTGGCCTCCCAAAGCGCTAGCATTACAGGCTTGAGCCACTGCGTCCAGCCAAACACATACTTTAAAAGACACAGACTATTTGAGAACTTGGCAAAGAACTGAAAATCATAAAGAAACTAATGAAAATTCTAGAACTAAAAGGTACAATAACTTAGCTCTCAATAGGTTAAGGAGATGGCAGGCTTAACAACAGTTTACACACAGATAAACAGAATAAGTAAAGAGAAAGTTGGTTAAAATATCTAGAATGCGGGAGAAACAAAAGAATGGAAAATATACAAAACAAAGTAAGGAGTATAGGGGATATATTAATAGGGTATAAAATATAAGAATTTGAATTCCAGAAGAAAAAGTAATAGAGGAGACATAAGGAATATGTGAACAAATAACTTTCTAAAACTGATGACATCAAGTTTAAGATTCACAAAACCCTGTAAACTCCAAGCAGCATCAAAACAAAGAAAATCACACTTATGAGAACACTCAAAAACATAAACACAAAACAAAATTACCTAAAGGAAAATAAAGAGAATGACAAATGATCTTCAAAATTGTAAGATTAGATTATATTTATTCTCAGTCTTTCTCCCTGTGGAATGCCTTCAAGCTAGCTGTGTCCTTTCACAGGGAAAGCTGTGTTCTTCTCAAGGTAGCTATCTGGATAGAACTCAATCCTCTAAGGTTCCTGTGACCACTTCCTTTCTAGGGTAGTAACAACTCTGCAGTTACCAGCCCTGGTGGTACTGCAACTATATCCCTCATGGTGTCCTTACACCCTAGCAATATATTTTCATTTTATTAAACTCTCTCCATTTATTCTAATTTGAGCATATTATGAGGGACATTCTCCTTCCTTCCACAGCTTTTAGTTCTTTGTATCTTTTACAAATACTGCTGTTGCTTTTACATTTAAAAATATGGCTAGTAAATCATGTAATTTTTTTTGAATTGTAAACTCATGGAGATAAATCATAAATGAGAAAGGCAGAAAATAATAATGAAATTTGGATGTTCATGGTTAAGGCCAAATGTAGCATTAACTTGCAAGAAAAAAGTAAAATTAGACTGACAGCTGGTATCTCAAAAAAAAAAAATGTGAAATCCAGAAGACAATGAAGATACTGTCAAAATGTTGAAAACAATAATGCTAACAATGCTTTGCTATCTAGTTTTAAAATATCCTACAAAAAACAATGAAATAAAAACATTTAAGACAAAGAAAAAACAGAATATTTGTCATCAGAAGACTTGCACTAAAGTAAATATAAAAGAGTGTTTAGAGAAATAAACTGATACTTGATAGAAGCTGGGAGAAAAACGGTATGTCTAAATGAATATTGGCAGTATTAAAATATAATAACAATGACACTGTGTTTCAATATACAGTGAGAGATCCATTTCCAGAATAGTGGCATGAGAAACTCCATAGACTTGCTTTCCAGGGAAACAACCGTAATTCATGAAAATTATATTTTAAAAGCTCCATTCATAAAAGCCTCTGAAATTTATTCCAAAAACATACATCAATTTTCTACTAAATCTTGGTAAGAACAGTAGGAGTCTATGGCTCTTGAGCCACAGCCTACACCTCTCTCTATCCTCTGACATCTCAGTGTGACAGAACGTCCACTCTGGATGGGTGTGACCAAGAAAACAGAGTTCCCATGTCCCTCAGTCCCAAGCTATGGTATCTTTTGGGCAGAGGCAGTCGGCAAGCATTTCTCATCTGCCTTAGTTCTATGTTGCAGATTTGCTTTCTCTATCCAGTTCCAACTCATAGAGTGGTGGCTCTACCCCAAGAACCTCACTCAGGCCAAGAATGTTGTGACCCCAGTTACCCTGTCCTCATCCATGCTTCCTCCCCACCTTGCTCATAGGTCAGAGGTCCACATCTGGAGAGTTAAGATAAGACACCAGAGGCTACCTCCCCCACAAAGTGTCCTGATTATAAAGCAGAAGTGTCACTGCAAGAGAAGTGGGCCATTGTCCCTGCCTCCAGCTCCAGAGCAGGACTCAGACATTTTACCCAGGTGAAGCAACAGCATAAGAACAGAGAGCTCCTAAGCCCTCACCAAAGTAATGGTCTTTTTTAAAAAATAGGATGTCAAGATAGTCAAAACAGAGGGAGCTCTTAATTACAATAGAATTTGGGTGATAAGCCACTAAACCTCAATAAATGTAAAATGACTGAAATCAAACAAAGATTGCCCTCAATGGAATAAAATTATAAATGAATAACAGAAATTTTGGAAATTCAAATATATGAAGAAATTAAACAGTGCACTTCTAAATAACCAGTAAGTGAAAGAAGAAATGAAAAGGAAAGTAGAAAATACTTGAGAAGTGAAAACGGAGACACACTGTACCAATAATTATGGGGTGCAGCTAAAGTAGTGCTTAGAGGAAAATGTGTCTGTAAATGTCAATATTCAAGAAGAAACATGTTACATCAATAATCCGGTTTTCTACCTTAAAACACTGGAATAAAAGCAAGCAGAAGGAAAGAAATAACAAAGATTAGAGTACAAGTTGATAAAAATATAAAATTGAAAAACAATAGAGAAAAATCAATGAAATTAAAAGTTGATTCTTTGAGAAGTCAACAGAATTGTCACACTATTAGGTGGTTATGAGCAAGAAAAAAAGAAAGAATACTTTAATAAAATCAAAAGTGAAAAATGGGACATTACAACCAAATTAACACAAATAAATAGATTATAAGGAATAAAATTAAAATCTGTATGCCAATGAATTAGATAACTTAGATAAAATAGATTAATTCCTGGGAAGACTCAAGGTACAAAATTGACAATAAAAGAAGCAAAAAATCTGAATGGACCTATAGCAAGTATAGAAATTGAATTAGGAATTTAAAAACTACAAAGACCAGAATGAGATGGTTACACTGGTGAATCTGAATTCTACCAAATTAACAAAACAAAATGAAACTCTTCCAAAAAACTCTTCCAAAAAAATAGAAAAGGAAGAACACTTCAAAACTTATACTGTGAGGCCAGTATTATCCTGATACCAAAACCAGATAACGATATCACACACAAAAAAATAAAACTATAGACCAATATCACATAGATGCAAAATCCTCAACAAATTACTAGCAAACATATAATAACAATAGTCAAAGTGACCTTTGTTTTCTAAGACCAGAAACAAGGTAAGGATATCTCCTCTCAACACTTCTGTTCTATAGTGCACTACAGGCTCTAGCCAGGGCAACAGTCAAAAAAAGAAACAAAAAGGAACCCAAATTGGAAAGAAAGAAGTAAAACTATATTTACAGATGACGTGATCTTGTATATAGAAAATTCCAAGGAATTCACTAAAAAAGCTTATCACTAATAAGTAAGTCCATCAGAGTTGCAGGACACAAGATGATATACAAATATCAAATGAAGTTTTATACACAATCAATGAAAAATCTGAAAATGACATTAAGAACAAAATTCTACTTTCAATGCCATCCCAAAGAATAAAATACCTAGAAATAAAATTATTTAAGGCAGTGCAAAAGTTAGACTCTAAAAAAGTACAAAGCATCGCTGAGATAAAGTAGATCTAAATAAATAAAAGATTTCTCTTGTTAATGGATGAGAAGACTTAATATTGTTCTGATATTGTTATAATACTGTTTTAAAATGGCAATACTCTTCAAAGTGATCTGCAGATTCAATGCAATCGTTATCAAAATCAGAGCTGGCTTCTTTGCAGAAATTAGCAAGCTAATTCTGAAATTCATATGGAAATTTCAAAGACCGAGAATAGTTAAAACAATCTTGAAAAAAGATGAACAAAGTTGGAGGACTCACACTTCCCATTTACAAAACTTATAGCAAAGTTACAGTAATCAAGACTACATGGTACTAGTATAAGTACAGACATATAGATCATTGACATAGAATCAAGAGTTTAGGAATAATCTCTCACATTTACATTAAATTGATTTTTAACAAGCCTGCCAAAAATTTCAATGGGTAAAGAATGGTCTTTGCAACAAGTGGTGCTGGGACAAGTGATTATGCAGAACAACAACAAAATGAAGTCAAAACCCCTCTTTACATCATGTATAAAAATCAACTCAAAATTGATCATAGACCTAAATGTAACAGCTGAAACTATTAAACTCTTAGAAGACAATGTAGGCATAAATCTTCCTGACCTTTTGCAGAACAAAGCCTTCTTAGCTATAACAGCAAAATCATAAGTGACAAAAGAAAATGTAAGTAAAGTGGGTTTAATAAAAATTAAAACCTTCAAAGGATATCATCAAGAATGAAAAAAGAACACCCACAGAATGGTGAAAATATTTGCAAATTATATATCTGAAAATAATCTAGTATCCAAAATATATAAGAATTCTTATAACTCAACAACAAAAAGATAAATAGCCCAACTGAAAAATGGCAAAAGAACCTATGTAGATATTTCCCCAATGAATATATATAAATGGCTAAAAAGCACATGAAAAAATATTCAACATAATTAGTCATTGAAGAAATGCAAATCAAAACCACAAAAAAAGATCACTTCATATCCACTAAGGTGGCTAGAATTAAAAAAACAAACAAACAACAACAACAAAAAACAGAATACAGGGGTTGACAAGAACATTCAGAAACTGGAACCCTTGTATATTCCTTGTGGGAATGTAAAATGACTTGACTTCTGTGGAAAATAGTTGGGTAGGTCTTAAAGTTAAACATAGAATTATCATATATCCCGGCAATTCCACTCCTAGGCACGTACTCAAGAGAATTACATATATATGTCCACACAAAAACTTATACACAAATGTTCACTGCAGCATATTCATAATAGCTGAAAACATGGAAACAAACTGAGGGTCATTCATGACCCATCAATGAATGATCAGATAAACAAAATGTAATAAGTACATACTATGGTATTATTCAGTCAGAAAAAATGAATTAAGTCCTAATGCATGATATAGATTGAAAGAACCTTGAAAACTACGCTAAGTGAAAGAAACTTGTCACAAAAGACCACATATTGTCAACTCCTTTATGAGCAGTATCCAGAATAGGTAAAGCTACATAAGCTCAAAGTAGATTGATGGTTTTCTAGGGAGAAAGGTTTGGGGAAAAATGAGGAGTGACTGATAATGGCTATAGGGTTTCCTTTTTGGAGTGATAAATGTTCTAAAATTGATTACAGTGTTGGTTGCATAACTGTTAATATACTAAAAACTATTGAATTATATACCTTAAATGGGTGATTTTCGTGGTATGTGAATTTTATCTCTGTATAGCTATTATATAAATATATACACATATAAATATAATATATACATATAATACATATATAGAAAGAAGGAAAAAGAGAGGGAGTGAGATAGAATATTGAATTACATTTTAAAATATACTAAATCAGGAAGTATATAAAGTTAGATGAAATGATCAAATGAAGATACAAATACCAATTAAATTATATTTTGATAATTCAAGGATGCATGTTTGAATCTTGAATGTAACCATTGAAAGGAAAATAGTATACAATTTCTAGGATAATGTACAGGGAAAATGAAATAATTAAAATAATCAAGTAACAATAAGACAGAAATCTTTTTAAAAAAACATAAGACTGATGGAAAGCAAAGAATAAAGTACATATATATAAGCAAATAAATCTGAAATTACATTAATGTAAGCGAACTAAATTCTCTAATTATAAGACAGATTATCAGACTGAAAAGTCCCACTACATGATGCTTAAAAATGACAAAACTAAAATATGAAAATACTGGGAGGTGGAAAGTAAAACGATGGAAAAATTACCGTGCAATTATTTGTCACAAGAAATCTGATGTATCTGTATTAATATGGGACAGAGCACAGAACAAAACTACAATACAAAATATCCTTTACAGTGACAGTTTAATTCATCTATCACATACAGAAATTCTAAATTTGAATTTGTCTAATAATATGACCTCAAAATGTATGAAACAAATATGACAATACTACAAGGAGAAATAGACAAATATTCACTCCTGATAGAGTTTTATATACCACTCTCAGTAAGTGATAAAAAGAAGCAGACAAAAACTAAAATTTCAAAAAAAAATTGAAGCACATAATTAATAATCTTGATTTACCTGACATATGTAGATCACTACAACCAAATACTAGAGCATATATTTTATTCAAGTACTCATGAAACATAAAAATTGAACATCTGCTGAGATATAAAGTAAGTCTCAATTTCAAAATATTTAAATCATACATAGTATGTTCCAATCATATTGAAATTTAGCTCGAAATCAATATCAAAAAGGTAAGTTAAAAAACCTATGAGCTTAGAAACCATATTTAGAAATTTCTAAATAACCCATGGAGCAGAGAAGAAATCACAGTAGAAGTTAGAAACTATTTTAATTTAATTATAACTGACATACACTATAGCAACATTTGTTGGATAAACCTAAAACTTTGCTGAGAGAAAAACATATAGACCTAAATACATAGATTAGACAAAATAAGTAAATAAACAGCTCAGTAGTCAATAGTAAGCATGCATTTCAAGAATTTAGAAGAATAAGTTAATTAAAACCAGAGAAATTAGAAGAAAGAATGTAATAACTTTAAGAATAGAATTAGTGGAAAAAATATGATGGGCTCCACAAAGCCATCAATGGATCCTTTGAAAAATAAAGTTGTTAAACTTATTGTGATGAAATTCTAGAAAATAAAAGAAAGGTCACACACTCACCTCCTGCCCCCTCTCCCCCACCACATACAAACAACATCAGGAAGTTATGAGAGAATTCTAGATATTTTTCAGAAAATAAAAAGATAATATTATGAACAATTTTATATTAATAATTTGAGAATTTAGGTAAAGGGGAAAAATCTTGGGAAAAAAAGGAACATAAGAAGACAGAAAAATATGAGTAATCTTAAGTGGTAGACACAGAGATGTGCTGTTCAGATTTTGTTTCAAGGAAGGGCTTGTCTGCTGAGTGTGCAATGAATGAGCACCCATCAGCTCTTAGTCACTTCAGATATTGCTTCAATTGCAGAAAGCCACCTTACAACTCTGGAGAGCCATATTCAGTGACATATTAAGTAGAGATTATTTTTCTCCATTTTATTTCATTAAAAAATATTGAGGCAAAATTCACAAAACAGATTTGGCAATTTTTTTTTTTTTTTTTGAGACATGTTCTTGCTCTGCCACCCAGACTAGAGTGCAATGGCATGGCTGTAGCTTACTGTAACCTATAACTCCTGGGCTCACATGATCCTCCTGCTTCAGCCTCCTGAGTAGCAAGGTGTACAGGTGCACCAATTTTTTTATAATGTTGATTTTTGTAGAAAAAAATGTTTTGCTATGTTGCCCAGGCTGGCCTAGAACTCCTGGTCTCAAGCCATCCTCCAACTTTGACCTCCCAAAGTGTCAAGGTTCATCCACATTGTAGCATGGATCATTATTTCATTACTTCTGAAGAATATTTCACTGTGTATATACTACAATTTGTTTATCATTTAATCTATTGATAGACATTTGGGCTGTTTTACTTTTTGGCTATTGTAAACAGTGCTGCTACGAACGTGTGTGTATTTAAGCAGGTATTTGTTTAAATGCTTGTTTTGAATTATTGTGTATATGCCTATGGGTGGAATTACTGGGTCATGTGGTATTTCTTTGTTTAAACTTTTTGTGAATTGCCAAACTGTGTTCCACAGAAGCTGGGCCATTTTACATTCCTACCAAAAATATACAATGGTTCCAATCCTGCACATCATTGCCAACACTCATTTTCCAATTTTTTGATTCTAGCCGTTCTAGTGGGCATGAAATACTATTTCATTGTGGTTTTGATTCACATTTTCCTAATGACTGATGATGCTGAGTATCTTTTCCTGTGCTTCTTGGCTATTTGTATGTCTTTACTGGAGAAATGCCTATTCAAGCCCTTGCCCATTTTTTAAATTGGACTGTTTGTGATTTTTGTTGTTGAATTGTAAGAGTCCTTTATATCTTCTGGATAGTAGACCCTTATCAGATACATAATTTGCAAATATTTTTCCCCATTTCTATAGCTTAACTTTCCCCTTTCTTGATGATGTCCTTTGAAGAATAAAACTTTTTAATTTTGATGAAGTCCAAATTACCTACTTTTGTTGTTGTTTGTGTTTGGGATTTTTGCATAATACCTAAGAATCCATTGCCAAATTCAAGGTCATGAAGATTTATACCTGCCATGAATTAACCAGTCCTTGTTAAGTCCTGCTCTTAACAGGAGAGACATGATGATGCTTCAGGTCTCTGGATATTAATATCGGCTGAGACCTTGTGTCCATTAATCTTTGAAATGCTTGGATAATCCCCTTTTCTCAGAGTACAGACACCTGAGAAAGTCAACATAGATCTGAGTATTGGGGTCCCTGAAGATTTTATTTTCAGAAAGTGAAAGAACTGACAAGCATCTAAAACCTGACAATAACAACGTATTCTCGAGGATGTGGGGAAATAGAATTTCATACCTTCTGGCGAGAGTGTAAATTAGTAAAATTACATTGTTCAGCAGTTTGGCAATGTTTAGTAAAACTATATTTCTTTTAAGAACTTTGTGATTCAACCAAGAATTATTTGTATGCATGGGAATGAGATTGGGACACTGTTTATTTTTTCCATGTGCGGTTGTGGCAATAGGATATGTTTGAATACCTTGCTCTCCCTATTGAATTTTTATCTCCATTTTCAAAATTAATTGTGCATAGCTGGGTTTATTTCTGGACTCCCTATTCACTTCCACTGATCTATTAGCCTACATTTATGGCAATACCACACCATAGCATTATAGTACATCTTGAAATCAGGTAATATGAACCCTCCAACTTTGTTCTTATCATACAAGTTGTTTTATTCTTCTTGATCCTTTCATTTTCATGTACATTTTTAAATCAGCTTGTCTTTTTTTTTTTCAAGAGAGATTGCTGTGACTTTGAATTCTGTGGAATCTACACATCAATTTGAGGACAGCAGACAGCTTAACAATGTTGTGTCTTCCAAAGAACATAGTATCTATCTTCATTTATTCTGATCCTCTTTAATTGCTTTCAGCAGTATTTGTCATGGGTGAGGGTGAGATGCTGTTCTGTGCTATGTAGAATGTTTAGCAGCATATTTGACCACTAGATGCCCGTAGCACCTCCCCACCAAGTTGCCACAATCAAAGTGACTCCAGGCATTACAAAACATCTTCTGTGGGGCAAAATTACCCTTGATTAAGAACCCCTGAACTAGAGAAATAGAGAAAGTGTGGTATTAACAAAACGATAGCCATATTAATCAGTGGCAATGAAAATTATCAACTCTGTATGCAATAGCAAACAAAACAAGAACAATAACTAAAACAACCTTCTAAAGGCTGTGGAAAGTTTTAAAAAAAGAAAAAGGTCATAAAGATTTTAGAGAGAATAAACATTTGTTGCAGTGTCATTTCCCTGCTTTTGCTGTTTTTGCTGAAGTGCGGACTGCAGTTGAAGCACGACTCGAGGAAGGTGGAACCCCTGTGCAAAACTCAGCATTTTACTGTCTAGGTTACCAGAGGATGGACTAAGGGCACTCATGGCCATTGCAAAAGTAAAGGGGAGTCTCAGGAAAGAGAGAAACTGAGGATGGCAACCCCAACTCCTATGGACTGAATTGTGTCTTCCCCAACCCCCAGTTGGTATGTTGAAGCCCTAACCCTCAAAGTTCAATAAATCACACGTGTATGTATGGTTCAAAGCAGTGTTTAGATAAAGGTGGAAAAATCAGAACTGGGATGAAGTTGCCACCCATCAAAGAAAAGCTTTCCGACTTTGAAAAGTTCCTCACTCCTGTGGCCCTGCCCATCCTTCAGCAGGCTTCTGCAATGTAATTGGCAAAGATGGCAGAGAGGCGGAAATTGGCTGTCCCATCACAGCCTTCAGCCCTGCAGAGATGCAGAGCTCCTAAGGCTCCTCAAGGTAGGAAGCTCTCTCTGCTCTCCTGCTCTGCCCTTTGTCTTAGGTGGGCTGTTGCCTTGCACTTAGTGGGCGGTTTCACATACCTCAGAGGGCTCACTGGGTGCTGACAATCTCTGTGGCTGGATCTCTTCAATATTCTCTCTCATGCCAAGCCCATACACTGTTAGTAAAACTTTGTAAATTTGGGATGATTTCTCCTTTTCCTTATTACCATTACCCCCAGGGAATAAAAGCAGCCATGGGATTGTCTTCTTGAAATTATTCATCCCACTATTTAGCTTTTTTATTGTTTAGCTTTCTAATGGGTTAAAAAAAATGTTACAAAAGCTATTCTGCGTTGCTCTCAATCTTAGTTTGAGTGTGATCAGTTTAATAATTTTATATTTTCTAAAATAATAATTTTAAAGTTTATATTTTTCCTTAAAAAGGAATATTTCATGCTTCTTTCCTCTATAGGTACTAAAATTAAAGAGTATAGACATTTTATCTAGAAAACTTAGATGATTTTCATATTCATTATAAATAATTTTTAAGATAAGCATTTTTTGGAGGAAAGATAAATGAAAACAATATATAGAACTACTTTTCTTCAACATGCTTAAATATATTTGGTAGAAATGAACTCATCATATATCATATTTTCAAGACTTTAATAGTTTTTAATCATTTGAATAGAGAATACATCATTACAAAGCTGCCCAAGGAATTATCATTAAATGAAGATGGTAAGGCAGGAAGGAGGAAAATTATTCTTCCTCATTAAATGGGAAAGAATTTGGTCAGTGTAACTTTCAAGAGGGCATGACCCAGACAAGATTCTAGTACCACAGTCTTAGTTTTGCTTGCTTATTTTGAAGATATGTTCAGAAACCTAATGCTGAAATGTAAGGAAACTCCTAAACACATAATCTAGGAAGGTGGTTGCAGTTAATGGTTAGGCTATTACTAGACCAACAAGTACAGGGTCCCAGCCCAGGATTTGACTTTTTAACATAGAGAAGCAGGTGTGTGTATACACACACACACACACACACACACACACATATATATATGCACACACCCACACACACACCCCTGTCTTCATATATATAATATATATATTCCATACATATGATCTTGATATATATATTATATATATAAGTTCATACCTACTTTTGCTCACCATTGTATATCCAAGGCTTATCACATTGTATGTACAAGGTATAGAATCAGCTTTTCTTTGTAAAGAAATCTTTGTGATTTCTTTGAAATCACCCAGAATTGACACTGGCCTGAAGTTCTAATGTATTTCTACAGATCTGAAGAATAAAAACTGAGACAAATAAGAAGTTGAAAATACTTAGAACAATAAAGGGGCCTTAGTTCAGTCTATGTGTGTATACACATTAAGGCCTATTGAGTTTATGTAATTTGCTCAGAGTAACACAGTAAATAATGGCAGAGCTGAAATGAGAGCCTTCTTAGATACATAATTCTATGTTCTTTATCCCATAACTAGATAAGAACATCAGTTTTTGAAATTAGTCAGATCTGAATTCAAATTCTGCCTTTGCCACTTACTAGCTGGATAACTTTTAGCAAGTTACTGGTGATCCTCTAATCTCAGTTTTCTTATTTAGGAATTAGGGATAATAATAGAGTCTACTTCTTTGGATTAGTGTGAGAATTAAATAAGAAAATATTTAAAGATCCCAGTATAGTGCCATCATTTAGCACCTAAAAATCATCATAGTAGTAGTCATTGATGTTAATATTGTTAGGCACTCTCTTCACCCAGACATGAGCAATAAGCTTGCTTCTCTGTATAAAAGATAAAATAAGCTGATTAATTTCCCACAAATCAGTTAATCAGCAATCTCAAAACAAGATTATCACAGTGAAATTTGCTCCCTGTTTAGAGATTAAGGAAAGTTTTTTGATTGTTATCAAAATAATGGTTTCTTTCTTTAAGATATCAGAAGTTCTATTATCTTCAGTTCTAATTCATGTGGATCATGGTGCAAGATAAACAACATTTACCATGTTCTGGATTAAATAGGACATCAGTTGGATACATAGCCCACACATTTTAAGTGTATTTCTTTATTTTGTGTTAGGGATTCCTGAAGGAAAAAAATCCAGATGTTTGCAGAAGATTTTGAGAATATTTGGATACAAACTCAATGGCTCTTGAATAAAAATGAGAACCAGATTAAATTCATGAAGAGCACTGCTACATAAAATGTATTTTCTTTTCTTTTATAGATACTCACATAAGTCATGTATGTTTTTAAAGAACACCTATAGTTACATAATCTCCTGTGTGAATTTAGGGGTTAATTTAAAAGAAAGTGAGTTTAAATTTCGAGCTGACAATGTAGGAGGGATTAGGAGAAAAGTGATCATTGGAGCCAAAGGAATGAATGAAATTACCCCAGGAGAGCAAAGAGCCCAGCTAGATCCTAAGAGAAAGCCTAAATATGGGGACCAACAGAGACAAAAAAGCCATATAAGGAGAGCGCACAGGAAGACAAATAGAAGAGAGCTTCATCTTGGGGGCAAGAAAGATTTTCCAGAAGTAGATATCCTTCAATATCAAATACTGCAGTTCTAATGCCTACAGAATTTCATGTACCAGGTGCTTAGCAATAAGAAGGGAAGCTAGTTGACAGATTAGCCTTTTCACTGTATTTTTAGAAGAATACCATTTTTATCTAGATTGCATTGTGTTGAGTATAACTTGAGCCGGGTGGGGAGTGGTAGCAGAAATCATGGTGATAAAGACTAAAAGCCTCCAAGCCATATTTGATGCCAAAGCTATTCAATGGCAAGCTGGGTTGTATGAAAATAAGGACGGACCACAGTTGATTTTAACAAAATGGCTGTAAGTGACCTTTCCAATGAGAGGGGAGTTTGGGAATTATATATGGTGTTAAAATACAATGTTTTCTAGAAAGTTGTCAGGAAAGAAGAAGATGGAATGGTAGCATGGTGGGGGAAGAAAGAGAAGAAGAGAGAAGAGAGGGTGAGCAAAAATAATATGTGAAGTCAGAGAGGTTTACAAAGGGCAGAAATCCACATTAGCTGCCGTTGATTGTATCATGAAGTAGGAGGCAAAGTCAGCTGAGCATGCAAGCACCGAACTGCAGTTATGAATTTGCAATGAGTGTAAAATGTTCGGATTATCTGTTGTAAAGAATCAGCTAGGGAGTTAAGTAGGAGTGAATGAGAGGAATGATGAACTCATGGAAGGCCTGGCTGAGGTTGAGTAATAACTACGCATGGCATTGCACCAAATTAAGTGGTATAATTTTAACAAATGACCCAATAAGGTAGAGTCTATTTTTATGTGGAGCAATAAGACCTCACAATGGATCATTGAGTTGGAAGTTAATCTTTGAAAGCATATCTGAAGTTCCTTTCATAACGTTAAGTGCTGCCTCCAGACAGCATTTAAACAGGGATCGTTTACAGACCGATGAACAGAATTTTAGCATTCAATCTAAAAGCTATACTTTGTTTTCACAGAAAAAATAATATGGTTTTTTATTTCAATGAACTTCTAATGTACATAGAGATGTCCACATATAATATATATAAAGATAATATAGTATCTTTATCAATTAACTATTGCCGGATTCATATAAACAAGAATGTGGTTTAACTTCCCTAAACTGGAGAACTGGTAATGATTATTATCAAAATAAGGCCTTAAAAAGGCTAGTCTTTAAGGAATAAGCTTTCAAAATAATTTATTCATTCCAATTTGCATTTTCTTTCTTTTCTTTTCTTTTCTTTCTTTTCTTTCTTTCCTCTTTTTTTTTTTTTTCAGGGTCTCTTCCTGTCACCCAGTATGGAGTGCAGTGGCACGATCTCAGGTCATTGCAATCTCTGCCTACTGGGTTCAAGCAATCCTCTCACCTCAGACTCCCAAGTAGCTGGGACTACAGGCATGCTCCACCATGCCTAGCTAATTTTTGTATTTTTTGTAGAGACAGGGCTTTGCCATGTTGCCCAGCCTGGTCTCGAACTGCCCAGGCTCAAGCTATCCGCCTGCCTCGGCCTCTCAAAGCACTAGGATTACAAGTGTGAGCCATTGTGCCTGGCTCAATTTGCATTTTCTAATTGCCAGGTCTTATATAAGACCACTCTATGCCAGGTCTTATATAAGGCTCTGAAGATAGCAGGATGAGCGAGTTGGAATTGTTCAATTAGAATTGGAATTATTAGAATTTCAAAGATCTCACAATGTAGATGAGGAGACAAGTTGAAAAGACATAAAATGTGTGGGCACTATGATTAATGTGCCCTAGAAACCATGGAACACAACATGGTTGCATGGATCTAGAGAGACTAGGGAGCGCTGGCAGGGAGATGATGGTTTCTAACAAGCATCAGTCCAGGATCAGGCACTGGGCTAAACCAAGAGGAGAACGTGATGAATAAGGCACAGGTGGTCTCAGGCTGTTGAGCAGTACAGACACATAAACACATTTTCAGTACACTCTGTTAGGTCCAATAATGGCAATGGTGCTGGAGGTGTGGGAAGACAGCAAAGGCACTTGCAACATGGGGGCCTAAGCAGAAGAGGAAGAGGGTCACCAGCACACAGTAAAGCTTTCTTGCAGAAAGAAACAGCGAGCTCTAAAAGATTTAGGACTGAGCCAGGCATGGAATTGGTGGAAGAGTGGAGGAGAGCCTTTCAGGCAGAACACAGCTTAAAGGAAGAGAAGTGAAAAAGAACATGATATAAATTATTCCATTACAAAGATACATGCACACATATGTTCACTGCAGCACTATTCACAATAGCAAAGACATGGAATCAACCCAAATGCCCACCAACGATAGACAGGATAAAAAAAAATGTGGTACATATACATCATGGAATACTATTCATCCATAAAAAGGAATGAGATCATGTCCTTTGCAGGGACATGGATGAAGTTGGAGGTCATTATCCTCAGCAAACTAACACAGGAACAGAAAACCAAACACTGTGTATTCTCACTTATAAGTGGGAGCTGAACAATGAGAACGTATGGACACATGGGGTGGGGACAACACACACTGGGGCCTGTCGGGGTGAGGAGAGGGGAAGAAGAGCATTAGGAAAAATAGCCAATGCATGCTGGGCTTAGTACATAGATGGGTTGATAGGTGCAGCAAACCGCCAAGGCACACGTTTACCTGTGTAACAAACCTGCACATCCTACACATGTACCCCAGAACTAAAAATTAAAATTAAAAAAAAAACATGAAAAAACTAAATGTTTCTGGCACATAGATTTTCAAGTAGAGAGGAAAGTTGTGTCAGACAGGGCTTATGTCCACTTCATAGATAAGAAAGGTGAGGCTCACAGAAGTAAGGAAAAGTACACATTGCCACACAGATCAAAGCAGCAGGAACAAAATTCCAACCACATCTGTCAGAGTCACAGCCTCTGCTTTTTACATTTTTCAGACATAGTTTTTGCACATACATATCTATAATGGTTACATTATAACATAGGAAGAATATAGGCTAATTTTGATTTTATCTATTTTTGTTTAGAAGAAAAAAATTCCTCATAATCAAGATAATATAATGAAATAAAAACCAAATGACAAAATACAAGGAAATCACAATAAACAAAATATTTATGTGTGTATGAGAGAAATGATGCAAGTTTTATTAAAATAGCTCAACTTAGTTATCTTTTTGTCCATTTGTCAAAAATAACTATATCAAAATTACTACTATTAGGTAAGAGATAGTATAGTGATACGGTTTTCTGACAATATCAATTGGAAAAATAAAATAAGCCATTTGAAGTCATTCTGGTTGTCACATCTCTGCTTATATTGAAAACTGCCTCAATTTATGATTTGACTATTCGATCTCTTTAAAATGTTGAAGCTATGGATTTTTTTTCTGCCCTCTTTTGGCAGGCTCACAAATTCACAATCAACAACTTGCCATCAGCTGGTCTTCATTAGCAACTTTACCATGACCCATCCAATTCTGATGCTTAGAAACAGAAAGACCAGGGAATGCTTTTTTCCCCCCCATTAAAGTAGCTAACAAATTAAGCATGAAGAGAAATTATGGCAATGTGATAAAAATGGGAATAAGATAATTAAAATAAAATCATTTAATAGTGTATAACTTAGGTGAGAGGAGAATGAACTTCTAAAACATAACCCATTAAGCCACAGTAGAAGTGAAGAAAGCAACCAAATTCTGCAAATGCTATATAACCCTGGAACTCTCCTAGTGTGGCCAAGCAACAGATCCCTTGATTAAAAGTGATTTTTAGAGAGCACAGGGTTGGGGGTAAGGTCACAGATCAACAGAAACATGTGCTGTGTCCACTCAGGGTTAAATGGATTAAGGGCGGTGCAAGATGTGCTTTGTTAAACAGATGCTTGAAGGCAGCATGCTCGTTAAGAGTCATCACCACTCCCTAATCTCAAGTACCCAGGGACACAAACACTGCGGAAGGCCGCAGGGTCCTCTGCCTAGGAAAACCAGAGACCTTTGTTCACTTGTTTATCTGCTGACCTTCCCTCCGCTATTGTCCTATGACCCTGCCAAATCCCCCTCTGTGAGAAACACCCAAGAATGATCAATAAAATAAATAAATAAATAAATAAATAAATAAATAAATAAATAAATAAATTTAAAAAAGTGATTTTTATAAACCTCAGGAACTGGACACATAAGCAGAAAAGAAATTATATACTGATCCATCATACTAGATGAAAATATTCATAATCAAAAATGGATGATACAAATAAAAGAACATGTGAAGATGACTACTTGGGTATTTTCCATCAAGCAAAAGAAATTGTAAGTTAAGACTCTAGATTGCCTATGAGCAAAAGCATGAAGGTGGGTAGGCTAATTACTGACCAGAGTCTACTTAAAAGGCCTAGTCTTGGTTTCGTGGTTAGCACAGACACTAAAACTCTAGATAATACAGTTTATTTAGTTTCTTGTTTTCCTATTGTTTGTTTTCTATGGAACATTTCAGCTGAATAAAAAGAAAAAGTCAAGAAACCTTAGGCACAAGACATAAGACCCTTAACTCTAGCCTCATAGCATTTAACGCATCAAAAGGCCTATACCCTTATTGTGTGTGGGTTTCGGTGGTCAACATACCACACATTTTTAAGAATGTTTAGGGGATTTCTTTCCAAACCATGTTGCATGGAACAATAAATTTCAGAAAAGATAAAACTTTTCTAATAACACAATTGGAAAGGAAACCAGACTAAATTAATAGATATCACTTTTCTAGAAGGTCTTAAATTAAATTTCATTTCCTGACCCAGAGTTATATATGCATACAATTAATGGCTAATGAATGCTGAAAAATAGAGGTCCTTCCACACTGGCCTTAATATAAGGAAGATGATTATTTATGAACAAGTATTTTATATAAAATTTGGTGTGATCAAGATGCTGAAACAGATTTAAAATGTGTGATTAAACCTGCAGATTAAATTTGTGTGCGTTCAATAAGAATGCATGGTGCCACAAGAATAAATGATAGTTCTAAGTAAGTCTGAATTCATACACATTCTAAATTTGCATGTTTGGGAGCCATGAGGCTTTATTATACTGAACATGGGTATTTGTGCCTTCTAATTGCTGCAAAGAAGTATCTAGCTACGACATGAAATTATGTACCCTAAAAATTCTCGAGGGTGGAAGGCAGGGGAAACTTAACAGAATAAGATCTTTAAATGATACCTAAATTCAAAGGTTTGGAAAATAAATTTCTTGAAATGGTGAAAACTAACCGATTTACTCTTTATGTAGTATCCATCCAGTCATATGTTAAAAAAAAAAAAAAAAAAAAGGAATGAGGCTGGGTGTGGTGGCTCATGCCTGTAATACCAGCACTTTGGGAGGCCAAGGTGGGCGGATCACCTGAGGTCAGGAGTTCGAGACCAGCCTGGCCAACATAGTGAAACCCCATCTCTACTAAAAAAAATTAAAAAATTATCTGGGCGTGGTGGCGCATGCCTGTAATTCCAGCTACTCGGGAGGCTGTGGCAGGAGAATTGCTTGAACTCTGAAGGCAGAGGTTGTGGTGAGCCGAGATCACGCCACTGCACTCCAGCCTGAGAGACAGAGCAAGACTCTGTCTCAAAATAAATAAATAAATACATACATAAATAAATAAAAATAATTTTAAAAAGGAATGAATGAATCAATGAATAAGTGGAAAACAGAAATGTAATTTAGTATTGGTATATGTTCTACCCCCAAAGACTAACTAAACTATTGGTTACAATAAATGAAATCTAATTAAGAATACATTAAAATATATGGCTTTTGACTCTAGAGATACATCATGTAACAATTACCAAGAGTGAGTCATTACTGCATTCTGTAATCTGGTTGGGTTGGGAGAAGGGAGTCATTAGAATCTCTGTAGGCTTGCATGTCATTTGAAAAAGTCCTCCCTGATGATTCTTAGACACTAGTCACTCTGGATTTACATGCACTACTTTAAATGTAAACAATGATGATATGCTACAGCATATTGTTTCTTTGATTTCAAAATTAAGGCACGTGGCACCTTAATTTAATTCTAAGTATTCCATGTAGCTCACTACTCCTCTTTGCCTTTCACCGCTCTGGAAAACATCCTCAGTCTTTTCCGGTTTAGTACATTGTCCAAAGAGCCTACTGTGGAATCTCATGTCATTTTACTTTTTTCAGTTGGCCTATTTTTCATACCATTTCTCATTTCCTCCATATTTCTATTATTCCCTATGAAAACATACCTAGTCTTGTCCTTCTCTTTGCTTTTCAAGATTTAGCAATCTGAAAAAAGTTAATTACCCCAATTATAGGGTGTCACAGAGTACTAATGACTCAATAAACTCACCTCGCACACCCACTAAATAACTTTTCATGGTGAAATTTGAATATTCAGCTTCACATAAAAGTCAATGAGCCAAATGCATGCTGTAATAGTTTATGGAACTCACTGGGATAGGGAGCTACTGACCAGTGATTTATAGGTTCATGCATGTTCCTGGAGTTCAAAGTAAAAATTATCCTCTAAACTCACACCACCAACATGGAAGCCACCAGACACAGGAAGCTACTGAGCACTTGAAATGTGGGTCATCCAAATTGAGATGAGCTGCAAGTATAACCTACACAACAGATATTGAAGGTGTAGTATTTTAAAAAGAGCAAAATATCTAATTAATATGTTGTTTACATATAAAATAATATTTTAGATACATGATGTTACATAAAATATATATCTATATATTTGTGGTTTTTTTTTGAGGCAGAGTCTTGCACTGTTGCCCAGGCTGGCACGATTTCAGCTCACTGCAACCTCTGCCTCCCAGGTTCAAGTGATTCAGCCTCCCGAGTAGCTGGGATTACAGGCGGCTGCCACCACGCCCAGCTAATTTTTTGTATTTTTAGTAGAGACGGTCTTTCACTACGTTGGCCAGGCTGGTCTCGAATGCCTGACCTCATGATCCACCCGCCTCTGCCTCCCAAAGTGCTGGGATTACAGGCATGAGCTCCCATGCCCAGCCGAAATATATTATTAAAACTAACTTCATTTATTTTTTTTTTTTTACTTTTCAAATGTGTCAGCTAGAAAATTTAAAATGGCACATGTGACTCACATTATATTTCCATTGGAGAGCACATCCCTAGACCCTTGCAATTCAGGGCATGTTCCTCTGATGAGCAGCATCGCATCAGTAGGGGTTTGTGAGAAACGCAGAATCTTGGGCCTCACTCAAGAACTACTGAATCAGATAATAAGATGCCCAAGCTATTTGTATTCATATGACAGCTGAAGAAGATCTTTGTTGACTTTAGGAGTGTTTCAATGCAGACACTGCTCTCTTTTCTCTCCATATCTTTGCAATCATCATTCCTTAGCACCTACAATATGCCTTCATTTGAGGGCTTATTCAATATTTAATCTTTATTTCACTAAATAAACAGATATTCCTTTTCTTATTACTGTGACTGCTTTTTCCATATTGAAATGGCAATGGCTGCAAATACTCTCTGTGTGAAAGTTGGTTCCATTAAGAGCTAATCAATTTATATGATTCATACACTAAAAACAACAGGAGACTATGGTCAGGTGAAAGATATGTGGATTTCATGTTATTATATTTCCCTTCTTGAAATAGAAAGGAAAATTTGGGATTAAAATAATTTCATGAGCAAGTCTAACAGTGCTGTGAGGATCTAATTGTCAGCCAGCTCTCTTTGGGAGCAGAGTATACGAAGGTTATTGTTAAACAGTGCCAGCAGACAGGTTGCTGCTTTTGTCTCCTTTGCAATTTGCAATTTGGGAATGGAGGGAAACCGGGCAATATCCCTTTCTGTTTTTGGTTGTTCTTATTGTTATCAATAGTTCTCATTTTGGTCCACAACTCTGCCACTACTTACAGAGGAATTTAGATTGAGTTTGTTCTGAAAGCAAAGTATCATACTAATGAATCACTAAAAAGAAAGCTGGTCTAATTATAGCCAAATGGTGCAAAATAACCTTACTTATGATTGCCCCTGATTAGGTGTAGGCTGCTGGGCTCGCTGCAGGGGGCTGTAGATTATCACTGAAATGCAAGGTGCCCACTGACTGCCAAGAGGGGAAGAACTTGCAGCAAAAAAAAATATTGCAGCTGTACTCTATTATTTTGTTGTAAAGTCATGTCCCAGTTTCCTATACCCAATAGCTTGAACTTGGCATTGTTTCAATTCCTGCTTATTGGTGAACTGATCTCATGTTCGATAAATAAATATTAATCAACTGATAATTAAGTATTCACCCTTAGGCCACTGTAATATTATAGTCAGACTGTTTGCATTGGAGGAATGAAGATTTGTTTAAGGTACTACCAATAAAGGACGATTTGCTTTAAATCCAAGCAAAATCCCATGGAACTCTCACGGCAAAGCCACAGTAGTGTGGGTCTCAGGGATCTGGGGATTTGTTCTAGATCCAAAATGACTCTAGAGAACTAGGCTGTGAGAGATCTTCATTCTGGTGACCTGCGGTTGCTTCCCAGCTACTCAAAGTGGGAATGCTTCTTTCTCTTTCACTCACAGTTGCCTTCCTCTGTTGACTTCTAGTTTCTTCCCTCCCTACTCCTTTCACAGTATCCCCCAATCACAGTCCTGCTTCATGATCTTTCAGAGGCAGACTTCACTGCTTTTTGGCAATTCTTTCTTTGTTTCCTGGCTCAGATTCCTAGAGGAAACCTGATTAGTCAAAGTCATCTTTTCAAGTCAGTCCACCTTGGTAACAAGTCACATCTCAGACCCAGTGACTATGCATTGGGACCATTGGTAGAGACATTTTTCTAATAAATGGTGGAGTAGGGCTCAAACTCATAACTGACATATCTCATATGCATACTCATTTATTGACAGCATCCTCTGTGTAGGCACTATTCTAGTAAATAAGATAAATATGACTCCTAAACTTTTCGGTAATAATGAGTGGCAGGCAGAGAATTACTGTAGATGGATAGGAAGGAGAGTGACTGGCAGGTTGGCTAGATGGGGTGAGCAGAGTAAGGATTCCCAGAGCAAGTGACATTTAAACAGGCACCTGAATGAAAAGAAGGAGCTAATCATAGGAAGATCAAGGTAAGATTATTCCAGGCAGAGGACACAGCTAGTGCACAGGCCCCGAAACAAGAAGGAACCTGACATGTTTAAGAATTTTTTAAAGGTCATAATAGCTGAAGATTGTGATCCAGAAGGAGACTGACATGAAATTAGGTCAGTGAGGTCAGCAGGGACTGGGACCAGATCCTATCAAGGTTTGTAATCCAAAATAAGGTGCTTGGATTTTATTCTAAGTGAAATGGAAGCCACTGGAATGACATTAAATAATCTTACCCCCCAAAAATTAAAAATTGTGTTTCATAATTTTCATATTTTTTACTTTAATTTGATTTTTATGTATGAAAATGGCCAAGAAAGCAGTATGAGAGGGTGCTTAACTTCATTCGTTACTAAGAAGATGCACAATGAGATCCCACTGTATACTTAGCAATTCTATTTCTAGGTGTATATTTATTAAGATTGTGTATATATTTGCACCAAAAGACATATACTATAGTGTTCCCAAGCCCCAAACTGGAAGCTTTCCCAATGCCCTTCAACAGTTGAATGGATAAGTACATGGCAGTGTAGCCACATCACACTGCTATGGAGCAGGGTTGACAAACTATGGCCTCCTGGTCAAATACAGCTCATGGCCTGTTTTATTACTGGCATTTGAGATAAGAATGAATTTTACATTTTTAAACGGTTTTAAAAACAACAACAAAAATCAACCAACAAACAAGAATAACAACAACTGGGGACTATATGCAGCCTGCAAACTCTAAAATATTTACTGTTTGGATTTTTATAGAAAAAGTTTGCTCTCCCCAAGTACAGCAAAGAGAATGAATAAACAATAACTACAAGCAACAATATGGATAGATTCCCAAACAACATGTTGGGTGAAAGAAGTTATACCCCAAAGCATACCTGCTATATAAAAACAGGCAAAATTCAACTATGGTCTTAGAAGTCAATCTGGCGGTTACACTCGACCAGGGTGGTAAGCGGAAGAGAGGATGAAGCAATGCTTTCAAAGAGCTGTTTATGTCTCACAGGTGTGCTCCGTTTGTGAATGTTTGTGAATGTTTTCACAAACTGTGCCTTTATGACACATGTTAGCATGTATTACTTGGACTACATACATTTGACATTTTACAGGGAAAGGCAATTTAACTTATTAAAGTTTCCCCCTCCCCCATATTTGGGTCATGGAAAAATTTGAGGGGTTTCTGTGGTACCCCCAAAATTCAAAAAGACTTTTCATCTTTGGGTCGTTACCAGTGACGCCCTCATTTTCCAAATTAGTGCATTCCTTTCAGGCACTGCTACTTGCTTGTGAAACTGATATGATTTTTCTACAACACTAAGAGCCCTATAGCCGAGGTATTTGATTCTTTATTATCAACTGTGGGCTTTCTCTCCCATCTCATATCCAAGGCAATCCTTCAATAGTTCTACGTTCATCTAGATCCACAATTTAACCATTTTTCTCTACCTTCACTGCTACGGACATTGTTAAAGCTGCAATGATATGTTTCCTGGTTTAGTCTCTTAACTAGTCCCCTGGGGCTTTTACCCTTGTCTCCCTGTGCTCCCAGTGTCTATTCTCAGAACAGCAACCACCACGATCCTTTGAAAA
Source organism: Homo sapiens (assembly GCF_000001405.40). Taxonomy (NCBI): domain Eukaryota; kingdom Metazoa; phylum Chordata; class Mammalia; order Primates; family Hominidae; genus Homo; species Homo sapiens. The sequence goes on from NC_000018.10 coordinate 27,483,491, forward strand.
CAAAGATTATGTCACCACTCCTCAGGTCAAAACCCTCTTAAACTCTTTCATTCAATAAAAACCAAGTTTTACAATGGCAGCAAGACCAGCATTATCTCAGCATTCTCTCCCACAAACACACACTCCCCTTCGCTACTCAGGCCTCCTTTTCATCCTCAAAAACTTCAAAAACATTCTTTTCTTTGGGCCTTTTGCTAGCTGTTTCCTCTACCTAAATCACTCTTTCTCCAGATGATCTCCATAGCTAAGCAACTTGCCTCCTAAACGTCTCTACTAAAGTTCCACCTTTTCAAAGAGATGAAGGCTCAGTGAGGCCTATTATGATGGTTCTATATGAAAATTGTCAGCTGTCCCTGTCAGTCCCTATCACCTTGCTTTTGTTATTGCAATTATGGCATTTGAACATGCTCTAATTGTATTTATGACTATCATTGTTTATTAACTGTCTTTTCTAACTAGCATATACATTCTTGACAGGCAGTGATATTTAATTTGTATAGTGATGTATTCCAAGTGTCTATATCAGTGCTTGGCACATAGAAAGTTTCAGTGAATGTTGGATGAATGAATGCATGTGGTCCTGCCTCACAGAGACACCATTCTTCTGGCATCTCTGAATGTTGCCACATTCCTGTGCATGTGTGTAGAAATGGATCAACACAATTCAAGGGCTTCATGATCTCTTGAGTTCCTTATCAGACCTTTTTAGTGTAAAATGCTAGTTAATAACCTACACATGAATAACTTTATGCGGTTATCTTTTTAAATTAAAAAAGTTATAAATACTTTACAAAGAAATTATTTAATATGTTTCATGAGTTATGTTTTTCTAGATGTGTTTGATAGACAGAAAATTTTATGATCAAATTTTAAAAACGTTCCATCCAAGATAGAGTTTAATATTTTCTTTCTCTCAGGACTGTGCTACTTTTAGAGAACCAAATCTGGGAAGGAAATTCTTTTTAAACAGCTTAAGCATTCAGCCTTGGCCCAAATCTACGCTTGGAATGAGGAGCGAAAAAGGAAGGACAAATGGTGATTTAGACTATCACCTATAAACATCTCTTTCTTTCCTAAGAGAGTGGGTTGTGGAGAGCTCCAGGGCTATCATTACTGAGAGCAAAGTTCTTTGCTTTAGGCCTATTGATACTAACTTAGTTTTCTGTGGCTTGATAACTGGGACATTTAGTGCCACTTTTATTTACAAGAGCTAGTCTTTATTTCAATTGGGCATTGAAAGTTAGTAGATTGTGTTTGACTATACTAAAGATTTTCTTTAAATCTATGTTATGCTGTCACATAAAATGTACCAATTTTCCTGAACTTGTTTTCCAAGGTCATGTTTAAACAAGTATTTGTTTATACAAATGAAGTATAAATGTTTTCATTAGTAGAAAGGCAGTGTAAGACTTACTATGGAGAGACAGATAACCACAGGAAAGTTATTAATAGATTGCAATATATTAAATGCTTGGTCCTTATAAAGATATTTTAAATACTATTTTTTTTTCACACAGGAAGATGATTTTAAATCCTACTTTAAAATATATTTGACTCTATGATCACAGTGCCAGGCAGAGATCCTATTCATTAGTGAGATTTATAAAAACATATTTGATGTTATGCAACCTAAGTAAGGTTCATTCTCCCATGGATAGAAGAACAAATGGATGAGAAGGTAAAAGCCCTAGAAAGGTAATGCAAGCTAATGAAGATGTTAGGGTCATTTAGCAGAAATAATAATAGTGGTTACTTAAAAATCATAACACATTCTATCAAGGATTATTTTCATTAAAAATGTTAATGACATAAAATTTTCTGTCCATCAAACACATCTAGAAAAACATAACCCCTTAAACATATTAAATAAATGATTGTAAAGTATTTATAACTTTTTAAATTTTAATTTATAACTTTTTTAATTTTAAAAAAACTACATAAAGTTAATGTACAGGTTATTAACTAGCATTTTACACTATAAAGATTGGGTAAGGAGCTCAGAATTGACTTATTATTATTATTATTTTATAATTGAGTGCCCAGAGAATACTTCTACTTATCATAACTGAGAAATTAAGGAAAGTCCTTACTCTGCTATAAATCAGACCATGCTTCAAATACAGACACAGTGACTAAGTTGACCAAGGGCCAATTATTTAACTTATCCAAAGCTTAGTATCTTGATCTATAAAACAAGGATAATAACAGTGCCCACTGCATAGGATTATTGTGAAGATTAAGTGAGATGATATATAAAGCATATAGTAGAGTGTCTGGCACATATTTTAAGTTCAATAAATGCAAGTTATTATATTATTACTGCAGTTTTCTTTACCAAATGAAGCTATAGCATTGCAAACTCATAGTGTTGATTTTTTTGCGTTCAAATACAGAACTTTATATTTATTTTCATTACATATCTTATGTTAAACATAGCTAATCTTTTCACATTATTAATATCACTTTAGATCCCAAATGTATCATCCAACTTCTCTTCTATCCCTCCAAGCCTCGTACTATTCACAATTCTGATTGTCATGTAATCTAAATCTTCATCAAACTCATTTGTACAAACAGGAAAATAAAAAGAGGATAATATTAATATTCCTAAGCTTCAACCTTATGAATTTAATTGATATCAGGCCAAAAATGAGTGCTCTTTGGGAAAGTTGTTCCACCTATTATAGCGCTTTTAACTATTCTTTCATAGAGTCAGTATAACACTTCTCATGTTGTACTTTGAATAACAGTGATTATTATACATTTTCTTATTCCTCTATTAGACTGTAGGTTCCTTGTTATCAGGAACTATGACATTCATTTTTATTTTACTCACTTAATCCACAATATGTACCAGAGTGCTTTATATATGCACTTAGTAGATGTTTTCTGAATTAACAGAATGAAATAATTATTTAAAGACATATCTTTGACTTAAAATATTATGGCATTATTGAGAAAAATGTCATTTTTTTGTGTGCAGTGTACCACTTCTAGAAGGACACCAGCCCATGTTTGAGATCGCTAAATGACAATGAAATCTAGGAGATCCTCACAACTATTTCATTTTCCAAACTCCATATGCTTCTTTCCTACAATCCTTCTTGCCTTCCTCTACCTTAGATTGCCTTGCATTGAAGCTTAGTTAAACCATATTTGCAAAGCTTATTGAATTCTTCAAAATAAAGATGCTATGGAATTGTGTTATGTGGACAGTAATGTGACATCTCTGCTCTCTCCTCGGTCATGACTATAAATCCCATGCTACTGTGAACTGGAAGCAACAAAGCAATCTATAATCTGAAGTGATATAAAAATATAACACATTTCAGCTGAGTGTTCCTAGAAGATTTTAGGAGTGTGTTTTCTTTTAAAGCATAGATCCCTTACGGTTTTTCTTGCTAAAGGGCAATGAGCAGAAGTTGAAAACCAATTCCAGTGCTGACAATAACTAACATTGTTTCACTGAACTGTGATAGGCAAATTGAATGACCTTGGACAGTCCTTTTACCTTTTAAACTTGAGTTTCTTCATCTATGAAAAATGGAGTCAGAACAGGTAATCTCTCACCCACCTTCAAGATCCACCAAAATGTCAAGCAAATGGAGCTGGGTAATTTCTTATGGACAGATTTATATACACCATTGTATATGACATTACAATTCTAACTGGAGACCTCTTAAAGATTAGGATGACAAATGGGTTCATGATTTAAATATAAGTGACTTAGAGCAGGATTGCAAAATTTAACTGTCTTAAATATTAACTGTCTGGAATGTCCTCCTTCTTACTCTTCACGTAGATGTCTCCTGGCCACCTTCTCAAGTCCACCATTATGAAGGGTCCCTCCTCCGAGCTATCCTACATTGTTGTTTTACATTTATGCCCCCACATGTTTTCATTCTCCCTCTAAATTGTAAGCTCATTGAAGAAAGGCATTATGTTTTATACTTCTATTTATCTTCAAAGGGCCAGCATATCTAGGCATTAGAGACCTTGAGCACTCAATAGTTAAGTAGCTTTTATAAATATCTGATCACTGCAAGAGCTGCATTACCATTAAAATTAAACATGAGCCACTTTAAATGACCATCAATATATTATGAGAATCAACATGAGTAGAAAGCCTGACTCTGCCATTTACCTAGGGTCTCTACCTCTCAGTTTCCAAATTTGTAAAATAATGAATTGCCACCTGCTTTTTAGAGCTATTACGAGTATTAAATAAAATAATGTGGGCAAAACTGGTACATAAAAGATATTTTATAAATGGTAACTATCAATGGTAACTTATTCTGATTCTTATTAGAGCCGGTATGATACTATTCACTTGCTTTTGTATGTTTACAAAACTAATCAGTAGACTTTGACTTCTGTGTGCAGCAGGATCTCCTTAAATATTTACCTTCTTAGGACCCAGCCCTAAAGAGTCTGACTTTAGTCATTCTCGAAATTTGCTTTGAGAAATGCTGTAGCAGAGTCAAATTGTTCATAACTCAACCTTATTCTTAAAATATTTCCAGTCGATATTCCTGAGAGTTCCAGAGTTTCAAGCATTTCACTCTCTACTAAGTATTACAATATTATGGTATTTTAAGGCCTGCTGTCTTGAAAGTTAGGTGCCTTGGTGAAACAACCTGGAAGCTATTAGCTTGAAAAACAGGAGTGAAAAACTATCGAGTGTAATCTTTCTGACCAAAGAAAATAATTGCTTTCTCACAGCCTGAAAAATTACACAAACGTGTTTTCCCCCCATAGTACAACTGCCATTTTCAATTTCCAAGTATGGCTAAGGCCTCAGGTTATCCACAGTCTTTCTGAACTTCAACATCTTAGACAATTATTTTTAAGAAAAGGTTTACCTTGGATTTCATTTCGTTGCTCTGCCAATTGGCGATATCACTATTACAATTGCTATTAAAACTGGTGTCAGTAAATTGCTTCAGCCAATACTTTTTTTATATATTGGTCCTTAGCTCAATTTTCACACACTTTAGAATTCAGAGAGAAAGCCCTAGAAGATTAAGGGCACCAGGACAAAAACCTTCAGGATTATAGATATAAGCAGTCTCTATTAGCATAGATTTTTAAACTACAAAATTATTTTACATTTTAGTCTTTAAACTTGTATTAGTCTGTTCTCACACTGCTATAAAGAACTACCCAAGACTGGGTAATTTATAAAGAAATGAGGTTTAATTGATTCACAGTTCCACAGGGTGTACAGGAAGCATGGCTGGGAGGCCTCAGGAAACTTACAATCATGACAGAAAGCAAAGGGGAAGCAAGTCTGTCTTACCATGGCGGAGCAGGAGAGAAAGAGAGCAAAGGGAGGAGTCCCACATGCTTTTAAACCATCAGATTTCGTGAGAACTCACTCACTATCATGAGAACAGCAAGAGAGAAATTCACTGCCATGAGCCAGTCACCTCTCAACCAGGCCCTTCCTCTAATTTGACATGAGACTGGGGCAGGGACACAAATCCAAACCATATCATAACTTTTTAAAATATTTAAACTTTTAGTCTTTGAAAAGTCTAAGCCATTGTGGAATTCTAATTAGGACAAAGAAACTGACTTCATTCTTCTCAGAATCTAAGTCATTTCCTGATGAATTAATTAGGGTATATGTTTGAATGCCATAAAAGAGAACTCAAAATAATGGTGGTTTAAAAAAGATGAACTTCCTTCTCTTCTTGTAAAAGTCTGGGTTGGTTGACCAGGGCTAGAAGGAGGTACCACACTCAACAGAAGCCTACACTCCTTCCATCTTGTTACTGTGTCGAGGATCCTCAACACAGAGCTTGCTTTTCACTATTCAGGAGGGATGGAAGCACACAGCAAACATGCCCACATTCTGCCCCATGGGAAAGGGTCTTTGTAGGGATTATTCAGGGTTCTTTCTTTGAAGTTCATGACCCAGAAATAACACCTATCCAATTAATTCACATTCCAATTGGCAAAACTTAGTCACATGACCATATGAAACTTCAAATGAGGATAAAAAAATATAATCTTTAGCTAGGCTATCATATCCTAGATATAACTTCTATTACTATGTAAGAAGTAAAGAACGGATATTGGAAGGCATCTAGCTACCTCTTCTACACCTGATACTAGTAAGTTCAAGTAGACAGATGCAATGCATGATCAGAGTGCTGATTAGCCAGTATGCTAACTGGGGGCCTTAGGGTGCTGACTCTGACTAAATTGTATGGCAGGTAGAAACAGTACTAAGAAAGAGGAAGCTAGAATACCAGAGACAAAATATACTTACTTTATAGCAATCCTTTTCCCAAAAACCAACCTGATGACTTAATGGTCTAGAAATGTTCAGATATCTTTCTAGACATCTAACTTGCTAACCAGTAGGCTCAGTTACTGGAATCAAGTATTAATATTACCTACCATAATACATTAGTTGGAAAAAATGGGTCTTGTCTAAGAAAACCAGCACAAGCCTGATATCAAGGATTTAATTTTGTGACCAAACAAGTACAAACAGCTGGAAATGTTAAAATTTGAATATATAAACTCACTCTGGAATATGTCCTGTGATTATTCCATAGAAGTATAAAAACTAATGTATATTCCCTTTTAGAGCTGCTTAGTATTTGATTGTGTAAATGTACCACTGTTATTCAACTAGTTCCCTATTGATGATCATTTAGGTTGTTTACACTCTTTGCCATCACAAATCTTGCTACGGTAAATGGCCTTGAGCAGATTTTTATTTGTTTACAATACTAGCAGCATATCTTTGGGATGGAGTCTTAAAACTGGCATTGTATACCTTAAAGTATTTAAAGAGTACTGTGTGTTTTTTCTGAAGATTTACATTATACTGTGAAATATCCTTAGTTCCATCTTTTTGGGTGAACCCAAGGGTTCTCTTTGTTGGTTCCCTATTATGAATAATAGTGAAATGATCCAGTAACTCCCTTCTCCCCTCCCCACTGGGAAAAGATGTTATTCTTTTTCCAGCATCTTTTATTCTTTTATTCCCTATTAATACCTGTAAGACTATTATTCAGCCTACTCTATTTTTTCATATAATCTCTCCAAACTTGTTCCATATTTTATTGATTGTCAGAGAATACAATCCCTGCATGCTACATGGTTTTCTTTATAAGCATTATTTAGTCCTAGTTCTGCAACAAAACATAGTTTTAATGCTCATCACCACTCCTTATGCAGGTGTCACTCCAACAATTTTGGTTGTTTGAAGTTTCTTTTCCAATATACTTTTTGGAGAGTGCCCATAGGAACAATATTTCTCAAATTTTCAGAAGCTCAGAAGCATTTGATTTTAGCTTTTATAACATAAAGATCATTTTGGGTCACGTCTTTTTTTTCCTGGGTATCTTAAATATATTACTCAATTTGCTTTCTGGAATAATGGCCAAAAACTCTGATATTCCTTCCCTTGCAAGTTACTTGGTCCTTTTGACTGCATGCTCAAAGGACACTCTATATTCTTTTTCTTTAAAGTCTAATAGTTTTACTAGAATATGAATCAATGTTGACCATTCTGGGTCAATTTTCCTGGATATTCACTAACCCCTTTCAGTTTCTGGCTTCTGGTCTTTTTATCTCAGGGAATCTTTATTGATTTCTAGCGTTTGTTCTATTCTTTTGCTTTAATTATTCTTGGGCAATTTCTATTTTATGCATAGGAGTTCTTTGTGTTTTATGTTTTTCACTTTCTCTTGCATTCTTTGTATTTCTCTTTATTTTTTGTGTTTTGATTTTTTTCTGTCAATCATTGGTTTTTCTTAAGGCATTATCTGTGGAGTTTGTTCACTTCTGAGTTTCTTTATAGTTTGTTGTTCATTTTTGATGTGACTTTTTCTTTTATTTCTAAATCCTTCTTGAGCTTTGACAGATCTCTATTTAAATTTTTCTTTCCCAAATTATTTTATTTCTGAGTTTTTCTAATTGTCATTTATTGTGTTTATCCAAAGCTTTCATATCTATCATTTTCTTAAGTTTTATAGGATATTCAAATATTAGGCTCAGAAATTCAACTGCTCTGCAGCTGTATCTTTCTGTTCTATCGTTTATATTAACATTGTATAACTGTTCTATCGTCCTTTTCTGTTCTTATGTTAAGATAGACGAATTTTCTTTTTCTCTTAGGAGATGAGGCTGGGCCAGAATGGGTTTACTAGTTCAATCACTCTGGACTCCCTCTTCTACTCTGTCTATGAAGTATTCAAATGTATACTCTGGTACATGCTAGATCTTCTAGCTCTATTCTCCTTTACCATTTCTCTCCAAATCATCCCTTCTCTTTTCCTCATGGTCCCAGTCCTGATCAGATTTTACTCTACTCTCAGAGGTTTCTCCTCAGTAGGAGACTTTGTCCTTCATTTACTTTCAGAAGTGCTTGGGGCTTAAGCCACTCTAACCCTGATCAACATACTATGGTTCCCCCTTCACTCACCCCTGAAGTGGGGACTGCCACGACCCCCTCCCTGACTCAGCTCCTGACCTCAGATTTGCATCTGAGCTGTGTTGAGATGAGGCATTCCTCCTGCATGCCTGATGCCGTATGGATCTTGCTGCTGTTTTTAACTATTTTCTACTTGCTTGTCTTTTGCAGTTCATGGGAATTCCCTGTCACCCAGTTTTGTTATACATATTTGCTATGGGACTTTTGTTTACCTATCCTACTTTTCTGTCTGTTTTTGTGCAGGATTCAGAGCAGTTATGTTGCCATAACTGCCACCTCTTTTGATTCCTCATCTTTGAACATATGTTGTTTCAGAAAATACGTTTTAAAACCCAGATTTTGGGTTGCATTCATTTTGCCATGAGATTACCCAGTGATTTGGAATTGTAGAAGTACAGAGAATTGGATTCCATGCTGCCTCATTTCGTTCTATTTTTTTTTCTGCACTGTCATCACGTGATGATGGACATTATAATATCGTGTGTAACGGCAAAGGCTGTAGCAGTCAAGTGGGAAAGTCATGACTATTTCATGTCTTTTATATTGAGTGGGATTTCAATAAGTGTCCATAAGGAAAGTGAGTATGGATTTCAAACAATGAGAACATCAGCTGAAGAAAACAGGTATTAGAGAATATAGATTGAGTTGCATTGGAAGGAAATGTAAAATGAAGCCAGACCCTTAAGAGTTTGAGTATTATTCCAGTCTTAACTTGCCACAAGAACATTTTCCGGAAGGGAATGAGGCTACTTTTGAACTTATATTTTAACAGAATGATTTTGGTAGCAGTGTGAAGGTTAAAGAGACAGTGTGGGAGCTAAGGTCACTGACATGATAAAATTCACTATATTTTGTGTTCCTGAAGTCAAGAGAGAGAACGAATAATTTGATACAAGTGAAACAGTTGCGAACATATCAAAACATAATTTTCACATTAGGAAAAGTGGCACAAACCATAAAAGAACTTTAGATTAGGGGGAAGTTCTATCATAGTCAATGGTTATAGAAAATCACCCTACATACTATCTACTCCTGAGCAGAAAAACCCACCAGTTCCTGCCTGTTGGAGCAGAGGATCCAATGGGAAGCTGCTTTCCAGGCCAGCACGTAAATCTCAGCTCTGCGGGGGAAATCACTCAGACCTACCACTAAGATAAGTTATAGGTAAGAAATCTAAGATAAAATAAATTTGAAAATGTTTGCTTGTTTAGGATGAATTAGCTGCTTCTGTAGGCACGGCAATTCAAGTAATGATAAAGCAGCGATTAGATGAGCAAGAATATAAACTAGGAATATCAGGCAAGTGACTAAGAAGTATGCAGGAGACCCTAGTTGCCTTGTCCCATGTCCCCTAAGCTCATTTCTAGACATACTTTCAGACCTTGAGGGAGAGTTTGCAGGCACTCTGACAGCGTCCCCCACAGGTGCTTCTCTGGCTGAAAGCTTTCTTTGGCCCCAGGGGAGTTTTCTAAGCTCAAGTCCAGGGCAACCTGGAACTGCCAGGATTCAACACCCTGAGGACATTCTTTAAGCAAAGAAGGACAGCAATCAGGGGATAAATACCCGAGCTTTTCCATAGCTTAGTGGGGAAATTCAGAGCTGCTTCCTGCAAGGTTCCTTGGAGTATCCCCAGAAGAATTGAGCCCTAGTCACCCGCAGTCCACCCATCTACACACTCATGATTGGCTTTCCCCCTTCCAAGCCACACTTGCCTCACTTCTCACATGTCCTTCCTGGAATGACCCTTAAACATATTTCCTGTAACAAAGTCCTTGTCTCTGTCTGCTTTGTGAGGAATCCAAATGATAACTAGCAAAAACTTTCTTATAATAAATTATTCCCAAATTATTTTACCTTCTGTTTCAAGGCTCTACTGGAAACTTCCCAATATCTGGTACTGACTTGTAGTGATTAATAGAATTCCTTTTTCAATGCAGGAGTTGCATTTTTCATCTTAATATCCATAGTGCCTGACCGGTTCCCCAGCATAGAACATCTGGACATTAAATAATTGTAGAATGAATGAATGAAGTTCCAATAAGCAAGCAGACTATCTAGAATCTAGCAATAAGCAACCAGAGGGTGTTTATGTAGGAATAGAGTATCAGGAAGCAATAAATAGACACAAATCTCAGGAAGCAGGTAATTGCATCAATCCAAAAATAAATAACAAAAAGAGGCAGACATAAGATATCAGGAACAAGGTCCTGTCTCCAAAGAAGATTGTAGTTCATAAGAAAATACATAACTTCAGAGGGAGAAGGAGAGGATGAAGCCTGTCAGTTTTCATTTAATCCTTATAATGGTCCTAAAATACAGATGTTATGTGCTTTGTTTAATGAATAGAAAAAATAAATCCTAGAAAGGTAAAGGAAAATGACCCAGTTTATGTTGTAAGTAGTGATTGAAGAACCAAGACACAAGTTCCCTGGTGTTTTAGCTGTAATTACTAGAAGTGAAAACTCCTAGAAGGACTCAAAAGGATTCCTATTTCTGAGGAATCAATCTCCAGGGTACCTCCCTGTATCTCAAGATATGCCTAGAGCACAGGAATAAGAATTTGGGAGCCACCGTAACTGTTTTAGAATGTAACATCTTATAGTTTCTTTGAAAACAATGGAAGAAATGTCCCAACAGAGTCACAGGATGGCCAAATTCTGACCAACGGTATTCAAAAGAAAAATAATAAAGCAATATATGCATTATTCTTTCATTTCTTCTTCTTTTTTGTTCTGTATTACTGAACATAATTTCCTCAAGCATAACACAAATGAACTCTCTCTCTTTTTCAGTCAATGTGCTCCCCTCCTACGATTTAAAATTACAGTGCTGTTTTGGAGGCATCATTTTGCTTCCATGCTAGCAATTTGTCTAAATCTTTGCCTTATGGCCTCAATGAATGCATTTGACAGGAGGAGCAGGATGACAGGAAAAGGGGGAGCTTCTGTGAACACAAGTACCTTGGGAAATCAACAATGATGTGAAAAGAAATACATAAAAGCTACCCAGCACAGGCTATATGTTTTTAATGGGACTTCATTATATGTATAGACTTCTTAAAGTTTGCCTCAGCATGTGGCAGTGGGTTTCTATGGAGGAAGTTTGAGAGCACTTAGAAGTTTTCTTTTACTTCTCTTCTTTTTAACTCACTCCCTACAATCACTGATAAAGAAAAGGAGAATAACTGTGGGTTCACAGTAACTTTGTAGCAGGATTTATACCATCTGCCATTGATTTTCTGAAAACTATAGAATCAAGGCCAAGGGGGAACCTTAATTTATGAAATGAGAAGTGGAGACATCAGAATAGTGGGCTTATCAGGGATTGCATTCAGAAGCATTGCACCCAAAGAGATGTGCATTCAGAGATGTTCCAGAAGACAGCCTTTGCTAATGCTGTGCTCAGGGGTAGGGCCCTGAATCCTAGCAATGTCCGGCACAGAGTTGACCCTCAAAGAATATCTACTTCATGAATGAGTGTCCCACTGGTGGAAGCCAAAACCCAGAATTCAGGAAACAGAACCAGAGTTTCAAAGATGGGAGTTAAAAGCAGGAAATTACAGGGTTAACCACAGCAAGCAGGAGACTGTGGACACCATGAGACTTGGATTTTTACAGTAGCAGAAAAAATAATTCTTAGGTGGGCTGAAGACGGTGTGAGGTGATCCTTAAATGCTAGAAAGATTAGCTGTCACTTTAATCTGTAGGCAATAGAGAGCTAGGAAAGGTTTCAAAGTAGAGGTATCAAAATAGTTTTTTTAAAAGCTTATCAGCAGAATGGTTTTGAAGGGAAGAAAACATAGGCATAGGAATAAGTCAGGAATCTAGTCCCAGCAGGAGGATGTAGTGGTTAGGAACAGATGCCTTCAAGCCAGACAGACCTGGAATTGTAATCCAGATGTGCAATTCACTAGTGTAATTCTGAGTAACTTATTCTTCAAGCATCAATGTTCTCATCTGCATAGGCATAATTTATTTATTCATTCAATATTTTTGAGCATATGTTCTAGAAGCTGAATGAACACGTATACAGTAGAAAGCCTTCCTTGAAACACTTTGAAGAGGTGACATTTATATCAAGAACCAAAAATAAAGGGGGGAGGTGAAGGGGTGCACATAGCAAGAGATAAACATGTCATGAAGAGGAAATCATTGGCATAAATGCTTTGAGGCAAGAATGAGAGGCACACTGAGGGAGCTGAGAGGTCAATATGGACTTGTGGGTAAAAGGAAGAGTGATTGAGCTGAGGACAGAGAGCTGGGCAAGGGCCAAGTCATGGAGAGCTTCATAAGTCAGGCTAAGAAGACCAGATGTATTTTAAATGAAATAGGAAATGTATAGAGTGTATTTCTGTAGATCACTATTGCTGAATAGAAAATGGATTGCTGTGGGATGTAGATTGGAGCTGGGAGACTAGTTAAAAAGCTGTTGCAGAAGTCTGGGAAAGAGATAATGGTGGCTTGAAATAGGGTTGATGATGAAGAAGAGAGGGAAAAGCACAGATTTGGGACATGCTTAAGAGGTAGAATCAGCACGACTTGCTGATAAACTGAATTCAGGGAGTAATAGAAGGCAAGGAATTAAAGATAATCCCTATATTTCTGGTTGGAGCAATTGGCTATAAGGTTATGCTTTTTGTAAGGAACGTTTTATGGGGAGAAGCAGATTGGCAAATCAAGAGTGTGTTTGTGATTTTAGTTGAAAATGTATGCTAGGCATCCAAGTGGAGATGCTAAGTGATATGTGCCTGAAGCTCACTCCGGGGATAGGTTAGGGCTGGAAGTTAATGCTTAGCAGCCATCAGAACACAGATGATTTTAAATCCATGGGATTGGCTGAAGCCTCTAGTCATGCACAGAGAAGTAAATGGGGTTGCAGAAAATACAGTGGATTGATCCACAATATCCATTCCAACCTCTTAGTGTGTCTTCCTGGATTGCAGAATCTTAAAAACTAGTAACTATGTTTCCCAGGATCCCTTCATTTGGGTTATAGCTAGGATTTAGATTCCATCTATCAGCTGCACTTGTGCAAGTGTGGAGGTCAGAACTGAGACCTGGGGAGTAAGGTAGGGCATAGGCATCATTTTGAGAACTGATCTTGCTGTGCTTCTAGATTCAGCCACTATAAATACTGGCTTCTCAACTCTGAAGGTAGCTCCAAATTCTACAGCTGCCTAATTTTGGCAGGCATAGCAGCATTCTTAGAAGATCCCTTCTTCAGTGAGACTCATTTGTGGAAGCTCAGACAAAAGTTTCTTTTTTAGTTTATTATTTTAAATGTTTAAAATATTTAATTCTCTGCCTAAAAGAAGGCATCCCTTCCTGCTTAAACTGGCAAGAGTGCATTACGTTCTGAGCAACACAGTGCCTTCGCTCAGTGTCGTATCATTACAGCATCAAAAGCCTCTTCAAAGGGGAGAAACTAGCAAAGCAGAAGACTAGAGAGACTGAGAAGAAGCAGCCAATGAGGTGAAAGGAAACCAAGAGTCTGATGCCATGGAAACCAGGGAAGAATATGTTTCTTCCAGAATATCATTTGGTGCTGAGTGGTCAGTCGAGAATTGCATGGTCAAATAAGAAAGATGCCAAGAAGATCCTTTGTGAGCTTGCAAATAACAGTCTCTATAAAGTAGTAAAAGCAAACACCACTGGGAGTGGTATGAAAGGGAACATGAGAGCTAAGGAAATGAATTCAGCAACCACAGGCAACTTTTTAAGATATTTTAAAGAATGTTAAAATGGGAAGGTAATGAGCAGAACAGGGGTTGCGTGATATTTGTTTGTGTGTATGTTCATTGTAAAGATAGGAACTACTATTGCACACTGATAGGCGAATTGTAAGCTACTCTCCAGAAAAGAGGAGAAGATGGATGATGTGAAACAGAGGAGATAGTTGAAGTCACAAGGTATCTAAGAATATAAATACTTTGGTTACTCTGGAAATTTCTTTTCTCCCAAGGAACTGCGAGGTAAAGCCATCAGCTGAAAATGAGTTGGGGTTGTGAGGTGTCAACATTTTGAGAGAGAAAAAGGAATGCAATGGTGGTTTTGCTAAGCAGGGATAACAACAAGCAAAAGAAGAACTATACATAATGCATCTAAATAAATCTTAGGTCATAAATTTACATTGATGTTGGTCTGTATGGTTTTGTGACTTTTTCCCCAGCAATGTGTATTTTGAGTACAGGCACAGAGTGAGCTTGAGAGTTGCATTTAACTAACATTCAAGCCTGATAAGTTAATACAGTACATAGAGAAGGGTTACAAGGAACTAATTGTAATTATGGAACATCAAATCTAAGTTTGGTAAAAAGTGACAAGAGGAAATGAGAGGAGTCACTGAAGGTGAGACAGTTGTAGGTTCACTTAATGATGCATTGATAAAGTTGAAGAGTGATTGGATATAATTAAGTAGGAGAATGGTTAGAGGAAGTGGTAGTTGAAGTTGAGGCTTAAGAATTAGAGAAGCTATCTGTGATGACATGGTCAAGGGTTTGACCATGGAAGCAGGTAACTGAAGTAGGGCAGAGAAAACATTTACCAAAGTGAGGAAGTTCAGGAACTGAGAGGTAACAATGTTGGTTAGATTATTCATTTGGATGTTGAAATTGCCAGGAATGGTGACAGGAGTAGCAGTAGAAGGAATACAGTGATCTAGGTGTGAAAATCATCAGTGAATGGGGCAGGATTAATTAGGGTCAGTTGATGATAGCCAGGCAGGGTATTAAGTGAGTTTCCTCCACCTTCTTGCCAAACCACTATGCAATCTCAGAAAGAACACTATTTAGCAGCTACCTGGTACAACAGCTATTAGAATTACATGAGATCATGTGCAATTTAAAATGCCTAAAAAAAGGTCTGGCACATTTAATGGTGATGCTGTTGTTATAGTCATATTAATGAATCAACTTGCACTAACAAAATGTCTAATATATGCCAATCATGGGAATAGATGCTATTCATTTTAATATATCCTTTATTTCTTTGACCTAGAGTCATAGATTATTAAATCTAGACAGGATGTCAAAAGTCATCTCATCCAAAGGTCCCCTAACAAGAGTCAAAGGTTAGTTAAATGCATAAAATTACCTGTGAAGCCCATTAAATATATAAATTCCAGGCCTCCACACATGATAATTCCAATCTTTATGCCTGCAGTGGGACTTGGAAACTTATATTTTTAATAAGCTCCCTAACAGATTTTGATTCACAGCCAAGTTTGGGAACCACTGCTCAGCATCTTTATTTTACAGATGAGAAAATTGAAGACCAAGATCGCACAGCTGGTAAGTAACAGAACCAGGACTTTTACCCACATTTTCTGCTTTTAAGCCCAGAAACTAGATCCTTACTGATAGTGGCATATTGATACCCTGGGAATGGGAAGCAGAATGAATGTTTACACCCTTCATTTGTTCTTCCTAGGTGGATACACTGACTATGGCAGCAATATAAACAGTGTAATTTTATGCCATCAATCAAATGAGCTTTATGATAAATGTGTAAGAAAGACGATATGCAATGTAAAAGGTGAAAATTACAATGAGATAAGCAGGTAGCTGATACAATAATCCAGACCCATAACTATGGTGATAAAAGTAACTTAAAGGGGTAGACATAGTTTTTTAAAATGCTTTTTGAAGGAAAAAAAGTCAAGACATTTTTCATGGTAATAATGTGAGTAACAGATTGACAAGGTCAATAAGTGAAAATGGAGTACAAGTAATAGGCAAGCACACTAACCTGTCCTACTTTGGTGAGATGATTCCAAAACCTGTCTACACACTGGAATCATGCTCTGGAGATCCTTAATGAGTAGGATCTATGCATTTGATATAGAGAGATGTATAAATAGGAATCTCGGGAAATTCCTACCTTGTACAAGCTCTTGAAACAACCAAGTGTGAGCACAGTAGTTTATGCTCAAGATTCTGCAACCGTACCATCTGTGGACCACCCCTAGCCATGTAACAGGATTAGGAAGATAAAAATGAATTCCAATGGGTTGCCATTAGCAGTAATGGTAGCTGCTTTACCAACTCTAGCCAGCTTGGCAAGTGGCTTCAAATAAAATAGTGTGAGAGCAGTCACCATGTCACTGGACTTTGAAGTCAGGGACTGGATACAACCTAGAATATGTCACCCAGCCCACATAGGAGGGTGCACTTCTCCGTGAAGCATTTATAACAGGGAAGACAGTGGTATCACACATAAAGACGTTCTCTCTTCCATTCTTACTGAATATGCAACAGCAGCAAGGTACCATTGTCTAGCAAACACTCCTAATGCTGACAGCTCAGTATGTTACCAAAGCTCACTGTAAATATTATTTTCCTGCTCTACTAGACAACGAAAATTATTGTAACTGGGAGAAACAGGTACAGAGAAGAATAATGACCCTCTGCACACTCTTATTTTTTAATTTACAAGTACAGAAACTTTAGGCAGAGATGCTGCTGTCTAGGGTACCTCTAGGACATTATACAATTGAGATGGAACACTTTGGCCTTCTCTGGAGACAAATGATGGACTCCTCCAAATGTTGTTCACAACCCCAGAGGCTTTATTTCAGTATAAGTGAGGAATATGCCTCTAGAAACAATGTGTGAGGTAAATCTTCCTTAAGAATAAAAGATGCTAAGACTGGGAAATGGGAAGACTTAAATAGCTGCAACATTTACATGTGCCCAATTATCTTTAATAATTACAACATCTAAAGCCTGAGAAACTGACATGCCATTGTTCTAATCAGTGCCCAGCCCTCCGCCACACAAAGGCTTTCATTCAACGTTTCAGCTCTGAAGTCTCTCGATGGAGCTGCTGTTGTCTGAACCCTCACAGACCATAGAAGACAGGCCGTTTTTGAGAAGCTGAGTTAGGGGCTACCCAGTTCTCAGTTTCACACTTGTTTGGCCTGATTCTTGGGGTTTTTGCTTTGCTAAGATCAAAATTTTCAAGGTAATGAGGAACTCACGAGCTGCTATGGGATCAGAATAGAAATGTTTCTGACATTTCTAATAGGTTGACTAGATATTTAAAATTCTACCAAATAACAGAATGAGGAAGCTTTTTATTGCACTAATTAATATGAAGATAGATTAAAAAGGATATATTTTAAAAAGGAACAATATTCTCTATTTCAGTTGGATTTTTACATATATTACTACCTGCATGAAATTTTGAAATACAGAATTCTAGGAAGTAAATTTGGAGAGTCATTCATGAACTAATTTCCCACCTAATTCCTACTTATAACCTAACATCTTAATAAAATTATGTTCAAAATTAAGGCCATTGGTCATGTTATTAAAAATGATTACTGTTACTGGTTTTCACATCTTGATAAATAATTCTTGAGCTATGTTTTTAACTTAGTCATGTTGCTACTAAAAGATATACTTAAACTAAAATGAGAAAAGGAATAAAATAAATAATTAGCACTTGCAAAATACAAGATTTGAAAAATAGGCCATATTAAAATTTTTTCAACTCCCTTCATCTTTTTATCTTCTTTAAACAACTTTAATGCAATTACTTTACCTTTCAAAAGGCAAAATGGAAAAACAAGATGGTTGAATAAAAGTTTCCCCTAATTGTCTCCCCCCTCCACAAGAATATCAATTTAACAACTATCTACAAAAAGAAAAAACAACAACAACATACAACAACATATACAAACAAAAAAAACCCCACCTTTATAAGAAGAAAAATCAGGTGAGCACTCACAGTACCTGGTTTTAACTTCATACAGTTGAAAGAGGCACTGAAGAGGTAGGAAAAACAGTCTTGAATGACCAACATCACCCCTTCCTCCATCCTCTGGCAGCGGCCAGCGGCCATGTGGTGCAGAGAGCATTTTTTTTTCCACTGGGGAGAAGAAGAGCGCAGCAATTGTGAAGCATTGAACTCAGTTTTGTCCTGTAATAGCAGAAAGGAAAATTGGGCCAAACTCAGCTGATTCCCATTCACAGAGGGAGCATTTAAACCAGCCCTAGCTAGAGGGGAATCATTGACTCCAGCTGTGGGAACTTGAGTTCCTGCAAACCTCGCCAGTGTAGGCTAAAGTGCTCTGGGGCTCCAAATATACTTGAAAGGCAGTCTAGGCCATAAGGACTACAACTTTTAGGTGAGTCTTAGTGCTGAACTGGGCCCAGAGCCAGTAGACTAAAAGGGCATGTGACCTTTTGAGACACTAACTGGGGCAGCTAAAGGGATGCTGGCATCACCTCTCCCCAACACCAGGCTGAACAGCTTATGGCTTCAAAAGAGGCCACTTCCCTCTGCTTGAAGAAAGGAAAGAAGAGGAAAGACTGGGGAGGACTTTGTCTTGCATCTTGGATACCAGCTCAGCCCCAGCAGGACAGAA
Organism: Homo sapiens; assembly: GCF_000001405.40. Taxonomy (NCBI): domain Eukaryota; kingdom Metazoa; phylum Chordata; class Mammalia; order Primates; family Hominidae; genus Homo; species Homo sapiens. The sequence continues at coordinate 27,502,314 of NC_000018.10, forward strand.
CACCAATCAGAGTCATGAGGCCCCCCTTTCTAGGCCCTAGCTCCCAGGTGACATTTTTAGATACACACTGGGCCAGAAGGGAACCTGCTGCCTTAAGAAAAGAACCCAGTCCTGGCAAGATTCATCATCTGCTGACTGAAGAGCCTTTGGATCCTGAATAATCAGCAGTGATACTCAGTTACCATGTCATGGGCCTTGGGCGAGACTCTGAGACTTGTTAGCTTCAGGTGAGATGCAGCACATTCCCAGTTGTGGTGACTAAGGGGGCAAGACTCCTTCCATTTAAGAAAAGTAGAAGGAAAAGCAAAGGGGAATTTGTCTTGCACCTTAGTTACCAGCTTGGCCACAGGGGGTAATGCACCAAGTGAGCTCTTGGGGTCTCCAATGCCACGAGTTGGCACTTGGACAGCATTTCTGGACCTGCCCTGGGCCAGGGAGGAGCCCACTGTCCTGAAGGGTGAGTCCCAGGCCAGGCAGCATTCATCACAAGCTGACTGAAGAGACCTTGAGCCTTATGAAAACATTGGGGATAGTCTGGCACTCCTCCCCTTGGGCCTATGGTGGTGGTGGCCATGGGATGAGGCTCCTCTGCCTTTGGAAAGGAGAGGGAAGAGTGGGAAGAGCTGCATCTTGTGGTTTGGGAGCCAGCTCAGCCACAGTATAATGGAACACCAAGTAGACTTCTAAGGTTTTTGACCCTAGTCCCTGGCTCCCAGATGGCACATCTGGACACACCTGAAGCCTGGAGGAACTTGCCACCCTGAAGGGAAGAACACAAGTGAAGAACACAAACCTGGCTGGCCTTGCCACCTGCTGACTATAGATCCTCAGGGCCTTGAACAAACATAGGCCATAGCCAGGGAGTGTATACAGCAGGCCTTGGGAAAGACCCAGTGCTGTTCTGGCTTTAGGTCTGACCCATCACAATCCTAGTGGTGGTGGCCACAGGGGTGCTTGTGTCACACCACCCCCAGCTCAAGGTAGCTCAGAACAGACAATAGAGACTTCATTCATTTGAGAAAAATATGTGAAGAGAACAAGTCTCTGACCGATAATTCAGTGATTCTTCTGGATCTTGTCCAAGACCATCAAGGCAGTACATTTATGAGTCTGCAAGAACCACAGAGTTACTGGGCTTAGGGTGCCCCCTAAGGGGGCACAATACTCAAGTCTTTTTGAATATCTGGAAAGCCTTCCCAAGAAGGATGGGCACAGATAAGCCAAGGCTGAGAAGACTACAATAAATACCTAACTCTTCAATGCCCAGACACTGAAGAATATCTACAAGCATTAACAACATCCAGGAAACATGACCTAACCAAATGAACTAGATAAGCCACCAGGGACCAATGCTGGAGAAACAGAGATATGTGACCTTTCAGATAGAGAATTCAAAATAGCTGTGTTGAGGAAACTCAAAGAAATTTAAAAGAACACAGAGAAGGAATTGTGGTGGCTTACACCTGTAACCCCAGAACTTTGGAAGGCTGAGGTGGGTGGATCACTTGAAGTCAGGTGTTCAAGACCAGCCTGACTGACATGGCAAAACCGCATCTCTGCTAAAAACGCACAAAAAAAAATAGCCAGGCATGGTGGTCAGTGCCTGTAATCACAGCTACTTGGGAGGCTGAGGCAGGAGAATCACTTGAACCCAGGAGGCAGAGGTTGCAGAGAGCCGAGATTATGCCACTGCACTTCAGCCTGGGTGACAGAGTGATACCCCATCTCAAAAAAAAAAAAAAAAAAAAGAAATTCATAAAGTTAACAAAGAGATTGAAATAATTAGAAAGAATCAAGCAGAAATTCTGGAGTTGAAAAATGCAGTTGGCATACTGAAGAATGCATCAGAGTATTTTAATAGCAGAATTGATCAAGAAGAAAGAATCAGTGAGCTAGAAGGCAGGTTAATTGAAAATACATGGTAAGAGGAGAAAAAAGAATACAAAAAACAATAAAGCATGCCTACAGGATCTGGAAAATAGCCTCAAAAGGGCAAATCTAGGTTACTGGCCTTAAAGAAGAAGTAGAGAAAAGATAGGGGTAAGAAGTTTACTCAAAGGGTTTATAACAGAGAACTTCCCAAATCATAGAGAAAGATATCAATATTCAAGTACAAGAAGGTTGCAGAACACCACACAGATTCAACCCAAAAAAGACTACCTCAGGGAATTTAAAAATCAAACTCAAAACATCAGAGATAAAGAAATAATCCTAAAAGCAGCAAGAGAAAATAAACAAGTAACATACAATGGAGCGCCAACCTGTCTGGCACAGACTTCTCAGTGGAAACTTTACAAGCCAAGAGAGACCAGCATGACACATTTAAGGTACTGAAGGAAAAATAATTTACCCTGGAATAGTATATCTGGTGAAAAAAACCCTTCAAACATGAAGGAGAAATACTTTCCCAGACAAACAAAAGCTGAGGAATTTCATCAACACCAGACCTGTCCTACAAGAAAGGCTAAAGGGAATTCCTTCAATTAGAAAAAAAAAAGAAATCTTCTGAAGGTATGAAACTCACTGGTAACAGTAAGTACACAGAAAACCAGAATATTATAACACTGTAACTGTGGTGTGTAAACTACTCTTAAGTAGAAAGACTAAATGATGAACCAATCAGAAATAACAACTACAATGACTTTTCAAGACATAGTACAATAAGATATAAATAGAAACAACAAAAAGTTAAAAAATGGGGGGATGAAGTTAAGGCATAGATTAGTGTATTCATTTTCTTTTTGCTTGTTTGTTTATGCAAACAGTGCTGAGTTGTTATCAGCTTAAAATAATGGGTTATAAGATAGTTTTAGCAAGCCTCATGGTAATTTTAAACCAAAAAACATACAATGGATACACACACACAAAAAAAGGAAGAAACTAAGTCATATCACCAAAGAAAATCATCTTCACTAAGAGGAAGACAGGAAGAAAAGAAAGAAGGAGGAAAGACAACAAAACAACCAGAAAACAAATAACAAAATGGCAGGATTAAGTTCTTACTTACCAATAATAACATTGAATGTAAATGAACTAAACTCTTTAATCAAAAGGCATAGAGTGGCTTCACTGATTTTAAAAAAAAAACAATGATCTATTGCCTATAAAAAAGAAACACACTTCACCTATAAAGAAACACATAGACTGAATATAAACGGATAGAAAAAGATATTGCATACCAATGGAAACCACAAAAGGGCAAGAGTAGCTATACTTATACCAGAAAAAAGTAGATTTCAAGACAAAAACTATAAGAAGAGACAAAGAAGGTCATTATATAATGATAAAGGGGCTAATTCAGCAAGAGGATATAACAATTTTAAATATATATGCACCCAACACTGGAGCATCTAGATATATAAAGCAAATATTATTATAGCTAAGGAAAGACATAGGCCTCAATCAATAATAGCTGGAGAGACTTCAACACCCTTACTTTCAGCATTGGACAGATCTTCCAGACAGAAAATCAACAAAGAAACATCAGACTACACTTAATCTGTAGTATAGCCCAATGGACCTAATAGATATTTACAGAATGTTTTATTCAACAGCTGCAGAATTCACATTCTTTTCTTCAGTACATGAATTATTCTCAAAGATAGACCATATGTTAGCTCACAAAACAAATCTTAAACATTCAAAAAAATTAAAATAATATTAAGCATCTTCTCTGCCCACAATGAAGTAAAACTAGAAATCAATAACGAGATATTTGAAACTATATGAATACATGGAAATTAACAATATACTTCTGAATGACCAGTGGGCCAATGAAGGAATTAAGAAGGAAATTGAAAATGTTTTTTGAAACCAATGATAATGGAAGCACCACATACCAATTCCTATGGGACACAGCAAAAGCAGTAATAAAAGGAAAGTTTATAGCTATATGTGTTTACATCAAAAAAGAAGAAATGCTTCAAATAAAAAACCCTAATGATTCATCGTAAAGAATTTGAAAAGCAAGAGCAGACTAAAATCAAAATTAATAGAAGAAAAGAAATAATAAAGATCAGAGCAGAAATAAATGAAATTGAAATGAAGAAAACAATACAAAATATCAAGAAAACAAAAGCTTGGTTTTTTAAAAAGTTAAACGAAATTGACAAATCTTTAGCCAGATTAAGAAAAAAAAAGAAGATACAAATAAAATCAGAGATGAAAAAAGAGACATTATAACTGATACTGCAAAAATTCAAAGGATTATTAGTTGCTAGTATGAGCAACTAAACGACAATAAATTGGAAAATATAGAAAAAGCAGACAAATTCCTAGACACATACAACCTAGCAAGACTGAACCAGGAAGAAGTCCCAAACATGAACAGACCAATAACAAGTAACAAGATCGAGCCATAATAAAAAGTATCTCAGTGAGGAAAAGCCCAGAATCCAATGGCTTCACTCCTGAATTCTACCAAATATTTAAAGAACTAATACCAATCCTACTCAAACATTTCCAAAAAATAGAAGAGAAGGGAATACTTCCAAACTCACTCTATGAGGCTAGTATTACCCTGATACCAAAACCAAAGACACATTAAAAACAAAAAAAAGAAAACTACAGGCCAATATCTCTGATAAATATTGATGCAAAAATCCTCAACAGAATAACAGCAAAGAGAAGTCAACTCTACATTAAAAATATTATTTATTATAACCAAGTGGGATTTATTCCTGGTTAGCAAGGATGGTTCAACATATGGAAATCAATCAATGTGATACATCATATCAACAGAATGAAGGAAAAAAAACCACATGATCATTTCAATTGATTCTGCAAAAGTATTTGATAAAATTCAACATCCCTTCATGATAAAAACCCTCAAAAACTGAGTATACAAGGAATATACCTCAACATAATAAACCCCAGACATGACAGACCCAAGCTAGTATCATACTGAATGAGGAAAAACTGAAAGCCTTTCCTCTAAGATCTGGAACACAATAAGGATGCCCAGTTTTTCCATTGTTATTCAACATATTATTGGAAGTCCAAGCTAGAGCAATCAGATGAGAAAGAAATAAAGGGCATCCAAATTGAAAAAGAGGTCCAATTATCCATGTCTACAGATGATACAATCTTATATTTGAAAAAAAACCTAAAGGCTCCACCACAAAACTATTAGAGCTGATAAACAAATTCAGTAAATTTGCAAAACACAAGATCAAAACACAAAAATCAGTAGCATTTCTATATGCCAACAGTGAACAATCTGAAAAAGAAATCAAAATGTAACCCATTTACAAGAGCCACAAATAAAATTAAATACCTAGGAATTAAGCAAAGAAGTAAAGGATCTCTATAAAGAAAACTATGAAACATTGATGAAAGATATTGAAGAGGACACCAAAAAATGGAAAGATATTTTATGTTCATGGATTGAAAGAATCATATTGTTAAAATGTCCATACTACCCAAAGCAATCTATAGATTAATTGCAATCCCTACCAGAATACCAATAATATTCTTCACAGAAATAGAAAAGACAATCCTACAATTTACATGGAACAATGAAAGACCCAGAATAGCCAAAGCTATGCTAAGCAAAAGAACGAAACTGAAAAAATAACATTACCTGACTTCAAATTATATTGCAGAGCTATAGTAACCAAAATAGCAGGGTACTGGCATAAAAACAAACACATAGACCAAAGGAACAGAGTAGAAAACCCAGAAACAAATCTACACACGTACAGCAAATTCATTTTTGACAAAGGTACCAAGAACATACCGTGGGGAAAAGACAGTATCTTCAAGAAACGGTCCTGGGAAAACTGGATATCCATATGCAAATGAATGAAACTAGACTCTGATCTCTTACCATATATAAAAATCAAATCAAAATGGATTAAAGGCTTAAACTAAGACCTCAAACTGTGAGACTACTATAAGAAAACATTGAGGAAACTCTCTAGGACATTGGTCTGGCAAAAATATTTTAAGTAATATCCCACAAGCACAGTCAACCAAAGCAAACATGGACAAATGGAATCACATCAAGTTAAAAATCTCCTTTACAGCAAATGAAACAATCAACAATTTGAAAAGACAGCCCACAGAATAGGAGAAAATATTTGCAAAGTACTCATGTGACAAGGGATTAATAACCAGAATATATAAGGAGCTCAAACAACTCTACAGGAAAAAGTCTAATAGTCTGATTTTAAAATGGGCAAAAGATTTGAATAGACATTTCTCAAAAGAAGACACACAAATGGCCAACAGGCATATGAAAAGTTGCTCGACATCACTGATCATCAGAGAAATCCAAATCAAAATTAAAATGAGATATCTCACCCCGGTCAAAATGCCTTGTATTAAAAAGACAGGCAATAACGAATGCTGGCAAGGATATGGAGGAAAGGGAACCCTCATATACTGTTGGTGGGAATGTAAATTAGTACAACCACTAAGGAGAACAGAAAGGGAAGGAAAGAAAAGAAAGGAAATCAGTATATCAAACAGATAATCGCATATCCATGTTTGTTGCAGCACTGTTCACAATAGCCAAAATTTGGAAGCAAACTAATTGTTGACCAACAGATGACTGGATAAACAAAATGTGGTACATAGATACAATGGAGTACTATTTGGCTATAAAAAGGAATGAGTTCCAGACATTTGCAACAACATGGGCGGAACTGGAGGTCATTATATTAAGTAAAATAAGCCAGGCACAGAAAGACTAATATCACATGTTCTCATTTATTTGTGGTATCTAAAAATTCAAACAACTGAACTCGTGGACATAGAGAGTACAAGGATCGTCACCCAGAGGCTGAGAATGGTAGTGGGAGGGTGAAGGGAAGGTGTGGATGGTTAATAGGTCCCAAAAAAAAAAAAAAAAAAAAAATAGAAAGAATGAATAAGACCTAGTATTTCATAGCACAACAGGGTGACTATAGTCAATAAAAATTTAAATGTACATTTTAAGATAACCAAAACAGTATATTTGGATTATTTGTAACACAAAGGATAAATGCTTGAGGGGATAGATACCCCATTTTACATGACGTGATTGTTACGCATGCATTGCATGCCTGTATCAAAACATCTCATGTCTCCAATTTATATATGCACCTACCATGTACCCACAAAAATTAAAATAAATTTTTTTTTCAAAACCAGATATATATCTTAAAAAAGGTAAACTGGCTTATTTTCCCTGCCTTTCATAAATTTTACTGATAGCTTCAGGCTGTATTCCCTCAAAGTGTGACCTAGGAAATCCTGCATGAGATTTACCTGGGAAACTGGTGAAAACTGTAAATTTCCAGGCCAATTTTAGGTACTGGAACCCAGGCATCAGCATATTAGAAGTTACCTCAGATGATTAATGGTGATACTGAAGGTTGAGAATGTCTAGGCTTTATTTTTTAAAATAGACTCTATTGTATATATTTAAGGTATACAACATGATGTTTTGGTATACTGATCGATAGTAAAATTGGCTTTTTGAAAATAAACCACATCTCATTGGAGTTGCAGAGTTCCAAAGAAGACTCAGATCCACAATTGTTTAGTAAACAAAGAAAAAGAACTGTGCAAAACTTACCAGTCCACAGGATTTTTCTCAATTTTATTCAACGTAAGCAACATTTTCTTAGCATTTTGTGAGTCACTAAATAAAAATAAACCAGACTCAATGTCCTTGACCTCATAGTGAAGGAGATTGAAAGCTCTATTTTAGAAGGAGGAGCCAAGATGGCCGAATAGGAACAGCTCTGGTCTACAGCTCCCAGCGTGAGCCACGCAGAAGATGGGTGATTTCTGCATTTCCATCTGAGGTACCAGTTTCATCTCACTAGGCAGTGCCAGACAGTGGGTGCAGGTCAGTGGGTGCGCGCACCGTGCGCGAGCCGAAGCAGGGCGAGGCATTGCCTCACTCGGGAAGCGCGAGGGGTCAGGGAGTTCCCTTTCCTAGTTAAAGAAAGGGGTGACTGACAGCACCTGGAAAATCGGGTCACTCCCACCCGAACACTGCGCTTTTCCGACAGGCTTAAAAAACGGCCCACCACAAGATTATATCCTGCACCTGGCTCTGAGGGTCCTACGACCACGGAGTCTCACTGATTGCTAGCACAGCAGTCTGAGATCAAACTGCAAGGCGGCAGCCAGGCTGGGGGAGGGGCTCCCGCCATTGCCTAGCCTTGCTTAGGTAAACAAAGCAGCTGGGAAGCTTGAACTGGGTGGAGCCCACCACAGCTCAAGGAGGCCTGCCTGCCTCTGTAGGCTCCACCTCTGGGGGCAGGGCACAGACAAACAAAAAGACAGCAGTAACCTCTGCAGACTTAAATATCCCTTTCTGACAGCTTTGAAGAGAGCAGTGGTTCTCCCAGCACGCAGCTGGAGATCTGAGAACGGGCAGACTGCCTCCTCAAGTGGGTCCCTGACCCCTGACCCCCGAGCAGCCCAACTGGGAGGCACCCCCCAGCAGGGGCACACTGACACATCACACGGCGGGGTACTCCAACAGACCTGCAGCTGAGGGTCTGGTCTGTTAGAAGGAAAACTAACAAACAGAAAGGACATCCACACCAAAAACCCATCTGTACATCACCATCATCAAAGACCAAAAGTAAATAAAACCACAAAGATGGGGAAAAAACAGAACAGAAAAACTGGAATCTCTAAAAAGCAGAGTGCCTCTTCTCCTCCAAAGGAACGCAGTTCTTCACCAGCAATGGAACAAAGCTGGACAGAGAATGACTTTGACGAGCTGAGAGAAGAAGGCTTCAGACGATCAAATTACTCTGAGCTACGGGAGGACGTCCAAACCAAAGGCAAAGAAGTTGAAAACTTTGAAAAAAATTTAGAAGAATGTATAACTAGAATAACCAATACAGAGAAGTGCGTAAAGGAGCTGATGGAGCTGAAAACCAAGGCACGATTACTACGTGAAGAATGCAGAAGCCTCAGGAGCTGATGCGATCAACTGGAAGAAAGGGTATCAGCAATGGAAGATGAAATGAATGAAATGAAGCGAGAAGGGAAGTTTAGAGAAAAAAGAATAAAAAGAAATGAGCAAAGCCTCCAAGAAATATGGGACTATGTGAAAAGACCAAATCTACGCCTGATTGATGTACCTGAAAGTGATGGGGAGAATGGAACCAAGTTGGAAAACACTCTGCAGGATATTATCCAGGAGAACTTCCCCAATCTAGCAAGGCAGGCTAACATTCAGATTCAGGAAATACAGAGAATGCCACAAAGATACTCCTCGAGAAGAGCAACTCCAAGACACATAATTGTCAGATTCACCAAAGTTGAAATGAAGGAAAAAATGTTAAGGGCAGCCAGAGAGAAAGGTCGGGTTACCCTCAAAGGGAAGCCCATCAGACTAACAGCGGATCTCTCGGCAGAAACCCTACAAGCCAGAAGAGAGTGGGGGCCAATATTCAACATTCTTAAAGAAAAGAATTTTCAACCCAGAATTTCACATCCAGCCAAACTAAGCTTCATAAGTGAAGGAGAAATAAAATACTTTACAGACAAGCAAATGCTGAGAGATTTTGTCACCACCAGGCCTGCCCTAAAAGAGCTCCTGAAGGAAGCACTAAACATGGAAAGGAATAACCGGTACCAGCCCCTGCAAAATCATGCCAAAATGTAAAGACCATTGAGACTAGGAAGAAACTGCATCAACTAACGAGCAAAATCACCAGCTAACATCATAATGACAGGATCAAATTCACACATAACAATATTAACTTTAAATGTAAATGGACTAAATGCTCCAATTAAAAGACACAGACTGGCAAATTGGATAAAGAGTCAAGACCCATCAGTGTGCTGTATTCAGGAAACCCATCTCACGTTCAGAGACACACATAGGCTCAAAATAAAAGGATGGAGGAAGATCTACCAAGCCAATGGAAAACAAAAAAAGGCAGGGGTTGCAATCCTAGTCTCTGATAAAACAGACTTTAAACCAACAAAGATCAAAAGAGACAAAGAAGGCCATTACATAATGGTAAAGGGATCAATTCAACAAGAAGAGCTAACTATCCTAAATATATATGCACCCAATACAGGAGCACCCAGATTCATAAAGCAAGCCCTGAGTGACCTACAAAGAGACTTAGACTCCCACACATTAATAATGGGAGACTTTAACACCTCACTGTCAACATTAGACAGATCAACGAGACAGAAAGTCAACAAGGATACCCAGGAATTGAACTCAGCTCTGCACCAAGCAGACCTAATAGACATCTACAGAACTCTCCACCCCAAATCAACAGAATATACATTTTTTTTCAGCACCACACCACACCTATTCCAAAATTGACCACATACTTGGAAGTAAAGCTCTCCTCAGCAAATGTAAAAGAACAGAAATTATAACAAACTATCTCTCAGACCACAGTGCAATCAAACTAGAACTCAGGATTAAGAATCTCACTCAAAACCGCTCAACTACATGGAAACTGAACAACCTGCTCCTGAATGACTACTGGGTACATAACAAAATGAAGGCAAAAATAAAGATGTTCTTTGAAACCAACGAGAACAAAGACACAACATACCAGAATCTCTGGGACGCATTCAAAGCAGTGTGTAGAGGGAAATTTATAGCACTAAATGCCCACAAGAGAAAGCAGGAAAGATCCAAAATTGACACCCTAACATCACAATTAAAAGAACTAGAAAAGCAAGAGCAAACACATTCAAAAGCTATCAGAAGGCAAGAAATATAAAATCAGAGCAGAACCGAAGGTTATAGAGACACAAAAAACCCTTCAAAAAATTAATGAATCCAGGAGCTGGGTTTTTTTGAAAGGATCAACAAAACTGATAGACCGCTAGCAAGACTAATAAAGAAAAAAAGAGAGAAGAATCAAATAGATGCGATAAAAAATGATAAAGGGGATATCACCACCGATCCCACAGAAATACAAACTACCATCAGAGAATACTACAAACACCTCTATGCAAATAAACTAGAAAATCTAGAAGAAATGGATAAATTCCTCGACACATACACTCTCCCAAGACTAAACCAGGAAGAAGTTGAATCTCTGAATAGACCAATAACAGGAGCTGAAATTGGGGCAATAATCAATAGCTTACCAACCAAAAAGAGTCCAGGACCAGATGGATTCACAGCCGAATTCTACCAGAGGTACAAGGAGGAGCTGGTACCATTCCTTCTGAAACTATTCCCATCAATAGAAAAAGAGGGAATCCTCCCTAACTCATTTTATGAGGCCAGCATCATTCTGATACCAAAGCCGGGCAGAGACACAACCAAAAAAGAGAATTTTAGACCAATATCCTTGATGAACATTGATGCAAAAATCCTCAATAAAATACTGGCAAACTGAATCCAGCAGCACATCAAAAAGCTTATCCACCATGATCAAGTGGGCTTCATCCCTGGGATGCAAGGCTGGTTCAATATACACTAATCAATAAATGTAATCCAGCATATAAACAGAACCAACGACAAAAACCACATGATTATCTCAATAGATGCAGAAAAGGCCTTTGACAAAATTCAACAACACTTCATGCTAAAAACTCTCAATAAATTAGGTATTGATGGGACGTATGTCAAAATAATAAGAGCTATCTATGACAAACCCACAGCCAATATCATACCGAATGGGCAAAAACTGGAAGCATTCCCTTTGAAAACTGGCACAAGACAGGGATACCCTCTCTCACCACTCCTATTCAACATAGTGTTGGAAGTTCTGGCCAGGGCAATTAGGCAGGAGAAGGAAATAAAGGGTATTCAAATAGGAAAAGAGGAAGTCAAATTGTCCCTGTTTGCAGAAGACATGATTGTATATCTAGAAAACCCCATTGTCTCAGCCCAAAATCTCCTTAAGCTGATAAGCAACTTCAGCAAAGTCTCAGGATACAAAATCAATGTACAAAAATCACAAGCATTCTTATACACCAACAACAGACAAACAGAGAGCCAAATCATGAGTGAACTCCCATTCATAATTGCTTCAAAGAGAATAAAATACCTAGGAATCCAACTTACAAGGGATGTGAAGGACCTCTTCAAGGAGAACTACAAACCACTGCTCAAGGAAATAAAAGAGGATACAAACAAATGGAAGAACATTCCATGCTCATGGGTAGGAAGAATCAATATCGTGAAAATGGCTATACTGCCCAAGGTAATTTACAGATTCAATGCCATCCCCATCAAGCTACCAATGCCTTTCTTCACAGAATTGGAAAAAACTACTTTAAAGTTCATATGGAACCAAAAAAGAGCCCGCATCACCAAGTCAATCCTAAGCCAAAAGAACAAAGCTGGAGGCATCACACTACCTGACTTCAAACTATACTACAAGACTACAGTAACCAAAACAGCATGGTACTGGTACCAAAACAGAGATGTAGATCAACGGAACAGAACAGAGCCCTCAGAAATAACGCCACATATCTACAACTATCTGATCTTTGACAAACCTGAGAAAAACAAGCAATGGGGAAAGGATTCCCTATTTAATAAATGGTGCTGGGAAAACTGGCTAGCCATATGTAGAAAGCTGAAACTGGATCCCTTCCTTACACCTTATACAAAAATCAATTCAAGATGGATTAAAGACTTAAACGTTAGACCTAAAACCATAAAAACCCTAGGAGAAAACCTAGGCATTACCATTCAGGACATTGGCATGGGCAAGGACTTCATGTCTAAAACACCAAAAGCAATGGCAACAAAAGACAAAATTGACAAATGGGATCTAATTAAACTAAAGAGCTTCTGCACAGCAAAAGAAACTACCATCAGAGTGAACAGGCAACCTACAAAATGGGAGAAAATTTTCGCAACCTACTCATCTGACAAAGGGCTAATATCCAGAATCTACAATGAACTCAAACAAATTTACAAGAAAAAAACAAACAACCCCATCAAAAAGTGGGCAAAGGACATGAACAGACACTTCTCAAAAGAAGACATTTATGCAGCCAAAAAACACATGAAAAAATGCTCATCATCACTGGCCATCAGAGAAATGCAAATCAAAACCACAATGAGATACCATCTCACACCAGTTAGAATGGCAATCATTAAAAAGTCAGGAAACAACAGGTGCTGGAGAGGATGTGGAGAAATAGGAACACTTTTACACTGTTGGTGGGACTGTAAAGTAGTTCAACCATTGTGGAAGTCAGTGTGGCGATTCCTCAGGGATGTAGAACTAGAAATACCATTTGACCCAGCCATCCCATTACTGGATATATACCCAAATGACTATAAATCATGCTGCTATAAAGACACATGCACACGTATGTTTATTGCGGCATTATTCACAATAGCAAAGACTTGGAACCAACCCGAATGTCCAACAATGATAGACTGGATTAAGAAAATGTGGCACATATACACCATGGAATACTATGCAGCCATAAAAAATGATGAGTTCATGTCCTTTGTAGGGACATGGATGAAATTGGAAATCATCATTCTCAGTAAACTATCGCAAGAACAAAAAACCAAACACCGCATATTCTCACTCATAGGTGGGAATTGAACAATGAGAACACATGGACACAGGAAGGGGAACATCACACTCTGGGGACTATTGTGGGGTGGGGGGAGAGGGGAGGGATAGCATTGGGAGATACACCTAATGCTAGATGACGAATTAGTGGGTGCAGTGCACCAGCATGGCACATGTATACATATGTAACTAACCTGCACAATGTGCACATGTACCCTAAAACTTAAAGTATAATAAAAAATAAATAAATAAATAAAATAAAAACTAGAAAAAAAAAGAAAGCTCTATTTTAGATGCTAGGCATCTAAAGCTGAATAAACTTCTTTCTATGTAATAGTTCACTATCCCAAATACTTCTATCAGTGGGAGGTAAGAGTTGTTGAAAAAGCATGAAGCAATTACCACAAGGAATTCAAGTGCTACTGAGGGTCTATGAGACTGTGCCAATCTGAATTCTTCTAAAGTCATAGATTCTGTTTGTTGTTGTTTTTAAGTCAGTTTTATTGAGATATAATTAGTGAGTAGTAAAATTATTAATAACTCCTGGATGTACAGTTCTTGAGATCTGACAGTGTATGGAGTCATGTAACCACCACCACCATCAATGCATAAAATATTTTCATCTTAAAGAATTTGCTCATGAACCTTCGTAGCTCATCATCTCTCTCCACTTCCAGCATCTGGCAGCCCCTGGTCTGTCCTATACCTAGTGTTTGCCTTTTCCTGAAAGTCACATAGGAGAATTATGCAGTATTTTACCTTTTCAGTCCGGCTTCTTTCACTTTGCATTATGCTTTTGGATTGTCCATGGTGCTAGGTATATTGGTAGGACATTTCTTTTTATAGCTTTTATACTGTATGTTATTAGTATACTACAATTTGTGTATGCATTCACCAGGTAATGGTATTTGAATTGTTTCCAATTTTTGGATATTTAACTGTAGCTGCTGTAAATGTTTGCCTAACAGTCTTTATGGAGATATGCGTTTTCATTTCTCTTGAGTAAATACCTAAGAAGAACATTGCTGAGTTATAAGGTTCAGATGGAGCAGGGATGCTCTTAGAGGGCTGTGGGACTCCCACACTAAACATGGAAATAAAGGAAAATCTTGAGCTCCTCCAAAGGGAATTCCAGATACTTAGTGAACTCTGAGAAGTAAATGAGCAGCTTGATAAGCAAGAAGGTAATCGTAGCTTAAAATAGCCAAGGAAGTTAGAATCATGTGATGTTAGGCCCTATGAAAACTAAAGACAACACCTTAACAAATGCCCCTGAGTTGTTTTCCAAAAACTTGGATTCCCTCCAAGCAGATCCACTGGCATGTAGACCTCAGATAAAAGGGAACAGAGGACGGAACTGTGACTACTGTTGTAAATTTGTTTCTGAAGGGACTGGAGAAAATCACATCCATGAGCCAGAGCTAACAGTCTTTTATGATGACCCCAAATTTTTTAACAAAGCTTCTCTTCCTTAGCTAATTCAAATCAGCAAACCTTTGAATTTAGCTATGACCTGTAAGCCCCCGCTTCAAGATATCCTGCCCTCATAGGCCAAACCAATGTGTAACCTCAAGGTACCAATTTACAATTTTGTCTGTAACTTTTGCTTTCCTGAAATTTATCCCTGCTTTAAAACATCCGACCTGCAAGCCACTGGGGAGGTTGAGTCTTAAGCGTGAACTTCCCTATTTTCCTTGCTTGGCACCCTACAAATAAACACACTTTTCTCCCACTGCAAACCACAGTGTGGATATTTGGCCTTACTCCACCAGGCCAGTTTGGTTTGGTAAGAAGGTAACTATGTGTTTAAATTTTGAAGAAACTTCCAAATAGTTTTTCAAAGTGGCTGCATATTGCATTCCCACCAGCAATGTTTCAAAGTGGCTGCATATTGCATATTGCATATTGCATTCCCACCAGCAATGTTTGAGAGTCTCTGTTGCTTTACATTCTTGTTAACACTTTATATTGCCATTTTGTTTTAAAATAGCCCTTCTGGCTGATCACTGTGGCTCACAGCTGTAATCCCAGCACTTTGGGAGGCCGAGGCAGGTGGATCACAAGGTCAGGAGTTCGAGACCAGCCTGGGACATGGTGAAACCCCATCTCTACTAAAAACACAAAATTAGCCGGGTGTGGTGATGCGCACTTGTAATCCCAGCTACTCGGGAGGCTGAGGCAGGAGAATTGCTTGAACCCGGGAGGCGGAGATTGCAGTGAGCCGAGATCGCACCACTGCACTCCAGCCTGGGTGACAAAGTGAGACTCTGTCTCAAAAAAAAAAAAGCCGTTCTAACATGTGAGTAATGATATATTTGTTTTCCATTAGAATTTGTCTAATGTCTGTTGATGTTAGTCACATTTTCTTGTGCTTATTTGACACATATCTCTTTTGTAATGAAAAGTTCATTCAAATTATCTGCCCATTTTGGTTTAGGTTGTTTTATTATTGTTAAAATATGGCAGTTGTTTATATATTCTGAATATTAGTCCTTTATCAGATTTTTTTTTTTTGCAAATATTTTCTCCAATATTGACTTGTCTTATTTTAACAGGGACTTTCAAAGAGTAGAACATTTTAATTTCAACGAAGTCTAATTTATTTATGTTTTCTTTTATGGTTTATGTTTTTTGTGTCCTATCTTTAAAAAAACTTTGCTTAGCCTACAATCAAAAAATGTCTTCTATGATTTTTGATAAAAGTTTGATTAGAGTTTTAGGTTTTACAATTAGATATAGGGTCTACTTTGAGTTAATTTTTATAAATGGTGTGAGGTATAGGTTAAGATTTCTATTTTTTTAATATGGATGCACAATTTTTCCAGTAACATTTTTTGAAAACACTACCACTTGTTCTGAGAAAAGAAAAATAGCTCAGAGCAGTCTGAGCTACATGAAGTTTGCAGTATTTATCAGGCCTAGAGAGACAGGAGTATGGAACTTTAATAACCTCTTACATGCTGAACTCTTGCCCAGGGAAAATTGTTTAAAGGCATTTTGTCCCTGACTGGCTGCCTTAGACATTATCTTTATGTACCTGAAAAATTTGTGATACAAAGAACAATGCATAACCCATCAATCGCTTGTGTTGTTGTTGTTATTATTATTATTATTGAGACAGAGTTTCACTCTTGTTGCCCAGTTTCACTCTTGTTGCCCAAGCTGGAGTGCAATGGCGCCATCTGTGCTCACCACGACCTCCGCCTCCTGGGTTCAAGTGATTCTCCTGCCTCAACCTCCCGAGTACCTGGGATTATAGGCATGCCTGGCTAATTTTGTATTTTTAGTAAAGATGGGGTTTCTCCATGTTGGTTAGGCTGGTCTCGAACTCCCGACCTCAGGTGATCCACCCACCTTGGCCTCCCAAAGTGCTGGGATTACAGGCATGAGCCACCATGCCCAGCTGCTTGTGTTATTTTAATGTAAATTCTTGGTAAGCACTTTAATAACTGCATCTTCCTTTTTCCTTAAAACCCCACTGCTGTTAATTGTATATTATTTAGGGCAATTTGAGTGTATGCTCCCAGATGGCTATCCTCAAGCTTTGAGTTTTAATGAACTTCACACTTAATTTTATTTTCTGAATCTCATTATTAAAGTTAACAGTTCAATGAATAGTTTATGAATGGTTCATTGATAGTTCCTTGGTATATTTGTCAAAAATCAGTTGATCATATATGTATTGGCCTATTTCTAGGCTATTTTTTCCCATTCATCTATGTATTTACCCTTTGCTAATGCCTTGCTGTCTTTACTACTATAGTTTTTTAGTAAGAATTGAAATTAGGCAACATTAGTTCTCCAATTTTGTTGTTTTTTATTTGGTTCTTCTATCCCCTTTGTTTTTCAGCATAAATTTTAGAATCCACTTGTTGATACAAAAAATCCTGCTATCATTTTCATTGGTATTGTGTTGATAACATAGGTCAATTTGGGATAGAACTGACATATCTAAGAATATTAAGGTTTTTTTTTTTTTTTTCGACGGAGTCTCGCTTTGTTGCCAGGCTGGAGTGCAGTGGCGTGATCTTGGCTCACTGCAACCTCCACCTCCCGGGTTCAAGTGATTCTCCTGCCTCAGCCTCCCAAGCAGCTGGGATTACAGGCATGCACCACCAGGCCTAGTTAATTTTTGTATTTTTAGTAGAGACGGGGTTTTATCACGTTGGCCAGGAAAGTCTCAATCTCTTGACCTTGTGATCTGCCCGCCTCGGCCTCCCAAAGTGCTGGGATTACAGGCGTGAGCCATTGCACCTGGTCAAATGTTAAGTTTTACAATTAATAAGTCTGGCTTATCTCACCATTTATTGAAGTTTTATTTGATGTTTATTTATGTTGTATAATTTTTAACATACAAAATATCCACAAACATTATGAGATTTACCCTTAAGTAGTTCCTTTTGGAAGGTATTACTTTAAATATTACTTTTAAATTACAGTGCAATTTGCAATTATTTCTAGGTAGCATATATAAATTCAATAGAATTTTTGGTGTTTCTGCTGACTTTATATCCTACAACTTAGCTGAACTCAATAGATCTACTCTTTTTAGTACAGATTATTTGGGATTTCTACATGGACATATTATCTGAAAATCAAGGCAGTTTTATTTATACATTTCCAATCTGTGTGTCTTTTATAAATTTTCTTTTTCACATTACTGTGCTGGCTAGGACTTGCAGTATAATGTTGAATAGCAGTGGTGAGAACAGATACTCCTGCCTTTTTTCCAATCTTTGGGGTAAAATCTTCAGTCTTGCACTCCTAAAGTATGACGTTAGTTGTTGGTTTTCAAAAATGCCATATGAGTTTGAAGAATTTCTCTTCTATTCGTAGTCTGCTGAGAGGTATTATGAAAGAATGTTGAATTTTGCCAAATGCATGCTTTTCATCTGAGATGATTCTATGGTTTTTCTTCTTCTGTCTGTTGATATGGTGAATTACATAACTCATAATTCCACCAATCCCAGAAATAAAAACCATCTGTGTTTTCATAAATTTCCTTCCAATCTTTAATCTCTAAATATAACTTATTGACTAAAATAGAAAAATAGTATTATATAATAATAACAGTATTTACATACTTCTTTCTCAACATTTTATTTGAGATATTTCATGTTATCGAACTTTAAGAACACAATTCTTATGGCTGAATAAAAGCCCATCCTATGTATGCACCATAATAATAATAATCATAAAAAATTATAATTATAATAATTCAAATAATAACTTTTTGTACCAATTACTGTTAAGTACCATTGCATATATCAATATTTTACCCTAATAAGTCTGTGAGGCAGGTATCATTATTATGATGATGATTATGCTAATTTTAGAGCTAAGAAAACAGACACAGAGAGGTTAGAGACCTGTCTCCGGGTCTCGTAGCTAGTAAGTAGTGGAACCTGACTTCTGGCTCTGTAGACTGTAGTCTTTTCTACATTATACTGTTTATTTTGTCACTCTACAGTACACATGTTCTTACTGTAGCACTGCCTAATAGATAATGCTATGCTAAATACAATTGATATTAATTCTTTACCTGTATATATCACTATATTTCTAGATTCATAAATTGGGGCTAAGAGGTCAAGGTTTTGGGTCAAAAAGTATAGATTCTTCAAGGAGACTTGATGCACACTGCTTAATTGCTTTTCTGAAATTAGTTCTATCAATACGTAGGAATACTGCAATCTAACAAAGATCAGCTTTTTTATTTTGTTAATTTTTGATAGGTGAAAAATAACAGGATTTTTTTTCATGTTTAATGTTTCGTATGTTTGTTATTCATTCGTGTTTATGTTTCCTGTCTATTATTTGTGATTTTTTCCAATATTTAGTGTGTTCAGATTTGAATAAAAATTTTATGTATCAAATGAAAAATTTGTTCTCAACATTCTGTTTTACATTTTCTTTGCTTGTTCTTTATGTTTTCTTCTTATTTTTTTGGACAATGGTTTTAAAGTCAAATAAATTTTTCATTTGTATCTTATTCCTCATAGAGATGATCAGAAGGTCTTTGCTGAGTCAGTATTAGATCACATATATCTATATATTTTATTCAAGTATTTCATAGTTTTAAAAAATTAATGTAAAATTTATCTAATTGTATGAATTGAGAAAGTAATTTGGCTTTTTTCTAAATAACAAATCAATATTCTGGTATCATGATTCTATAATTTTCTCCCTAATGAATTTATGACAATTTTGTTTCCTCCCCAGTCTTATTAAGGTATAATTGACAAATGTAAATTGTATATATTTATAGTATATAAAGTGATATTTTGATATCTGTGAACATTGTGCAATGATTAAATCAAGCTAATTAACATATCTATCATGTCACATACTTATTTTTTTGTAGTGACAATATTTAAGATCTACTGTCTTAGCAGTTTTCAAGTATACAATACATTATTATTAACTATAGGTACCATGCTCTAGAATAGATCTCCAGAACTTATTCCTCCCATCTAACTGAAACTTTGTACCTTTTGACCAACATTTCCCCATTTCCCTCCACCCCACACTTCAGCCCCCGGTAGCCACCATTCTGCTCTCTGCTTCTATGAGTTCAACTTTCTTAGATTTCACATATGTATGGAATCTTGTAGTTTTTGTTTTTCTCTGCCTGATCCGTTTTACTTATGATATGTCCTCCAGGTTCATTCATGGTATCACAAATGACAGTTTCCTTTTTTAAGACTGAATGATAACTATTTTATCACACACACACACACACACACACACAGACACACACACACACACACACACACACCCCACATCATGTTTTCTTTATCTATTCATCCATCAGTGGATATTTGGACATTTAGATTGATTCCATATCTTATTCCATATGTGAATAATGCTACAATGAACACAGAAGTACAGATATCTCTTAGAAATACTAATTTTATTTCCATTGGACATATATCCACATGTGGTATTGCTGCATCATATAGTAGTTCTATGTTTAATTTTCTGACAGAGCTCTATACTGTCTTCCATAATGGCCATATTACAGCTTTATCTTATATTGAATGATTATATATGCACAGACCCATTCATGGAATCTCTATTTTGCTCTGCTGATCTGTTACTACTTTAGAAAAGCAATACAGTGCAGAACAATCTGAGTTCAGACCTGGTATTGCCACTGTTATATGACCATTAACATGTTACTTAACCTCTCTGGGCCTCATTTTCCTAATTTAAATATGATTGTTTTAAACATTAAATGAAAGAAAAAGTACAGATAGCACTTAGATTAATGCCTGGCCCATAACAAGCTCTTAGAATACCTGCAGTTTTTACTAATTTCTTTACTATGTCAGGTTTACAATTTTAATTATTATAGCTGTAACAAAGACTCATTCTATTTCCTTTCTGCAACATGCCCAGCTAATAGATTTATGGCCCATTTGATGTTCTGAAAAATGGTATAAAAGTAGTCTTCTGAAAACAGTCTTCATGGGAAAGGAAGATTGCAAATTTTACCCCTTCTACCTAACCTCCTTATTTCATAATAAAATAAAAAATATATATGGCTGAATAGTCAGCAACCCTCTTGGACCAAGAGGTAAGGATGGATGTCAAGAGCTTGGATGATGACACAAAATGGGAACAAACTTGCTACCTTATGGTAATGGAGCTGCCTGGACTCTTCCATTTCTCTCTGGACTTCTACATAGAAGAATATGCCTTTGTACTTTTAACACATTATACTACAGTTTCTATCAATATCTCATTTTTAATGATATGGTTGAGTCCCAAAATCAATATAGAATGCTTATTTTTATGTTGAAGTGTTTTAAGCTTAAAGCTTGTTTTTTTTGCATATACTCATGGGGTACAAGTGCAACTTTACTCCATTGATATATTGCATTGTGGTGAAGTCAGGGCCTTCAGTGTATCCATCACTGGAGCTATGCATATTGTACCCACCAAGCAACCTCATATCATCCATCTCTTTCCACTCCTCTACAAACTTCAAGTCTCCATTGTCCATCATGCCACACTCTACTTCCATGTGTACATATTATTTAGCTCCCACTTGTAAGTGACAACATACAACATTTATCTTTCTGTGTCCAAGTTCTTTCTCTTAAGATAATGGCATCCAGTTCCATCCATGTTGCTGCAAAAGACATGATTTTATTCTTTTTCATCACTGAATACTATTCCATTAAGTATATACACCACATTTTCTTTATCCAATCCTACAATGATGGACACTTTTGTTAATTCTATATTTTTGCTATTGCAAATAATGCTGCAATAAACATAACAAGTGCAGGTATCTTTTTGATACAATGATTTCTTTTCCTTTGGGTAGATACCCATTAGTGGGAATGCTGGATCATATGGTAGTTCTATTTTTAGTTCTTCATGAAATCTCCAGGCTGTTTCCATAGAGGTTGTTCTAATTTACATTCCCACTAATAGTGTACAAGAGTTCCCTTTTCTCCACATGCTCTCCAACACCTGTTGTTTGTTTTTTCTTTATCATAATAGCCATTCTGATTGGTGTGAAATGATATCTCACTGTAGTTTTAATTTACATTTCCCTGATGGTTAGTGATATTGAATTTTTTTTTCTCTTTTTTGAGATGGAGTTTCACTCTTGTTGCCCAGGCTGGAGTGCAATGGTGTGATCTTGGCTCACCGCAACCTCCACCTCCCAGGTTCAGGCAATTCTCCTGCCTCAGCCTCCCGAGTAGCTGGGATTACAGGCATGTGCCACCATGCAGGGCTAATTTTGTATTTTTGGTGGAGATAGAGTTTCTCCATGTTGGTCAGGCTGGTCTCAAACTCCCGACCTCAGGTGATCCAGCCTCCCAAAGTGCTGGGATTACAGGTGTGAGCCACTGCATCCAGCCAATTGTTGTCCATTTCTTTGTCGTCTTTTGAAAAATGCCTATTCATGTCCTCAGCCCACTTTTTAATGTAATTATTTGGTGGTTTTTCATTGAGTTGTTTGAGTTCCTTGTAAATTCTGGACATTACCCTTCTGTCAGATGATATAATTTGCAAATATTTTCTCCCATTCTGCAGGTTGTCTGTTCACTGTGTTAATTATTTCTTTTGATGTGTGTGTATTAGTCTGTTTTCACACTGCTGATAAAGATATACCTGAGACTGACAATTTACAAAAGAAAGCTTTAATTGGACTTACAGTTCCACATGGCTGGGGAGCCTCACAGTCATGGAAGAAGGCAAGGAACAACAAGTCACATTTTACATGGATGGCAGCACGCTAAAGGAGCTTGTGCAAGAAAACTCCCCCTTATGATAATCATCAAATCTTGTGAGACTTACCATCACAAGAACAGCCTGGGAAAGACCTGCCCCCATGATGCAGTTACCTCCCACTGGGTCTCTCCCACAACACGTGGGAATTCAAGATGAGATTTGGGTGGGGACACGGCCAGACCATATCAGTGTGGAGCATTTTTGCTTAATTAAGTCCCATTTGTCTATTTTTGTTTTGGTTGACTGTGCTTTTAAGGTCTTGATCATGAATTCTTTTCCTAGACCAATGTCTAGAAGAGTTTTCCTAGGTTTTCTTCTAGTATTTTTAAAGTTTCAGGTCTTACATTCAAATCTTCAATCCAACTTGATTTGATTTTTTATATGGTGGTAGATAGGGGCCTAGTTTTACCCTTCTACATATGGCAATCCAATATTCCTAGCATCATTTATTGAAAAGGATGTTCTTTCCCCACTGTATATTCTTGTTGACTTTTTCAAAGATCAGTTGGCTGTAAAACTGTGAGCTTTATTTCTGGGTTCTCTATTCTGTTCCATTGATCTATGTGTCCTTTTTTCTTAATGCCAGTGTCATGTTTTAGTTACTATAGACTTGGAGTATTATTCAAAGTCAGGCAATCTAATGCCTCCATTTTTCTTCTTTTTGCTTAGGATTGCTTTGAATTTGGGCTCTTTTTTGTTCCATATGAACTTTAGAATTGTTTTCTCTAATTCTGTGAAAAATGATGTTGGCATTTTGATAGTAATTGTATTTAACCTATAGATTGCTTTGGGAAGTGTGGTTATTTTAATAATATTAATTCTTCTAGTCCATGAGCATGATTTCTTTACATCAAGAGTGAAAAGCTATCTCCTTCATGTCTATTTATTCTAATCTAGAAACAATATATCTTTTTAATTAAGATGTTATCAATGATATGTTATTAATTGTTGCCAACATTAAAAAATAGAATAACAGAATCTTAACCATCAGAGAGAAAAGCAGTTTCTTTGAAATTCCTCTAATACGTCATATGAACAAAAGCATTAAGAGTAAATATATTTTTCATCATTGCTTCAAGGCTAAGCCATACAAAATAGATTAGCTGTCAATGAAGAGAGCTAAAGCAGGTAATGCAGTTTCCCAAAAGAGTTCTCAGAATTAAATTATCTGGCATTTTTGCACTGATCACTTAGCCACAATAATTAATAATCTTCTTATTTTTATTATATTGAAAATTAAATCACACTATCATTCATTTTCTTAATATTAATCATCAGTCATCATAAAATGCCTTTCTTTTGTTTTCTAATATAGTTGGAAGTACCCATTTTACCAAATTAACTGATTACTTTAGCTTCATAATATGGATTACTTAGAGGATCAAAGCACTCATGCTCTGCCTCTAGATAGAACATTAATATAAGACAAGGAAGTAGCAAGTAATTTCTTTGCCTCAAGCTTGAATGGCATATTTTGGCCCTGCTACGTCTATTACACTTGACTCATTCTCAAGATAAATACCAAGAGGGGATAAGGTAAAAGATAAAACACCCAGTGCAATGTCCCTCCAAAAAAAGCATTTTGGGGTTGCTAGTCTCTGATTCCTCTAATATCTTGTGTCAAAGAGAATTTCCACCATTTCTATCTTATCCTGGGCCCCAGAGAGAATCCTACTAGATAACAATGGATGAATTTGGTTTCAGATGGTATACCATCCTGCTTGCACAGGCTTTATGGAGTGACACAATGGGAAAGTCCCCTTTCAGTCATTTACATGAAGTTGATTCCACAGCAAAACACATTTTGTGAGTCTTTTCCAATTAGAAACATCTAGATCTTTTATTGGATATTGAAACATCTACATTTATCTTTTTATAGCTCATTTAATTAAAGACAATTAAAATTTGAGTTCTAAAATTTGTTGTTCAGTAATAGATTGTCACAACTATTGCAAAAAATCTTATTGGGCACAATGTAGCATGCAATTTGTGCTAGTTAGTGGGAATAAAGCACATAATCTACATCCTGTCCTCAAACAATCTAGTCTACTGAGTGAGACTAGTGTGAGAATAATCATCACAGTCCCTGGAACACAGAGAAAGTCAAGTTTTTGGTTAAAGTATCAGAAAAGACTTCATGAGAAAATAATTTTTGATCTTTAGTAACGAGAAAGATTTCACCACTATGAGAGCTCTTGGTCTTTCAAGAGATCCCTGAACTCATAAAACTCTAGTATACCCTAAAGAATATCCAGATGGCTTTAAGTCATCTGAGAAGAAAAGGAAAAAATGAGTATTTATTGATAAGATTTGATGCCAAGATGAGTTATTTTCTAAGAATTTACATGCACTTACATATGTAAACTTGCTAATAAACATATAAGACGTGTACTATCTTCTCCTTTTAATAAATAAAGAAATTGAGATTCAGAGAAGTACAGTATAGAATATCTAGTAATTGTCAGCACCAGCACTTTGCCTAACTTTGTATAATTCAAAAGTTTGTCCAAAAGACCAAAGTTTTTTCTATAACCTGAAAGCTACCTCCAGGTTTAATCCATGCTGAGAGAACAAAGGTGGAGAGGAACTGAAATTCCAAAATGTGCAGTGTAGCTTAGGGTTTATATTAGAGTTTTGGTCAGACAGTTCAGGGTTTAAGCTCTTGACTATGCTGCTTGCAAGCTTAGACATGTTACTTAGCTTCTCTAAAACTCAGTTTTTCTGCGCAACATACACACTAAAAGCATTCACTTTCTTCAAGGCAGTGTGTGAGAATTACATTCAAAATACATACAGAAACACTTAGCTCTAAGCTTAACACATATATCTACTTAATAAATATCAGCCAAAACTTGTCTTAAGAAGCTGAACATGCCCAGAACTATGGAAATATGTCTGGCTTCCTGACAGAATTCAGATACCCAGGAGCTATTTCCAATCCCTGTGGAAGAACTCAGCTTCCTCTGAGGAGTCGTTAGTATTCTGGGCTCGGGTCAAATTTCAAATTTTAGCTATAGGTCAGAGTAGAACTGTTGTGGAAGTTCCTGGAACAATAAAGCATTCCTATGGGTCAAAAGTAGTAAAGGGTGGTCTGGGAGTGCTCTCCGAAGGTCTATCCAAGCCACAGCAATCCCACACTGAGGTGATGGGGAAAACCTGATGGAATAGACACTGTGAGAACAGGTCATTACCTTACATGAGTACAGATCAGTCCTGGGAGGACAATTGCTGTCCAAGTGGCTCCACTTGAAATTGAAGCACTGCTGACAAAACCCCTAACTGGCCCTCCATTCCATCCAAAAAGTCAGGGAAAAAAGCCAAGGATTCTGATTGAATAGCATCTGCCGTGCGATGGATAGAAATGTCTGAGCATCCAACAGATGGATGCAAACATCCTGGGGCTTAGCAATGTGTGCAAGTGACCATATACAAATTAAAAAGTGTGAACAAATGATTTTTCTGGGAAAGTTGTGACCTGACATTCTTAGAGAAAAAACAAACATGCATTTTTACTAATAACAGGAACTCTCAGAACTCTCTAATAGTAGAAAAGTGTACGGTGGCAAGAGATACTTTGTGTGTAGAAAAGTGTATGTGTGTATGTGCGTGTTTGTGTGTACAAATTAATGCCCTTACAATTCACATGCCAGTAAAATTCTGTGTCATATTGATTCTTTGGACATTTTTCTCTAAATGAACTTTATACGTAAATATCAGTATAATTAAGTTAGTGGTTTTCCTTGTATAGGTGTCTAATATATCAGATAAATTACAGTGAGAGTAAAAACAGAGGAAAAATCATTAAATGTCACAGGTGCCTGGTTTGCTTAAGGACAGAGTCTTACACGTATTTTCGTGTTATACTATGTACTGCCTTTCAATCTGCTGCAGTCATTTGACTCATTTAGCAAGCATAGCTAGAAGAAAACTTAGATCATCCAATTCAATCTTTCATTTTAGAGTTGAGAAAACTGACACCCAGAGAGGTTGTTATTCGCTTAAGGTAACCGAGCTAATTAACAACTCTCCTAGAAATAGAAATGGCTTCTCCAATACTGAGCTCATCAGAAAGCATTTCTAACTCTATAGGCTTTTAAATAGCTTGAATAAAAGGCCTAGGGACAAAGCAAACTCATAAAAAATCTCCAAATTTGTAATTCAAACATCTTAGACATTGGAAAAACTTCTTTTTTTGGCTTTAAATGTTGTATTAACATAGGCATTTGCTTTGGGTACTAATTGAGGACCCACCTACCCACTTTTGCATAACACACCATCAGAAGTCCCTGTGATGTGTCAGTTTTATGATATATCTGTTTATGTAAATTAACAACTGTCTCCAAATTCCATGTATCATGAAGCACTCATAGCAAACTTTTCATCTCTTTTCCTTTGTAAGCTTCTGGTTTATGCCCACCCACAAGCAATCTGTGTACCATCAAATTTCCCTTATGCAATCAATGAGTGAGCTGAGCATCTTGTCAATAGCATTTATCATCATTGTAGTTCATTATTTGTAAAGTTATTTGTTTAATATTTAATTTTATCTCCCTACTCAACTGCAAGCTCATTCAGAAAAAAACTGAAAGTTCCTTTATACCTTTAGTCAAAGCACAGAGTGCTGGCACATAATTGGGTATTGATAAATATTTTTGTATGAACAAATGGAATACAGACTAATGTTAATATTAAGATCAGGGAAAAGAGATAAAAACAAGGAAGCTATACTATGTCACCAATATAAGGCCTATAATGTGTTCTGAGGGCAGATGTGACATGTTTTGAAATACCACATTTTTTTCTATTATGTGTTACCGAAATCTTCTTGATGACTTATGAATAATTAAGACTTTATTAAACTTAACTCATTAATGATATTGTCTGAGTTTAAGTCTTCCTTGCTCAAGGCATTACTCTCCTATCAGTTGTACAAGGTCAAATTTAGGAATAAAATTGGAGAGTAGCCTCAATATGTTTACAGCTAAATATACCTAGTTGTAAGAACACATCCCTTTATTGCTCTAACCTTTGGCTCTAAAGGATGGCCATGTCACTAATTGCATAAATACTGATCAAAGAAGATTGAGCCAGGGAATTTCCAAATTCAACAAAGCCTAGAAAAGATGGCATTAAAAATAGATGACTTTCTACCCCAGGCTGAAGAGGTATGAATGAAGCAAATCAATTTAAGAATGTAGTCACATCATGTGGCTGGAACGTTGGGACCTGGAGTTGTAGCTAGAATGCATCCCATGACAAAACTAATAGTGCCAGCAAAGCCTACAATGTGAGAGCAGAGTTCTTTCAGACAGGACATAGGCAAGGCGAACAATGTGGTGAATTAGACTTGGATTTCTGACCACCTACATCTTATGCCCACCACGCCCATGCTGCTGAAGGATGCTCCTTGCTGGAGAATTAAACTTCTTTTCTTCATCGATGTCAGTCTCATCCCTGTGCCCTGCTTAAGACACTGTGAGAAGAAGCTATGTGTGTCACTTCTGAGCAGAAGCACAGCTCATCATATCTTTTTTCTTCCTTCATGAGATCAGTGATGGTCTGGAAAGAGGCTGTGCCCCTAGGCAGGATTCTGGAGCAAAGAGGTTATGGAACAAAGCTCAGTCAACTCAAAACAGACATGGAACTTGAGTCAGAAATGGGATGTGAGCCACTGAGATTTTAGAGTTGCTTATAATCACAGCATATTTAACCTAAGCTGCCAGATATAGACAGAAAAGCCAATATGTTTGAGTACCTTCTAGATGTCTGAGGTAGGTTCTGTCTGAAAAGGAGTGAAAGTACTGATGGAAAACCCAAGGCACCTTGAAGACAAAAGATAGAGATAAACCTGAATTTTAAAACACCAACAATAGTTAAAATAAAAATTAGAGTGAACCCAAGTGATATGATTTGGCTCTCTGTCCCCACCCAAATCTTATCTTGTACCTCCCATAATTCCCATGTGTTGTGGAAGGGACCTGGTGGGAGATAATTGAATCATGAAGATGGGTCTTTTTTGTGCTTTTCTCGTGATAGTGAATAAGTCTCACAAGATCTGACAGTTTTAGAAACGGGAATTTCCCTGCATAAGTTCTCCCTCTTTGCCTGCTGCCATCCATATAAGGCATGACTTGCTCCTCCTTGCCTTCTCCATGATTGTGAGGCCTCCCCAGCCAAATGGAACTGTATTTAAACCTCTTTCTTTTGTAAATTGCCCAGTCTCAGGTATTTCTTTATCAGCAGCACGAAAATGGACTAATACACCAAGATATGTAGAAAAAGAAAAGAACCAAGGTAATTTACAGATTCAATGCCATCCCCATCAAGCTACCAATGACTTTCTCCAGAATTGGAAAAAAACTACTTTAAAGTTCATATGGAACCAAAAAAGAACCCGCATCGCCAAGTCAATCCTAAGCCAAAAGAACAAAGCTGGAGGCATCACACTACCTGACTTCAAACTATACTGCAAGGCTACAGTAACCAAAACAGCATGGTACTGGTACCAAAACAGAGATAAAGATCAATGGAACAGAACAGAGCCCTCAGAAATAACGCCACATATCTACAACTATCTGATCTTTGACAAACCTGAGAAAAACAAGCAATGGGGAAAGGATTCCCTATTTAATAAATGGTGCTGGGAAAACTGGCTAGCCATATGTAGAAAGCTGAAACTGGATCCCTTCCTTACACCTTATATAAAAATCAATTCAAGATGGATTAAAGACTTAAACGTTAGACCTAAAACCATAAAAACCCTAGAAGAAAACCTAGGCATTACCATTCAGGACA
The DNA here is from genome assembly GCF_000001405.40 of Homo sapiens. Lineage (NCBI taxonomy): Eukaryota > Metazoa > Chordata > Mammalia > Primates > Hominidae > Homo > Homo sapiens. Next base: position 27,531,842 of record NC_000018.10, read on the forward strand.
TAGGCATGGGCAAGGACTTCATGTCTAAAACACCAAAAGCAATGGCAACAAAAGACAAAATTGACAAATGGGATCTAATTAAACTAAAGAGCTTCTGCACAGCAAAAGAAACTACCATCAGAGTGAACAGGCAACCTACAGAATGGGAGAAAATTTTCGCAACCTACTCATCTGACAAAGGGCTAATATCCAGAATCTACAATGAACTCAAACAAATTTACAAGAAAAAAACAAACAACCCCATCAAAAAGTGGGCAAAGGACATGAACAGACACTTTTCAAAAGAAGACATTTATGCAGCCAAAAGACACATGAAAAACTGCTCATCATCACTGGCCATCAGAGAAATGCAAATCAAAACCACAATGAGATACCATCTCACACCAGTTAGAATGGCAATCATTAAAAAGTCAGGAAACAACAGGTGCTGGAGAGGATGTGGAGAAATAGGAACACTTTTACACTGTTGGTGGGACTGTAAAGTAGTTCAACCATTGTGGAAGTCAGTGTGGCGATTCCTCAGGGATGTAGAACTAGAAATACCATTTGACCCAGCCATCCCATTACTGGGTATATACCCAAAGGACTATAAATCATGCTGCTATAAAGACACATGCACACGTATGTTTATTGTGGCACTATTCACAATAGCAAAGATTTGGAACCAACCCAAATGTCCAACAATGATAGACTGGATTAAGAAAATGTGGCACATATCCACCATGGAATACTATGCAGCCATAAAAAATGATGAGTTCATGTCCTTTGTAGGGACATGGATGAAATTGGAAATCATCATTCTCAGTAAACTATCGCAAGAACAAAAAACCAAACACCGCATATTCTCACTCATAGGTGGGAATTGAACAATGAGAACACATGGACACAGGAAGGGGAACATCACACTCTGGGGACTATTGTGGGGTGGGGGGAGGGGGGAGGGATAGCATTGGGAGATATACCTAATGCTAGATGACAAGTTAGTGGGTGCAGTGCACCAGCATGGCACATGTATACATATGTAACTAACCTGCACAATGTGCATGTGTACCCTAAAACTTAAAGTATAATAATAAAAGAAAAAAAACTTTAAAAAAAACATTAAAAAAAGAAAAAGAAAAGAAAAACAAAATTCAAAAAGGGGGTCATGAAGTTTATGTACTGAGTCACAAGGCTGAGAGAAATAATCACAAAATCTTGGTTTTGCCTTTGTTCTCAGAAAAACTGCATATGTGGCTGAAAATGACACTGATATAGACACTGATCTCCCCTCCAACTTTCTCCACCTGAAGTCCTCTCTACATAATGTGATGATAACTCTACCTTTCCAGCAGTTTAGAATAAAAGTCTTGGAATTATCTTTGACTGTCTTCTTTTCTCACACCATACATACAGCCTATTAGGGAATTTCTTTTTTTATTTTTATTTTTTTTTTGAGATGGAGTCTCGCTCTGTCACCCAGGCTGGAGTGCAGTGGCGCGATCTCAGCTCACTGCAAGCTCCACACCCCAGGTTCACCCCATTCTCCTGCCTCAGCCTCCCCAGTAGCTGGGACTACAGGCGCCTGCCACCACGCCCAGCTGTTTTTGTATTCTTAGTACAGACAGGGTTTCACCGTGTTAGCCAGGATGGTCTCGATCTCCTGACCTCGTGATCCGTCTGCCTCGGCCTCCCAAAGTGCTGGCATTACAGGCGTGATCCACCGTGCCCGGCCTTATACCTTAAAAACATATCCAGAGTTCTTCTAGGCATCTAAAGAAGATAAAGTTCAGGTATTAATCAACTTCCCAAAGTTTTCTCCCCAAACATTATAAAATAGCTTCACAAGGATAAAAATCCAGGCCAGACACAGTGGCTCATGCCTGCCTGTCATCCCAGCACTTTGGGAGGCTAAGGTGGGTGGATCACTTGAGGACAGTAGTTCAAGACCACCCTGGCTAACATGGTGAAACCCCATCTCTATTAACAATACAAAAACTAGTTGGGTGAGGTTGTGGGTGCCTGTAATCCAAGCTACTTGGGAGGCTGAGGCAGGAGGATCATTTGAACCCAGGAGGCGGAGGTTGCAGTGAGCTGAGATCACAGCACTGCACTCTAGCCTGGATGACAGAGCAAGACTCTGTCTCAAAAAAAAAAAAAAAAAAAAAAAAGTATAAAAATCTTACCCAAAAGCAGACACTCCATGTTACTTGAAAACAGAAGAATACTGAAACTTCAAAATAACTGTGAGTAGAAAGAGAAAAATTAACAAGAGCCACAGCCCTTATCCCTTACATTTCTGCCCACCTTTGCCCAGCCACAGAGCCGTACCTTAAGCAAAAGCAAACAGTAAAAACTGTCAAAAACCAAAAAGGATTCTCTAGCAAAGTGTAAGAGTTTGGGTGACCCTGAGAAAGACTAAATCCAAACAAAATCAGAAATTATGAAAAAAAGTAAACAGGCAGATCAGAGCAGTCACTACAGGAAAGGGATTTCAAAGCTCAACATACGCATGATTTAAAGGACAGAGGGTGCATCAAGGCCCAGGTGTGCAATTTAAAGATTTAAGAGTTGAATACAGTTTAAAAGCACAGGCATAGTTTAAGAAGACAGTCTTCCAATAACATAGCTCTGAAAAGAAGAGGGAGACAAAAGAAGACATGCCATTTGGGAATCTGGTGGTAAATCAGGGAGAAATGAGACAATTTTAGAGTCCTGAGTGACCAAAAAGAACCATAAAATTGTTCATAACATATTTCCCCACCAGTGAAACCAAAATGAACAACAAAAGCCTCCTGAAAGACCTAGATTTTGCTAGGCTACTAGAAAAGTCATTAAACCAAGAATCTTGTAAAACACTCCAATATCATGAAAATGAACAGCAGGAAAGTAAGATTCGTAGAGAACTATTTCAAAAAACTAAAACAAAACAACAAAACCTCCCAAAAACCCAAAAGCAGAAAATAGAATTTCACACAAATACATAAAACTCCCTTGAAAAACAACCATGCAACAAAGAAAATGATTGTCTACACTCCAAATTCAATTAAATATACTCAAAGAAGTCCTTAAGGATATCAGGATTTACCCTTAAATCAGAAATTCAAAAAACTGAAAGGCCAAACAGACTAAAAACAGGGAGAAGTTTCAAAATATTTCATTGAACTCAGGGAGAAATGGAAGAAAATGAGAAAATTACCACACAAATAAATAATAAATTAGAAGTTACCCAAGGAAAACGAAAGACAAATGAAAAAAATTTTAAAAGGCATTAAAGAAGGGGCATTGAATCCAAAATAATCAGACTACCAGGAGAAGTTTCAAAGTCAACAGGCAAAGCAAGGCAACAGCAAGCATAATTTTTACACATCTCAATGAAAGTGTACAAAAGGATTGTATATCCAGTCCAGCTGTCATTCACATATCACAGCTATAGGAATACACATTTCACATGCTAGATCTTAGTGATCTTAGGGAATTCTGCATCCATCAGCCCTTCTTGAGGACTCTATTAGAGGATAAGCTTTATCAAAACAATGGTTACTGGGAAAACTTCAGGAAAATTACTGATTGTGAGAACTTTATAAATTTATAATAAGATTAAGATGATAGAGGTCAGTGTGAAAGGCTAATATATGTTGTGACAAATTAGAAGTAATGCCACTAAAAATGGAAGAAGGTAAGAAAAGAAAGAAAGATACAAAAAGTGTATTGTTGTAAAGCAATAGATAGGCACTCAAAATGCTAGAAAATACTGATAAACACAGTAAAAGGTAAAAATACAATAGGAGACTAAGAGGATTACAAAGGTATAATTACAAAAGAAAGATCAAAATATAAAATTTTCTAAATACCCATATTTTTGAGAAAGCACTAAAAAAGAAACAACAAAACAAAATATTCATTACACACACACACACAAACACACACACATATCTTAGTCCTAAAGTCAGTACCATATCTTATTTAATGGGGAAAAAGGGGCATTTTTACTAACATCAGAAAAAAAGGTAAGGCTGCTTCAATCTTCTCTACTATTCAACATTGTTATAGAACTATGAGCCAAAGAAATTTAACAAATGAAATCAATTAGAAGCATAAGAATGGGAAAAAAGGAATAAAACAATCTCTGTTTTTAGTTGATATGATAGCAAACTGAGAACCCCCTGAGAATCAATGATAATAATAACTCAAACATTAAATAATTCAAGGAGCAGCAGAATATAAAATTAACAAACAAAAAATCAATAGCCTTCATATATACAAAAATAAAGTGACAGACCATAATGGCAGAGAATACCTCATTTATAACAGCAACAAAGAATATAAGCATTTTTAAATAAACTTAACAAGAAATGTATGAAACTAACATGAGAAAAGTTTAAAATATTCCCAAAAGACACAAAACTAGACTTGAACAAATGGAAAGTCATCCCCTGTACTTGGATAAGACAACTTAACATTATAAAAATGTCAGTTTCCCTAAATTAACTTATAAATTCAATGTAATCCAAAGACAAATACGAATAAGCTATTTTATGGAGTTAGAAAAATTAAAAATAAAGCTCATATGGGAAAACAAATATGCAAGAATAGTCACTAAATCAATGAAAAGGAAAACTGCAACAGTTTTTAACCTTACCAGATATTAAAATTTGCTTGCGGCAAAGCCTCTGTGATTAAAACAGGCATATAAATAAACAACAGACCAGTAGAACAGAATAAAAAGTCCAAAATTAGACCTTAATAAAATGGAAACTTAGTATATGATAAAAGTGACATCTCGAATCCCTGAGGTAAAGATCAACTTTTTAATAACTAGTGCTGGGTCAACTGGGTAGTCACTTGGAAAAAGATAAATTAGATCTACTGCTCATACCATACACAAGAATTAACTCAAAAGAGATTAGGGATATAAATTTTAAAAATAAAAATAAAACCAAACAAGTATAAGAAGAAAACACAGGTGAGTTCATTTTTAAATTTGATATAAGAAGAGGCTTTCTAACTATGACTCAAAATTCAGAGGTAATAAAAGATTGATAAATTTGATTACATAAAAATAAAAACTATTTTGCGTGAAACCAATCATAAGCAAAGTCAAAAGACAACTGAAAACCTGGAAGAAAATAGTGCAAACTACATCACAAATAAAGAGTTACTGTCCCTAATGTATCAAGAACACACCATGTATTTTTAAAAAGATATTAAAAAGGCTCCAAAACATGAAAAATATCCAAATACGAATAGAAAGCAGCAAGTCAAAACATTATTGAAACAACAGTTCCGGCTCTGTTTCAGTCCCCCCTAGAAACAAGATGTCCTTCAATTCTTTAGCACGGCGAATCACATGGCTTAGTGGTCTAAAACCCCGGGCAGGCTGTTTCCCCAGGTCCCTCAACTGCCCTGCAAGTGAGGCATGCGCAGATAAGATTCCAGCTACCCCAGCTTTCCTGAGCCTTGCGCTACCTGCTTGCGAAGAATCCTAGGCTTCTGCTTTCCCTTGCTGCCTATCTGTAAGTAGTAACCCTGCTTCATGTGACTTGCTGTGAGTGGGTGTCCCTCTCACCAAACTCAGATAAGATGATAACCAGGACACAGTGAGCCTGCTCCACATGGTTCAATGTACACATGAATTTCCTAGTTGTCTTCCCTAAGAGGACCTAAAGATGGAATCCAACAGCAGTGAGCACGCCAGATTACTTAGTGTCTTAATCATGGTTTTTTAACACCATTTTCCAATAAAAGGAACCAAGGATCAGTGGAGGATTGGTTGATTCCAGAGCTGGGGTTAAGATGAGCAGGCAACATCGTGTGGTACCAGAAACAGGAAGTTATTAAAAAAAAAAAAAAAAGATGGGGCTTGCAGAAAGAACAGAGCTGCCAAGCTGGAAAAGCTCCCAAGAGTCAAAGTTGAACATTTTGAGCACAAAATAAATAATGATGGTATTGAATTTTAACCCATAGAATAAACGATACTTCCCTGAGCCCATAAATAAATAATAGAATCAGTAAATACTTAGGGGAAAAGACATCACTCTCCTTACAATAAAATTCTAATTAATAAAAGTAGAAAAGACATGGAAAATCACTATTAGACAAGCACCACAGTAAAACATTGTTGGAGATGAGATCCACTGATGGATACAAAAATGAATGGGTAGAATTTTGAGAAACCGATTTGCATGGTATAAAAGTATTAATGTTATAAATAGAGAAATCTGGAATACACCATTATAACATGTGATTAAAGACAACAGCACCAATCATAAGACATGTAGACATTATGAAGCCCTTGATATGATGCACTGAGAAGTATAAATCATTTCTGTGGTATTTTTGATAAAAATGCACAGCTTATTCCAATCACGAAAAATCATGGAACTGCAATTGAGGGACATTTGTCAAAATAACTGATGAGTACTCTTCAAAAGAGACAAGATTTTGAAACCCGGGAGACTACAGACTATCAGACTATCACGGTTTGGAGAAGACTTAGGGGTAAAAACAACAAGGGTGGAATCTTGGAACAGAAAAAAGGCATTGTAAGAACTGGTAAAATTTGAATAGGGTCTGGAGTTGACTTAATAGTGTATATTGATACTAGTTTCTTGGTTTTGATTCTTATGCTATGGTTATGTAAGATGTTACCATCAGGGGAAGCTGGGTGAGTACGATACAGGAATTCTCAATCTACCTTTGCTAATTTCTCTAAGCTTACATAATTATTTTTTTCTTTTTACTTTTTTTCCTTCAGTCTCCCTGCCAACAGAAGTCTATATAATTAGCTCCAAACAAAAAGTTAAGCAAACTAGGCAAAATATATTCAGAATCTGAATACTTCTCAACACCTTGCTTTCCATCACACTGGCCAGAGCCCACTCCCCTGACTTTCTGAAATACCCTTTCCTGCTTCTATCCCCTCTCCCCACTCTGCCCCAGTCATCTTCGGAAAACATAAGTCAGATCATGTCACTTCTCTGTTCAGAATTCTCTAACAACTCCTTACTTCTATCAGAGAAAATCAGTCTTTTCAAAAGCCTCCAAATTCACATACATAATCGGCACCCCACATTCCCTCTCTAACCTGATTTTCAACTTTCCTCCATTTCCATCCTCTCCTGCCTCCCTGTTGTCCTTGAACACTCCAAGCTCACACTCCAGCCTTAGGGTCTTTCACAAATCGTTCTCTCTGTTTGGAAACTTCTTCCAGTGGCCACCATCCCCCCGCACCCATACACACAGTATCTCCTTTCCTTCCTTTAATTCTAATCTCTCCCTTCCCATGAAACACACAATCACCACCCTACTTGATGGTGCAACATGGGCATCACACCCTTCTCCCTGCTCTACCTTTCCTTTTCTTCTATAGGCTTTATCATGTTCTAACATACCAGCCAGGCAACTTAATAGTCATGTTTATTTTTTTTTCTTCATCCATCTATGGCCCCTTCCTCTCAATTTAAGCCCTATGAGAGAAGATACCTTTGCTCTTTTCATTGATGAATCCCTAGAACAGTAATAGATAAATAATGGCACTGTTTATATAATTTCAAGTAATTAAATATTTGTTCTCTCATTGATAGTATAAACAGAAATCAGAAGGGTTATACTTTGTGACTAACTCCACCAGATAACATCTTTACAATATGGGTATTCACATCCTAAGAGTCGCACAAATGCAATTCCCTTTTTTTTTTTAAAGAAAGTGAAGAAATATATCCAACCAGATATTTTATTTCATGTAACAACTATTGTGGGTTTCAAGGAAATATTTTGATAACCTTTTGCCACAATACTAAATTGAGTTGCTTCCAACTAAAGCTAAGTGGCCATGATTAATGGTCAAGGCATAAACACTACCACTTATTGCTTGATTTTTAAAAATGAGAGTTTAGGACATATTTAGGTAGATTTCACAAAATTTTTATTTTTATATTGTATGGACATCAGCAGCAATTCTTTATGTTAAATTTATTTTCTGAACAAATACAAACTTTGTTATTTTTCCGAATAGATATAGAAAGGTCATAATTCCTTCCATGATCCCAAATAAATTTTTTATTTGTCCCATTAAACTTCTCAAAGGGGTTAGCAAAAACAATAGACATTGTGTGCCCTTGACTTGCTGTAGCCAAACTTTTTGAACAGTATCATCCAGAGTAACTGACAAATGTCTAATACAGTGGGCTATTTTTTGTGAGAGACTTTGCTTTTTTTCTTTTATTTGCTTCTATGTATTCTTCTTTGTCTTTTTCTTTCTTTATTTTTTCAAATGAAAAGGAGGTAATGGGTGTTGGTAATGTTGCCAGTTGACAACTCATTTCTAGCATGCAATCGAGCTTCTAAACAGCCTTATGTTTTGTTTTCTATTCGTGGTTGGTTGCCCCCTTTAACCTTATCAAAGCAGTTAAATTTCTTCAAACTGTCAACCAGAGCCGTGTCAGCATCTTAAAGACAGCCACTGCTGACACGGCTCAGCAAAGCTGAATTGATCTTTCACCCCGTAGGGCATTCCACACAGAGAGCCAGTGCACCACCACCCTGAGCTTGACTTAAAGTTCAGCCTTTTCTGCCTGGTTGTCGGGAAGGCAAGCTGTGCTGTTCCATAGCAGTATTTAAAAACACTTCTGTTTCTGTGTATTAACACTTTGGCTTTTCTCTTAGCCTTGTAAGTGCCTAAGGGAGAAAGTTTGAGGAAAGAGGGAAAAAAATCAGAGGTAAATCCAACATACTGTGTGTCCCATGGCTTAAATAATAATCAGAGTACACTATTGCGAATTCAAATGACATGAAGTGGTGCTATCTGAGCACCAAGGAGTGTTTTCTTATCAAACTCTCAATACTTTTTTTGCCCTTCTCCATCTCCCAGCTCCCTGACCCTTCCATGCTTAAAGTCCTGTAAATTTCTGGAAAAGATTCTGAAACAAATATAGCTACCTCAGACAGTTTCTTTATTGTTGTGACTGGACTTTTTAAAAATTTTCTAGGATCATCTTGATTTAAGAATAGTTTTCCATTTCAATAAGGCAACCACACTTAAAACTAACCATCATTTCAAGACTTCTCCACAATATAATATATCTCTAAGTTACTTTTGTGCCTTACTGTCATGGAGCTATTTATAGAAGAAACCTTGCACTAAAAAATTTTACTTTAAAAATATTTGCTATTGGTTTGCTAATAGTTCTGCATAAAAATTTGCCCTTGAACTTACTATACTAAGTAATTTGTAGAGTAAAATTGACTGATATGCTATCATAAGCCCTTTTGATACAATTAAAACTTCCTTGAATTCAATAATCATTTATGAGCATTTTCTATGAGTCAGGTCCTGGGCCTACTGTTGGAATTATAGAGATAAATAAGGTAGTTCTTGTTGTCAAATAGCTCACAGTGTGGTCAGGGGATACAGGGAAACAACAACTAATGCCATGTGTTAATTGCTTTATGTAAGCAATCAGGATAATGTATTTTCCATAGATAGAATATCATAAATCCCCACACGTCTGAAAAAGAAACAGCTCCTCTCTACTGATATGAAAGTGTTATCATATGAAACTTCACATTTGATTAAATAAATGACACAGAATTGAAGTAATTTATCCAAGACCAAAAACTTCTTCGTTGACCAAGTTGCGGTTAGCATTTCCACACAGGGAATATGATATCCAGGAGCTGAGAAGGGAGACTGAAAAATATCAGAGGTAATAAAGTGACCATTATACTGATTCCAACTTAATCTTCCCTGAACTTCTGCTCTCCTATCAGCATACCATATATTTCCTCTAAAAAAGCACATACATTTTCTGACTTTTCCCTTCCTTCAATATACTAATAAAGTTGATTTTCTCTTCCCTCTTTCTTCTCTCCTCCTCTCCCTCTCTTTCTCCATTCTCTTTCAATACACACACACACACACACACACACACACACACACACTACATATAATATAGTTCATATATATGCTACTGACAGCTTTTAGCTTTCTTTCTTGCAATCTTATTTAACTTCATAGATCCATCATAGTTAATGACCTTCAAAATTGTGATGCCCAACCATTGGTTTAATGTTCAAAGGTCAAGAGCACACAAGCATATCCTGCAAGATAGTGATTGAAATGACCTTTAATAGACTTATTTGTTCATAATTTTACCATTGTAGGCTGCTGGATATCATAAATCATAAGAAGATATAAAGATAGTTTAGTTTATAAAGGCCCATACATTAAAAAAATCAAATACATTAGGCCCAACTACTATTAAGTTTCTGTCTAGGATTCTAAGAAATTACCAACTGGTCGAATTTTAACTACTGTCTTGACTGCAAGTGACATATCCATTCAGGAATCTTCACCTGATTTCATTTTCATTTTATAATCAAACTGCAATTACTATACTCTCTCTGCAACTATTCACAACACACATTTAGATATCATTGGGACATTAGGGAATACTTTTTTCTTATTCTAAAATTTTCCAGAATGTTTCATATACTTTTTCATTTCTCAGTAAAACTTTTAAAACGACTGCAACCAAATGGAAGCTTTATAACATGAGGTTTATGGAAATTGTTTATGAATATTTAGTTAACTTTAAGGCATGAGCTTATCACTTGGTATACCTTACTTAAGCATTTCACTGTATTCAAACATCACTTCCCTGGAAGCTTTGCAACAATTTCAGGATAACCATTTACTTTATTGATGTGTCCTCTGAAAAGAATCACAAAGAACCTTAGAGTTCTTATGTAAAATTTGAACTGAAAGAATGAGTTAGCCCAGCATGTAGCAGCCTTCTCTAAAGTAAAATTTTTGGCTCACTAGGGCTAAACAAAGGAAGAGATCAACAGGCTCCCAAATGTATGTTACTTGGGAAATGAGTGATTAAAAATATACATTTTTTGTACTTAGCATCTTAGATACCAATAGGGTGAGTGAGGAAATCAGAAGAGTAAGAGTGAAGGCAAGCTGACCCTGAGGAGCCTGTGGCAGTTGTCAGCCCAGAATGATGAGGATCTTGGCAAGCAGAGATGAAAGAAAGATCATTATTGCCAGGTCTCAAGAAGAGGGACTATTCAGGGATTGATTGGTAAATGACTTGAAATGGCAGTAGATCTGAATAAATCAAGATGATTCTGAGGTTCTGCTTCAAGGTTGTAAACACATCTAGGATTGAACTCATCACCTCTTTACAAATGCAGCTCCTCCTAACTTCAGACACCCTCATCATCTCAATCATAGAAGGTCCATTTTCTCTAAAGTGGCCCTTTACAAAAGCCTCCTTCTTAGTCATTCTGATTGTAGTCTTCCTATATGTTAACAGGTTTGTGTAATCTATCACTGGGAAATTTTGTGCATTTCCGACAGCTCTGTTAATATCATTGGTATGATTGGCAATTCGAATTGCATGGTTCACCATCATCTTCAGCTAGTGACCTTGGAGAGTTTGAGATTAGACAACTAAAAATTGAACGGAAGGACAAGCTTATGTTAAATTTGTAGATTATTAATCATCATGCGCCATACAGTTTTCAAAGTATTTTCTCATTTGATTTTTACAATCATTTCATAAAGTAGGAATCCCTTTCCAATGATAGAATTGATACTCAGAGATTTAAAACTGGCTGAAAATCCCAGAAGTGTTACTTGTTAGTAACTTTCTGCAGAATATAATGTAGAAACTTGCAGTTATTACATAGTTCTTTCTTTTTATCCAAACTTAACCCCCATATTAGAGATAGTAGCCTATGAGGCATAAACATGCCAGGATTCATAAGATTAACAACCAGAGATTGTATGGATTTCTTTTCAAAAAGTCTTTCAATCACACTAGGGACTTGACTCATGACTTTTAAACTTCTTCTTTTATATGCCACAAAAGATTCTAGGGCACAATCTAAAAGCAGTGTTTTATTACTTCTTTGCCATCAAAGATCAAGAAATATCACTGGGCTTTTCATTCTCTAAGTTGATATGGCATGTAAACTAGCTGTAATGATGTCATGGACAGCCCAGTTGTCCACCCCTCACCTCTGCCCGCAGACCTTAGGCTAGCAGTTCCTGGGAAATAGTCCCCACCCTAAAAGTCATCAGACCCCAGTTCCCAGAGAAGAGAGGGTTGAGCTAATATCAGGCCCTTTCTCTCAATTTATGTTTCATAGTAATTAACCTGCTCCTTGTTGTTCATACTTCTAGCTTGAGCTCCTCTTGCTTGCTTTCCTTCCCTGCAAACACACACAAGTACACACATTTCCAGAATCTAAGGTCTCTGATTCCATTCCAGACACCTCTATTCAAAGAACAGCTATGCCACAATAGGTCACTTACTGGACTTAATATCAGAAGACCCATATTTAAATCCTAGACCTTCCTCATACAATCAGCACAATCTTCATTTAATATTTATGGATGCTTACTGCATGTCAGACTCTATCTTTTGCTTTCCAAATGCTTTAACTTATTTCTTTCTCACAACATCAATATAAGGTAAGTATTATTATCATCCCCATTTTAGTTTTAAAGAACCCAAGATACTGACATGTTAGGTTACTTGCTTAAGCTGGTGAGTAGTAGAGTTAGGACAATTATTAACTCATTAATTCTCTCTGCACTTACTTCCTCCTCAGTAAAATAAAGATAACAACATGTCTCTTACAGAACTGTGCCTGGATAACACAAGAAAATGTGTATGAAAATACTAATTAAACTATAAGAAGCTCTACAGCATCCCAACATTATTGTTATTGATGATGTCTTGAAACCACCTTTTGTCAGATCCTAAATGATCTGTCTGGCTCTGATTCATGGTTTTATTAGACTTTCTAGTTACTTTCAACCTGGGCACCCTCTTCCATTTGTAGCCTGCAGGTAAATATACATTGATATTGACAAAAGTCTCCATTCTCAAAATCAAATGAACTATTATTCCTACCTTATCTTGACAGCTGATACAAGTATGCTGAGCTTATTACATGCCTTACGTAAGGATTTCCCAAATGTCTCAAACAACAATTCCATGATATAGACATTCCTAAAAGCTATGTAAAAGATACATATGTGTAATAAAAGCTATGATATTTTATATCTTTATAAACATAAGAATTCATACCAAATATATGGTTCACATAGGACAGAATCATCCCATAGCCAATTAAAGCAGAAACAAGAAATAGTAATCAAAGGCAGGCAGTATGTGGCCAGCAGGGAAGCATTTGACCTTATGGTTTCTGTCCTTTAATGTGACTATAATGTCATGCTGTCCTAACATTAATAGAAGCATCAAATCCATAAATTGATTTATGGATCCAAAATGTTTTGACTTTGTGTCTTTACCTCTATGCTTGAAGCCCAGCTAGCTGCCTGGTTTCTCTTTCATGGGCAAGGTGTCCTTTCTTATACAGCCTTACTTTGAATTTTTACTAAACACTTTACTTGTTTGCAAACTGTATTTTAAAGCTGTGGCTCTAATCTATAAGACTTGAGCTTCCAGACAAATACAGTATATTGGCAACTTGAAGATGAATGGAATCCTTTCTTTCCTGTATTAAAGTAGAGGAGGTCCATTATTTCTCACAGCAAGGCTGCTACAGCACCACAGCCCTTGTTCACACATTGCTTTGTATTATCACATTGCAGCATCTAGAGAAGCCAAATTAGCAATAAGCAGAATGGGACTGCATGGCTCTGCTTTGGGGCACAACATACCTTCAAGGGGTGAACCCCAAGGTAGAAAGAGAGCAAAGCCTATCAGCCATCTTAAAAATTTCTTTCCAAGTTTGCCTGCCTGCTTTTTATGTTGATAAATTATGCACAATCATATAAACAAAGAAGTAGTCTCAAAAGAATTGATTTGCCCAAGATTATGCAAATGTTAGAAGCATAATTGGAACTTAAGCCCAAATCTTCTAACATCTATTCCTAGTTCTTTGTGGTATAGCAATGCTAATGAAATGTAAGAAATACTTACTGATCATCTCTTACACTGGCATATATAAGGCATGGTCCTTGCTCAAAAGGACCTTACACTCTATTTTTGGAACATGACATAAACATGTGAAAATTTTATATGCACACACAAATTATTGACAGGTTAAAATACAAGGTTATCATAAGTTCATATGGCTAGCACACTTTTAGTGAGAATGCGAAACAGTCCAGCTGCTATGGAAAACATTACACGGAACTACTCAAAAAATTAAAAATAGAAATATTAAAAGATCCCACAATCCCGCTTCTGGGTATTTATTCAGAAGAATGGGAAGCAGGATCTTGAGAAGATGATAGCACTCCCATGTTCTCTGCAGTACCAGTCACAATAGCCAAGATGTGGAAACAACCTAAATGTTGATCTACAGATGAATGAATCCAGAAAATGTGGCATGGACATACAATAAAATCAGCCTTAAAAAATAAGAAAATTCTGTAATATGCAACAACATGGATGAACTTTGAGGATATTGTGCTAAGTGAAATAAACCAGTCACAGAAAGAAAACTACAGCATGATTCCACTTATATGAAGTATTTAAAATAGTCAAATTCATGGGATCAAAGGTTGAAATGGTGGTTACCAGGAGATGGAGGAAATGGGGAGTTACTAATCAACAGGAATCGCTTCAGTTAAGATGAATGAGTTGTTAAGATCTGCTGTACAATTTTGTACCTATAGTCCATGGTTGCTGATTATGTACTGTACACTTAAATTTGTTAGAAAGGTAGATCTCATGAGTTTAAGTGTTTTTACCACACTAAAATAAAATTAAACAAAATAAAAGAAAGAGAGAGAGAGAGCCTTATCATTCCAAAATGCTATCATCATAGTCTGAATAATAGATCTAATAAAGAAAGATTTTAAAAGTCAAAAAAAAGTTGATATGAGATGAATTTACAAGTTTTAGGTGTATGTGATAAAATCTGTGTATTTGGATGAGTATGTGGTTCCTGGGTGGGAGCTATCTGGAAAGTTGGATCAATTGTCAAGTTTATACTTTTTATAATTATCCTTGATTAAATAGGGATAGGCAGAGAGGAAGAAAGTAAAGAAGGAAGAGAGGGAGAGAAGAAGAAAAGGAGAGAGGAAGGGAGGGAGGAAAGAGACACTCTAATGAGGGATGGGAGTGAATAAATGTATAACCATAGGAAATTTTAAGTATAATCACCCTTAGAATTTGTTAGATTATCATTACTTGATTTCCTTAATACATTAGTCAAACTGTGTAGCAAGACACACATCCACACTCACACTAATTCGTAATCACTTTGAGTGGATCCTTTCGGCTTTGACAAATTTATGAGTCTTCACATTTTTATCAGGTTTCTCTGCTCATTATGCGAATGGAAACCACTCTTCTACCTGTCCCAGTGCAGAGGCAGCCTTATCCTACTAGCTCTCTAGACAAGCATGAACATGTCTGAGCCTACAGTGTAAACAAACAACTTGAGTCTTACTTCTGTAATGATATTACAAGTGTGTGTGTCCTTTGGGTGTGTTTATGTATACAACACACACCAACATGGCACACTGAAATATACCACAATTTTTCTCTAAGTAAATAAACCAGAACTCAGCTGCTATATTTCCAAAAGCCAACATCTCATGCCAACTAATGGAAATAATTCCATGGAAAAATATGAACAGTATTGTTGTATTTTTACACCGATAATTATATAAAAATCTTTTTTTCATTGTAACATTTGCCAGCTGCTATTCTTTTGTAATGCATATGGGTGAGTGTTCGGGTGCAAACATAATGTATCATCCAAACTATTAAGTAATGACCCTCGGACAACCAACATAAACCAGTCTATCACAGGCAAACCGGACGCTGTGTGTGGCTACTCAAGCTAGGGATCACTATGTAAGAAAATTCATGTGCCAACATGAACTTTAATATAAAAATAAGGAAGCAGGGAGAGGCACACAGGTGGGCAGTATAAAGCAATACCTTATGTTTTATTTTTTAATTGATTTCTGCCATTTTAGGCTTTATGAAATGATCATTATTCCTATTTCAGTTTCAGGAATGAACACCAGGATTTCATACTTCCGGTTTCCTCTGGCTTTGCCCTCCTTACATACTCACACACCCCATGACATGGAATAAATTGCATGAATCTGATACCATAGCTTTCTAAGCCCTAAAAAAATGTGCAACTCTGACCAGCAGTTATTGACTGGGTCAAGGGAGACAATTGTTCCAATACATCCATTCAAGAGTATGGTGTACAATCTATTAAAGGCCCTTGCACGTGCTTCAGTATCCAGTCGCTGATCGCCATTCTGTGCTTAATTTGTTTTAATTGTTTTAACTTTATAGTGTGAAATCCAGAATATGAAATATTTGGCAGACACATAAAGTTGTGAAGGTATGAAAACATCTAATTACTCTTTATAAATATTTAATAGAGAGAAGCCAGACTTTGCCTGAGAATTACAGGCTTTGTAAATTACCATGGTAACAATTAGTGTGTTACACCATGTACAGGTATTAATGAGAAACTGGGGACTTCTGCACTGATGGAGTATACAATTTTAAT
Source organism: Homo sapiens (assembly GCF_000001405.40). Classification (NCBI taxonomy): domain Eukaryota; kingdom Metazoa; phylum Chordata; class Mammalia; order Primates; family Hominidae; genus Homo; species Homo sapiens. The sequence goes on from NC_000018.10 coordinate 27,548,357, forward strand.
CAGTGAAATGGATGTAAAAGTTATTCTTGAAAATAAGGATAAATTTAGTTTTTATCAGTCATGCAAGTGTTTGTCCCGTTTACTTTTATCAGAATTATTTTGTTCTCATAAAATGTAATTTATTGTGCACCTACATTTACATGGTACAGTAAGCAAATATAGTTTCTGCCTTCAAGGGAAATCATAAGATTATGATATTTTCTCTCTAAATTATATCAATAGAGTTAATTTAGCTTGAGACTTCAGTTTGATAATGGGCAAAAATGGATATAGATTATTCATGGGTGAATATGTCCTTTTACTCAATAACATTAAGTCTTTATTAACATTTATTGAATATGGTCAGAATCACCTAATCAAATTCCATTATTATGAAAAGAGTATATATCACACTATTCAATTATTCATTCATTCAACAAATACTTACTGAGCATCGACACTGTTTTAAGTGTTAGAGATTTGACAATGAACTAGAAGATAAGGTTTCTGTTTTTCAGCAGCTTACATGCTTGGTGTATAGCTAAGATCCAAGCACACAAATCTTATTTTAATATAATTTCAGATAATGATAAGTTCAATTTTAAAAAGTAAGAGTTAAGTTTAGCAGAGTTTAATCTAGGCAGGGAGGGCTGTTTTTGATGTGTTTGTTGTTGGGTTTTTTGTTTTTTAGTCAAGATGGTTAGAGAAGGTGTCCCCAAGGAAGTGACAGTTGAGTTGAATAGAGCCCTGATAAAAGAAAATGGGAAGGGTCAGGAAGATGTTGAAGAAGTTTAAAGCTAGATGGAAAGCTTTGAGAAGGAAGTATTGACTATTGTGAAGTTGCAAGAATGGAGCAGAGTAGTAGAAAGAGTTCAAAGAGGTAAAAAAAAGACCAGATCAAGCAAGTGATCCAAAGTATCTCATAATCAAAATAATGGCCCCCAGATGCCCATGCTCTAATCCCCAGCACCTGTGAATGTGTTCCCTTACATGAAAAAAAGGGACTTTGTAGCTATGATTAAGTTAAGAATTTTGAAATAGGGAGATCATCCTGGATTATGTGGGCCCAAACTAATCACAGGAGACCTTAAAATCAAAGAGCCTTTATTGACTGCGGTCAGTGAAAGCGGTGAGGAGAGAAGCTGGCCCAGAATGATGCTCTCTTGCTGGCTTTAAGATGGAGGAAGAGGCCACAAGTCCAGGAATGCAGGTGGCCTCTAGAGGCTGAAAAAGATAAGGAAACTGATTTTCTCCTAGAGGCTCCAGAGAGAAACGCAGCTCTGTAGCCACCTTGATTGTAGTCCAGTGAGACATACATCAGATTTCTGACCTACAGAAAGGTAAGAAAGTAAATTTGTGTTGTTTTAAACTACTAAGTTTGTGGTAATTTTTTATAGCATCAATAAAACTAATATGAGGGATTTGAGCAGGGGAGTGATATGATGTGTACAACCTGTGTTTTGAGTGATTACTCTGACAGCTATGTGGAGAATATACTGTCAACACTGAAGTATATTCTCCACATAGCTGTCAGAGTAATCACTTAAAACACGAGTGGTTTAACACAAGAAACCAAAGATAGTGCCAGTAAGACGAGATAGGATACCATAGTTGCTGAAAGCAACTATGATTGCTTGGACTAGGGTAACCAAAGTGATGATAAGAAGTGGAAATATTTGAGATAAAATTTGGATGTAAAATCGTGAATGTAGTTCAAAGTCATAGCATTAAATGAGACCATTCCTACTCTACCGCTTTAGTCAATATGGTAGCCACTACCTCCATGCAGCTACCATTAAAATTAATTAAAAGCTAATAAAATTAAATGTTCAGTTTCCAAGGCACACTTGTCACATCTCAAGCTTAATTGACACATATGGCTATTGGCTACCTATTGGGCAACACAGATAGAGATTTTCATCATCACAGAAAATTGCACTGGACAGGACTAAAAAAAATGGGACAAGATAGAGAAGAAAAATTTAAAAGGGTCAAGACTAGATCTCTGGGCTATTCCAACTCTCAGAGTGAGGGATAGGAAAAGGAAAAAGCAAAGTAGACTGAGGAGTGGTTAGTGTTTACTTTTTCCAAGATTTAAAAATATCAAAACACAAATTAGAATACTACACTTAAAACAGACAATGTGATTCCATATGTGATTAACATAAATGTTGTTTTTGCTTAGCTTTAGCTGTTAAATCAGCTAACAAGCTGGAGGTACTAATGTTCTCTGAGATTCCAGTTATTGTTTAGTTCCTTCTAGAATGGAACTTTGGCTCTGAGGGACAGAGTCAGAACAGAAGAGACACAATGAGAGAAAGGGTGGAGTGGTTCTAGAGTAGAGTTTGCATCCTTCATAATTGTATATTGTGCCATCATTGGACGAGATGAGCAGAGTGGCTAATGGAAAAAGAAAAGCAAGATTAATTTGAATAACAGTTATTTTCCCTGACTATGCCCAGACTCACACAAAGAAGCTCAAATTAAAGTTTTATCTTTGTACTTTTTCCACTTGCTTGAGAGCTCATGTTTTATGTTACTAATAAACAATCACCAGCTGAGGATTTCTCAGATGTCTACTGCCCCTTAGCCACAGTCAAGCACTCAATATCTTGGAAGCAGTTGACCTTTGATACCACATTATTTGATGGTTTTGATGTGTTCATGTAAAGAACACACAATCAAAAAAAGGGCAAAAATCTTACAAGGAGGCAGACCTTGGGTGACAGACTAATGGGTCTCTGAAAAACCAAAGGAGAACTTTAAGAGTTGGAAATTCTGAGAAGGGCGGAGAGCAGTGCAGTTTAGAGAGAGTGCCGCCATTTTGATTGTTACAGTGCAGTGTCTATAATAGTTACCTAAAAAGCATTTCACAAACTCATTTACTCTTTGAAATAGTGTTTTCTGTTATGGGATGAAGTATAAATATAGACTTAAGTTCAGCTTCTTGTAAGTATTGCCTTGTTGGCATCAAAGAAGAAATTGAAAGAAGAACTGAATAAAATGTATTATGAAATACAAAATTTGCTGAAAGACAAGAGAGGGAGGAAGTTGGATATGAGCATTCATTCAACACATATTTATACTCTTTGTCAAACCCTGACCTTGTTACAAAGAATGCGATGATTGAAGATGCAGAGTTTTTCCCCAAGAAACTCACATCTCAGTAAAGCACTTAAAATGAACATTTCAGTAAAGCACTTAGTAGAGTGGTCAGCACAGAGCACAGAGTATTCATCATCATTTTTTTTTTTTTTTTTTTTTGTGACAAAGTCTGGCTGTGTTGCCCAGGCTGGAGTGCATTGGTGCGATCTCAGCTCACCAAACTCTCCACTTCCCAGGTTCAAGCAATTCTCCTGCCTTAGCCTCCTGAGTAGCTGGGACTACAGGTGCACACCACCATGCCTGGCTAATTTTTGTATTTTTAGTAGAGACAGGGTTTCACTATGTTGGCCAGGCTGGTCTTGAACTCCTGACCTCATGATCCGTCTGCCTTGGCCTCCCAAAGTACTGGCATTATTCTTTTTTAGTTTGTTTGTTTTCTTAGAGATAGGGTCTAGCTCTGTTGCCCAGGCTGGAGTTGCAGTGGTGCGATCGTGGCTTAGTGCAGCCTCAAATTCCAGAGCTCAAGTGATCCTCTCACCTCAGCCTCTTAGTAGCTGGGACTACAGGCACTCGCCACCACACCTGGATTATTTATTTGTTTATATTTTTGTAAAGACTGGAGTCTCCCTATGTTACCTAGTCTGGTCTCAAACTCCTGGGCTCAGGTAATCCTCCCACCTCAGCCGGTGAAAGTACTAGGATTATAAGCATGAACCACTGCACCCAACCATCATTAATCTTATATGTGAATTCTCTCCTTCTGGACTCACTGTGGAACAAATCCTTCTGGAATAACTTCTGCTGTACCCGTTCTGTCTAAAAGATAACATCCTACTGGTATTTTGACATATTTTAGCATGATTTTATTAGTTCATGCTATTAATACACAGCTAAAATATTAGAAATATGGGTAGTTACCACATTATAATTAGTGTAAGTTATAATTACTCTTAAAAATGTCTGCTAAGATGTATCTGTGTTCTTGATTGGCAAGGAAGTAGAGCAAAGCAATAATAGCTTTGTTCTTCACTGACTTCACCCTTGGGTATTCCAGAAGTCAGTATTTCCTAACCTTTTTTTTTTTTTTTTTGGTCCTCTGTATCATCATAATTCTCTTTCTGGCATGCCTTTCCACCTAGTGAGTACATGAAAACACACGCACAATGAACAAATGCACACACTAGCACATAGAGCTAAGAAAATAAAATAGTAAGAACATGGAACTAAGAATCCAAGTAAATCTATGTTCTAGTTAAGCTTGGTGATTGCAAGCAAGAGAACTGCTGAAATTAGTTCCAGTAAGCAGTAGCAGGGGGAACATCTTATAGTGCCAGAAGGTAAGAAAGTGCTAAAAAAGAAAAAAGAAAAAACCACAAATGCCAAAAGGACACAGGAGCCAACTGAAGAGTTCCCAGTAGGCAAAGAGGAAAAAATTTAATCAATAAAACAAATAACATAATACTGCGTTATAACCAAAAATATAAAATAAATATTCATAACTGTGTATGTATTCATTATATGAATATAAATAATTGAATAAGTAAATACATAGGAGAGAATTAAAAAATGTCCCTTGCAGAAGAATTCCAAATAATTTATGTAGATACTCTGACCGAAAGGAGAGGAAGCATAATTCCCCATTTCTTAGCTGTGGGTTACACATAGTGACTTTCTTCTAAAGAGTACAGTATAAAAAGCACGGGAAGAGAGAGTAACTTTACAGTAGAGGAACCTACCAAACACTACCTCACCCAGGTGATCAAGTTGACATCATCAACAATAAGTTATGTTAGTAGCACGTACTCTTTTTTTTTTTTTTTTTTTTTTTTGAGATAGTGTCTGGTTCTGTTCCCCAGGCTACAATGCAGTGACATGATCTTGACTCACTGCAACCTCTTCTTCCCAAGCTCAAACCATTCTCCGACCTCAGCTTCCTGAGTAGCAGGGACTGCAGGCACATGCCACCATGCCTGGCTAATTTTTGTATTTTTTGTAGAGATGAGGGGTCTCACTCATTTGCCCAGGCTGGTCTTGAACTCCTGAGCTCAAGCGATCTATTGGCCTCGGCTTCCCAAAGTGTTGTGATTACAGGAGTGAGCCACTGCACCCAGCCACAGGTACTCTTTTATTTATTTTTTATTTCTTTTAATTTTGTATTTATTTCTTTACAAAACAAGGTCTTGTCTTGCTCAGTTTCCCAGGCTGACATGCAGTGGTGCACTCATAGCTTACTGTAGCAGTGGTGCAATCATAGCTCACTACAGCCTAGAACTCCTGGGATCAAATGATCCTCTTGCCTCTACCTCCTGAGTAGCTGGGACTACAGGCATGCACCAAAATCCCTGACTAATTTTTTTAATTTTTGTAGCAGTGGGGTCTTGCTGTATTGTCCAGGCTGGTCTTGACTTCCTGGACTCAAACAGTCCTCCCACCTCAGCCTCTCGAAATGTTGGGTTTATAGGTGTGAGCCACCATGCCTCACCAATAGGATGTACTCTTGCAATGTGATGAGATTGGCTGTTTATCTCTGTGACCTTCCTCTCCAAAACACATTACCCCAGTCTAATCACACACACACACACACACACACATACACACACACAACAACAGGCAAATCCCACTTGGAGACATTCTACAAAATGCCTGACCAGCAGTCCTTAAAATTACCAAGGTCCTCTAAAACAAGCAGTCTGAGAAACTATCAAAGCCAAGAGAAGCCTAAAGAGACATGATGACTAAATGTAATGTGGTATCCTAGATGTGATCCCGGAACCAAAAAAAAGGATATTAGATAAAATCTAAGGAAATCTGAGTAAATTATGAACTTCAGTTAATAATGCTGTGTCAGTATTGGCCTATTAGTTGTAACAAATGTACCACGTTGATGGAAGATGTTAATAAAAGTAATAATAGGGAGAATTAGGTGTGGATTTCTGGGAAGCTTCTGTCTTCTAAAAATTAAAGTTTTATTTTTAAAAAGTGGAGGAAGTGAAATCTGGCTGGTTACTGAAGGTGAAAGGGAATCTCTTAGAGTCAAAGATCAGACTCACGGTCATGCCTATGAAAAGCCAGACCTGGAGACTAGAGAGCATTAAGGCACAAGGGAGAGCATTAAGGCACAAGCCATCCTTGATGTTTTTCAGTAGCCACCGGATTTCTTATCTATGCTTTATCTAATATATTAGCTTCTCTTTCACAACTTTCTTTATCTACTAAGTAACCATGCACATGGTTCACCATGGCTAACATTTCTATCTCTCAGTCACTGCATTAGCTTCAGCAAGAATCTTAGCTGACTTAAGTCAATTTTTTTTCTTCATAATAGACACGGAATCTGATTAGCTGCCAGTCAGGCAATGGCTTGTCTGTTCTTAGAACAGATATGCAACCTTAGTCCACATAATTATTTTGGGAGGAGGAGGCAAAGAACCATGTGATATTTTAGGGTCTCAAATATGAAGGGTCTTTAAAATTTTCATGAAAAATATGTATTATGAAAAAATTGCGCATGGATCTCAAATTTTTTTGTACCAAAATAAACTCATACTAACTTGTTATAACATATCTGAACAGAATCTAGTTTGAGGCACTAAGAAGGGTAAGACATCAGTTTGAAAGGAGCCCCTATCAGAACAACATGATGTCTGCTAAAATTGAAACAAGAATAAATGGCAAATTTAAGGTGAAGCTTGGGTGAAAGGATGGTGAAATCACTGATGCTTTACAAAAAGTTCTAGGAGACAATGCCCCAAAGAAATCAGCATTATGCAAATAATAACTAGTTTTAAGAAGGGACAAGACAATGTTGAAGATGAAGCTTGAAGTGCATGCCATTCACATCAATTTTCAAGGAAAAAATTAATCTTGTTCATGCCCTAATTGAAGAGGACCAATTATTAATAGCAGTAACAATAATCAACACCATAGACATCTCAATTGACTCAGCTTACACAATTCTGACAGAAAAATTAAAGTTGAGTGAACTTTCCACTTGGTGGGTGCCAAAACTGTTGTGCCTAGATTAGCTGCAGACAAAAGTGGAGCTTTCAATGGACATTTTACATGAGGGGGATCAAGATCCTGAAGCATTTCTTCAAAGAATTGTAATAGGAGATGAAACATGGCTTTACCGGTACAATCCTGAAGACAAACCACAATCTAAGCAATGGCTACCAAGAGGTGGGAGTGGCCCAGTCAAAACAAAAGCTGACACATCAAGAGCAAAGGTCATGGCAGCAGTGTTTCGGGATGCTCAAGCATCTTGCTGTTGACTATTTGGGCGGCCAAAGAATGAAAACATCTGCTTATTTATGAGAGTGCTTTGAGGAAGCCAAAGCTTGAGCTGAAAAACGCCCAGGAAATCTTCACCAGAGAGTCCCTCTCCACCACGACAATGCTCCTGCTTATTTATCTCATCAAAGATAACAGTGCAGGAGTTTCAATAGGAAATCATTAGACATCTACCTTACAGTCCTCATTTGGCATCTCTGACTTCTTTTTGATTCCTAATCTTTAAAAAAATCTTTAGTTGGGCATGGTGGCTCACGCCTGTAATCCTAACACTTTGAGAGGCCAAGGCAGGTGGATCACTTGAGGTCAGGAGTTTGAGACCAGCCTGGGCAACATGGTGAAATGCCATCTCTAACAAAAATACAAAAATTAGCTGGGCCTGGTGGTGGCTACCTGTAACCCCAGCTACTCAGGAGGCTGAGGCAGGAGAATTGCTTGTACCCCAGAGGTGGAGGTTGCAGTGAGCCAAGATCATACCACTGCCCTCCAGTCTGGGCGACAGAGACTCTGTCTCAAAATAAATAAATAAATAAATAAATAAATAAATAAATAAATAAATAGATAAATAAATAAATCTATCTTTAAAGAGCACCCATTTTTCTTCTGTTAATCATGGAATAATATTGCATTTACATAGTTAATTTCCTAGGACCCTCAATTCTTTAGGGATGAACTAAATGGCTGATATCATTGCTTACAAAAGTATGTTTAACTTGCCAGAGCTTATGTTGTGAAATAATTTCAATATTTTTATTTTTATCCTTTAATTTTATTTTTCCATGAAATTTTTGAAGTCCCTTTGTAGAAAGTTCTTTAAGGTGAATAAGGACAGAGGAGGATAATGGAATAGGTTTAGTGCATATGACAAAAGCATAATATAAATATATACCTATACTATAAATTCTAAAATAATATAAAGAAACAACAGAAATTATCATGAGTTATGCTACAGTTGTGTAACAAGCAGAAAATCTTGATGTCATAAGACAATACATACAGATTTAACTCATGAGTCTGTAGCGTTCAGCCAATGTAGGCTGAGCTCAGCAGGGTTGGTCAAATATCTGTGGATTATTTCCATAGTAATGATGTCTGATGGTTGGCTAGCTATCAGTTGGAGCACTAGGGACACGTGGGCCACATGTCTTTCATTCTCTACCAGGCTAGCCTGGACGTGTTCTCATGGCAAAGTCAGGGAAGCAAAAGAAGAGATGGAAATGGCAGGTACTTTAACAAGCCTCTATTTGCATCACAACTGTGAACATATGCTGGCCAAATTTAGTCGCATGGCCAAACTCTAAATCAAGGATCAGGGAAATATATTTCCTCAATGCTGTGCTCTGCTAAGTCACATTGCAGAAGGTGCCAATATGATTGGTGGTGGTGGTGATGAAGAACTGGGACAATTAATACAATCAATGTACTGCATAAATGAAATATTTAAGTTATCAGATGGTGAGATTAATTTGAGAAGCCCATCCAGACAAAGTGATTTTGAATAAGTGTTTTTAAGCCAAATTATAAGAGAGCACAGATGGATGTATTCATTATTTTGTCTGATTTAAAAGTATTCCTACTTTTGTTATTATGGATAAAGGGATCAAAAGAGGACAGGATGTAGCAGCTTCTATGTCCTGGAGTGAAATTATGATTCAGTTATTAACTCTGCTGCTCAGTAGCCCACAAGAAGTAATGCTGTATCCTTCTATTTGGCCTTATCTATTGTGACAAGGCTCCGGGGAGCTGATGCGCATGAAATTCATTTCATGTCTCATGCACAGAATGCCTGAGTTTTGAAAATACCTTTATGATGTTTCAGGTTTCAGTTACCTAGTGTGTGATCTCACAAACTCACAGTCTTCAAAAGAAAGAACATTAACTTCTCTCAGAAGCTTCGGATTCTTTGTTACCAGAAACCCAGGAGGCATCATTGCAGGAGAAACATACAGGAGCACACAGGTCACTTTTGATAAAATGTCATGTATTCTAAGGGCACTAGAAATACGTTTTTATGCAAACTCAGTTGAAAAGATAGCACAGGTTTAGATAAAATAGATTCAAACCATGCTTATGTATAATACATTAACAAATAGATCATAGTCTTCCCATATCAAAGGTTTCTCAAAATACTTCATATAAATAAGAAAGACTATATTGTGACCATGGTAGCAAATAGATATAAAAATGTGCAAATAAGAACAATGGCATTTTCAGAATCTCACAGGAAAAATTCAATTACATCTTTCTTCCATTAAATAAGAAAATGTAAGAATACACAAAAGACTGGAACAAATATATAATGCCCTCTCATTCTGCAATAAATTGCCAGTGTTGCTTTTTATCACTCTTACTTCTTTCCATGTCATAATAATTAAATCTGAATCTTCCATTTTGGTTCCCTTCCAACAAGCCCTTGAGAATAAGGCTGACAAATGCTTGACACTCCCCTTACTCCGCCAATGGTATACATCACAGTTTGATTTGGGAGCTTTTCCCAGTAGAGACTAGACAAGGTCTACAAATCCATCTCAACATATTTCTCTGGTTAACTCCATGTGGGATTAGAACTAGCACCATGAGGAAACCAGTGTGACCTCCCTAACCCATTCGTGTCTCCTCCCTCTCTGCCTTGATTAGTCTAGCCAACTCCTACTCACCCCTCAAATTTCAGCTCACTACCACATCTCCCAGAAGGCTTCCCTGACTGATCATTCTCATTTTGGTATACCTCCCGTGTTCTCATAAAATCCTGGTCCTATCTCAATGAAAGAGCTGTTTGCACTGTGTCATCTTCTATATTTAGTTGTCTATCTATTCCACTCACTGGTCTATGAGAGAGATATGAGTGAATCAAAAAGAGAGAAAAATTATATTGCAATTTGTCTGCAGAGAGCAACTAAATCTCATAGCACAGTGCTTAGAACACGGTGCCTACCATTTTGGTGACTGTATGCTTGTCTGTGAGATGGAGAGTGAGTGAGCAAGTGAGTGATTTAGAAAGTGAATTAACTTGAAGAGAAAAGGCCCATGTGTACGTGTTTTTCCTTCTATCCCTGCTCCCCACTCTGAAAACTACAAAATGTTGGTGACATTTTTGAGAGCTTATTTGAAGCAAAAACAGTCCAGTTGAAAAATGTCAGTCTTATGTAACATCTCTAAAATTCTTGGGCTGGGATGAGAGGGTGGGAGCAGCAGTGAGGTGCTGACAGAAGAGGTTTTATTTTTGGCTCCATTGAGAGCGCTGAGGATACAAGTTGATTTATTTATGCAGGCAGCTCAATTCCATGACAAGAGCAATGGGGCTTGGAATTGAGAAACTACAGCTTACCTCTATCAAGTTACTTAAAAATTCTAAGCCCCAGTTCCTATTTTTGTAAACTAAGGACAACAAGAGCTACCTCCTTAGAATACTCCAAGGGGTTGTTACGACAAGATGGACAGATCACTGCAAGCCCCTTCACCTGGGATACACCCTGGCGATGTTGGCAGAATCTTTGCAGCTACTGGAAGTCCCAGAATAAAGTTGGTTATCTCTTCCAGCATCTTTTTATTCAAGGAGGTAGGGGACATATTAATTTTGTATTGAAATAAACAGGTATATTACATGTATAGAATGCAAAATGCTCATGAATATTTATGAGACTTCAAAGAAATTTCATACTTAGAGCAACAGACTATCCCCTGAATTGCCCAAGGGTTCATATTTACTTTTCTCTGCTGCTAAGTTAGAAAAGTTGGAAAAGCCCTGATTATGGTAAGTAGTTTCAAACACTTTCAAACATCACATAACTGTCTCAGATGGTCACAGTTTTAATATTATTTATTTACGATTTTTCCTTAGAAATGAGTCTTGTGACTAAGTACAGCTTATAGATCCAAAGCCAGCAGTGGCTACTTTGTCTTATTTTATAGACCATGTATGGAATTCTTGAAGTACATTTACATAATTATTTCCCCAAGCATCAAATTAATTAATTTTTTTGTCAGTCATGAATGCAAAGTGCATCTCTCTTTGGCAGATCCTTATAAGTAAACAATAAGAATGAGAAAAAATGTTAGACTTTCTGCTCAAGCAGTCTCTCCAACACATACAATAGTGGTGGCAACTCATCTTGCAGAAGAAATAAATTGCAACTCAGCCGGTGTGGAAGAGGTTTTCAAACATAGCATGCACAAGATGCTATTCTATGTTTGCTTTCAGGATTTGAAAAGAAATCCTGTGTAGGTGTTTTGTGAGAACTAGAAACTGCCACCACTGTTTAATTTCATATAACAACAAATTCCTTCCCTATGTGGTCATATTAATATTGCTGCTTAAGAGATTGATGCTTTTACCTACTCACGCACACCTGAATGTGTGAGTAAGTGAAACCTACACAAACCTACACACAATGATATTCAGTTTATTGGAAGACATGGCATTAAAAGCCATCAAGCCCAAACTGCTATTCAGTTTATAAGACAATGTGATATTAAAAGCCATCAAGCCCAAATACAAAAGAACATTGGAAGTATAGAAGTGTTACAAATAGAGAGGAGAAATCAAATGTAGAAGAGAAATTGTGAAGCAAGAGAAAGCAAGACTTCGGCAAGATAGAACCAACATTTGATACCAGAAATACCTGACAAGAGTGATTGCTATCAAGAGATGAAAAGGATATTTGTATTTTCTCAGGTTCTATGTGCATCTGCTTGTGATTATGTTCATAACTGCCAAACTTCTGTTTCATATTCCATATGAGAGAAGTTTTTGGTTGTTTGAAGAGTGTGTACATTTTGTTTTGTGTTTTGTATTTTAGGGCTGCTGACTGTTAAAAGAAAAATATGGATAGAATAGGAAGACCTCAGGGTTTCAGAGTTTGAAAAAGTTCTAAATATCATTTCTGGACTTTGCTCAAAACTCCAGCTGAATTTCAAGTTCTGAAACTGGAAAACACATCCTAGAAAAGCTTGCATTTTTACAAATTTATTTCAGAAATCTGCCTAGCCTTTGCAAAAGTCCTATTTTCTGATTTACCTGATGGCCCTGATTCGGCTGCAGGTTATTACAAGAAAGCTTTTCCCTTTTGTTCAAGACCCAAAGGACAAAGGATACTTTTTTCCCCCTAACAATTTATTTTACAGGCTTATCCTGATTCAGTGATAGAAGAATACTCACACTTGAAAAGTACTTCAGACTTGATGATAAATGCTGTGGTTAGGTATTATCTCCATTCAAGTGTGCAAAACCCTAGAGAACTGATTGACAGCTGTGGGACTGCATTATGTGAAGGAGGCTCCTCACACCCATCAGGAGTCTGCCTGATGAAATGACTTGATCAAACTGTTAACAAGATACCTGCAATTCCAATACCAAAGACCATTTGGTCGATGAGAGATTCTTAACCTTTGTTATAACTTTTGGATGAATAATCTAAAGCCAGAGACCAAAGATACTGAAATTATATCCTGTACTCTACTCCTTCTCACTGCTCAAGGCAGATTGCCACCAATATTCTGGAGAAAGAGAAAGAGAATACATCAAAGAAGGGGCAACTTCTGAACCACGTTTTCCAAGAATGTCTTTTGGATTGTCAAGAATATAAGAAATGCATGTACAGTACAACTGTTTAAGAAATTGATATTAGCCAGTATACTCAAAAACATCTAATTCAGGAGACAAGTAATGTTAAAATGATCTACATGGATTTTGAGTTGTCAATTCTTTAACCATTTTCTTAGAGAGGCACACACTGTAAATTGAGTCAAATCTGCATTCAGATTTATATTAGAATCCTTGAGGAATTAAATCTAGAATGAAAAAAATCACACTCAATCAATGCCCAGACTAGTCTGAGTTTATCTTACATGTTCCACTTCATAGGTGTGTGTGTGTGTGTGTGTGTGTGTGTGTGTGTGTTTGGAAAGTTTCAGGTTGATCAGCTTTACATGTCACTGAAAGATGCATTCAAAATAATCAAGAGCTTTAAGTGTAATGCAAACGCAAGTGTCATTGGAATGACAATGATCTCAGCATGCTATCTCTGTGGGATATCTATAGTCATTTCCTCCTAAGTACACATGCATCCGTTCCAGGGTCTTGAATGATACAAAGTCAGTGCTTCCTCAGGTAAGCAAATGTTTCCACAGTGTTTCCGTTTCTATAGAATTGTCATGCTGGGGATTTGTGGAATTTAAAAGAGAAATTTTATTTGAACAGGAAAACAACTTGTGTGGCTGGGAGGATAGGGGAAGGAAAGGCCCCTAGTGTGGGAGACTTTACCTTTTCTTCTGAGAAGAGGAGGAGTGGGGGGGGTGTGTTGGCGGAGATGCAGAATCTTTCTCCCCAAGCCCTGTCATCCAATACTCTCACTTACAAGGCACTTAGCCATCACTTCTCTCTGCTGATGGCTCTCCTCCCGCCATTTAAAAATATTCATTCACTTCCATTTTTCCAAACTCTTAGCTCTTGCTATACTTTCTCATTCTTTCCCGACTGCTTTTTTTTCCTTCACTTTTAAAGAAAAAATATTCATGACAATTGCTAAAGATGGGTTAAGCGGACTCCATTCGTTAGGGGCAAGGGGGCTATTACAACGGAGTTCTGAGGTAAGGGAGAGCGCTTGGGCTTAATTCAGAAAACAGCAAGGCCAAATGGAGATTTATAGCCAAGGAGTAGGGTTGGGGAATCAGAGGCTAAAAAATTACTAAGAGGAAACATCAAGGCTAGGGGAATTCCTGCTAGACCCACCACTTAGGATTCTTGCTGAAGGCAGGCCAGAGAGTAACATATCGAGGTCAGGGAATGAGGAATTTAAACAGATATCAAGGATGGGAAATTTTTACTAAACGAATTCAGCAGGATTCTTGCTGAAACAGGACTAAACCAGCCAAGTACAGAGCCAAAGGTCAGGGCCTTGAGGGCCTAGGGAAGCCCAAATAGAGTTAGGTCGAGGAGAGCTTCTGCTGTCACCTAAGATAAGATGAATGGTCCCCACAACTTTGTTTTCCAGTCTTCACAAGAAAGGCACACTTCATCAGATTCTTTTTCCTACGTAGACCCACATGTTGGCTCAGTGTCTGTGAAATAAATATGTACGATTGTAGCCTACAGACTGGTTCTGGATAAAACTGCCATTCCCCAGATAAGACACAGGTCTTCCTGTCTTGTTTCCAGTTTCTTCCACATTATTTTAGCAGAAAACTACAGTCATCTTTATACTTATTGCTTCACCCATATCTAATCTATTAACCATTTCTCAACATTCAACCTCCAAAACCTATCTCAAATATTTTGCTGCTCTCCGTTCCTACAGCCACTATCATAAGTCACTTCCTTCCTGGATTTCTACAACTGTCTTCTAATTGGTCTCTCTACTTCTTTTCTTATTTCCTTCTATCTCCTCCAAACTTTTCTATTCTCAAGTGAAACAAAAAGGCATTTTTAAAGCAAAAATGGAATCATATTATAAAAACAAAAGCCCTCTTTTTTGGACTCTCCATTTTACTTAGAATATAATGAAAACACCTGGCTTTGGTCTATAAATCCATGCATGCATGCCTCGAACCCTGTCTCTCTCTCCAACCTCATCTTGTTCCAGTGTCTCTCTCATTCATTTTGGTTTATCCCATCTCAAGAGTTTTACTTACTCTTTTTCTCTGCATAGATAGCTTTTGCTTCCTTTACTCCTTCTGTCTTTGGGTCTCAGGGTCCACATGGCCTATTTGGAAACATCCCTAAAATGGCCTCTGCTTTTCTCCCTCTAAACTCCTTGTTTGTTCTCTTCCTAGCACTTATTAGACTTGAACATTTTTTGTCTATCTTTTAACTTGTTTTGTGGCTGCCTCCCCCAGAAACAATTAGCTCTGTAAAGATTAGCACCTATCTGTTTAATTTGTGATAGTATTTCTCATATCTAGAAAATTGTCTAATACATGGTAGATACTTGATGAATATGTTTTGAATGAATGAATGTTTCTAAGGCACTTTTTCCAAGTGTCTTTGACAGGAATTATATTGAGAGTGTAACTAGTCTTATTTCAAAACCTTATTGTCTTTGGATGTAGAAAGATTTGAAATTATTTTGAACAAATATCAAATTCTTCACTCAACTTCTCCAACCATATTCAAATTACATTTACTAATGAGTCTGGGTTGTTACTGAGTTATAGATGCCTTGAGTAAATGGAGAAGAGGTACATGTCCAAAAAAATCAATTTTTACAGAACCATCTAAGTCTGCTTTCAATGTTGTGGCACAATCTTACCAAATAAAAAGATGGTAACATGGGTAAATAGAATGGAATTCCCATGTTTATTGTTACAACCAGAGTGACTACAGAGTTCTGCAGGTTCTAATAGTGACCCCAGAGTAAAATAGACTTGTGCTTCTACATCCTCCAATGTCATTAGGAGTAAGCCTGCCCTGAGGTAATGTCTGTTTTGCACAGTTTCTGCCAGAGGTAATGATCAGTGGTGAAGTATGGCCAGCACAGGGCTCGAAATGCTTTGGAAGGCCAAGACAGCTGGCTGAAGTAATTTGGCCTCAGACAGAGGAATTGGCAAGTGCCGGAGACACACACTGGATTACCCTCCCTTTCCCAAAATAAATTAAATGCTGACCAGCATTTCTCTTGGGATAATCAGGAAATTGGACCCATGATCATGTCATCAAATATCCTTCTCAAGGGAATCCAAATTATGTAACTGGCTCCACTCTGGAAGGCTCAGTCACGTACTCATCATGGCATACTTTTTGGATAAACTTTGTTTGAAAGAGCTGAACACAAAAATATATAGGCAGCTGTTTGTGTCCACTCTTTCCAAGGTCACACCAGAGTTTGTGTTATCCTATGAAGAATTTTATGTCACTTTGCAGGGACAGTGGGTAAACTGTCCTCTCAAATTAGATTTTACTTCCATTTGCAGGTACTTTTTTTAGAATGAAAGCCTTATTTGACTTAATTGCAACAAAATTACCACCACCAAACAGTTTACATAACTATGAAGTTAATAAACGTGGTTCATATTTTTTTTTTTGACGGAGTCTCGCTCTGTTGCCCAGGCTAGAGTGCAGTGGCGCAATCTCTACTCACTGCAAGCTCTGCCTCCCGGGTTCACGCCATTCTCCTGCCTCAGCCTCCCGAGTAGCTGGGACTACAGGCACCTGCCACCATGCCCAGCTAATTTTTTTGTATTTTTTTTAGTAAAGACGGGGTTTCACCATGTTAGCCAGAATGGTCTCAATCTCCTGACCTGCTGATCCGCCTGCCCTGGCCTCCCAAGTGGTTCATATTTCTTAACCCTTTAAGAAGGGGTAGCACATTAAGTACTTTCTATAGGAATATTTCTAATAAGTGATGAATACACTAATTTTTCTCATTTGCCCAAGTGGGTCTTTTTTCAGATTAATGTATCTCAATTATCATAATAGTTGCTAATAGTCAATTTTTTTCAACTTTCTCTTCCTCTAACTCTGCTTCAGTCAAGTCCTTTTCAAAATGAAATGTCACAAATTGAATATGATGATGCTGATTTTGTTCAGATCAATGTAAAATATAATGAAACTATAACCAGGATAGTAGGAAAATAGATCTGAAATCATAGCTACATTCCTGTTAAGTGAAATTTCAAGTTCTTTGCCAGGCTTCTGTGTTACTGTTAGTGGAGTAGATGGTCCTTATGTTTACCTGAGCACTATGGTGGGTTTGGGGAAGCCTGGGACTGAGCTTCAGAGTAGAAGCAGAGGAATAATCCAATTGCTCCACCAAATAGAAGAATTTGGAAGGCAGAAATCTTGAAAAATTGAGGGAGAAGTAAGAGAAAAGAAGGAGAGATAAATAATAGAAAATAAATTATGACAGATTAGGGAAAAATCTCAAGTGGTAGGGTAGTTAAAAGACTTTCAGAAGAAGGACATCTAATATACAATTTCAAGTTTTTAAATTTCTACAGTGTAACTTCCTGTGAGTCTTCAGTGAGGTGTACTCTTCTCTCTCTGTGAATCTCAGTGTGTGTGTAAATCAGGGAAAGGTCCAACTCCATCAGTGCACCCCATATCACCACGTGGAAGAGGAGCAGCTGCTAAAGACAGTCACGTGATCCATTACCTGGGTTAATTAAGTGGAGGTAAATCCCAAAGCCAGAGGTGGCCACAAGAACATAATCCCTCTCTGATTTTACAGTCATTTCTGAATCATGCCCAACTTGGAGAAAATTTAAGACAAGGAAATCCCTTCTGCTAACTATAGAAAAGGTGCAAAAGAGCTGCTGGCAAGCAGAGAGAAAGCCATCTCTAGAGCTTTCTCAGTAATTGAGTCCAGCAATGTTCAGAGGGAGTAGAGCGCAAAGCTGAACTTCCTTAGACACATAGGTAAGAAAGAGATCACTGCAGGAAGGAAGATTAACGAATTTCTGCAAAAAGCAGTTGAAGTTCTGATAGAAGCAATAAACCATTTTAATAGAGACTGGTATGGGATGTAGGCAAGAAGAAGGACACAGCCACAGGGTAACGAAAGCAGAGAATGCAAGCAGGACTCGGATGGAGACAAGTGCATTAGATACATCTGGCTACAGGCTTCAGGTTCTTCATGAATTTCTGTATGTGGAATAACTGGGAGGTATCTTGACCAGCGCAGGTATATTACTTGAGTTTGTTGTATTTAATAAGGTAAAATAGAGAGTAAACCAATAGTGTGAGCTCATTCATGTTCAACTAATTGTATGTCTCTTTTTGGAAGTCTTGACTCTGTAAAGTTCTTTAAAAGATGATATAGATCCTACCTGGACTGGGAGGTCCCTGTCTGACAATTTTTGGTGTGATTCTGGAACCCAGAGAGAGCAAAACAAGTTAAGTACATCCCTCGCAACTTACTGCACCAATAAAAATAATGAATATATCCATTTTCATATAGGTTTAACATGTGATACCAAGTAGGCACAAACGGTGGAAGAAAAGAATGACAGGAAGGTATATCGATATAGTACTTATCCAGTAGTTTCTCTGCTTTGTAAACAATAAAAAACATGGTTAAGTGATATTTGGCAAAGTAAAGAGAATCTTAGGAACTGACACCTTATATTAAACCCTTTCCATCCAGAAGGAGTTCTATTATTAAAATATTCTTCTTCTTTTGAAGCATAATTTCATGAAAAAAATTGGTTGGCCCGCATCCTGGCTAACACGGTGAAACCCCGTCTCTACTAAAAATACAAAAAATTAGCCGGGCATGGTGGCGGGCGCCTGTAGTCCCAGCTACTCAGGAGGCTGAGGCAGAAGAATGGCATAAATCTGGGAGGCGGAGTTTGCAGTGAGCTGAGATCACGCCACTGTACTCCAGCCTGGGCGACAGAGTGAGACTCCATCTAAAAAAAAATGGATGTGATTTGGCCGGGCACGGTGGCTCGGGAGGCTGAGGCAGGAGAATTGCTTGAACACCTGAGGTGGAGGTTGCAGTGAGCTGAGATCACGCCATTGCACTCCAGCCTGGGCAACAAGAGCAAAACTCCATCTAAAAAAAAAAAAAAAAAAAAAAAAGATGTGATTCAATAATAGCCCTACATTTTTCTAAGAAACATTTTTTTCTTCTCAGGTAATGAAATGATAATAACAACAAAAAACAGAGAACTCTTGACAAAAAGGGACCAACTCAGTGTTCCACAGTAACTCATATGTGTGTATATATGTGTGTGTGTGTGTGTGTGTGTGTGTGTGTGTACTTATTATGGTTCTTAGTGATGTTCTTCTCTTCTGTCACCATGGAAATTGACATCAAATTATTTTCAATGTATTTCTGAAAGGAGAATGAGTGCTTCTAGCACATAATAGAGGTATTCATACCATTTAATAAAACTGACCACAGTGCTAATGGAAATCTACTTGATGATGTATGGTATTTAAAAAATCATTCTTTATTCTCTAAAAGCAAAATACACTGCCTTACTTTGTAAGAAAACCTACTCAACAACTCCACAAGAGGTTACGAGTGGCAGAAAAGCTCTCACATTCAAGGGAATGGTGGTGAGATGAAAGATTTCTTTTCAATTTTAGTTTCTTTTCATTTAAAAGGAAAGGGGAAAGAAGACACTGGCTTCAAATGCATCTGAATAGAGTAGATGAATTAATAAATGTTGTGCATACTTGTAGTCAAAAGGGAGCTTATGAAAAGGAAAAGCAAGATGCCACTGCTTGGTGAACACCTAAGACTTTATGAATAAGGAAATCATTAACATTCAGATGAAGTCGTAACCAAGCAGCTATTTAAATGGGACAATTAGCTGGTGCTTTCCTGAAGATGGCCTGCGCAGGGGCAGAGTAGCTGACTCTCTGTTGACAATATTACCTTCTCCCTTTCTTCCAGTCGGAATACACATACTGTGAAATTGTATGCTTTCATCTACATTATATTTATTTCCACCACTCCCTGAAGGTAAAAAGAGACTTTCTCAATGGTCCTTTTATCATAGATCATAGATTAATACCCCAGGAACCTATTCTGCTTTGTACGTTTACCTCACTCATTTTCCTCAAAAATTCTATTTTTCTGGGTTTATGGCCATGGCCAGTCCTGCTGCACCAAAACTGCAGATACGGCAGATGATGCAGAGAAAAATCCATTGCAGAAGTTCATGATGGCAAGGCAGGAAATCATGAATCTGGAACCCAGGCGTTCAGTCTAGGTGAGGTGCCATGATTTAGATTCAAAGAATCACTTCTTTCTTCACTCTAAAATTGTTTTAAATGGGTCTGGGCTCTTTGGATGAGGCGGACTCCTCCATTCACGCAGCTGCCTGAGACCATGGAAGTACCAGCATCCCTCCCTGAAAGACCAGTGAAGCCCTGAGAAGTAGATCCCCCTGGATCTATAACTTCAGACATACTATGCACTGTGAATTTGCTCATTCAATAGCAAAACAAAGAAAAAAGTAAACTCAGCCAAATCCAAGTGGTCATTTTTAAGCAATTTGAAACAGACATAAGCCTGTAAGGCCTGGCCTGACTGACCTATTCTTTGTTCTGGGCAAGGAAATAGTAGCCAGGGCACTATGCTAGTCTGGGCAGCCCCAACTGTGTTGATGGCAAGAATTTAGGGATTGCCTAATGCTCCTCAAGAATCATTTGTTCCAGCTTCACTGCAGGGGGTGGGGCTGGGAGTGGGGGTGATGATGGGGGATGTGTGCAAGGAAATACTTGTAAGATTTTTCAGAAAAAGAGGACCAGGAGCCTCCAGGGAACGCCCTTAAGTAACTCGCACACGCGGGACCTGTTCCCACCTAGGACCACAGGCTCAAGGTGGCAGGTAGATGCAGCCAGCAGGCGCCTCTCCTCCAAAGGGAACCAAAGGAACCAGTAGATTTTCACACTCGGAACAGATCGACTAAGAGAACGCAGGGATTCAGCTGAGAAGTCACAGGGAGCCTGAGGAGCTGAGCAGAGGCAGCCGGGCAGCCTGAACGGAGAAATCGGATTGGCAGAGACCGCCTGCAGCTCCCGGGTAGGGGAAACGGGAAGATGTCCCCCACTACAAAGCAAATTGACAAACTTGTGTGTCTGGAATTGGTTCCTTCCGGTGGGTTCTTGGTCCCATTGACTTCAAGAATGAAGCTGCGGACCCTTGTGGTGAGTGTTACACTTCTTAAAGATGGTGTGTCCAGAGTTTGTTCTTTCAGATGTTCAGATGTGTCCAGAGTTTCTTCCTTCTGGTAGGTTCATGGTGTTGCTGACTTCAGAAGTGAACCAGCAGACCTTCGCAGTGAGTGCTACAGCTCTTACAGGTGGCGCGTCCGGAGTTGTTCATTCCTCCCGGTGGGTTCCTGGTCTTGCTGGCTTCAGGAGTGAAGCTGCAGACCTTCGCAGTGAGTGTTACAGCTCATAAAGGTAGTACAGACCCAAAGAGTGAGCAGCAGCAAGATTTATTGCGAACAGCGAAAGAACAAAGCTTCCACAGAGTGGAAGGGGACCTCAGCCAGTTGCCGCTGCTGGCTCCGGTGGCCAGCTTTTATTCCCTTATTTGGCCCCGCCCATGTCCTGCTGATTGGTCCGTTTTACAGAGTGCTGATTGATGCGTTTTTACAGAGTGCTGATTGGTGCATTTACAAACCTTTAGCTAGACACAGAGCGCTGATTGGTGCATTTATAATCCTTTAACTAGACGGAAAAGTTCTCCAAGTCCACACTTGACCCAGGAAGTCCAGCTGGCTTCACCTCTCACTTGGAAGAAGCGATTTACACAGGATGTGCAGATCTCAACAAAAGGACACAGGAAACATGAAAAAGCAAAGAAATGTGACGCCTCCAAAGGAACCCAGTAATTCTCCAGCAACCAATCCCAATCCAAAAGAAACTGAAGATATTTTGGATAGAGAATTGAATATACTGATTATACAGTCAATGGGCAAGGTGCAAGAGTCATTTGGAAAAGAACAAAGGGAAAAGATGGAAACAAGGGTCTGCAGGAACAATTTACCCACTGCAATGATATTTTTAAAAGGAACCTGACAATACTTCTGAAACTGAAAAAAAATCACTAGATGAAATACAAAGTAAACTCAAAAGCTTCAATGACAGAATAAAACAAGTAGAAGAAAACCTCTCAAAACTTAAAATCTGAAGCATATGTCTTAAAGGTTTAAAGGGTTATACTCTGGTCATTAATGTGAGTGAAATCTGCTGGGTCAATTGTTATACTGGGGTCTTGCATAATCATTAAAGTGAAATGAGAATAAAAAGGAAAAGAAAAGAAAAAGAATATACTAGGCCCAAAAATCAGTCAAGCATATTTCAGAGTATCACTGAGTTTCGGACTATGTCAGTGAGCAAATTTGAGAGTATTTCAATGAGTGTTTATGTTAAAGAATTATGTTCATGTTCTCGAAGACTCTTATGGATCTGATAAGACTTCCATTACTCTCCTTACAATTAAATTGTCATGTGTTGTCACTAGATATGTCACATTGAGATCTGTGTATACTCTTCCCCAAAGATAAATTCACAAATTGCTGCCAGTGAAACTGCAATGTTTGGAACACTCTTGTGAGGAGATTCTCTCTAAAGAGACCTACAATCTGATATTGCTACTGAAAAACAGAGACAAAACCCATCAGTTAAAGCCACCTCAAATGTGGTAGTGGATTTGTTATAGACTGTCAATGCTGCCAATCATTTCTGCTCCAAAATGACTTTTTTAAAAGCACCAAAACAATTTCCCCATTGTAAACAGACACTAGTGGTGAGAAAAAAATATGGGAGTGATAGAAAGGCAAGCTCTAGCAAGATATTTAGTTAGAAAAACAAAACAGAAGAAAAACAAAGAAAAGAGAAGAATTATATAAGCAGAGGGCTAAAGCCAGTGTAGCCAATGTAATTAATTGTTGTTTGGGGTAGAAAATAGGATAAAGGGACAGTAGAAACACCATTGGAAGTGGTCCCTACAACTCTTATATCTTCAATTTGTTCCTTTCTTCATATTTAAAATCCACAACTTGGGCATGGTGACTCATGCCCATAGTCCCAGCTACCTGAGATGCCAAGGCAGGAGGACTGCTTGAGCCCAGGAGTTTGAGGCTGCAGGGAGCTATGATTATGCCATTGCACTCTAGCTTGTGCAACAGACCAAAACCCTATCTCTAAAATAAAAATCCATAATTAGGGCCCTAGAAAAATGAACAATTCCTGGCTTGGACAATCACACAGACACACACCCACACACACACACACACAACTGTATTAAAGTGTAAAGAGGAAAATAACTTTCACTGCTTTTTACCTCTGTTGAGCCTCCACTCTTTCCATAAGTAGTATTGTCATCTTTCTGAACGAAGCACACGAGGCTCAGAGGTGTGACCTCAAGTCCTAAGATCACGAAGTCACTGAGCAGCAGAGCCTGGGTTCAGACAGGGGCCCATGGTGTTTTTACTACTTTATCCTAGAATGCCTGGATACTGTAAACTTTTGCATTGCATAATGTCATTAATAGCTATACATTTCACCTGGTTCCATAAAGCTAAGATATCAAGAACACTTTGAAATTGTTAAAGAGAACAGCAGATTTCATTTGTATGTTGCTCTAAAGTTTGCTAATACATTATTCTTCTACTGTAAAATGAAATTATCAGAAATAAGATCCATAGCTAAGATACAGTGGAGAAGGAACCCAAATGTTATTTCCTCATTTCCAGTATGCTTTGGACTACATCATGACTGTCTTAGTTTCCCTAGAAATTCGTCAATTCATTCAGTTTACACATATACCAGAATGCTTACTATGTGTTAGGCACTGCACTAAGTGTTGAGACAATGGTGAGAAATAACCAAATACACTGCTTGCTGTCAGGGAACACAACTAACAGTGAACAAATAACTTATGTACCAACATTCAATCTCCTATGAAAGAAATTATGTGTTTCATGGAGGGCATGTAATGACTGGGAATGGGGAAGTGTGAGTCTGACACAGTCATAGGCGTCAGGGGAGAAATTCCTGGTTCTAAGATCTGAAGAATATATACAAATTTATCAAAAGAATGGAGGTGAGAACATTCAAGGAAAGGTAATAGCAAAGGTCTTGACACTAAAGAGAATACGGTGGGTTCAAGAAACTAAAAATGCATCTATTGTGGCTAGAGTTCAGAAAATGAGCAGGAGGAAGATAAGAGATGAAACTAGAAAAGGTAGTCAACACCAGATTACTCATGGACGCACAGGCCATTTCTCATATTTCTGGAGGCAGCGAAGTCTAAGATCCAGGTGTCAGCAGATTTGCTTCTGGTGAGGTCCACTTCCTGGTTTGCAGATGGCCATCTTCTCATTGTATCCTTACATGGCAGATAGCAGAGAGAGGAAGCAGACTGTCCTGTCTTCACCTGTAAGGGCACTAATTCCATTCACGAGAGCTCCACCCTCATGACCTAATTATCTCCCAAAGGCCTCCTATATCATCTCCTTGGGGTTAGGGTTTCAACATAAGAATTTTGGGGTGACACAAACGTTCAGTCCGTAACACCAGGTGAAAGATACTGGTTTTAATTTGAAAACAAGGAGAAGCCCCACAGAATTTTCAGCAGGGTAGATATGATTTATGTAACACCAATATGTATACATGCATAATATGAATGAGACATCTGCCAATTTCTTTTTCAAGTGTATTTTTTGAAGCATGAATGAGAGTTGAATTTTGACAATTTTTTTTTTTTTTTGGAGACAGAATCTTGCTCTGTCCCCCAGGCTGGAGTGCAATGGCGCAATCTTGGCTCAGCTCACTGCAACCCCTGTCTCCCAGGTTCAAGCAATTCTCATGCCTCAGCCTCCTGAGTAGCTGGGATTACAGGCACTTGCCACCACACCTGGCTAATTTTTTGTATTTTTAGTAGAGACAGGGTTTCACCATGTTGGCCAGGCTGGTCTCGAACTCCTGACCTCAGGTGATCTGCCCACCTCAGCCTCCCAAAGTGCTGGGATTACAGGCATGAGCCACAGCGCCCAGCCAAACTTTCACAAACAATCTTTTAATGCTCTATGAAGATAATTGCATGCTTTTCTTCTGTTATTAATATGATTAAGTCCAGTTGGTCATGACATGATATATGTTGTTTTTATAAGGATGTGGGATTCTGTTGCTAATTTATTGACATTTTTGTGTTGATACTCATAAGTGAGATTGCACTATAGTACATTTGGTATATTCTTTGTCAGTTTTAATATCAATGTAAATTTATTTCATAAAACAAATTTGGAGGTTTCTTACTTTTGCAGTGGTCTGGAATGGTGAAATAGGATTGAGAATACCTAACCCTGTGAAGTTTGGGAGCATAATGCAAGAAGCCATCTGGTCTTCAAGTGTATTTTTTGTGGAAGAGCTCTTTTACAACTTTCTTTAACTCTTATATGAAAATTTGTCAGAAGAGAACTTCTATCTCTATTGCAGTCAATTTTATTAATTGCATTTTTCCAGAAAGTTAAACATTTTATATCGATTTTCAAATTTATTTATATAAAGTGATGCAAAGAAGTCTCTTTTAAATTTTTCCTCTCTTTGGTGGTTATTTAAACTTTCCCATTTTATGAATTTTGCTTTCTTCTTTTATGAAAGTTTGATTTGCTAGAAATTTATCTATTTTGTAGATTTTTTTTCCTCTAAAGTACAAGCCTTTTGATTTATTAATTAATTATGTTGGTTTGTGTGTGTGTGTGAATGTGTGTGTGCATGTGTTTTAAGATTTTCTAACTCGTCAGTTCTTGTCTTCTCCTTTTTTTTTTTTTTCTTATTTGCTTCTTGAGTTTGTGATGCCTGTGAACTTCCAAGTGGAGCTGTCAGGTAGGCAATTGGATGTACAGTTCTGGACCTTAAATAGAAGTTTGAAGTAGAGATATACATTTGGACATTACTGCATGTTCCTGTTACTATCAATATGTAACAAACCACCTCAAACTTTATGGGAAGGGAAGAATCATTTTATTGTGCTCAAGGGGTCTGTGAGTCAAGAACACAGAAAAAACACAGCAAGGATGGCTTGACTCTGTTCTGTGATGTTCAGGCCACAGCTGGAAAAACTCAAAGGCAGGAGGGCAGCTCCACAAATGGGGCTGGAGTCAGCTGAGGGCTCCTGCACTCACATGTCTGGTTCCTAACCAGAAAGAGCCTAAAGTCTAGGACTGCCGACTAGAGCAGAGAGCTTTCATGTTGTGTCTCTGTGCAGCTGGCTTCCTTACGTCATGGCAAACTCAGGAAAGTCAGACTTCTTACTTGGTGGTTCAAGAACCCAAGTCGAGATGTTCTAACAAGCCAAACAGAAGACTCTCCATTTATGACTTATTCTCAGAAATTACTCAAACTCAATTACACTGCGCATTATTGGTTATAAGCAAGTCACAAATCTGCCCAAATTCAAGAGCAGAGTAATGAGATTCCACTTCTTTTATTTATTTATTTTTTTAAGATGGAGTTTTGCACTTGTCGCCCAGGCTGGAGTGCAATGGGGCGGACTCGGCTCACTGCAGCCTCCACCTCCTGGGTTCAAGCGACTCTCCTGCCTCAGCCTCCCGAGTAGTTGGGATTACAGGTGCCCTCCAACATGCCTGGCTAATTTTTGTATTTTTACCAGAAATGGGATTTCACCATGTTGGCCAGATTGGTCTCGAACTCCTGACCTCAGGTGATTCGCCCACTTAAGCCTCCCAAAATGTTGGGATTACAAGCGTGAGCCACCACGACCGGCCGAGATTCCACCTCTTGATGGAGGCTTAGCAAGATTCTGAAAGGGTTTTTGAGACAGGAGATATGTAGATATGTATGTGACCATCTTTGGAAAATACAATCTTCCGCAGTATGTACATTGCACCTGAAGCCAGTAGTCAAGGACCAGAAAGCCTCATAAGAAGAGAGAGAAGAGGTTCTAAAACTTGGATGTATGTTCAGAATCATCTAGAGGATTTGCTGAGCTTCACTCCAGAGTTTCTGATCTAGTAAATAAGTTTTGAGATTCTGGGGTGGGGCCTGAACTGTGCATCCTTGACAGTATCAGATTTGTTGATGCCACTGATTCAGGGATCCCACTAGTACAGACACTGAGATAGAACCAAACGAAAAAAGGGCTGAGATAAAGCCCAGAGGAGATTCCAATAAAAGAATGAGCCAGTACAGTTTACTGAGAATATGCACCTAAGAGGGAGTGTTGTCAGAGAAGCCAAAAGCAGATAGTGTTTCAAAAGAGGTCAGAAAGGGAAGGTTTCTTTCATGGTTAATTCCATTACCAAAACTTTATTATCTTTCTTTCATCCTATTGCTCTGAGAGTTTCTAATTTAATTTACATCAGAAGATAGGATTTGCTTTTATTTTATTTTGACCTGAATTTTATATGTACACCCTTCTGTGGCTGACACATTTCAAAGTCAAATGTATTTGACTCAGATATATAAATTCAATAATGTGTCCTAGGTACAGGGATTGAAAGCTCCTCATTTTCTACTTTAACAAATGGTGGTAATAGTCTATTATTTTATAGGCTCAAAGATCATTTGTATTTTACATGATATGACATTACGCTTGCATTTGAATTTAACCACAACTAATGCCCTGGGAATCTACATGTAAAATAGAATAATGATGTCATACTAATAGTCTGATTAGAAATTAACCAAGACATTTTCTGATTTTCTTAGTCTCTCTCCACCCACCTTTATTATATTGTCACGCTGCGTGGGTATGAATCACAAATAGAGCTCAGTCTAAACAAAGGTAATCTTTCTAGGCAAAACAATTGTTGGAATTATATTTTCCTTGATAGAACTGAAAGAAGACTCTTAAAATTTAGTGGGAACTGTTTCATTTGGTCATTTGAAAAACTACTATTGGCCAGGAGTAGTGCCTCATGCCTCTAATCCCAGCATTTTGGAGGCTGAGGCGGGTGGATCACTTGAGGTCAGGCCAGGCAAGACCAATCTGGCCAACATGGAGAAACCCCACCACTACTAAAAATACAAAAATTAGTCGGGCGTGGTGGCGGGTGCCTGTAATCCCAGCTACTTGGGAGTTTGAGGCACTAGAATTGCTTCAAGCCGGGAGGCAGAGGTTGAAGTGAGCGGAGATCATGCCACTGCACTCCAGCCTGGGTGACAGAGCAAGACTCCATCTCAGAAAAATAAATAAATAAAACAAAATAAAATTAAAAGGGGCTACTATCGGTTTAAAAATATGGAAGAGAAAATAAAGAGATAATAATGGTATCAATAACAGACTTGAAGGGAGCCAACATATTTATTGTTGTTCGGCCTCCCCGCCGAAGTTAAGAATTTATGTTTTCTACATGAAATGGTAAAGGAAGCCTCACAATCAGTCAAGTCTCACATATTTTGCACCCTAATATGTGTTTTAAATATCCTCTGGGTGTTATTTACTTTTTTATTTAATGCTAGAACTTTAATGAAAGTTTCTATGCAAAACACATGAGGAAATTCTTGTATGTGTCCTATCTTGTCTGCCTCTTACTCCTACCTACTTTTCCAGAGATAGATTGGGATACAATAAGAGACATAGTAAAGTGCCTAAAAATAAGGCTTGATTAGCCAGGCATGGTGGCTCACGCCTGTAATCCCAGCACTTTGGGAGGCTGAAGCGGGTGGATCACCTGAGGTCGGGAGTTCGAGACCAGCCTGACCATCATGGAGAAAGCCCGTCTGTACCAAAAATAAAAAATTCACCAGGCATGGTGGCACATGCCTGTAATCCCAGCTACTCAGGAGGCTGAGGCAGAAGAATGTCTTGAACCTGGGAGGTGGAGGTTGTGGTGAGCCTCGCGCCACTGCACTGCAGCCTGGGCAACGAGAGCGAAACTCCATCTCAAAAATATAAATAATTAAATTAAATTAAATTAAATTAAAAAATAAGGCTTGATCTCCCATAGTAATTTCCTAATAATTTTTTTATTAACATCATCCCTATTTAGGTGGCCTTATAAGTTAATTTATCCTTTATTTTAGTAAGAATATTCATCCGCATGCCTCGTAAGTGAGAGGTAGTTGCCCCCGGGCAGCAACTGTGTGCTAAGAAAAGGCTGAAGGTCACCTTAAGATCTGCTGATTGGATGGTCCGTTAGCAGTCAATAATTCACCATCCAAACTTGCTAACTAAATTCATACTTGTTATCACTAGCAGGGGACAGATGAGAACTGGGAACCCTAATACTCAGCCTGGTCTTCTTAGGATGGCTCAGGAGCTCCGGCAGGGCAGGGCATTTACATAGCAGCCAGCAGTCACTGCCAGGCATGGATGGGGAGTGGACAGAGGAGGTGGTGGAAGGTGGAGGCAGGCCATGGCAGTAAGCAGGGTGGACAGACACTTTTAGTTTAGTAAGGGCAGTGAGATGCCCAGGAAAGAGTTGTAATGCAAGGTTGAAAGTGAGAGTGCCTTATCTGTTAATCGATACCAAGGAGATTAAAAGAATTAGCTACCAATGTGGGAGATAAAAAGAAAGATGAAAACAAAGGCTTTTGAAAAATTAAAGGCTTAATGACGTGCTCTTGAAAAATTTTGATAGTACTATTTCCCAGTTAAACTGACCTCTGCTATTTCCTTTTAGCCATTTAAATTTTTTCTTTCCCTCTCTGTAAAAATAATTTAACATTATAATTGTCATTTGTTCTTGTATATGTCGCATACAAGACTGGGAAATTGGAATTCGCCTGTGTCCCACGGTGGCAGGGCAAGCCCTTTTGTGCTAGCAAAGGTGCATGCTGTGCAGTTTTCTATCCTCAGCATGCATTTGTGAAATTACTCAACTCTTACATGAAGCCAAGAAAGCAGATAAACAAGTAGCTATAGAAGTCTCAAGAGGAAGAAAGCGATCAGGATCATCTTAATGTTTCCAAGTATGATATAAAAAAAGAGTTTTCAGACTCCCAGACCATTTCAGCCACATTATAAAAGCAAAAAGGTAGACGAAGATATGCTCATTTCTGTTTCAGTAATATTATGTGTCAGCATTGCTTTGCATGAAGGTTAGCAGAACCATCCATCATTGCAGCTGAACTGCATATTTTCTTGTTCAGCATTGATAGATTTTTATTTTAACCTTAGAAGTTCCTCAAGGGACTCTATTAGGGGCAATGTCATTCTTTATTCTGCTCTATTACTTCTCTTTTGTAAACTTTGATGTATGCAGACAACACATTCTGGCTAGGGAAGTTTAATTAGGTAAGTCTACAAATTAATTGTTGCAATTAGACTGCTTCTAACTGCTTTGTGTTATGAATTTATTTATGCAGTAATTATTATCAGATATCTAGAATAAAAGCCTCCAAAGCTAAAGGTGGTACCTTGCAGATGTATGCACAGCATTCCACATTTATTAGCCCTCCAAAATAAAAGCATGTATTTAAAAAAGAAAAGAAAAAGAAAGAAGAAAGAAAGAATATCTTGCCTCAGTGGTCATATTCACATACAGATTTTGACAAGCAAACTGTTAACAAAACCTAAACAGGATTGTTTGTATATTGGCAAAATTCAAAATGTTAGACATTATATAAATCACTATAAAACAATTTGCTAGTATAAAAACTAAATGAAAATACAAACTCAAGTCCATGCTCTGAAAGGCACCTAGTTTTGTTTGTTCATAGTAATGATTGCAAAGGCATATTGGAAGAAATTGACGATTTTTCAGTAAATTTTGTTTTTAATTTTTAAGATCATATACCATGAAAAATTTTACAGAGAACTTCTAAGAAAACAACCATGGTGCTTCAAGCTGTCTCCTCAAATCTTTTTTTTCTGTAACAGGGGCATTGCAGCTCGTAGTAGAGAAAGACAGATCTAATACCATCATTTGAAAGGAAGAAAGCAGGGAGACGCCAACACTAGCAGAGAAAGAAGCCTATGAACAGAAGTTTGAAAGTCAAACAGTAAAGTGAGAATGAATCATTGGTAGAGATGTAAATTCATATAATCTCCCCAAAGAGCAATTTTGAAATGGATTTCTAGTCACTTTAGAATAGTCATTATCTTAGACCCAGTGATTTTAAAAATTGGTTTTCATCTTAAATAAATAATACCAAATTTGAAAATAGCTTTATATACAAAGGTATGCATCTCAGCATCAATACTAAGAACTCCCACATACTAGCAACTTATATAGTAACCATTAGTATTATTAGCTGTCCAAAAACAAATAAATATATCTCCAATTCAGTTATTACCACATTCATTTAATAAATATGTATTGATCACCCACTCTATGCAGAGCATTTTTCTATGCACTGGGCACACAAACAGAAATGTTTCTACCCTCAGGGAGACTGCATTCTTTTGCAAGAAGAAGCATAAAAAATAGCAAAGTATTAAGCAATGTGGGTTAATGAAAGGGACAGGTGTGGGAGTTTAGAGTGTTCTATTTTGGGCGGAGTAGTCCAGAAAGGCCTTTCTGAGATGGTGACATTTGACAAGAGACCCAAATTAGTGATTAGGGAAGGTAATACTGAAAACAAAAGGATACAGTGCTATTTCATCAGTTATTTTACGTAATACTGAACCTACTGGTATTTTACAAAAAGAAAAAAAGTTCAAATTTCACAAAATAAAATAAAATTCCATGAAACTAGATATTTAATATATTTCAAATATAAAATCTGTAAATGTATTATGACATCATACACTCATAAATTCAAAGGACAAAGAAGCATTATCATTTTAAATATAAATTATTAGGTGATAAAATTGTTAGAAGGAAATTCTTACTTAAAAATAAACATCCAACAAAATGAAGACATTTAATTTAACAAGAAAATGTCAAAAGTAACATAATTTAGTCTATGTACTAACCAACAAAGTGCATTAATGTCATAATTTTGTAGCAAAGGTCATTGTATGCCATTTGTTGAACTAACACCAAATATTTTCTTCTGACTCTTTCTAATAACTCCACTTCTTGATAAAATCTTTGAAAAGATCTCTTGAAAAACCATGTTTATATGTTTATTTTGATATTTTTAAAGGAACTTCAGTGTTTTTATTGATGGAAAGCTGTAGTTTTTGTTTCAAAAAAGACTTGTAGTTTGTCATAGTTTGAGTTTTATCATATATAGGTAAAACTGCCTGGAAACTTCTCCCAGATCTTTAAAAGGTGTGCTCCTTTTCATCATATAGTTAATGATAATTACAGAGGTTAGGAATACTAATTTTCTGTCTCCCAGGAGTAACATATCTGTTATTATTAAGAAGTAAATTTCTTAATGATAAGAATTTTCAAAGATTTTATCAATATCAGTTTTATCATATATAGATAAATCAATATCAGTACTCTCATATTTATATTCCACTCACTCTGTCTTTGAACTAAAGTGAGAATTATAATTGCAGTAGAAGCTCTGCAATACCTCAATACATTGTCATCTCTGTAGGTGTGGACCACTCCAGATGTGTACATACAACTTTGTTTTGTCTTCTTATAGAAATAGAATAATTGAATTTTTTATCTTGATTCCAAAACATTAACGATTCCAATTTCAGATTATTATTATTGGTGCAATGATGGTATAATACTACTAAAATAGCAGAATTTTACTTCTTAATACTAACAGATATGTTACTCCTGGGAGACAGAAAATCAGTATTCCTAACCTGTGTAATTATCATTAAACTATATGATGAAAAGGAGCACACCTTTTAAAGATCTGGAAGAAGTTTCCAGAAGATCAAAAGTAAGTGCTAAAGCTCTGACATGGAAACTAGCAAGGAGACAAGTGTGCCCAAAGATTGTTTCAAAGAAACAGGGAGTTAGGATCTTCCTCTGGAGCTGGAAGCAGAAGGCCAGACATGTAAGGCCTTGATGGGCTTAATAGTTTGGGTTTTATTCCAAATGTTCTGTTTGCACAATTTGTAATATCATTAGGACATACTATTGAAATGATGCAAAGTTGAAAAAAGGATACAAAATTATTATATAGCATGATACTAACTGACTTAAAAAATGATAAGTAAAAATGTTTGAAATGAAATAAACTAAAATTAAACCATCCCTATAAACTTTATAAAATTAATTAGGGAAAAAAGGGAGAGAAATGAAAATAAGCCAAGTTTGCAGCACATTTGGCATTAATCATTAGGTCAGCTGCTTTCTGACCTGCTTCCTCATACTTGTTTGGTGCCTGTTACCCAAGAATTACGCAGACCTTGCCACAAGACTATAGTTCCCTTTAACTGCTCTATAGATAAGAACTTGAATGATGTGAAATGTTAAGTTTTTCATTTGAGATATTCCTTCAGGTCCTGCATACCAATAAAACTACTAAAGTCAGCTGTTGTCAACAACCCCATAGGAGCTGACTTGCTCACCAAAGAATGCAGTTTCCACATCCCGATGATTTCATCATCCTTATCCCAACCAATCAATGGCCCCAGTTTTACAGCCCCTTGCCCTCCATGATCTCCTTAAAAGCTCCAAGCCAGAACTCTTCAGGGAGACAGATTTGAGGGTCCTCCCATCTCCCGCCTTGGCCTCTTGGCCACCCTGCAATCATGAAACTGTTTCTCTGCTGCAAACCCTGCTGTTTCAGTGTATTGGTTTGTTACTACATAGTGGGCATACAAACCTGGTGGCCCTGTAACAAAAATATACACAAGTTGGCTATATTTGGGGGATTAGGTATGTTAATAATTTTCTTATTATGATTGGTATGTATGTTTTTATAATGGAAAAGCAAGTTTTTGAAAAAATTTTTGACACTCTTACTCAAATTACGTGGAGAACTTTTAAAGAGATAAAGGACCACCTACCAGGCTTCTTCTACTGATAGTTTGCCAGTGAGAGCTCAGTAGGAACTGCAAAAAAAAAAAAAAAAAAAAAAAGGAAGATGAGGCAACAGAAAGAACCCAATAAGAGGCTTGTTGGATGTGCCCTTATCAGCATCCTCAAATGTGTTCTGCAGGGCTTCAGCTCTAGCAAATGGCAATTTGTGCTCCATGAAACAGGATCCTTATGGGAAATTCTCTTTGGGAAATGCTACATCAGTATTTATCCCCCCCTTTGAAAAATACCTAAGATATGTTTGCATATTTAAGTTGTTGAATGGCCCCAGAGTAAAGAAAACTGAGCAATTTGATTTAACCCAGTTTTTCCTGAATGTTTTTAACCAGAGGATACTTTGCTGTCTTTCTTTCGGAACACTTAGGAATGCAGATTTGAGGAACGTTACCTTGGAGAAAGGCCAGCCCCCATATCATGCTCTTTATTTAGCCTATGAAGTATAACTACCTGGGGATGAAGAAATCTTTACAGACACTGACTTGATCAATAATGGAAATGAAGTCTGTACTAAACTGGATCTATATCCTTAGCCCCTTAAACAACTAAGAGATGTCTAAATTCAAATTGATGAAAATATTTGAGTTGGAATCCCCCTTCTCAAGACCAAGAACCCAATACAATGTCAGAAACAAAGATAGGAGAGTGGACTTAATTGAGAAAAATGGAAATTTGAAAGGGAAGAGTAAAAGGATTAGTGTTTCCATTAATCATCAGACAGCAGCAACTGTCTTCCTTTCCTCTGGGTTTCCCTGAAGTCCTCACTAGGGCCTCACCAGAGTAAGGCTGCCCTCCACACCCATCCAATTTTGGTTAAACATCACAGGTTGTAATGATGGTTAGGCTGTCCTTCGTAATGTCAATTAACTACCATCACTTCCACCTTATCCGCTGTCGTCTGTGTTCTCTCCCTGGAGTTATGCACCACACACTCCCAACCCCCATATATATCCTTGCATTTGAATATGCAGAGAGACAGTCATCTTCTCTTTTTTGGGGGTAATGCCTGCACTAGCATTTGCTCATTCTTTTTCAGCTTGAAGTATGCAAAAACTCTTGATCAAGGGTAAAATACATAGCAGAAATTGAGGTCAGACCAAAATAAATAATATACATTGCAAAACAGTCAGTTCTGAATAGCATTTTAGAATGGTTATGGATGAGAGAATTTACACTAGAACTCATTGTCCAAGAATGTACAAAACTGTCTGCCGCTGCTCTAACTCTTTGGCTCACAGCATAAGATAAGATGGGGGGTGGGGAAAGGAAGTGTATATATGAGTGTACTGAAATGGACTGTTTCATAAGCATACAGCAGAAAGCCATTCAGAGAAGACATTTATACTGAATAAGCACTGTGCAGAATGATGTAAAATAGGTTCTTTGCATCCTCCACAATGGCTTTTAAGGTGGAATGTTTCCAAGGCTGATTTTGTTTTCTCTCTGCCCTCATAGAAATTCAGCTCTTGATCAGAAGGAAAGCAAAATTTGGAAGAAATGTGATTATATCAAATACTGCTGGCCTAACTTGGACACTGTAATTCTAGGAATGAAAACATGCTAGCTTGTTTTCATTAATATTACTAGAAGGTAGCCAGTTTAAAGAATATTGCATGGTCAGGTGGACAAATTCCACCATTCACTGGCTGTATGACCTTGAACTTGTCAGTTACTGCTCTGGGCCTCAATTGTGAAATGGCCTGTTGAAAGTATAAAGTTGTAAAGTTGTAAATTGGCCTCGCCTGTAAAATGAGGATAATTATAGTAACTGCCTTGCATCACAGGCCTGATATTAGGGTTACATATATTTGTCAGTATTTTTAAAAACTGTCTTGCAATAATATGTACCAAATAACTTTAAAGAAATAAAAACTAGTAATTAAGTATCATCCAATTAATGTGCCAAAACTTACTTTTACTTAATTTGTTTGATTCTAATTTTGCAGCATTATCAACAGTGTTTTTGATTTATATTTCTATTTTGATGCATAACTATGTATATTTCCTTAGGAAAAATTCATGGACCTGGAAAGATCATGTCATGGAACATGCAAACATTTAAGGCTTTTGGGGCATTTCTCTAAGTTTCCTAGCAGTGCATGAAAATACACATTTTTCCCACTAACATTAAGATGTTTTATTTTTTTTTTTGCCTGTTTTATTTAAAATTTATATATTTTTTGTTTTTAATTGAATTAGTACTATTTTATTTTTTCCTTTTATTGGTCATTGCATTTTCTTAATACAGTGCCCATTTTTGGAGGTGTTTATCTTATTTTTGTTGTTCTGCAAGAGCTATTTATCATTGAAAATACGAACGTTGTCATTTAAGATTTTTTCCAGTTTATCCTTGCCTTTTTTTTT
Source organism: Homo sapiens (assembly GCF_000001405.40). Classification (NCBI taxonomy): domain Eukaryota; kingdom Metazoa; phylum Chordata; class Mammalia; order Primates; family Hominidae; genus Homo; species Homo sapiens. Next base: position 27,584,363 of record NC_000018.10, read on the forward strand.
AAAAAGAATGTCTTTTTAATACCCAGAAGTCATCGTGTGTGTGCACATTTCTATGCACAATACCTACTTGTGTATATTTAAGGTACTTACATTTATCAGTCTTTTTCATTATGGTTTCTCCCTTTTTTGTGTATTCACAATGCTCTTTCCACCCAGAATCACGTAAATAAGCACCCACAATTTATTTTAGAAAATAATTTTGCAATTTCATTTTTTTATATTTAAATATCAAATTCATGTTAAATTTATGTTGATTCTGATGTGAGTCAGGCATCTAGCTTTACTTACTTCGGAATGGTCTTGGCTCTCATTTAATTCTCACATTTTACTGAAGCCACCTCAGAGTATGCATTGCACCATTATTTTATTTCTCTTATAACTTAATGGTGGAACTAAGGGTGCTGAAAGAAGTATAGTCAAGTGGGTAGCAGGCAACCTCTCCCAGGTGATATCCATATGTTTCTAATAGCCAGTAGACCTGTATGAACTGAGGCTATCAGCACAATGCTTTAAAGAATAGTTGGGCTTCGGGATTTTTTAGTCTAAAACAGTTTTATTTTTCAGATTCAGTTTATGACTAGGTTGAATAAAAACCAGCACCGTCTTCAAAGACAAATAAGAATAACTAACTGCTATTCCATGATAGTATGTAAGAAAAGGCTGGAAATACTTTCAAATATGTCATAGCTATAACTATAGCTATATGCCTATATGCCTTTTTTTTTTTTTTTTTTAGACGGAGTCTTGCTCTGTCGCCCACGCTGGAGTGCAGTGGGGTGTGATCTCGGCTCACTGCAAGCTCCACCTTCTGGGTTCACGCCATTCTCCTGCCTCAGCCTCCCAAGTAGCTGGGACTACAGGTGCCTGCCACCACGTCTGGCTGATTTTTTGTATTTTTAGTAGAGACAGAGTTTCACTGTGTTAGCCAGGATGGTCTTGATCTCCTGACCTCGGGATCCGCCCACCTCAGGCTCCCAAAGTGCTGGGTGTATACAGGCGTGAGCCACTACGCCTGGCCCAGCTATATGCCTTTTATACACATCTACTCTGAAGCTATTCTGTAGAGTATGCAAAGGCGTGCATATTCACCTTACTCTTTTTGTCTATGGTTCCATTGTGCCTAAATATCCAGATAAAAAATTTACAGTTCAGTTGAATATCTTCATATAAAAAACTTACAGTTTAGTTAAATATTAGGATCAGTTAAATATTAGGATATTTAACTGAACTGTATGCCTTAATATAATACCAGACATCTGGATGTGGGGGATCGGTCAGAGTGTTGGGAAAAACTATAGGAAAAGGATGCAAACCTGAAAGGTCAGAAGGTTCTGCAGAGCCTCTGGGGAGAATAGCTGAAGGCACCCGTTCTTTAACCCTGAGGCAGAGGGCAAGGAGTAGGCTCAAGCGAGTGTTGGGAAATTTATCTTAAACAAGCTTGTTTACTTAAGTTGACCAGGATCTGACCTTTGATCATCCACACGTGTGACGTTCCCTGAAAGGGGAACAATAAATGTTAATTACCTACAGGCTGTGTGGGCTCCAGGTTTTCAGCATTGTGCCTGCACTGAATAAAAGCAAGCAGATCGAGCTTCTCGGGCTGCTCTCAGGCCACTAGAGCCAGGCAGTCATCTAGCTGCTCTTACACTGCATACCTATGTCCGAGTACTCATTTTATCCATTGGCCAGGGTCTGCGAGACAGACCCGGCAGGTTCTGGATATATTTTTAAATATCTTGGGTTTCACTATAGGGTATCCTTTATATTTCTCTGATATAGAATGGTTAGGAGGAAGTTGATAAGCTTATTGTGCTGGACAAAGAAGCTAGCTATTTGAACGATGATTCAGAAAGTTAACTCTATAGATATGCTTAAAGTGAAAATTAAGAATGTATCCTTTATAGAGTTAGGAATCTAAAGTTACATATAGATATGCAATTAAAAAAACTGTATCTAACTGTATTGACAGAAATTCAATTTTGTTTTCTAAAATTGCTTCCTAGAGAGGACAAGAAGTAATCTTTTTGAGACCACGGGCTCTATCTATGTAAACATAACTGAAAAGCTACCTAATAACCTTTCTTGAAGCTCATGTTAAATTCTTAAGTTTATATTCAGTAAAATTATTTGCATTTTTGCTCATTATTATTTCAGTAACAGATGATCTAAGGATTTTGTAACTCATCTGTAATGGTCATTTACTTATATAATTATTCCTCAAGTTGAGCTCACACAGCCAAAATAACTTGAAAGATACTATGAAGTGTAACCCCCAAATTCTTTACTCGTCAGGTAATACAGTCAATGGAATTTCTCCAAGTTGCAGCACTGGTTCTAGAAGGTGTTTGGTTTCATTAATATCCAAACCTATTATTAGATGGAAATAGTATTTGCACATATAAGCTCACCCCATCATGCTAGTCTGATTGATTTGTCAACTCCCTAAAAAAAAAAAGAAGACCCACTTGGACTTGGAGAGCATGTTGGTTCTCATAAGAGGGACTGTCTGAAAAAGTCAGGAAAATTGGAGTGCAGTTCTTGTAACATGCTGCAGAAGGGAGCTGTGAGCATGTGAAAGACCTGGACCCTGAGAAAAAAGGCCAGAGTGATATTTCCTAATTTGGTCTAAATCAGCACTGTATGTTTTACACTCCCACTATATCTACCCATGGCCCACAGGCTGATCTAAGGATTTTATACCTCATTTGTAATGGTCATTTACATATAATTCCCCACATATTGGGACAGTGGTTTTCAAATATTTTAACTCATATAATCTCACAATTTTTGAAACATGATGTCCCTCTGGCCCATTTTAATTTGTCTGAATTTTCCAATGTGAATTTTTAAAACTTTATTTTAAAATTATTATTTGGAGGGAATAATAGGTTTAATAAGATAAAATATAGTAAGAATTTATTCTAATGGAATAAGTATTTCATGTTTTGGTAAAAATAGGTTTTGACTACCTGATTAAATACCATGTTATAATTGGATTAAGTAGGCATTAACAACTGTAATATATATATAATTTGAGAAAACAAATCATGTAAATATTCTATTAATAGGTTTTTATGTAATATGTTCTTGAAAATTGTGGTAACCCTAGAAAATATTCTAGTTTTATATTTAAAAATCAGTATCATTACCTGTACTCCTTAGGTTTTTCTGAATTCAGAACATTCTAAGGTAGGGAACATCTCATCTTTAACAGACATGAATAACAGAGAACGAAAGCCATTCAGATTTAAGATATTTTAATTAATCAAAAATGGAGATATTATTAAAACCAGTACTTTAAATTATGACTATTTTAATGCCCAGAAAGTTTTAATGGATAGCCCAGAGCTAACCACCCCAGTATAATTTTGAAAGAGTATAAAGTTTGCCCTTTGTTGCTGCAATGGTGACAAGACTAGTATGAATATAAGCCCCTTCTCAGGCAGACCTACTTTTGGGAAAAGCACAACTGGAATTTGATAATCTATCAATTAGTGCTCATAAAACTCGCTATACAGAAGTACTCTGTGAAATGTTTGTTCTATACCTCCAGGGTTTATGTTATCCCAGTTTCCAGACTCCAATTTGACAGTGGATTATTAAATATCCATAAACAAATGATGAACTCAGAACTGCAAGGCAGACTATAGATCTAAACTTGGGAGTCTAGCCAAAAATCAGCACTTGAGGACTGAAAGTGAATGAGTCCTCAAATGAGATAGAAGAGCCCAAGATAGTACATTGAGGACTAAGCTTTGGAAACACCATACTTCCATGAGGAGGAGGTGACATAACTGTGGTGAGGAGGATGGATAATGTTTTTATTCCCCTTTGTGCAGTATCCATTTGCTCTTTTGATATTTTCTGTTGAGGTCTACCCACTCCTCCCAGTTTGGTGTACTTTCAAGGAAGTGAATACTACCTTAGCTCCAAGAGAAGGCACGTAACCCAAGTCTTGTCAATCAAACCTTTATATTCTTGGAGAGGTGACCAATCAGAACCACCAAGTCGCACTGATATTTTTTACCGAGTCTTCTGAAAGAGACTCATATTCTTCACCTAAATCTCTATTCCTTTACACTAAGAACTTTTGGAAGTCCTCTTAAAACCATGAGCCAACCAGGAAAGCATCACCTAGAAACAGGAAAGGAGAAACTAGTCCTGATGCCATCCTGTGCATTGTGAGCCTTGGGTCAAGCTTCACCCATAGCTCCATTTGCATCTAGCATGTTCAGTTTTATAAATGCAAATTGTTTTTCCCCATCAACTGAATTTGAGAATTGGGCTCTGTTACCTAGGACCAGCTATAATTGATACAAGACATATGCAAACTTTTTATTTTCTAAAATGGGGTGTGAAAAGCTACACACCATACATTGTATGCTTTCTTTAAATCATTCTCTGACATTTTAATAGTTGTCTTAGGGTGGACATTGTTGGCCAGTTACACCTGTATGCTTGATATGGGTTGGCTGTTTCATCCCCTCCAAATCTCATGTTTAAGTATGACCTCTAATGTTGGAGGTGGGCCTAGTGGGATATGTTTGAGTCATGGGGGCAGATCCCTCATGAACAGCTTAGCGCCCTCCCCGTGGTAATCAGTCAATGCAAGATCTGGTTGGGAGCCTGGGACCTTCCCCTCTCTCTCACTCTCTCTCTTGCCTTGTGATTTGCTGGTTCTCCCTTTGTTTTCTGCCATGATTAGAAGTTTCCTGAGGCCTCACTGGGAGCAGATGCTGGCACTGTGCTTCTCATATAGCCTGCAGAACTGTGAACCCAAACAAACCTCTTTTCTTTATAAATTACCAAGCCCCAGGTATTCCTTCACAGTGATGCAAAATGGACTAACACAATGCTCCAAATGATTAATTGCTTTTCAACATGATTAACTCATTCCCACAGCATGTATGTATGCATGCATTATGTATGTATAGACATATTTACACACATGTGCATTAACTTGTACTTTTCCTGAAACAAAGTATAAATTAATTATAAAAAGCGATATATATCTTAGAATAAATTTTTTTAAATATAAGTTTTCAAATATAATTCAGTACTTTAAAAATTATCTAGAATTTGCTAAGATTTTCTGGATATTACTGTCAAGAATGAGTCAATTCATGGCATTTCTTTTATAATTAGAAGCCACCCATTCCACAGCTGAGTGCCTCAAAGCATCAAAGGAACTTGGTATCAAAAATCCCTTTGAAAACATACATTCGTGCTTTCATCATTTTATGAATAAAATAGATTATTAAATATCTGATAATAATTCTTCCAATTAAATATTCCCAATTGATAATTTTAATTTTTTTCTCTCATTTGTTTCCTTTTTCTTATAGGGAATGGAAAAATATCTTAGTTATACTATATACAAATTAACAGTACAAGAGTTCTCTTTGGAAGATATGCTTTTTAAAGTCTCAAGTTGGACAATATGATGAAAAAAATGTATTGACCAATATTGTTTTACTAATCTTGGGTTTCAGCTCATTAGTAAACAGCTGACTAATTTTTTGAAGAGTTTAGTATATTGTTCCACTGAAAATTTGAAACCTATAGTTACAGAATTAGGGCCTTAAATATAGAAGGATGTTTATTTATCTACAGGATATATTAAGATATTATCGGATTCAACCATGATACTGAGAAGTAGCAGAATAATGCACTAACGAGAAAGGGGGAAAAAGGAGGTAGTTTCTTGAATTTGTCTACAGAATTTTTCAGTCTTTCAAAGAGCAAGGAATGAAGAAAATATTTTTGAAGTTGACAAGAAGGACACTGCTAGTTACCTTCAGAGATCAGTTTCCATAGCCCAACACAAATTAAGATCATATTTCTTTTTTGAAATATATTTCTCATGAAACGTGACAAACATACTAAAGTTACAAAGAACAATATCATGGACATAGTGTCCTTACTCATCACAAAACTATTGACTTAATATTTTTCTTTATTCACAACAGATTTATAAGAATAATAAAATGTTCTACATACACATTAAACCTCAGTATCCTCTTCCCCAATCATAATCTACTCTTTCTTCAGAGGAAAACACTATGCTACATTTATCATTCCCCTGCATAATTTTTATACTTCTACTACATATGTATGCATTCAAAAATCATACGTAGTAGTGTTTTGCATTTATTAACTTAATATAAACTCTGATGGCATGAATGATTAAATTATTATTTCAATCAAGACTTTGAGAATTTTTTAAGGTAGATATTTATGGTTATAATTCATTTATTTAAACCATTATATAGTATTTTATTGAATAAATACATACAACTCAACTATTCTCAGGTTATTTCTACTTTTCTTTGTTCTTTCTTCTTCTCTTTGCTATCACACATAGTGATGCAATGAGCATTTTGGCATTTATATCTTCACTTACATATACAAGAGTTTCCAAGGTGTGTACCTAGGAATGGAACTTCTAGTTTATGGATATATAGAGAAAGAGATATATGATTTTCATAGTAGTTGTACCAATTTATACTAGGAGTTCAAGTTTCCTCAATCCTCTGTCTCAACTAGCGAACATTTTTCCAATTGAATTGTTATTTAGTGATATTGCATTGCTTTTATTGATGGCATTTCCCTGACTATTGGTGAGACGTAGCATAGAGTCAAATATTCTTGACAATTCACAATTCCTCATCTGTGAATTCACTATTCATATCACTTTGTCTATTTCTATTGAGTTGTTGGTCTTTTTTCTGATTTAAGTTTTATTTATATATTTTATGCAGTAATTACTTATTGATTATTTGGGTTATACATCTTCTCCCTATCTAAGGTTTGTCTTTCGTTTATGGTGTCTTTTGCTGAAAAGACTTTTTTATTTTTTAATGTTCTCAGTAGTGTCAGTCTTTTACATTAAGGATCATTCTTTTGTATATTGTCTGAGAAATATTTTTCTACTCACAGTTATTTTTCCCATTTTCTACTAGAAACCAGGTTTTAGGGAGTGACAAAAGAGATATACATTTATTTTAAAAATCAGTGACACACATTTTAAAATGTATGACTGTGTTAAAACAAGAAAGGGAGGTGATTAGAGTAATAGTGTATATAAGGAGATCTGTTTTGTTGCTTTTCAAAATAGGACAGATGTGTGAAAGGATAAAGAGAACAAGTTGGGATTTAAAAAGCCATTGTTAATGTTGACTATTAAGATGGTATAAGCATGTGGGTGACGTCCCTCAGGAGTGGAAACAGATAACATATGTGATAACGTTAATAAAGCATTGACCCCAATGTATTTTTGTCTCCCAATATGTTTAATAATATTGAATACATAAATAGACCACTAGGCAAAGCCAAAAGAGCTCAGTTTGGGTTCTGATAAATGCACTGATTTTTCTATTAGTAATAGAAACAATTAGGATGTCTCATAATTTTTATTTGTGGAAACAAAGAAAATATAGGAGAGACAGACACAGAGCCTATGGAAATGCAAATGTGAACTCTATTGCCATATTTTGCTTTCACAGATGATTAAAATATATTTTATAGCCATGCCTGGTGGCTCGTGCCTGTAATCCCAGCACTTTGGGAGGCCAAGGCAGGCAGATCACCCAAGGTCAGGAGTTTGAGACCAGACTGGCCAACATGGTGAAATCCCATCTCTACTAAAAATAGAAAAATTAGCTGGGCATGGTGGTGCACACCTGTAATCCCAGCTACTGGGGAAGCTAAGGCATGAGAATTGCTTGAATCCAGGAGGCAGAGGATGCAATGAGCCGATATTGCATCACTGCCCTCCAGCCTGGGCAACAGAATGAGACTCTGTGTCTCAATGAAAAAATAAATAAATAAAAACATATAGAAATAAAATAAATTTTACGAGAAAGACTACATCTCAGCCACTGATGCATTCGGTCCACAGATTGGATCTCCAACCACAGAGAAGGAGTCTCTAGGAAAGAGCCTCAGATAAAAAATGGAATGACTTTAGGGATGGAAAAGGTCCTAGAGATCATCTTGCCCAATGCTCCCATTTCACAGCTGATGAAACTGAAGCCCCAAATGGTTAAGTAACTTACTCAAGATCACACCACTAATTATTGGCAGAGTTGGGAGCCAAGTTTTGTTTCTAATTCTGCTTCTGATGAGCCCCATGACAATAGAGCAAGTGCTGAGTGTACTTTAGCTACCTCTGTTGTTAAATGGAGTTAATACTCCCTAGTTCTTCAATATTTCACAAGCGTGTTGTTAGAGTTTCTGTGATTTGTGAGAATATATTTTAGCTTCTGTAAAAAGTAAATTGTTCATTACCATTCTATCAATTTGAATTCTTTGGTGACAAGCAACAGAAAACACACACAGCTTACCTAAGCAAAAAGTGGATTTACCAGAACCACATGAGAAAGCTCAGGGATTGAATAACTGGGTTGGTCCAGAAGAGAACAGAGGATGCTGGGAGTGGGAATAGCCTCACCGTCTTACCAGGCACTACTGTTGGGATGACTGTTCCTCAGCTGATCCTTCATCTCATCTCCTAAGGTTTCAAAATTGTGGAAGAGAGAATCAATTGGCTCTAATTAAATCCCAAATCTATCCTCTTTGCATCAACAGAGCAATGAGAAAAAATTTATCACGAAGAGTCTCCAGAAACCTCATTGGTTTCCTTAGCAAGAGGAATGAGCATCTTGCTTATTGGCTTACGAAGATGACTTACAGGGAGGAAGAGTAAGTTTCCCAAAGGAAATGGAGATGCTATTAGGAAGTGGAACTCATGCATGACTAACCCCCCCAAAAAACAAATAAATACAGCCACCATATTTAGGTTCTTTGTTGAATTTTGCATTTGATGTGAGAGGCCTAGGGATAAAAGCAATAAATATAGGTCATATCTTCCTGATTAAAAAGGGCAACCTGGTATTATTCTGCTGGCTAATTTAGAACTCTCAACAAGTCAATTGAGTTTGTCACATAAGAAAGCCAATGTCAGAGTAAACTTTTAAATGATCAATTTGCTCATTATGTAGGCACAACCTGCTCTCATGACCCTTTTAATACAGCTGCCAATGTTGCATAGGATTTAAAAGATAAAGAAAAATCTTTCCATTTAAATTTAGATCTAGACAGTAAGCTGAGCACCTGTTGATCAAAAAAACCAATTCAATCTGATCTCCCATTGACTTAATTTGACTTAGTGTATGTTTATTGTAAGGCACCTCCTAGACTCAGACCTGTATGATTGTAAATATAAAGGAATTCCTCTATATTTGGTTCATATACTTAATTTCTCTAGATCTACAGCAGCAATCATTTTATTAGAAAGACAGGAATTTAAGCCAACTCTTTTTTCTATCTCTGGTTTAAATTTCTTCACTCTCTGGGGAAAAAAATGTATTTCTAAAAATATTAATGATGGTGTGAATATATATTTTTCTTAAAAATATGTGTGTAGAAATTTGAAAATCCTAAATTACGTAAAAGCTAAAAGGAGGAGGGAGTCAAAAGTGTATTTATCTTTAAATGTCATATAAATTTACCTCCAGTATTTGTTCCCACAATTACCTCCACCTCCCACTGTACACGGGACAAAATCCGTTTCAAGGGAGGAGTGATCTTTTAGAACAAATAAGATCATGTTACTCCTCCATATGAAATTCTTCACTGGTTCCTCATAACGTTGAGGTTGGAGTGCAACTCTCTTCACACAAAGACATGAAGAGCCCCTCAGTTCAGCCCTCTGCTGGCCTCCCCTTCTCCGCTCTCCCTCTTGGTCACCATAATTCACTCTACAATCAGCTATGCACAACTATTTGAGGTTTCCACAACTTGTCACTGAATCTCTCACTTTTGCTCCCCCCACCCTAGAACACCTTCTCTCCTTCCTTTATGAATCCATCCCTCCTTGCTGTCTCCACTCGTCACTATTCCCCATTCCAAATCCCTTCTTCCATCAGCTTTGTTCACTACGCAATGCTCAGCTCAGGTGTCTTCCCTCCAGAAACTTCCCTTGCACCTTCCCTTTCGTGGCCCAGTAATAACATGCTACACATGGCCACTACCATCATAGCTGTCATCACACTGCACTGTCTTATGCATTTATTAATCTAGCACCTCCATTAAAACCATGAACTCCCGGACAACACAGTGTGTATCTTATTCTTTGTACTTCCAGTACCTGACACAATATCTGCTACAAAATATGTGATAAATAAATGTTTCTTGAAGAAAACAGAATCACTCTGTTGTTTTTTATATCAGAGTTAAAGAGACATCATTATTATGCTCATCCTCATTTTCTGCCATGAATGAAAGTCAGTATTATAATCCATCTATCCTCCTCATGCTGAGAAAAAAAATAACTATATCCTCTCTGCTTAAAGAAAATTTACAAGAGTGTGTTCGGTCATCATTGCATACTAAATTAGGCTTGAGTGCAATTATCTATTCATCTGGCCTCCTGCTTGGATAACTGTAGAGTTTTTCAGTCGGTGTGAAAACCTCAGAAGACTTATTTCACAGGCAATCAGGGCATGATTGGAAGAGCACTGGCTTAGATTCTTATGGAGTTCATTTGCTAGAGGAACTGGAGGGTGCAAAACCAGAGAGACTCACCTGATCTCAGTGTGATTTGATGTGATAGTTTCCAAGCAAAAAGCAAAGGACAGATGCAGAGGTAGAGGCAGTGTCTTGTATTTTTCAGCAGCATAGAAGCAGTAGTGGCTCCTTGAATGTTAAGGGCTTCACAAAGATAAAGGAACACTTCTCCAGTGTTATATGCAAATGGACCAGAAGTGGCAACTGGTAGACTAGAATCAAAGGAATGAGCTGTATTGCAACTTGAAAGGCCACTAATATTTCAGTCTAAATTATCTTTCTCAGATTTACTACCTACCACTGGTGAGGCTGACAAAAGATGAGGTTAGCTGAATGAATAATCAAGTTCCCAGGTCTTGGCTATTATGACCGCCAGCATTCCTGTTAGCAGGTGGGGTTGTTTTGCTGGCATTTTATACAAGCGTCTTTCTTCATTCTAGTCACACACAGCTGCTCTAGAGCTTCACAAAGTACAAAACGTTTTTAAAAGCTGGCATCATTTGGAGTTTCCACCTATAGGAAATTTGAAAAGTTGGCATTTGCATTCCCTAAAGTATCAATCTCTAATGAAAACAATGTCAGAGCCTTAAGCACTTTGGCGTTTTCTGGACACATTATAAATATACAGGATATATTTTATCATGTACTGTATATTAGAGCACAGGGACAAAGAACAAGCACCAGGGACAACGGTTTGAGGCAATTCTTTCAACACATTTTCCAAGGCCATTTCAAATGACTCCCTAGTCCTTGAACTCCCTGGTGATAATTTTAATAGCAGCAAGGACTATTTGGTAACTGGCTTGGATGGCAGGTTGCATTTGGCTTTAGCTGATAGAAAGCCTACTGCCTGTTTTTATTGAGGAGACAATATTCTAGACTATTATAAGGATATTTAAAGCTTTTCTAGCACCATATCCCTTAACTTCAGAGTGCTGCTAAGTATTAACATTTCTTCATAGGCTTTCTTTTTTAAACCTGCCTATGGAACTGTTCATCTTTATGTGTAACCACCCTTGATCGTTGATTTGATACCAGAAGTCCTGCACAGAAACCCTGGTCAGCTAGAGGTAACTGTCAGGACTAGGAAAATGCAGATGGTGCTTCAGGTGAACACTGCTTCATCTCTTCCCCAGTGGGCTCCATCTTAACTGCAACTCACTTCATTATCCGCTTGGGTGATTCTGGAACCATAGAAAATCAGGCAAGACTCCTACGGGGCAAACACACATTTACAAAAATAGTTTTAGTCTCACTTCTAATATTTTCCCCCTTTTTGAAATTTCAAAGAGAGCTGAGCAGGCTATTGATAGTCCAGGATGTGTGGTCACCATTTATAAATAGCACTATGAAAACACTACCCATAGTTTTTTTTTGTTGTTTGCCAGCATCTATCAATTGGATACAAATTATCAGACAGATAGCAGACGAGTCGCTACTTGGAGGATGCCCATTTATATAACAGAGGAGGCTCAGCCTGTCCAAGACCTATTTGTTGGCTGAGTGACAGCTCTGTGTGCCCTGGATCAAGGTGTGGCACTGCTGGTGGGTGCCATGGAGAACTCAGCCGAAACCAAGTGTCACATCACATGTCACCAGAGAAGCAATGGCTTCACAGAGCTGTACCTGTAAACGTAAAATGTTTAATGATGAATAATTTGTTTGAAGCTCTTCTTACTCCACATTTCCTTGGAAAATGAAACCACGGGAGGCATGAAAATCTCTAAAGGGCCTTTTTACATAGATTAATGTGGTAATTCTCTCATTACTATGTTCTGAAGAAGAGCTTCTTACACTTGGCTCTGTGCTTTGCCTTCAGTTATAACATGGCTTTGCATTAAGTGTTTTAATAAAATATGAAATTAAATGATCATCCTGGTGATATTCACCTCTTGGTTGAGGTAAGGAAAAATGTAGTTTCCATAGTACATGAAACCAAAGAGATTATTTTGCCTCCAATGAAGAGATCATTGGTCAAAGACAAGGTTTCCCATGGGCTCACACCTCTCCATTAATTGGAAATGTTTTAGTATTCTCTCCTGCATCTTTGAGGATTACAAATAATGTAACCAATTTACAGCTATGGAATATGTATCCCATCAGAAGCTAACCAGTTTAATTTATTTTTTATGCACATTTAACCAGGAAGTATTGGACGAAAGTAATTATTGAGAGTGATCATTTATACTGTCATTAACTATCTGTGCTTCTTTCTGTTGTAATAGGTGAGAAATAGAAACTTCCTGAGCAGCATTGATCTATTGACTGCTGGACCTGTTAGTAATAAAAGCCATAGATCAATAAAGGGATATAGAATAGGGATGTTTTTTGGTATAAAAATGGTGAAATATCTTTTCAAATGACTCATTCTAAAATAACAAAAAATCCTTCAAAACCGTTGAGGTTTGGGGTTATTTTTTAAGCAAGTGGTATTGACTGAAGAGCAAAAGGCCTTCCCACTAATGATGCCAAGGAAGATTACAGTGAGAGTTTTTGCAAATTGATTGTCCTCATTGGGTATCAATACTTTAGTTCTTTCTTAAAGGGATACTAGGGTTGACAAGCCAAAAGACAACAGCTATATGCTAATTGAATTAATTCTTCAACAATATCTCATTATTCTTGCATTCTGGTGCATACACAGCAGAAGATTTAGTTCTGAGACTAGTTACCTGAAGTGATAGTTTAGATCATGGCTCAGGACTGAGAATTGCAGGGTTCAAATCCTGGTTCTACCACTTATTACTTTAGGCAAATTTCTTAACTTTCCTTCACCTTAGAGTCCTCATCTATAAATCAATCATATACATTTCATATTATTATATGAAGATTAAATGAGATACTATTGATAAAGTATGTAGAGCAGAGCTTGGAACATGGCAGATGCTCAATGCATGTTAGTTGTGCTCAGGCATGAAACTTTCCCAGTCCTACCATTCCTAATTTCATGATATGTTATAACCATGATTCCCTTTAACAGTGGTGCCATTTCCCTGAAGAAAAATTGGTAGTATAGGAAAGCCTGAAAGTTGCCACATTGGGAACCATGGTTTCCAGGAATGACATGGAGTCCAAGCTGTGTGATAAATGCTGAATAGTTTAAATATCACCTGCCATGGCTCTCTGGGCCTAAAGGACGGTTCTCCATTTTGGCAGAATCAGGTCTGTTTGATCACTGGCACCTGAGCCAAGGTGTAATGACTTCAGGACATTGCTCCCTGTGGTAGATTTCACTTAAAGGTGCTCAATTTGCATTCTGTAAATGAGGGTAAAGGAAATCATGATAAAAATGCAAATAATTCTCTCTGGTTGTAACAAAATTGCTTGTTATTGTCTCTTTTTCCTCCTGACTACAATATTACACAGAGACTTGCACAATGTTCTCAAGGACTATTTGTAAAATACATTAATAAATACACAGTGTAGCCCTGCACAAGAAGCAATACTTATGGGTATATTGCTTTGGCTGTGAATTTAAAACAGCACACACATGCACACACACACACACACACACACATACACAGGTTCTTCACATTATAAGCCAAATACATATACCAACTGATGATTATACAAATAAATTAGAATCTGTTGATCATATGAGAGTTTACAAATTATCTAAAAAAACATACACCCTTTACATATTTCAAAAGGAACACTCGACATCTAGGTTTGTTGAATTACTGACTCAAGGTGACAAGTTAGAGGCAAAGCTAGAACTAAAATTCGGACTCTGTCCAGATCTTCTTCCTCGGCATCATCCTACCTCTGTTGGTAACAGGACTCCAAACTTGCTTTCACTTATCGAGAGTAAATGCTGAGTAAAACCTTGTTAGAACCTGGGAACATATACGATCTTTATTTCTTGACCCAACATGCCAAACTAAGGTCAGATTGTTAATTTTGTTTTATTTCTTCCTTCAAAAATTGACACACAATTTAGTTCTTTCCAGAAGGGTTAATAGGTTTCTCTTGTGTTAAGAGATATTTACACCAGAGTCTTAAAAATATTGAGTAACATTACAGAAAATAAATCAACAAAAGTTCAAGTTACCTTTCAAATATCAATCATATTTTGACAAGTCACTCCCTTACAAATTACAAATGGCTAAGCACTCTCCATGGGTAGCAACTGCTAGTGTTTTAAATGCAAGTCTTTTGTGAAACTATTCCTTCTTCTAAAGGAATAGTTTATTTTCTGCAAAAGGAAGGCTTTCAATTTTATGTATGTTATATTCAATTGTCATGGACTATACTCATATCATTCCTGATATTCCCTTGTATGACAAGTTTGCTTCCTCACACTCTGATAGCATTTGTAATATTTCATGTGTTTAAAAAGAGATACACTGAATTCCATGTCTTTATATGTAATCCAAATCTAGTTATTCATCAATTCATTGATTCTTAATCATGGTAACTTCTGCCCATTGGAAAAAGGAGAGTGCATTGGCTAAAAACCCACTGCTGCCACCTAGTGTTACTGGGCAAGCACTGCCTCAGCTTGACACCTTGCCTTTGTGCATCAGAAAGACATCATCCTTTGTATTGTGACACACACACACACACACACACACACAGAGATGTTACTTTAGCAATGATCTTCATAATTAATTATTTAGGAAATTTTTGTCTCTTCCTATTGACTCTTTTATATTTGAATAGTCTGCGTTCCAGACTTGCTTCTTTAATATGCTTGGCATTTGAATTCTTTGAAGGCTTTAAATGGATGAAGGCTTTAAATTGAAGGCTTTAAAAGACAATATGGTAGCTTAAGGCAATCATCCATATTGATGAAGTTCACTATAAATAGATGTATGCTGCAATAACCCATGTGTAAAAGCAATGTGTCCTTTTTTATTCTATTCCTATTGATTCCAACTCTCTAAGGATGTTGTCAATAGCTCTGCCAAAGGCCTCGAATGAAACCCACAACCCACCAAGTCATTTTGCTTTTCAGGGCAAAGACAAATCCCAGAAAGAAATGCACTACTGTATTCCAATGAAATTGATCAAACAAAGTACAATGATTTTCTTGCATGAGAAATTTTTTGTTGAATAGGAACTACCTTTCAAAGAGTCTGAAGTAATGAGATTTAAATGGCTTTCAAGATTCATGTCCATTTTATGGGGGTGTTTATATGCCTTTCAGTAGAAGCTCATAAGAGTAGGGATGTTAGAAACGTGAAGGGCTGGAGTTCTGTGGTAAGGAGCTCACTGGAGTGGCAAGTGTGTGATGACATGAGAAGTAGATGTCCGGAGCGGGAGGGTATTGACATCACCTCTCGCCCTGCTGAGCACAAGGAGAGCAGATGTGTTCCCAGGGATCCAGGAAGCCTCTTAGGATGGAGTGGAGCAGGGTGGAAGAGAGAGCTCTGTCTCAAAGACAGAAGAAGCATAAAGTAGTGGCAAGAGCACAGGATAAGGGCCATCAGCTGTGGAATTTTTCACTAATCTGATGTGTATTCTAGAGCCATAATCTAACCCTCTTGGGTCTTTCCTACTCTTACTCATTTCCACACAGCACACCTGCACCAAATGATGTCAGAAAAGTTTCCCTTATTGATGTGATCAAAACAGGTCTTTGAGGCATTCTCTTCTGAAAATGCAAATAAAATGAGCTGCCCCTTGGTATCTTCAGCTTTGAGATATATTTAAAAGAATGAACCCCTAAATCTCAGTTGCTGGACACTCAATAAAAGTTTATTTCTCACACACAATAGTTACATGCAAATATTCTGTGGGCAGTCTTTCACGCCAAGATAAGGGACCCAGGGTCCCTCCACCTTGTGACACTTCCATTCATTCACTAGGACCTTGGAGCCTTTCACTCCAGATAAGGCGTGAGGAGAAGAATTGCACCAGACATTTGTGTGACCAGACCTGGAATTTGTATACTTTATTTTATCCTCATTTTGCTGGAAGGAATTCAGACACCTAGCCACCAGTACTTCCACATACATTGAGAAATATTACCAAGATTTGGGCTTGGGAAATTGAGGAAATGGGTTTTGATGAATATGTATATAGCAATACAGTGAACATGTTACATGCACATTGCCTAGATACCATATATTTGTCTATCCAGGGGTTGGCAAATAATGGCCTATGTGTTAAATCTAGTATGTCATCTGTTTTTGTACAGCCCATGAGTTAAGAATTATTATTACAGTTTCAATTAGATGGAGGAAAAAGAGAAAGAGAGAAGAATACTCAACAGGGTGTTTATGATCCACAAAGCTTAAAATATTTACTATCTGACTCTTTACAGACAATGGTTGCCAACTCCTGGTCTACCTGTATGATTTAAGATCCTAGAAAGAAACAAATAATCACCTTCAATAGAACATTTAATGAAAGAACTTGTGTGAGTTTTCTGCTGCATATGAATTACCACAAACTTAGTGGCTTAAAATAGACTCATGTATTATCTCACAGTTTCTGTAAATCAGGAGTCTTGTCACAATTTATGTGGGTCCTCTGCTCGTAGTCTCATCAGTTTGCAATCCAGATGTTGGGTGGGGCTGTGGTCTCATCAGAGGCCTGACTGGGGAAAGATTCCTGACCAAGTGCCTTCAGCTTGTTGGCAGAATTTCTTATAGTTATGAGACTGGCATCCCTATTTGCTTGCTGGCGAGGGGCTGTCATAAGGTCTTAGAGTTCACTATGGTGGTTAAATTTATGTGTCAACTTGACTGGACTATGGGATGCCCAGACATTTGGTCAAGCATTATTCTAGGTGTGCCTATGAGGGTGTTTTTGGATGAGATTGACATTTGAATCAGTAGACTGAGTAAAGCAGATGCTCTCCCTAATGTGGATGGGCCTCATCCAGACAGCTGAGAACCTTAATAAAACAAAAAGGCTGATCTGAGCCTATACATATGTGTGTGTGTGTGTGTGTGTGTGTGTGTATGTCTATATATATATAACATATATAAGTGCGTGTGTGTGAGAGTGTGTGTGTGTGTGTATGTGTGTATTTTTCAACCTCAGGAAATTCACAACATGCTGCTTTTTCAAGGCCAGCAGAGCCTCATACACATTCTAATCAAGAGTTGTATCACCTTTGCCATATTTTAATGGTTAGAAGCAAGTCACAGGTTCTATCTATACTTAAGGAGAGGGGGTTACACATGGGCTTGACACATTTGGGGACTACCCTAGGGAATGTCTGCCACAGGACTATTTATAAACATTTAGCAGAGTTGAGAGAAACCAATAAGGGATGGAAAAATCCTAGGCTAGCGGAAGCTACTGTCATACTTAGACAAGAAGAGGAAAAAAGAGGAGCAGTTACAGGACTAGGTAAGATTTCTAGCCCTAGGAGAGGGCTACCATGATGGGATCCATGACCTTCATTGCGCAATACAGCCACTACCATCCCATGGCCAGGCAGAGGAACTAAAGAATAAGTACCAGAACTTCTCTTTCTGCCAGTTCTTTGTCTGACTCTTCCACCCCCAAATCTATCAGACAAGCAGAAGACAAGGAAAACTGATGGATGCAATCCACAGGAGTCACCCTCCCAGACAGCAAGCAGGGCAGGGACAGGGGGAGATGGATCTGGAGGGGGCAAATAACAGCTCTTCCAAATATCTAGCTTTTGACTTTCTCAAATCTCAAGGAAAACAGCAGATGGCCTTACATACAAATGATAAATTGAAAATGTATCTATATCAGAAAAATAAAAATGGCCAGAGGGTCTGCAGCCACATTCAGAGGACCACTAAGGTTATTCAAAATCACCATGTGAGAAGCCAACACAGCTTGGCTGGCCTCAGGGGTAAGCTGATCTCAGGGAACACTAATGCTTACCCAATGCATAAGAAGGAAATGCTGCAGCCTATTTTACTCTAACCAAGTTATGCGGTTGGAGAAATGTGCTTTAGGGAAAAGATGAAACAGCTCCACCCAACACCGAGAGCAGGTGACACCTGGTAGTCCTTCACATTTGAATTTCCAGCTTAGCGTCTGTTTTTAAATGAATTATGAGCTTGCTCCCACTGAGACCTGTCTGCTATGGAAACAGAGGCATGCTCCCATCTGTGGAAAGGTGATATTTTAAAGACTAGCCTTTCACTAAGCAAATTTCTTAATAGTAGAGCCATTTGACTACTAGGTCAACTTCCCCAGACAGCTGCTCAACTACATCAACAGCATCGAGGAGCAGTGCCTTTAAAAAGCAGAAGCATATTGGATCTGGAACTGCTAATGGATCTTTAAGGAGAGAAATGCAAAGGAATTAAGGCACATCACTCTTTGGCATGTTTGTGGCTGTTTTTGTTTCATTTCCAGCATATAAAAGAGTAGGTTATGATTATCCCAAAGTGACTTTATAATTAATATTGTTCTTAAATAATATATTCATAAAATGTAAGTATGTTTGTATGAATAATGTCAAAAATTCTAGAAATGCAGAAAGCAAGAAATAATTCTAGAAAAAAGGCCTTGGAGAGGAATCTACTGCTCATAAAATTTGAGTAAATTATTTGGTTCATACAAGAGGCTTTTTTTTTTCACATCACTTTTCCCATACTCCAGCACTTAGTATGATATTGTTGCACAATCAAAAAGTTGCTATACAAGTTCAGGTAAAACTAATTTTAAAGAACTCGGTAGCTATATGTTATATCATGGCAGACTTTCTACAGTAACTTTACTGGTTCCCTATAAATAGAATATTAATTGATGATGAAGAAAATAAAGCAGTAACCATACCAGAGTGGGAATGGCAGTATTGTCTTAAACTTCTGTTAATAATTGTTTTATTACAATGAATTACAATGACCATGGAAGGTTCATCTGAATACCAAATTCACTTCTGACTAGAGCTACTGGAGTCAGAAACCATATGAACTCATAATGATGAGATATTTAAAAATCTTTGTGTAAAACATGTAGCCTGGAAAACCATGAGAAGCAATGTTTAACTGTCTTTCTGGTCTGCAAATACATACTCACATACTTAAAAGTGGGAATCTTTAAGAGCTGGGTATAAAGGAATATTTTATAAGCTACTTTTCAATATTTTTGCATTTTTATGTTAAAGGTTACTTTAATACAAGAGTAAAATTCATTTTAAGAAATGGAACTAGGGTAAAGTAGATAAAGCGTAACCAGGAAATTTGTTTTACATCAACAAAGCATAGTGGAGAATTTCATATGTTTTGAAGAGGAGAGTGTATGGTGGGTATTAGAGGAAGAAGTTTGTTTTATTTATTTTATTGAGACACTTGAAAAATTCCTTGCTGTCTAATTCGCCTTACATTGAAGAGCCAGTATGTGGTTACCTAATACACTGTTAAGTGAAATTTGGTAGTCATCCATTTAATTTGATCACAAACCAAAACATTTCAGGAAATATCACATTGGACATGCATTTTCTAGAGTAAAATTTGTATTTTTCAATCAATTGATTTTTGGTTAGTTTCCCCTTAGTAGTCAAATTCTACAATATATTCACTTTACATTGGATAAGATAGAAACAAAACACGTTTCATGGATTTAAAACATTACCCTTCAATGGTTTTTCACACTTTCTGTATATATGTAATATACATAATATATAATCCAGACTTATGCAGAGCAGTTAGCCCCTTCCTAACTCTGCTCTCTTTATTGTCTTAGAGTTAACTCACAGCACTCCCTGAATATTCATGATCAGCTTATGGAACTGAGTGCTCCAGGTTGCTTCCATAGCCCCCTACCTCCATGGCTTTGCGCCAAGATTTCCTCAATTTGAAATGCCCTTCTCTTTTTCTCAGTCATGTAAACTCTTTCTCATCTTGAAGGGTAAGCATATCCTCCTCTGTAAAGCTTTCCTTGTCACACCAGGCAAAAGTGAGTCATTCTTTCCGAGATACCACAACACTTTGTAAACATCACAGCATTATCTAAACTATATTGCAATTATTTGTTGACATGCCCGACTCCACCGCTAAGTTGTGAGCTAGCTTATTCTCATTTATACCTGCCCCACTATTAGCATGGTGGCACACAATAATCTTTAATAATCTTTGTTTAATGAATGAATGATTATATTAATGGCTGAATTTTAGAGTTGGCCTATTGAGAATCAATAGTTTGTTTTATATACACAGGAAACAATAATGAATTCAAAAGTTTATGTATCAGTCATTTGTATTAGGGCAATATTAAGAACAAACAACAGGGACTAGTGCTTTCTTGATCCTGGCATATGTGCCAATTCCTAATCTCTTGCATTTGCATGTGTACAGACATGGCCTTTTTTTTCTAGCTGCCTCTGCTAAACATTAAGTACATTAACAGGCATGGTAGAGGCAGATAAGATTAACAAAGCGGGGAACAGAAGTTCATAGGTTTATTCTGGTAGGAAATACCATAGAAATAATCCAGACCCCACTGCAAACCTCACATTCAGCAGGATAATTGAATCTTCACATTCCTGTTTTAGAATCACATTGAGCCAACACAAAGCTTGATGTACCACTTTCTCTAGGCCAGTAGAGGGCAGCACACACTTCATTAACCAGGGAAGCAAGGTTGTGCTAGTCACACTTCAGCAGCCGGAGCTTGGAATAAGTGTTCTGGCAACAGAGATCCCAGGATTCTACCACTTCAACCAAAAGTCCCCTCGAAAATGCTTATTCTTTTAAAAATTTTGTGTTAACATCATTTTACCGGCTTCCAGCACACTTTTCAAACTGTGATTAGATATTCGCCTTGAGGGACAGTGCAGCAGAGTGGAAAGACCACATAGGCTTTAGGACCAGACAGAATAGGTTTGTACATCTAGAATATACTACTACTAGCTGTGTGCCTTGGTCAAGTTACTTAATCTTTCCAGTCCTCCTTGTTCTTACTTTTAAAACACAGATAATAAGATCTACCTCATGGGTTAATGTAAGATTGAATAAGAACATTTGCATCAGTTTGATGTTTTATTATTGTCTTGCCCCTTGTCTGTTTCTTCCCATGTGGGGCAAACAAACAATATCTACAAATGTCTGTCATGCACATTTTGTCTTGCAACATGTCATGGCAGAACCAAAAAGTGCCTATCCAGAACCATCCTTGAATCAATCTGCCAAGTGAGCCCCATATTTCTGCCTGGAGCTCACACTGGAAGCAGGCAGAGGACCACTCAAGAGGCAGAGGGGAGGATGGGCCTGGCCCCTGTTACAACCTCCCAGAGCCTCTATATGTGTCTAGGGTAGTGGCTGGCAGGCTGGGGAAACATGGGTCAGAGGAGTGGCTGGGGCTTTTCAGAGATCAGGAGGGCTCCTAAAATGGGAAAGAAGATTAATTTATGCAAGGTCCTGTCCTGGGCCAATTTCACATACCCACTACGTGTCAAATCTGGAATTTGAAAGTGTCTTAGTTCCTTCTGGCTTAGATAACAGCCAGATAACAGAGTACTATAAAGTGGGTGGCTTATAAACAATAGAAATTTATTTCTCATGGTTCTAGAGTCTGGGAAGTCCAAGATCAAGGTGCTGACAGATTCAGTGGTTAGTAAGGACCTACTCTTCTGGTTCATAGACAGCCATCTTTTTGCTGGGTCTTCACATAGCAGAGGGGCAAGGGAATTCTCTGAATTTCATTCATGAGGGCTCTGTCCTCATAACCTAAACACTTCTTAAAGGCCCTGCTTCCAAATATCATCACATTGCAGATTAGGTTTCAACATATGAATTTCGGGGGGACACAAACACTCAGTATATAGCAGAAGATGAGCTAAGAATCAAAGGTGTCATAGCCAGAAATAATCCAGGAGCACCAATGAAGTCCGGGAGGCCCAGCAAAGAGTAGTTCTGGGCACAAGGTGTGGAGGGTTTAGACAACTGCAGCAAAGAGAGGCCTTAGCATTGAATCAACAAGCAGAAGCTACTGAGGGCCTTGGGGTTTCTGCAGTTAAGCTGTAAGAAACTAGGCAAAGAAATGGCAGTTTACAGGCCAGGTGTGATGGCTCAAGCCTATAATCCCAACAGCTTGTGAGGTCAAGGGAGGCTGATAACTTGAGCCCAGGAATTTGAGATCACCCTGGAAAACGTGGTGAAACCCCATCTCTACAAACAAACAAAGAAACAAAGAATACAAAAATTAGCCAGGCATAGTGACATGCACCTGTAGTTCCAGCTACTGGGGAGGCTGACGTGGGAGAATCCCTTCAGCCCATGAGGTCAAACCTCCAGTGAGCCAAGACTGCACCACTGCCCTCAAAGCCTGGGTGACAGAATGAGACCCTATTTCAAAAAAAAAAAAAAAAAGAAAGAAAGAAAAAGAAAAAAGAAAGAAAGAAAGAAAAGAAAAAGGAAAAGAAATAGAGAAAGAGCAGTTTATTACTGCACTATTTCTCATAACCTCTTCAATTTAACTTCTTTAGCTTAACAATGGACAATACCTATTACTTTATTTCTTTGAACTTGTTTCTTCATCTGTACAATATGGGCCATAAAACTTCAGGGATATCTTGCGAAGGTGAGATAAGATAGCACTGCTGCAGTTTCGAGGACCTGGTAGGAACTAAAGAGTTAGAATTCTTGCCTTTCACATATACATATGTAAATATACATATTTATATCGCTCACAATGCTTTTTGATGTTGTTTATCTTACTCTATTTTCCACTTTTAAAAAAGAATATTTGATCACTAGATTTAACATAATATTTTATAGATATGAAATCAAATATTAATAAAAGTATACTCTAATTTCTCAATCTTGTATAAGTCTCACAGATTTTATTACTAAAAATGTTTTGGTTTACGTTGTTTTTGAGCTAGAGTCCAACTTTATTTCTAGTGTTTCAATACAGACATGCCTAGAATTGGGAATTTGTCTTTTAATCTGAAAAATTAATATCATATGAATGGATAATTGTAATAATGGATTTTCTAGAATAAGTTCCACTTGGTGAAGATTATTACTTTTAATGTACTGGTGCTGAATCCTGTTCACTGTTATTTTATTTAAGGTTTGTGCATGCATAGTCAAAATTAAGATTGCTTAGGTGTTTCTCTTTTTGTGTGCCATCTTTGTCCAAGTTTGGGATCAATGTGATACTTTACCATGAAATAACAGAGTTTTTCAAGAAAATAGTTCACATACTTATATTGTGAATATGTAAATGGATGGGAGGAAATGATTCTGGGTGAGAGACATTTAGGTAGTGATAGGGAATAGCACAAAATCCATAGACTATTTTACCTACGCAACAAATTCTAGGAGTGATATGAGTAAGTAGCTCATGTAAATGTTACCGGGCAGGTATCCTGCCATGGAGAAAGAAAGGTTGAAACCCACTGGTCCAGTTAATCTGTCAGGTTCATTCCATTCTATTTGTAATAAGAACAAATTCTCAGCTATAAACTCCCCCACCTCTCAGACAGTGCATGACCATCACTAGCATTTATGAGAGTGAGTGAGAGCGAGGCAAACACTGTTCTAATGATCTCTGTGGGATCAGCTGGCAGGTACATGTTGATCAGAGGCCAGGATCAAATAGTGACATTGATTTGGTCACTAAGTTCCTTTTGGTTTTCCAGTCCACCTCATTTAAACCTCTTCTGTTTTTTGGGTGTTTAATTTTCCTTGTGGAGTCACTGCCCTTGATAAAAGTTTAATTACAGGGCTGGGCTCAGTGGCTCACGCCTGTAATCCCAACACTTTAGGAGGCTGAGGCAGGTGGATCACTTGAGGTCAGGAGTTCATGACCAGCCTGACCAACATGGTGAAACTCCGTCTCTACTGAAAATACAGAATTAGCCCGGTGTGGTGGCAGGCGCCTGTAGTCTCAGCTACTTGGGAGGCTGAGGCAGGAGAATTGCTTGAACCGGGGAGGCGGAGGTTGCAGTGAGCCAATATCGTGCCATTGCATTCCAGCCTGGTGACAGAGTGAGTCTCTGTGTCAGAAAAAAACAAAAACAAAAACAAAAACAAAAACCAGTTTAATTACTATTACTGGTTCTTTGTGAACAAAGTATGATGTAAAATGCCATGTGCTGCCCTCTGCAGGTTATTGAAATAAATGGCCACTGTCAGTCATTCTGAGTAGTTTTGTCAGAAATTTTGATGAGCTCCCTATGTTTTGTTTTGCTTTTTATCTTGCTTACATAGTTCTATATGCACAATGTCAGCATTTTGTCCACTCAGTATATGTTTATTGTTCCTAGTAGATACCAAGTACTCAACTAGGTCTAAGGAAATCATTGACAAATAAAAGCAGATAAATTACATTCTAACACTGTATTTTGAAGTTAAATATGTAATGTTTCTAAGATGAAAAATACTATGAAGTAAGACAAGGAGATACAAAATGATGAGGAGTGTTACTTACATGAAGTTGCCATGAAAGACTTCTTTGATAAACTGATATTTGAGGATAGACCTGAAAGAAGTGAAGGAAAAATAATAAGGATATAAGAAAAAAGGTTTCTGAGTAGAGAGAAAAAGTACAAAGGCCCTAAACCACAACATACTTGGCATGTTCTAGATACAGCAAGGGAGCCAGTGTGGTCAGAGCTGAGGGATGGAGGATGATAACAGATGATCATGCTCTGAGAGGCATAGAGAAGCAAGACCATAGAAGGCCTTTGGGCCATGGTAAGAATTTGGGGTTTACTGTCATATGAAAAGGCATTGGGGATTTTGAACAGAGAAATGATATGTTCTCACATATGTTTAAAAGTATCACTCTGGCCCTTATGTGAGAAAAGACCAAAGGGGACAAAGATGGAAGTAGAGAGACAAGATAGCAGGCATTGCAATGGTATAAATGGGATAATAACTTGGCTTCGTTTAGCAAAGTAGCAGCGAGGTGGGTTAAAAGTTGTCTTGTTTGGTATGAGATGTGAGCAAATTAAAAATCAGGAAGACTACACAGCAGGTTGGGCAGGTTAAATTTGAGGCAGAGCTCACACTTAAACATGTCATTGGCCTACTAGACATCCAAGTGAAATATTAAGCAGATAATTGCACAAATATGTCTGGAGTTTGGGAATAAAGTTGAGGCCAGAGTTATAAATATGGGAATCATGAACTTACATAGGGGATTTATTCCGATGGGAATGGATGAAATTAACAAAAAAGTGAGAGTAGGAAGAGAAGACTTGGAGGCTTGAACCCTCAGGCGTTCAAATATTTGGAATCTGGAAGATAAGGTGGAACCAGTAGAGAATGTTGGGAAGGAAAGAGGGGAATCAAAAGAAAACAGTAGTTCAGAATCAAAGTGAAGAAAGTGTTTCAAAAATGGAGACACTGGCTTTGTTGGGCAATGCTAATACAGTACTATGAGAACCAAAATAATTTTGAACTTACAACATAAAAATTGTACTTGATGTTGACAGAAGTTTTGGTGAATTGTTGGAAATGAAAAACTGATTAGAGTGAAATCGAGAGAGAATTGGAGTAGAGGCGATAAGACATCTTGAATACAGGAACTTCTTTGAGCACTGCTGAAAGGGGAATACAAAATGGAGTGCTACCTCTTGAGGAAGAAGGAACAAAGTCTCCTTTTTTAAAAAACTGAGGTATTTTAACATGATTATATGGGGAAGGAAATTATCCAGTAGAAAGAGAATAATTTTTGACAGGTGAGAGAAGGGATGCTTGTGAGAGTGTTATCACTGGGTAGCCAAGAATGGAGGTACGTATGTTCCCAGCAAAGGGACTGAGTAGTGAATGTAAAGTTCAATTCAACCAGAAAGATGGTAAGCTATGCACACAAATGGAAGCAGGTGGATAGATACGGTGATGGAAGAGTAGCTTCTTACTCAATTTTTCCAGGGAGTGAGAAGCAAGATAATCAGCTAAGATTGAAGAGCAAAGAGAAATTGGAAGTTTGATAGCACCTGGTCAGTATTCGAGGGGTGGTATGTGAAAGAGGATTGAGTTTTGTTCTCAAGACCAGTTATGTAGAGCACACAAGAACTCGAGCCATGAAACTGGCATACTTTTATAAACAACAGAAACAATGTATTCACTTTTTTTCACTCATGGATTCACCACTTATTTCTTAATGCACATTTATTGAGACCCTGTGGTCGATCCTAGAAAAATTACAACTCTAAGTCATAGTCACCAAGATCATAGAGGAGCCTATAATCTAGTAGGGGAGACAGACGAGGAAAAAAATTACCCTTCTCTTCATTTATGTAGGATACATGTCATCTTTTCCGTGACCATCCTTACTAGATATCTTGAGACATTATCCACTTCAAATATTCTGTTTCGTTCTACTAATAAGCACTGTCAATTGTAATGCTACATGTTTCTATTCTTGCTTCAGAAAATGTGATGCCCATCACAATTACTGGGGCATGTTCAAAATGCTAAGAAAACATAGAATAAGGAATGATTCATTCTAGCTAGAGAGTAGAGATTCATTTAAGCAAAGTCTTGAAGGGTGAGTTAAAAAGACAACTGCATGCCGTATACCAGAAATGCATGCCCTATACCAGATACCAGATACCATATACCAGAAAGAAAATGTGTAAAATCCTAGAGGCATGAATCTGGACAGATGCGCTGAGAATAACTTGCTAATGGAGACTCTTCAAATAAGTTGAAATCATTCACTGCATTGTTTTTGCTTTTGTTTTTAAGCAGAAAAAAAAAATAGCATAGTTGGATGTTGTCTTGGGTAGACCAGTTAGGTGGCCACATGGGAGGCAGATGGAAGACAAGACCAGGAAGGTGTCAGATGTTAATAATTAAAAGGCTGATGAGGACCTGCCCTGGGACAAGGACAGTGGTGGTACAAGGAACGAATAGATTAAAGATACATTTTTTTCGAGAGCACAGTTGACAAGCCTTGCTGAAAGACCTGTTGAGGGGGATAAAGGAGCACAGGGCATCCAAAGACTTCCCAATGTTTTCTACATTTCCAGACTGGGTGGGAAGTGATAGAGCTAACTGAAATAGGAATTACAGGAGATATGATAAGTCTCTTTTCTGTTTGGTGTTTTTTTTTTTTTAGAGATAATGAGATTTGAATTTTGGCATTATGTTTGATTTGTAGATACCTATTGGACCATGGAAATAAGAACAATGCTTAGGAGACAAGCAATGGAAATTATCACTGGGTAAGTGCTAATTAAAACCTTAGAGGATAATGAACTCATTGAGCATTTATTTCTGCAATGAGACAAGAAGAAGACTGAAGGTTGACTTGGAGAGGGAATACTAGTATAATTAAGAGGCAAGTCAAGATGAGCCTGTGAAAGAAGGACAAGATCAACTTGTCAAATTCTCCATGGAAGCCGGAAGCCAGGCTTCAACTCAAGCCTGAAGCCACGTGTCAAACAATGGTGACTTTAGGGGGCACGGCCTCAGTTGGCACCATGCATGAAAGAGAACGGAGACTTAACAACAAGGGTGAGGACGATGCATGTGTAAAAATAAAAGGGGAGTAAAAAGCATTATGCATCCCAAGTTATAGGAATAATGCTTAGAAGTATCAGTCCAAGGTAGGGAAGGAAATGGATGAGGCTAGAGAGACTTTATACTCGAATTCAAATATAGTTATTTGAATTCCTGCTCAGATCTAGCTTATATATCACAATAGCTGTTCCACTCACAGGGAAATAAGATGATGGGAGAGGAGGTGGTAGAATGAAGGCCAGTGATATGTCACTTAAAAGATTTTGGTCACTTTGTTAAGGATGATATGTTCTAAAATGTAAAATGTATCCTATCACCATATGAACAGACACTTCTCAAAAGAAGACATTCATGCAGCCAACACCATATGAAAAAAAGCTCATCATTACTGGTCATTAGGGAAATACAAATCAAAACCACAATAAGATACCATCTCACACCAGTTAGAGTGGCGATTATTGAAGTCAGGAGACAACAAATGCTGGTGAGGATGTGGAGAAATAGGAATGCTTTTACACTGCTGGTGGGAGTGTAAATTAATTCAACCATTATGGAAGACAGTGTGGCAATTCCTCAAAAATCTAGAACCAGGAATACCATTTGACCCAGCAATCCCATTACTGGGTATATACCCAAAGGATTATAAATCATTCTACTATAAAGACACATGCACACGTATGTTTATTGCAGCACTATTTACAATAGCACAGTCTTGGAAGCAACCCAAATGCCCATCAATGATAGGCTGGATAAAGAAAATGTGGCACATGTAAGTTGAGAGCCACAGAGAAATATTGACTAACAGAACAAAATTTTTAAATGTCTGGAATACTGTGCAGCCATAAAAAAGGATGAGTTCATGTCATTTGCAGGGACATGGATGAAGCTGGAAGCCATCACTCTCAGCAAACTAACACAGGAACAGAAAACCTAACATTGCCTGTTTTCACTCATAAGTGAGAGTTGAACAATGAGAACACATGGACACAGGGCGGGGAACATCACACACCTAGGCCTTTCGGGGGATGGGGGGCAAGGCAAGGGAGAGCATTAGGCCGAATACCTAATGCGTGTGGGGCTTAAAACCTAGAAGATGGGTTGGTAGGTGCAGCAAACCACTATGGCACATGTATACCTATGTAACAAACCTGCATATTCTGCACATGTATCCCAGAACTTAAAGTAAAATAATAATTTTAAAAAAGTATCCTATCACCCTTAACCATGCTTCCTCTGAAAACCTAGCAAACAAATAAACCCCAAATATACAGCTTTACCTAAATCCCTGTGCTTCGTGTTGGTATAAGAAAAGAAGACAACAAGTACAAGAAGGAATATTGCTACTCCTCAATTTCTCTTTCTAAATTGTTCTCTACAAAAGGCCGTATGCACAACTTTTAGGAATAAACCATTTTGAATATAATCATTTAAGCTCACTGCATTGCTTTCTTCTTCAAACTGCACATTTTTAAAAAGAAAAAAAGAATAATTTTGTTGTAGCACTTTTCCATATAAGTGATTTTTTACTGCACTATTTTATTCAACCTCCCAATAATCCTATGGAATTGATATTATTATCACCATTATTAAATGTGTAAACAAAGTCTCAGGACAGGCCGAGCACAGTGGCTCACACCTCTAATCCCAGCACTTTGGGAGGCCAAGGCAGGCAGATCACCTAAGGTCAGGAGTTCGAGACCAGCCTGGCCAACATGGTGAAACCCCATCTCCACCAAAAATACAAAAATTAGCTGGGCATGGTGGCAGGTGTCTGTAATCCCAGGTACTCGGGAGGCTGAGGCAGAAGAATCACTTGAACCCAGGAGGCAGAGGTTGCAATGAGCCAAGATTGCACCACTGCACTCCAGCCTGGGCGACAACGGTGAAACTCCATCTCAAAAAAAAAAAAAAAAAAGCCTCAGAACAGGGTAACACATTTATCTTCAGGTCATTTGGTTAGGAAAAGGCAGGGCCAGGGTCAGTAGAATCCAGGTGATCTCACTTCTATGCTCTTGCAGTATATTAATTTGCTTGTTCAACAAAGGATGCCTGGACCCACAGAGGCTTTCTTTAATTCCACAAGAAGCAAATTGCTGTATTAAGTGAGCTATTTCCCCTAAATGTGACAAATCAAAGTTGAGAAAGACCGTGCCATTTGGTATGGTTTAGTATTCAAAATTTAAATAAAATAAGAAGCTTTTATTATTTTGTATTATAAAGTATATAATAAATACACAATAAAAGCATTGAAAAAGAAAATAAAGTAGCATTTTAAATAGTATACGAAATTCCCTCTGAAATTCTACTACTCAAGTGGCTGTGTACTGCTAGCAATGAATGTAATAAAGTTTTAAATAGTTGGACACTGGTAAAATGCATGAAAGGAATGTATGAAAGATTTTAAGGGTTTTATGACCATTTAACAGGTTCCTGGAGAAAACTATTAAATAATTAGTTGAGAGCTACAGAGGAACATTGACTAATAGAACAAAATTTTTAAACGTCTGCAGATTATATATTCAAGATAAAGTACATTGCACTGTTTTTCATAAAATATTTACGGGATGTTTTAGGAGTATTTTGACAAGATTTTAGCATTTTAACTTTTATGCAGACTTAGAACATAACATTTGGGAAAAGTTGTATACTGTTAACATTTTCAAACCAGAGTTTTAAAAATTGGGATTGAAGGAAACATGGAATGCTGAAGACATTGTATGATTTGTGAGAGAATAGTTATGTGGAAAAAGTGACAAACATGATATACAAATCCCACAAAACTCCTCTTGCAGAGTACTTGTGTCAAATAGCTCATTGTTAAGGAGAGAGATTCTTTTTTTAACTTTAAGCTCTGGGATACGTGAGCAGAATGCACAGGTTTGTTATGTAGATATACATCTGCCATGGTGGTTTGCTGCACCTATCAACCTGTCATCTAGGTTTTAAGCCCCACATGCATTAGGTATTTGTCCTAATGAAGGAGAGGGACTCTTATATGACCTCCTTCCTGGTTACTTTTCTTCTTAGCAGCAGGAACTCAAATCTGCTTTCCACTTTATTTCCACTGTATGAACCACATTTGCTGTCAATGCAAATATCTATGTCCTATTGGTTGTTGCTGGATTAAACTTTGTTTCTGTAAAGCTACTGAAGGGGACGAAAAAAAATTTTTTCTGTCCACCCTGTTAAAATAAAAACCTTCGCCAAATTAAACAAAGTTGAGTTAAGCAAAGAATGATTCGCAAATCAGGTAGCCTCCGAAGCCAGAGTAGGCCCAGAGACTCCAGCGCAGCCAGGTAGTGGAAGAAGATTTATGGACAGAAAAAGGGAAGTGATCTGTAGAAAAAAGAAGTGAGGTACAGAAACAGAGAATTGTGACAGCTTGGCATCTGCCTTATTTGAACATGGTTTGAAAGGTTGGCTGCCTTCGACTGGACAAAACTCAGTGACTGGCACGAAAGTAGGCTATAGTCTGTTTACCACTCCATTAGAGTTATAGTTCACCATGTACAGAGAAACCTTATGGCCAAACTTAAAACATGTAAGTGAGACAGCCAAGTAAAAAGAGGTCCCTGGAGAACTTCCGACCGGCCTGGGCGCTGGGAAGACAGCGCGCTGTGGTGGAGCCTCAGGATGTTCATGCCTTTTGCAGTGGTGAGGAGCCTGGCCTCTCCTGCTCAAGGGTGGGAACCTGGGATTCAATCTGTGAGATGAGGGCCTGCAAACAGGAACCTCTCACTTTGTTGAGTTTTTTTTTCCTTTTCACCCAATAAATTCCATTTTTCCCACCCTTCTATGTGTCCGCGAGCCTAATCTTTCCTGGTAGTGTGAACCCCGTTTTTAGCTGAACTAAGGAGAAAGTCCTACAACATAAGGAAGCAGCTTTAGGCTAAACTTGATTTAACAACCCTCATGAGTTCTTAGCGGAAAGAGAGCTCTGCCATAAAAGAGAGATTAACAGGAGAAAAACATCCAGGAGTTTATTAATATGTTTATTTCATATATACGTGAAAGATACCCAGGGAATGAGTAATTCTCAAAGAGGTGGCTTTGAATTCCAGCTTATATAACATCTTTGACAAAGAACAGTAAATTTTTAGAGAAGTGATAGGACAAAGAAAAAGGAATTCAAGTCTCTGGGGGCAGCAGATTGCGGGAAAGCAAATAAATGGCAGATAAAGGCTAGTGAGGAAAGGTTGTTAAGGAAGATTACTTTGGTGCCATCTCCAGGCTGACAAGCGTCTAAAGCTGTTTCAGTGGTTAACCTTTGTTCCCGCTGGTAGAGAGGGGAGGCAGGATGCCTTTTCTCTTTGTAAATTTATGTCCTGCTTTTAGGCAAATAGAGGGAGAATGGAGAGGTTTCCTGCGCCTGCCTCTTCTCAGTTGCCTTCAGATCAAAACAATCATTATGCCAAAGAGGCATATATTGGGGTGGCATATTCTAGTCTCCCATACTACCATTTTCTTTATACCAGGGGTTACAACTTGGGCCGGCTTTTGAAAATATTTGGAAAACTGTGTATTTATTTCATATGTACATTTCACTTGGGGAATTTTTCCATATATGGAAAGGGATTGTTTTAGTCTCAAGCTACTTTGCATATATGGAAAAGTAATTAAGGTATTTGTTGATGTTGGTGGTGTTGTTTTCCTTACTGGATATCTAATTACTATTTCCATAGGGTGAAACAAAGTAGCTCTGAACTTTACCACAATAAAGCACCTCTGAAAGTCCAAACTTTATCCTTGCACTATTTTCATTGGCTAAAATGGTGGCCAAGGGCAATCCAGACTGAGAACTTTTGTCAGCCACAGTACTGAAACCATGATACTTGGATAAATGACATGTTAAGCCATGCTTGGCCATTATACTTCCTGCCAAGAGTTGTGACAAATCATAGACTTCAAAAACGCCATCATGGGGGAAAAATGAGTTCTTTAGGAAAGAACAGTATTTGTCTTCCTCAAGTATAACTCATCATTAAGAATAAGTGTCTGGAAAAGAAAACAGTTCTTGAACTGACATTGTAACTTTGCCCCTTTTATTAACATCAGAACAGAATTATTCTTAAGGAAAATCTGCATGCTCTTATTAGTTCTCTTGATCACTGCCAATCTATAATTAGTGAAGTAGCAACTTGTATAAAAGATTTTAGAAATGCATAATGCAAACAGGAGAAAATCATGGCTCTTGAAAGGTAATCAATGTCTTCAAAAAATTTAAGATACATTTATAAGTTACGTTAGCCAAGAACATTTATATATTATCTATAAAAAGTCCTTAAGTAGATGTGAATAAAAGGAGAAAATGGAAATATTTAGCTTACTTGTTAAAATATTCTACACCAAAGATGTTGATTATCAAGCAAGTTTTAAATAATAATTGTACTTATTATCTGAGGCTATATCTCATCTGATTATGTGTTTTTCCAACAAAAACAAAATCAAAGCAAAGCAAAAACAAAGCAAACCATAGCCAACATATTACAAACTATTAAATGGAATGCTTGCCTACTTTATGACATTGACTCAGATGTTTTCTCAATTCTAGCTGGAAATCACCTTGTATCTCTCAAATGAAGGACTTGCTATCTAATGTTAACTTTTTTTAATGGCACTATTTTGCTTCTTTAACAATAAGATCAGGTAAAAATTGACATGTAGAGCACTTAGCCTTTAGATGAGTTTTTTTTTTTTTCTGGAACAATCAATTTCATTTTACATATATTACCTCATTGACCTTTAACATTGTTCAAGGATGGTGTTATCTACATTTTGCAGATAAACCAAGAGAAAACAAAACAAAACAAAACACCCTCAATCCGTCTTAAGATTCAACTGTTACTGTATGTCTGTTATGTGTTAATAGCTTGAGAAAAAAAATTGAAATTTGCACCCCTTAAATCCCTAAAGGGATTATTCTGTATTGGCTGCTGCGTGAGATAGTAAGACCCATTCATCAGTTCCCATTTGTTGTTCTAATTTTGTTGTCCTCAGAGTGCCACATGTAAACAGCATCGGCTATGGTTTACTTGAAAGTAAAACTCAAGGTAACTTTGGTCTTTTGACTGGGTATGCAGAACTTCACGCTGAAAGGAAAGTGTGGTTGATTGATAAAACCTCTAGATGTTTCATTTTTTTGTAAAAGCTAATCTTTAGATAGATTTCTCAGTGAAGGTAACAGCTTGCCTTGACAACTTGGTGAACATAGTATTTTCATTTCACACAAAATATATGGCAGGCATTAATTTTCAGTGTCAGATCAATTCATTGACCACAACTATCAAGAGCACAAAGAGACTGGACAATTAATTCCTTTTTGACATGAAATTACTATATATTAGAACTGCAGCCTTCAATCTTTCTCCAACCAAATGTCTAATACTGTGCTTTCTGAGGTCATTGAAAGCACAATGCATAAAACCTTTGACCAAAACTCTTTTCATGTTTCTATACTTGTTTGCTGACTGTTTTGTATCAAATCATTGTTTTCCTTTAAATTGCTCTCCCATCTTTCCCAAAGTGTTATTTCTAGAGTAGAAACATCAGAAAAGCATGAATTTAAGATTCCTCAACCCCTCCTCTGTAATTAGGTAGATTTTTCTTTTACATGAGTGTCTGCATTACTTGTACACAATATCTAAACTGATTTTATACACATACACACACACCACATAATCTTGACATATATAAATTCTTGAAATGTATGTATGGGTGTGTGGGGTGTATGTATATATATATAAATTTGGTTTTGGCTGGTTCCTGTCAGAAGTGGTCAGCCTCCTAGGGCTTGGAGTTTGGCATCCTAAAGCTTATCCCTAGGATGAATTTGACCTCTGAGAATTCAGCTTTAACATATCAAAGCTATTTTATTTCAGAGGTGTCACCAAAGAGTAAGATGAGGCTATTGAATGGCCTTTACCACACCACCCACCTCTATATATCTAGCTTAATGCCTGCCATGCAGTGGCCATTCAATGAGTACTTGTTCAGTGAATGAATGAGTTCCTTTTAAAGACATTGTGGTAATGTCTAATTTACATGAATTGATTTCAGCAAGTTGAGAGCAGATCGTATTTGTCAATGTTAGTCATGTTCATTTCCAGTTAACAAAGGTAGTTTTTATATGTCCCTGGGAGTGTTGAGGAAGCAGGCACTCTATGCTGTGGGATCTGGATGGCATGAAGGATGAAGAAGGCATACGTGAGAGGCAGCCTGGCATAGGGGTTAAGAATGTGGGCGCCAGAGTGAAAGTGCCTGGGTTTGAATATTGATTCTGCTCAGGACTAGCTCTGGGACTTTGGACAAATTATTTACACTCTCTGTTTAATGGAGATAATAATAATAGTATCAACTTCGTAGGCTTAAAGTGAGACCGTCAGGTGAGTTATAGCAACTAAAACAGTTCCTGACACAAAGTAAGTTTGTGAACCAGGAAAGGCAACGAGAGTATTTCTATTGTTGATCTCCAGTTACAAAAACGTCACTTCTTCATTAAATTTTACTTTTAAAAAATAAGCTCCTCTTTTCTCTCCCAGCTCATTGGGCTTAAATGCAAATATTGAAATAAATCAAAATATTTTCAAGCATATTTAGCCTCCTATCTTATGCTTAGTGGTAAATGCAGATCAGTTTCCCACTATTACAAACCCTTCTCCTGGGAAATCCTCCTCATGACCCAGCCAGATGTCCGCACACAGGAGTACTCAAATGCCTGGTGGAAATCCTGAAGTCTCTCCAATCACAATCATACTAATAATAGCAAGATTCTCTGAATGCTTATCAGGTGGCAGACACTGTGCTAAATGCTTTGTATGCATGACACCACTGCATGCCCTGTCCAAGACTGAGGAGTGTAGCCTCATAGAACCCAGTGAAGTCCTGCAGTCCTGGGCCACCTGACCACTCTGTCTGTAGCAAAAAGTCTGGAGGGTAGGGAGGTAAACTAGCTTCAAAGAGCCCACATGAAGCATTCCAGGTTATGCTCCGTTTCCCGCGGGTCCCATGAGTTCCGATGTAGGCCTCTCATTGGAGCTCTTTGGCCCTCAGTGCCCAGGAATTCTTCCCTCTGAATCCCAACGTTCTTAAACTCACATTGAGCCTTCTTTTCTGAACTAACCTTCAGCCTCAGTTATCTGAATGATATTTCAACCACCCTTGGTCAGAGTTCATTAGCCACTGAGGTTCTAGAATTATCTCCTAGAATAAAAGATACTGCTCATGGCCCATGATTAGGGAAATTACTGATCCATATAGAGAGCATCTGGGCTAGAATTCAAATTCAGAATATTTAACTCAAACTGGTAGGTTTTGAGTAGCCTTGTACAGGTCTCTCAAAAACTATCTTCCTTATTGCCTATCTGCCACAGTGCCAAAAATGTTACCATTTAAAATTTAATCCCTTGAGTCTTAAAGGTGTTCTATCTTTTCTACTTAAAAGACAAGAGTTTCAAGAAAATTTGCAGATTTCCCATACTATCTGCATGATCTTCAGTATCATTTATGTAGATCACCAATTATGTAAGCATGAGACTCTAGTACCTTATTACATTTCATCTCTTGTGTTTAATCCTCAAATTAAATCTGCAGATCACACTTGCTGTAACAATCTCAAGATGAAGAAACAAAGGTTTAAAAAGGTCACATAGCTTTGGGGCAGTTAAGAAATAGATTTGAGTGATCCAAGGCATTCATTGCATTTCCATATTGCCTGCTCAAATTTGGTTGACTAAATTTCTGATTTTAAATTAAAAGTTTAAATTTACCCAAATAACTTTCATACTCACTTTTTCTCTCTCTACTTAGTTTTAATTCTGTACAAACATGGACCCTGCTCACCAGTAATTTCAAAGACTTTTTAAATGTCAGGAGTTGAGCTGAGATTTCATGACTCTCCAGTCTCTCTACAGGTCATTAGTCCAAAATACTTTTCAGGCCAACCCATAGCCCCCAGTGACTCCAAATGCCAGTTAAACAGATGCCCACCCTTGGTAATATCTGCTTAAAACCCAAAGAGTAAATCTTGTAAGTAGCTCTACAGATTTGACTATTGAAAGACTAATGGGTCCATGTAAAATAATCTTCTTCCAACTTCTGGGCTTACGAAAGCCCTAAAAACAAATTAACTTTAATGTTTTTCCAAGGTTTGTTAACCTTGCTTGCTCAACAGCTGCTCTGCTTTCATAATGAAAGAGAAACGAAGCTGTAATGGCCCTAAGGTTGCCAAAATTTGGGGGTGAACAAGCATTCTGTGCTCTTCAGAACATTCTCTCTCCATGAAGTATGATTGTCAGATTCCAAAAGTCTCAGGACATTTACATCTCAGCAGTGATGTATGCCATAGATATACAGCAAATAGGGCTGCAGTGAAATTTAATGTTCACTTTTGATGCTCCAGTTCTTATTAGAAAAGGTCACTGACTGTCCTACTCAGATGATTAATGCAGACTGTTGCCTCTTTATGGGATATTTCTCCAATATGTGCTGCCTAAGTGACTGTTTGTTCCTCATTTCAGACTCTACCAGTGTTTAATACTCAACATGAATTTAGATTGGTGGAAAAAATGCCACTTTTCAGCTGCAGGTTTTGTAGATTGCCCTGTTAAAAGGAAGCTTAAATCACAGGGTCCAAAGAAAGGTTGAAGCCCATTTTCATAAAATTTACTCCAGCAGTTTTCTTAAATTTATGCTGATAGAGTGATTATTACAATAAACAAGCCCTTTGTCAGAGGTGCTTGGAAAATGCAAGCCAGAAGTATTTTCTTTCAGAAATTCATTAGTTAAATCCTATCAGACCAAGGTAGAGGTAATCCCTTATTTCTTATGTTACAAAAAGCAAAATTTCTTAAAATATAAATCTTCTGTACCTTACCTGCAAATGAGTTATAACATGGACACACAACACTGCTTATGATATATTTTGAGGTTAAGAAACTTGTTTCGATTTGTCACTTCTTGGGGTCAAAAATAATAACAGATTTTATATTCTCTCCCTATACCTATCCAAAGATCATTCCTTAGAGGAAGGAACTTTTCAGGATCAACCATACCAATTTAAACGCCTGGATATCTATTGCTCTTGTGTTTGCTGTTCTTGCCTCTATTTCTGCTCTTACTTCTTATTTCCCCAAACTGGAGATTCCAGAAAGTACTAACTGCTTAAAGTCCATTTTTATATAAGTAAAAGTTATATAAAAAAAGTTACATGAATGTTACTCATGTAACATTCATGCAGCTGTGCAAATCCATTACCAGGTTTCTACTGTTACCCTGGAAAATTTCTACAGAACCCTGGACTATAGATGGAGAAAGAATATTTTCCAGATGGAGCTGACCTGGAATAACTTGTCCCATCACTCAAATGGCTTTTTTCTCTGTGGCCTTTTCATTTCTCAGCCTGCTAATGGGTTTGCTGTTGAACTGCTACAAGTCTCTATGTGAGTTACATTTCATAGCACTACCAAGTTCAATACGTATAGGCCAACTTGTTTTGGGTTCTATCACTGATGTTGCTCACAAAGAGCTGATCAAATTGTCAACAGTCAGTGTGAAAGAGTCAATTATATAGATCCTGCCCAGAGCCAGTAGAAAATGCAGGCAGTAAAATAAGATTTTCTTTTCCTTTTATAAGCCAGTCCTGTTTGCAAAGGCGTTTAATCAGTTCACTTTAAATTTCATTGCCTAAATTTGTGACTGGTCATACAGAAGAAGCAAATCTGAGGAGAAGATAAAAATAACAGGTACTAGAGAATACTTAAAATGTGTCCTTTTGTTTAAAATATGCCAGTGATGTCAAAGCCTCCCAATTATGCCTAAGATTTTAAGCATAACTTCAGAGCTGAAATGGATATGTAAACAATTGTTTCATCTTTACTACAAAAATACCTGGCTTAAAAATGAATGTTTAGGCATCCAAATTGGAAAGAAAAAGGTAAAATTATCTTTTCTCAGATGACATTATCTTATATGTAGAAAACTCTAAAAATATCATCATAAAACCTATAAGAACTAATAAATAAATTCAGCAAAGTTATAGGCTACAAAAGCAACACACAAAATGCAACTGCATTTCTATACAGTAACAATAAAAAATCCAAAAGGAAAATTAAGAAAACAATAGCATCACTGTTTACAATAGCATCAAAAGAATAAAATACTTATGGATAAACTTAACCAAGGGGACAAAAAACTTGTACACTGTTTACTTGCTAAAATAATCATAATGTGGTACTGGCATAAACACAGATATAAAGACCAATGGAATAAAATAAAGAGTCTAGAAATAAACACACATATATATGGTCAAATAATTTCTAACAAGGGTACCAAGACCATTCAATAATGAAAGGACAGTCTTTTCAACAAATGGTATTGGGAAAACTGGATATCCACATACAAAAGAATGAAGTTGAACCCTTACCTTACAACATATACAAAAATGAACTCAAAATGGATCAAAGCCCTAAATGTAGAAATTAAAACTATAAGACTCTCAGAAAAAAAAAAAAAAAAAAACACTGGGGGAAAGGATTTATAACACTGGATTTGGAAATAACCTCTTAAATACAACATGAAAACATTGAAAAAGAAAATATAGATTAATATTCTGATTGCATAAGCAACTCCTAAAACTCAATAATAACGAAAAACAACCTAATTTTAAAATGAGGAAATGGGCCAGGTGCAGTGGCTCACACCTGTAATCCCAACACTTCGAGAGGCCAAGGCAGGAGGATCACAGGAGTTCAAAATCAGCCTGGGCAACCTGGCAAAACCCCGTATCCATAAAAAAATACAAAAATTAGCTGGGTGTGGTGGCACATGCCTGTAGTCCAAGCTACTCAGGAGACTGAGGTAGGAAAATCACCTGAGCCCAGAAAGTCGACGGACGCTGCAGTGAGCCACGATTGTGCCACCGCGCACCACACTCTAGCTTGGGCAATGGGAGTGAGACCCTGTCTAAAAAAAAAGAAAAAAAAATGAGGAAATGATGAAGCACATGAAATGATGTTCAATATCAGTAATCATTAGAGAACTGCAAATCAAAACCACAGTAAGATATTACTTCACACTCATTAGGATGATTATTATTATTATTTTTTTTTTTAAAAAGAAACTGACAAGTGTTGGAAAGAATGTGGTGAAGTTGGAAACCTTATATGTTTCTGTTGGGAATGTAAACTGGTGAAGCCACCTTGGAAAACAGTTTGGCAGTTCCTCAAAAATTAAACATGGGGTTACCACAGAACCTAGCAATTGCGTTCCTGGGTATATACCCAAGAGAAATGAAAACTTAGGTCCACAAAAAAAATGTACATAAATATTCAAGTGACATTACTCATAATAACCATAAAGTGGAAAAAACTCACATGTCCATCCACTGATTAATGGGTAAACAAAATATGTTATATTCATCTAATGAATATTATTCAGCTATAAAAATAATAAAATACTGATATATGTTACAACATGGATGAACTTTGTAAACATTATTCTATGTGAAAGAGGCCAGGAATAAAAGGTTATATATTATATAATTCCATGTATGTAAAATGTCCACAACAGGTAAATCCATGGACAAATCCATAGACAAAAAGATTACCAGGAGCTGGAGAGAGTGGGAAATGCGGTTTGATTGTTAATAGGTACAGAATTTCTTTTTAAAGTGATGAAAATGTTCTAGAATTAGATAGTGGTGATGACTGTAAAACATTGCAAATATAATAAAAACTACTTTAAAATTGTATACTTTGGGCTGGCATGGTGGCTCACACCTGTAAT
The DNA here is from genome assembly GCF_000001405.40 of Homo sapiens. Taxonomy (NCBI): domain Eukaryota; kingdom Metazoa; phylum Chordata; class Mammalia; order Primates; family Hominidae; genus Homo; species Homo sapiens. The sequence goes on from NC_000018.10 coordinate 27,625,075, forward strand.
CCCAGCACTTTGGGAAGCTGAGGCAGGAGGATCGCTTGAGCTCAAGAGTTCCCAACCAGCATGGGGAACACAGTGAGACCTTGTCTCTACAAAAAATTTAAAAATTAGCCAGGCGTGGTGGTGGGCACCTATACTTCCAGCTCCTGAGGAGGCTGAGGAAGGAGGATCGCTTGAGCCCAGGAGTTTGAGGCTGCAGTGAGCTATAATCGTGCCACTCTACTCCAACCTGGGGGTATAGTGCAAGAAAGAGTTAGACTCTGTACCTACAGAAAAAAATGTATACATTGTAAGAGTGAATTGTATGACATGTGAATGATATCTCAATTAAAAAAAAAAGTTATAGAGCTTAATAAAACCCAGATCCAGATATACTTGGCTCAGTCTGAAGAACATCCACATGCCTGTTGTACTGACCTCTGAGTTTCTTCTACTATACTCCCAAGAAGACAGGCAGAGTCGAGACTGGCTGGTAACCAGGGCTGCTGAAAACAGTTAAGAACCCAGGTGCAAAACGGGGAAAGTACCCTCACCCCATAAGGTGGATAGGCTAGAACCTTCATCTGGTATTTGCATTCATTCACAACATCAGAATACCAGAATCCCTCCCAGACCACCAGGCCCAGAAATTTGTATTCACCTTCTCATCTTTATTAGCCTGATTGGTAACTTGGTGAGGAAATTCATATAAAGGTCCAAGTTAGAATAATAATGTATTTGGAAGTAATGTGGCAGAAAGCTGACATTTCCAATTCTTACATTTTTATGCATGCTTTTGTCCTAGAGGGTGCCACTTGTGTCCTACTCAATTTATGAGGATAGAGCTCAGAAATTTACATTTTTAAAAAGTATCCTTGGTGATTTGTCTTTAAACATAGGTTTGACTATCATTGCTTAATTTTTCTTCTAACTTTATATTTTTAAAAAATGCCAAACCTATGGAAAAGTGAAAAATATATAGAACAATGGATTTCCATATGCTATGGTTTGAATGTGTCCCACAAATTGCGTGTGCTGGAAACTTAGTCCCCAATGCAGCAGTATTAAAAGACAAAGACTTTAAGAAGTGACTGGATCATGAGGGCAGTGCCCTCATGAATGGATTTATTCATCCATGGATTCATGGATTAATAGGTTATTGCAGAATTGGGACTGGTGGTCTTATAAGAAGAGGAAGAGACCTGAGCTAGCACACTTAATGCTCAACCCTGCACCATGGGATGCCCTGGACCACCTTGGGACTCTGCAGAGAGCCCCACCAGCGAGAAGGTTCTCACCATATGTGACCCCTTGACCTTGGACTTCTCAGCCTCCATAACTGTAAATTTCTTTTTAAATAACTTACCCAGTTTCAAGTATTCTGTTATAAACAACAGAAAATAAACTACTATATGAAGTTTACGTGTTTTAAATTAGATTCATTGTTAACACGTTGCCACATTTTCTATCTGTTCTCTCTCTCTCATTAACTTGAGAATAAGTTGTAGTTGTAATGAAATTTCAGCTTATATCACGTAAAAACAAAGACATCCTCCCTTATCACCATAATTCAATCGTCACATTCAGGGTATTTAACATCAATACATGAATATCATCAAATTAGAACCCATATTTCTACTTCCCTAGCTGTCCCAACAATGTCCTTCATAGTTTTTTGGTTTTTTGGATTTAGGATTCAGTCAAGGATCACACATTGTAATTAGTTGTCACATTTTTTTCTCCTTTAATCTGGAGCAACTCATTCATCTTTCTTTTTTCATGTCACTGACATCTTTGGAGAATGTAAAATTATTGCTTCAAAGAATGTTCGTCAATTTGGATTTGCTTCATTATTTCCTGATGATTATACTTAGGTTAAATAGCTTCAATCAGGATAATTTGTAATCATTTGTCCATTTTTGAAGTAGGTTTTACCACATAGTTAACGTAGTATCCACCAGATTTCTCTACTGTAAAGGTACTTTCCCTCTTTGTAATTAATAAATAATATGATGGGTGATACTTTGAAACTGACCATTTATTCTTATTTAGAAAAATTTTTAACCAGCCTGTCTTCTACTGTTAACTCAACAAATAACAGATCTCTGTGTAATTTCTGCAGTTATACTAGAAATCATCAACCTTAATTAAATCCTGGAATTTAATTGTAGTAGTTCTCTCTTAAGGTTTCCTTTGTATCTTGAACATAGCCTCAAAGTTATCTATCTTTAATACTATTTTTCTACATAACTAAAAATTAAGATACAGATATACACACTTTTATTTCTTAAACAATTTTATGCTTCTAAAAATTAAAGTTCGGCAGGAAATTTTTTCTAGCTTACAATTCTCTAAACACCTTAATTTATTAAGTGTGATAAACAATTGGCTGTTAATATGTTTATCTTTGTATTTTTAGTCCTCTTATACATAGAAAGGTTATTTTGTTCTTTCTTATAAATTCTATGGATGTTGAAAAATTTTACAGGAAGACTGATTTTTTTCAGTAAATGAAAAGATAATGCATTTTAAGCCATCTTTTAAACATTGCTGAATTTCAATTGTTGTTTTAGAATGCAATGTCATACAGATTTTAAATATACTAGCGAAAATAATGTGACAAATGCAATGTCTGGCATTGACTTTGAATGCACCTTGTCCCATCCCTTTTTCATATAGGTAGACATTTGACTGTTTAATCTTACACATTCAGATAAGATTATCTATTTGGCTGTAACGAGTATGTTTTGTCATAACAACACTGCATATTTTTCACTTATTTCATTTAAACCTACCTTATCATGTCTCATACTGTGCCAGGTACCCCGAGAGACCTCAGCTGTAAATGGAGTTCTATTATTTAAGCGGTATTGGGATTTATTTTCCCCCAGGAAGATACATTAGTTTATAAAGCACCTGATTCTCCCTGTAGGTCCTTCCCATTTGGATGAGTTTCCCCTCTCTGCTACGTTGGTCTACTTAGTGAATGACTGGCTGGCAAATGCGATATGCATTAGCTCAGCCATTATCAGCCTTTGCCAAGCAGGAGCACAGGGCTGCCTCACTTGCCTTGTCAGAGCCTCAGGAGCATGCTGATGCCAGAAGGCACCACTTGGTGGTGATTAGCAGCATCCATTGGCCTCACTTCCATACCATAAACTACCACCACTGTAGTTCTAGTTGCAGTGCATTCTAAAGAAATATTCCCAAGTAAGCCATTCTGGGACTGTGCTGCATTTCTTCTCTTCGTGGCAGTTTCAGGCAATTGCGAAGCTGTGAGATGCCTCTTCGTTACCAGAAACCTTAGTGCTGGAGGGAAAAAGCAGCTGAGGAAACCCTGGACAGATGGCTTTCTGCCAAAGTCCCTCAGCATTTTGCTCCCCCATTTAAGTGGCAGTTACAGATGATGTTCAATATGACAAATATTTATTAGTCACTACCTAGAAGCAAAGCACAGTGTTAGGCACTGTTGGAGGTAATAAAATAAACGCAGTCCCTCCCTTCAAGTAGATTACAAGCCAGTAAGGAAATAGGATAATTTTTTAAAATAGCACCATTACATCTCAAATTGTGGTAAATGCTACGGAAGAAAAAAAATCATGAAAAAGCTATGAAAATTTGAAAAAGGAAGAGAAAATTACCCACTAAACTGACAGCCAGAAACTATCCCTCCAGGTGTTCTGAGGATATGAGATTCCCTGAGGACGCAAGGTGATAGAAAAGCTCCCGGTATTGAATGCACTGAGAGAGTCGGGGCTCTCAAGTAGCAGCAACACATCACAGTGGGAAGTGAGACCCCACCACATGGGGCAGGTGTATTTTTGTAACTTTCCAAATCCAAATCAACAAGATTTAGATACATTCATTGTTTCATTTCATCATTCCAGATCTTTTATTAAATACTAGAAGCTGGAGCCTGGGCAAAAACCAGGGGGTGGAAAAATTAACGACACAGTCTAGTTGAGCATTGCAGACAAGAAATGCAGCAAATTCATTGTAGCTGTCTGTGTATGTAAGTGATACATGAGATCAAAGGAGGAACATCTCACCCATTTTGAGAATTTCAAAGACAGAGTTTCAGAAAGAGACACATCTGGACTTAAAGCTAGCAAAGCACTCTTTCAGCTCCAAGAACAGCTTGAGCTAAAGCTTCAACTGCCCAAACAGTCTCCGACATCTCGAGACTCTGCAACACGCAGATGCCTGTCTTTAAGGAGAACTTGATCCTCTGTTGGGCATATTAATATCAATAATCTTCACTTCCTATTTCAATATTATTTGTGCGTAAGAGTATGGTACGCTGCTCAATTTAGAATGCAGTTATTTACCACAATCTAGATCTATTAAAATACTTGTTCAAATTAAATCAGCCCTTGACTAAATAATGTGCACTGTGATGGCCAGCTGGCCAAACTATTATGGATTTTATTTTAAATAAGGAAAGAACAGAACTATTTATGATCATTGGATTTTGTATGGCATTTGTTTAGAAATGAATTATGAGTTATCGGTTGAAGAAAAAGATCAGAGAGGTTTGAACACTTAATAAATACTGTGGTGATGGCCCAATTTTTAGTCTGATTTAAGAACTGCAAAGACAGTCCCAGCTCTGCTCAAGATGCAGCTGAAGCTCATTTTGGATGATCAGTGAAGTGAGGGAGGTTGAACATTCTCAATGCAGCAGTTAAGTGATCTTGGCAGTACCAGAGAGAACCAAAGAGATTTGTTCTAGTTAAAAAAATGAATATTTGGAAATACTTCTGTGGCACTCGGGAACGTTTGTCTTATTTGCTAATGTGACTAAAAAATAAATTCATCACTTTTGCCCAAGTCTTTATGGAATATACTATTGAAAGGGGCTAGATGGGTTTCCTAATGACATTCATATTGCCAGAGTGATTGCGAGCACCTGTGCATCCATTTGAATTGCTCCCTTGCCCAATCTCATGTGTGGGGAGCATGAAACCATCTTCTCTTCTCTGGGATTTTGTTCTATCAGTTCTTTCCTCTCTCTGGTGAATCTTTAGTCTCTTCCACTCTACTGGTTTCTCCTCGGCATGTATACATTCTGATGTATTTTCTGTCTTTAAAATATAACGGGTATTTTCATTAGGCATATTTCTCCCGGCTTCTCTTGTATTGCTCTTCTTCCCTTCATAGCCACGATCCTTGAAAGACACTCTGTGTTCACCACTTAAACTTTTCTACCTTGCCTTGGCTCTCCAATTCCCTCCTCAATGCTAAAACCAATGCACTCTTCTCAATGTCCTATTATTGATCCCTTGGTGACACCTGACTGGTGACCACACCTTTCTTCTTAAATCTCTGTCTTTTACTTCGGAAATGTCATCCCCATTTTAAGCTGTTTCTGAAATCCCTGAGTATTGCTCCTCTTTTTTACTGGCTCCTTTTTTTTCCCATCTAAAATCTCAAATATTGCTGCCATTGACCTTTTCCTATCAGTTTTTACAGATCTTCAAATATCTTCTTTCACCTGGTAAATCTCAAATCTATGTTATCAGGATGAGACCATCTCCGGAGTGTCATACCTGTAATGCCGCTTGCCTATGCAACAGCTCCACCTGAATGTCACACAAGCACTTCAAACTCAATGTGGCCAAAACCAAAGCCATCATCTTTCATTCCTGACTCTCTCCACCAGCTACAATTGATCGGGCTCGACTTTGAGGAATCTTTCTTGTCTAATACTGACCTTTACTGCATGCATTTTTTACTTATCTGTTCGCTAATCTGTGAGTGTTCAGGGGGAAAGAGCTCTGCCTCATTCATTTGAGTATCCTCAGCACTTAACAAGTGCCATAATTATTTGGGAACTAAGTAAATGAACGGGTGGAGTGAGGTGAGGTGAGGTCTGCTGCACAGTTGTACTTTTTTGCACTAAAATAAAGCCTATCAGATCAGAGTTCCCACACGTGGCTGGAGGTGCTCCCTAGAACAGCTGCTCAGTAAAGAAACTCTTCTGTTTCTCCCAGCAGCTACCAACACTGCCATGCTGCACCAGCTCTCTCCCTCCTGGGTAGGCACAAAAATACAACCTCAAAAGAACACATAAGGAAAGAAGTGCCCAGAAGAGTACAGCTATGAGAGCTGAGTATGTTTATAGAGGAAACACAGTGATATACTCCAGGGAGAAGTGCTAGATCTTTGTTCTACCATAACAGTTAGCATTCAGCAGACTGAAAGCATTCAGTCTACAGTGATAGGTAACAGCCCTGAAAAATGTGAGGAGATTTTAATATTAAGACTTAAAAATAAAAAATCTCAAAGGAAAAAGGATTTCGTTGGAAATATAAAATTGCTATCGAGTAGCATCAGGATTTCCAGCTTTGAAAAGTACATATGTGACAGTTCCAAGAACTCTTTGGAGTTTCTAGCCCATATTCAAATAAAAAATTATGCAGAAAATTTTATGAAGACACAGAGGACAGGGCACCTCACCTGGTCTAAAGGCGACAAGAAAGTCCTTCCAAAGAAAGTGAAACCCCAGCCAAGTTTTAAAGGTTAACTTTTGAACTGGGTGGTATAAGCAGAAGGAAGATTTTGTACTAAGCCACAAGGGAGTAAATATGACACATTCGGGGAACTAGGACAAGTTTGGCAGAAGTAAATGTAGTGTGCATGTATGGGAAGTGGGAAATAGATGTGGAAATGTAGCAAGGGCCAAAGCACGAAACGCCTTGTATGTTGTGCTTCGTCATTTGACATACATGATAGTTGGGGAGCCATGGAAGGATTTTGAGTAGGTAAGTGACAGGACCAAATTTACATTTTAGCAATATAATTCTGGGGCAAACATATGTGAAGAATTTGAGAGGAATATGATAGTGGCAGGCAGACAAGTAGAAGACCATTACAATTAATAGATGAGAAATCAAGTTAGGGGAAGAAGGCAAAAGGATTGATTTCATAGATATCCAGGAAATTGAATCCTTAGAAACTGGTACATTATAAGAAAAACAAGAAGAGGTCTAGGATGATTTCCGGGATTCTAGTTTCATTCAGTCATTCAGAACGTGTGTGTGTGTATGTGTGTATGGCATGTATGTGTGTGTATATATATTAATATTATGTTATATATATAACATGTTCTGTGTTAGATATATAACATTTTCTATGTTTTAGATGTTTATATGTTAATAAAAATATGTTATATATTTTATTTATACATATATAATGTTAATAAATACATATACTATACAGGTATAAGACAATAAAACCTGTTCTATGTCCCTGGCTCTGATAATACAACAATAAACAAGACACACTCCCAGGCCTCAAGGAACTCAAAGCCTAGTAGGGTTATAGACAAGTAAACAGGGTCATGAAAAGTATGCAGTAGGGGTTTCTAGCCCAGACTTGAGATTTGACAAAAAAGATTTCTTTTAGCTGAGATCTTAATGACAAATAGTGCTACTTAAGTGAAATAGACTAGGAAAATATTCCTGGCAGGTGGACTAGCATGTGTAAAAGCATGGAAATGAGAAAGCAGATCCTGTTTGTTTGGGAAATGTCAAGAAAGACACAGTGGTGCCATACACGAAGAGAGGGAATAGAGGAGAATAAGGAGGCTGGGTGGTGATAAGTCCACTCTCATACATGTTGAGCTAGAGGTGCCCCTGGGAGCTCCAAATGGACAGATTGGGCCATGGAGTTATCAACATTGCCTAGATTGGCTGGAGAAAGATATTTGAAAGACAAGACAGGAGATAAAGTTATAAGGGGTAGTAAGATTTCCCATGGAGAGTGCAGAGAAAGAAAAGATCAGGTGAAGGACAGAATCCCAGAGAAATCTACCATTTATGGGCAAAATAGAGGAAAATATTTCCAGTGAGAGAGTATCAGGAGAAGCAAGAGAGAAAATGGGAAGTCATAGAAATCATGAGAGTTTCAAGGAAAAGGAATTTAACAATACTAAATGAAGTAGAGAATAATGTAAAATAATGACAGTAAATAATGACAGAAAAGTACCTACTGGACTGAGCCTTTCTGAGATTTTCAGTGATCGATTTGTCAAGAGCACTTTTGGTGGGTGGGAAGAAGATTAGGAGAAAATGGTAGGTCAGCAATTGAAAACAGTGTGTATAGATTACGTTGTCAAGTCACTTGACTGTAATGAGCCAGAGAGAGAGATGATAGCAATGTGAGAGCACCACGTGGGGTTGGAAAAATTTGTTTTTTTTTTTTTTTTGTAAATAGGGAGAGACATAAACACATTTATCAGCTGAAAGGACTGAGCCAAGGGAGAGGGAAAGAAGGTAAAAGAGACACAACAAGGACCTGGAAAAGGCAAGGAAGGATAATAAATACATTGTGTGGAGGATTAACCTTGGATTATAAAAGACAAGTTGCCCTCCAGAGTTTGAAGGAAGGGGTCAAGGATGGGGGATGAAGAAAATAAAGTGGTAGATGGGGTTTCAAAGAGTTGAGGGAATGACTTTTCTGATGATGAAGTCATCTTCTCAGAGTGGGGATGAGAACAGAAGGCACGGGAGGGGCTTTACCTTCCAGCCTCACCTTTCCCCTTCTTCCCACATTTATAACCCCAGACTAAACATGGTTCAGTTTTGTCAACATTCCAACCCATGTATATGGTGAAATGTCAGATTATCGGGAACGCTGCAAGTAAACATAAAATAATCCCTGAGACTGCTGAAGCTCATAATAGTTTCCTTGACATGTATCATTTAATAGACTAAATACATGATAAATATTTACATAAGAAAGAAAATTTTTCCCCTAAATGTTAGAAATATTTGTATTTCATGCATAATATCTTCATTTTAAAACAGTGGAAGTGGTCATGATTATGTGCTCATGGCTATCTTCAACTTAAAATTTCAAGGATTTAAGGGTCTGATGGTTGCTCCCCTCTTCCAGAATGAAACAATGATACAATTTCAGTTTCAGTTATTGTGGTTTTGAATATATAACAATTAATGAAGAGTCTACCAATCTTTCTTAATAAAATGCTTTATAAGTTGTATGAATCATAATATATACACTACCTAACATTTAAAATATACTTTTAGCAATGATCTGAAGCAAATTGTCTAAGGAGTTGGATTTTACCTCAGGGGTTTGTTTTTGAAGTGCCTGCATATGTTGCTGCAAAATGAGCAGGGCTTCTATCATTTTGGAAGAAGGTGAGAACACATTCTGGTGAATGAGTAGTCTCTGCTTAAAAACTTACATTCCTGGGATCATTTTGACCTGGGGGCTTTGTCTATAATTAGAATTATTCGCTATAAAGAGGGTAGTAGTATACTGCTTGTGACCGATGTCTCATACAGCCAGGCTTCCCATAGTTTTGGGGATTAGCATGTTTTTCTTCTGAATTATATCCTTTTATTGTAAAAAATTATAAATCATAATCATACCTTTATATTCATGTTATTCTTATTGTATTTATTTTAAACACTGTAGCTATAGAAATAAATAAGGCTCCTGATGTAGAGCTCTCCTGTATTGATATCTATTTATTATTCCTCTGAGGCTAATATATAGCTGATTTTATTCTAGGCTTTAGTTGAACTTTCTTTCAATTTTCATCTGAATCCATGAATATCTAAAACTTTGTTTGATGGTGTCACACTTCCAAATAGTTTAGCAGTGTGCAGTCCGCTGTTTTTGTAAACATGTGTTTTTCTTTCTGGCATCTTCTCTGTCACAACTGTGGGCCGGTCCAGCTGGCTGCTCTGGCACTGAGTCTCATCTCTGCCTTGGTGGAGTCCAACAGTAGACCCAGACATATGCCTCATATGCCTATTATGTCCCTTCATTCCGATGACAAGGTAGTTGCACTGCTCAGCCATTTGAGTCAACAATTAACATGTTTAAAAATAATGCCACAATGATTTCTCAAAGACCTAAAGACAGAAATACCATTCAACCCAACAATCCCACTACTGGGTGTACACCCAAAGGAATATAAATCATTTTATCATACACATGCATGCGTGTGTTCACTGCAGCACTATTTGCAATAGCAGAGACATGGAATCAACCTAAATGCCCATCAGTAATAGACTAGATAAAGGAAACGTGGTACATATACACCATGGAATACTGTGCAGCCATAAAAAAGAATGAGATCATGTCTTTTGCGGGAACATGGGTGGAGCTGGAGGCCACTATCCTCAGCAAACTAACACAGGAACAGAAAACAAAATACTGCATGTTCTCACTTATAAGTGGGAGCTAAATGATAAGAACTTATTAACTACAAAGAAGGAAACAACAGACACGGGGACCCACTTGAGGGGAGAGGATGGAAAGAGGGAGAGGATAGGGAAAAATAACTAATGAGTACTCGGCTTAATACCTGGGTGATGAAATAATCTGTGCAACAACCCCCCACGACACAAGTCTACCTGTGTAACAAACCTGTACATCTGTCCCTAAACCTGAAATAAAAGTAAAAAAAAAAATCAGCCGCAAAATGCCGATTTTAGGATATGAGTACTAATCAGAGTCTAGGAGGAGAATAAAGAGAGGCTTAAAGAATGTAGCAACATTAGTACTAATTAGTGTTTTAAAAGATTTTTCAAATTTTAATATATTTTGCTTTTTTTTCATCTCTCCCCTCTCAACGAAGGCATAATGCTAAGGGCGCTGGAGTTCCCATTGACAAGATAACCACGTCCTCTGTCTTTTCAGACATGATCAAGATAGTTTTGGAGAGCCAGGTCCCTCCTGGGAAAGAACTCATTCTAAGAAGTTTGGTTTAGGGCAGGATAGATTAGGATTCAAAAGAGAGAGTGATTGTAATGGGAATTTGCTGGGTTTTGCTCCAGTTCTCATGGACTACATGTCTGACCTCTAGGAATGTGTTACACCACTAAACTATTAAAAACTTAAACAGTCACTCATTCAAATAAGGTATTGGGTCAGAACAGCCTACTGCTCACCTGTATCAGAACCTGGGAAAAGCCTCTGTCTGGGGCTGCTGTTGGAATCACCAAGGCAGAGATGAGACTCAGTGCCAGAGCAGCCAGCTGGACCGGCCCACAGTTGTGACAGAGAAGACGCCAGAAAGAAAATCACAGAAAGAGAGGAAAATGCCAAGTGTCCCAAGCCTGCCGAGGGCTACTTCATCAGCATTCTTAAGATACCTACTAAAAATATCCGAAAGGAGAAGGGGGAACAGTGATGAGGCTATAATCTCTAGAATTACAGAGAACAGAGCTGGAAACAGGCTCTTACGTGACCCTCATTGCCACAGGAAGACATCTCATGCTGGTGTGGTCCAGGGAGGTAGGGGCCTCATGCACATGGGATTCCTGTTGGAGGACAGGAGAGGAGAAATGAGCAATTTGCATTCAAATAAATATTTCAAAGACAGAGATATCCGTTCCACATATTTTCAAATATTCAAATCACTTTTGGAAATGTTTGCCGTGTGGGTATATGACTCGAGGATTTTACTCCTTTCACAAATCTGAGTTGTCTAGCTAGAAAGGAACATATGAGCCATTTTCCACCTCACTGACCACAGAGTTTAGGTCAGTTATCAACAGCAGCAAAATATTTGGTAAAAAAATTAAACCAGCCAAAATATATAAGCCATCTTGAAATAGAAAACCTGGTAGCAGAGTACCCTCAATTTGTTTGGCACCACAAAGCCAGACACAGCATCTGTACAGTCTGTTCGAACACCCTTTTTCGAGATGGTTTGTGAAGCCAACACTCACACTCACACAAGAGCCGTAGGGGAAGCCAGATTTCACACTCCACCCTTCAAAGTTCTAACAGAAGGAAGAAAATCTGAAGTCATGTCATCTTTAAGAGACTTCATGGGGAGAGATGGGATGCCGGCCAAGGGGCTCTGCGTGGTATCCTGTGCATTCATAAAGGAAAATGCCCATCGTCTCAAAGCTCTTTAGCCCTTTCAACAATGTATTTACATTAAGCCAACAATAATGAGGAAAGACAATCCGCTGGCTCTGCGGATAAACAAAGAACTTGCATCGCTAGAGACTCATCCTGCTTCATAAACACTTTCTAAAAGGAGACCACATTGTCTCCAAGGAAAAAGATGTTGAAAAAAGAGAGCATGATACCATTATGCTGCCATATGTCTGGCCCAGGAGACCATAAAACCCTGAATGCCAGCAGCGTGAACCAATGACCAGAGCCTCTGTGGAGTTCATGATCAACCTGCTCTTCATCTTCAACCAGCAAGGGCACTCACGTTCTTAATAAAATGCTTTGAAATCCTGGCATAAGGAATGTAAAATGTTATCATTGTTAAAATCCATAAAGTGCTCAAGAGCGTTAGAGTAGTTCTAAAACCATGGAAGAAACAAGCAATCGACCCTCCTTCTTATTCAAAAACAAGGGCATGAAAGTATCTGGACTCAGAAAAAAATCACCTGTGTTCTAAATGGTTTTCCAGCCATAACACAGACTCACTCGCAGTTCCCTAAATGCAACATCTCTCCCTGTGAGTGTATGCGTGAGCTCCAGACAAGGTTAAACACACCCCATCTCAGGAGGCATTAGTTTGAAACTCCTCTTTAACAGCAACATTTTAGAAATGACTGATGTGGACACTCTGAGGTTTTTAATGCACCAGTTACAATCAACACAATAGATACTGTTTAAGAAGTTGTCTTTCATATTTGCTGTGCAAATCATTTCCATAAATGTGTGGGTTTATCGATCCGAATAAACCATCCTTTGACGTAAAGACAGTAAGATCTTTCTTAGTCATCCGATATTTCAATACCGATAAGACCACACTTGGGAGAACTTGTTCCTTTTAAACCTGTTGCTTTTCATTTTGTTCGTTCATTTGTTTTTTTTGTTTGGTTTTAGTTCTGAGTTCACAATATTTCTGACAGTATATTAATACCACTTGGGGAAAAGGTCCCAACCCCCATTTCTTTTCATACTCTTCATAGCATCTAGAACAATGCTTGGTATACAGTGACCATGTCAAATGAAGATGTATTGTATTCCTAAATCCAAGGATTAGCTATAGGTTAAGTGTTAGGACACTGAACACTAACTACACTTTAGAAACAGAAATTAAAAAAAGATTCAGCTTTCTTTTTATTCCATCAAATAAAAAGAGGTCTATTTCAAGCTGCTTGAAATTAAACAGTGCAGTTTTCACTTAGCCATAGTAATTATGGGAAAGGGGGCACTGTGTAGTATTAGCTTTACAGTGTCTTGGCACGTAAGGGATTTTTAATAAATATTTTTGGAATGAATTTTCTTTGTCACATTCTGCCAAAATATAAATTCCAAACTTAAGGATATTATTTTTCACTGTGAAAGATTGCACGCATGGAGAAACCTCTTTAGGTATTGATGCCTTATGAAGGAAAATCAGAGATATCTGGCATGAAATTAAAACATCTTCTCATTTTACCTATTCCATATCTTGGTGTTCTGACCCAGTATTTGCAGACAAACAAGTAGTGACACTTCTTTTCTTATCACCACCCTCTGATTTATTTTAGATTCTTTTTTTAATGATTGTTTAGAAAACCACAAAAACAAAAACAAAACTCTGGTTGCCCAACATTAGCAAAAGCATTCATTTAATTAGGAACTTATACATCCTTTGGTCTTCTCAAAGATTATCTATTCATAGATTCCTGGTTGGCACTTTATGGAGTGGTCTGGGTGGCTGGGCAGGAAAAGACTGGTTTTTAAAAGTTGGGCAGTAATAGTAATAAACTGTTAAACAATTATGCAACATTATAATTGTGTTTATTAGCATTTTAACTATTTTTATTATATGTCATATAATTAAAATATAATTTTATACAAATAATCCCTAAAATACACCAAAACAATTCAGTATGCCTTACTGTTACTGGCTACATGATGTCATATTTCTCATATGTGAATGTTGTCACTTTAAATATGATTTTATTCAGAAACGTATATGGAATAAGTAGTGAATTTCCTGGTTATATAAAAGGTACATGATGAAACAGAAGTTTAGTGGTTCTTTGAATATAATACAAAAGGAGTTAACCTAGTGACAAATGGTTTCCCACAGTGAAGAAGGACTGAGGCCATTGTTGCTTATGAATATCAGTAAATCAGTTAATCACAAGGGGGAAGGTACATACATATGACTACCTAATTTCTGAAATAGATTTTAATGAGAAGTTCCCAGTAATTTAAGAGTCACAATTGAGATAATAGGATTGAGTTGATTTTTTTGATTTTCAAGCATAATATTCCTTTAATTAATACACCAAATTTCAGTTATGTTTACAGTTTTTGGTCCAAGAATACTTATTATACTTTATATCGTATCTATAAACTTGAGTGCCAAATTAAATGGTGTTAAGTTTACCTATATGTAGATAACAGAAAAAATAGGAATCCATTCTTATTAGTTATTCATTAGAATCACCTAGCAGCAAAAATTAAAATAAGGAATCATACATAGAGGTAAACACCCAGATTGTAAAACCAATTTCTTAAAGTGTTTTAAAGTCATGTGCAATTTTCAACTTCTTGATACATCAGAGAGAACATATGCAAATATATCCAGTTTGGCATTTGGGAAAGAAAATCCCTTAGATACAGAATTTCATTGGCTGCTCAGATAGGAAAGTCACTTTGGTTTTGCTTAAAAATTAACACATCCTCTCACTGACATTTAAGACCAGTAATTGGCTGTGAAGTGCTCAGTGATACTTTTAGATGAACTGTGGTATATATATAATATTATATATTCATATTATACATATTTTAATGTATTATATATCTGTAAAATGCATAGATATAATCTCACATATAAATTTAAAATGTCATTAATAAGCCAAATTTATAGTTGTCTACTCCAGTATATTATCCTGCTGCTGCATACCTTTCCCCTCCTTGGTATTATAATTTTGAAAACGAGTACGTGTTTTTCTTTCTTACAGACTTTTGAATATAGCAAAATTTGAATCCAACACCTTTCCCAAATCCCAAAACACCAGTAGTTATAGAGCAAAGGGGAAGGATACATGGCTCAAGGAACTTCTTTCAAACACATCTCACTACCTTTTCATTATTGCCTGTAATTCTATTATATTCTTATAACAGCTGTGAAGTACATTCAGACAGACTTTAATTATAAATTATAAATATGAAAAGAATGAAGAAAAAGGCAAATGAAAAGTTTGAGGATAGAAAAACAGAAGAGTAAAATAACTCAAAAACTATACACCTCTATGTAAATTTTTTTCAATTTTTATTAATAAAGTAAATTTAGATCTTGCAATAAAGGACCAACATCCAGATAAAATAAGTAAGAAATGGATGAAGAGCATATTATATTGTCTTTTTTCCCCTTTGCCTTCAAATTTTACCCTTATTTATCTGCAAAACATTTGCAAAGAATATAGAAAACAATCCAGCAACGGCAATCCATCAACAAGCCTTTTAACTTCTAACCCAGAGGCATGCCCCAGTTAAAGAATAAAGTTTTAGCTATAATGTATCTGTGCAACAAAAATTTCTCCCATGAATGATAATTGGATAAAGAAAATGTGGTACATATACACCATGGAACACTATGCAGCCATAAACAAGGAACAAGATCATGTCCTTTGCAGGGACATGGATGGAGCCGGAAGCTGTTATCCTCAGCAAAATAACACAGGAACAGAAAACCAAACCTCACATGTTCTCACTTATAAGTTGTAGATGAAGGATGAGAATACATGGATGCATGATGGGGAACAACACATACTGGGACCTGTGAATGGGATGGGAGGAGGGAGAGCATCAGAAAGAATAGCAAATTGATGCTGGGCTTAATGCCTAGGGGATGGATTGATCTTTGCAGCAAACCACGGTATCACAGCTTTACCTATGTAACAAACCTGCGCATCCTGCACATGTACCCCAGAACTTAAAATAAAAGTTGAAAAATAAAAATAAAAAGTTTCTGAGCATCCACTGTGTGTCTATTTCTTAAACATTCCACTTTCACATTACACTTAGCCATAGTCCCTCTTGCCCAGACGTGTATGAGAGTGCTACCCTAAATATCTCACTATGAGAAATAGGTAATATTGGGAAATACTGGAAATTATTCTATTAAATGGAAACAGCTGACTACCTTTCATATTTGTGAGAAGTTTTTATTGTGTATAAAAATGAGTTATATAGTAATATTTGATTACCGTGTTTGTAATGCTCTTTAAACACAGAAAAATTGCATGTATTGAAAATTTCTTTTCATTTACATTAATATTTAGGTTCAAGAATCTAAGAAAAAGTACATGTATATGCACACACACCCACACACACAGGAAGGGCTACTTGAATGGCTCTTGATCAATATAATGCATTATGTTTTGAATACCCATTTAGAGATAAACACAAAATCTGATTGTCCTTAATGACTACTTTTCAGTATAGAGTGTCTTTAAAACTCATAATTCAATGAAAGTTAAACTCAAGGATCACATTCATTTTAACATTTATTTACAGGAGTTTCGATAACCCTATTCTCCCACGCCATTGCCCTAGCACAAAGTCGCTCTGATTCTCACATAATGGTGGTTTCCCTTTGTAATGAGGAAGGAGGGAAGTTAAGGAGAACCTTTCAGCTTTACTGACTGTAGTACAATACTAGAAGGAATACTCTGGAGAACATAAAAATGATTGGGTCTATTGAAATTGCATTATTAGCTGCCAGTCTTTAAAATTAAAAAAAAAATGCTTAATCTCAAGGATTTTACCTAAATAAAAGCTATGTGGAAGTTTTCAAAGAACTTACATTTTTCAGAGAATGCTGTGATCCATGTTCTGAAGGCATGGCATAAGAAAATCACATAGGAAAGTCATTCATTTTAATTATGCTTTAAGTATTTAAAATGTACCTAAACAATGAAGAAATATTATCATACTACCTTCATCCAAAAAAGACAATCACTTGTTCAGCAACCAGACAAATTGCATAACTGTTGTTTGAAATACGAATGATTATACTTCTGGGAAAAGTATTATGGCATATGTATCAGCAGTGCTGAAATATTCATGTTTGTTTTTATCCTAGATTTGCATTACTATAAAATAATTTGAAATTCTCTAAAAGATTAATACCTAAAAAAATTAGAAACAAGTAAAATTAAGGTTATAGTTATGTAAATTATGGCATAGGCATAGATAAAATATTGCTAACCCATTACAATCATGTTTTGGAAGTTTTCTTTAAGGTTTTATTGATATATAGTACACATATCAAAAATTCACATCTGGGTGAATTTTTACAAATTAAACACATATGTGTTCTCATGCCTTGACCAAGAAACCAAACATTACCCTCATTTCAGTATATGAAAAGTTTAAAAACCTAGGTCCTGTAATCATGCTCCTCAGACCAACAGCATCAAACTCCCATGGAAATTTGCTCGATTTTCTAACTTACAAATTCTCCGATTCTACCCCTGACCTACCAAATTAGAAGTTCTGTGGGTAAGGCCCAGCAGTCTGTTTTAACAAAGCCTGCAGGTGATTCTGAGGCACAATAAAGTTTAAGAACCAGTAGCCTAGAAAAATGTATTTTGTTATAGAATGGAAAAAACAAGTGCTTACACATATGATTTTACTGATATAAAATGAGCATTAAAACAATGAATAGGGCCAGGCATGATGGCTTATGCCTGTTATCCCAGCTACTCGTGAGCCTGAGGCATAAGAATCATTTGAACCCTGGAGGCAGAGGTTGCAGTGAGCTGAGATCATACCACTGCACTGCAGCCTGGGCAACAGAGCAAGACTCTGTCTCAAAAAACAAAACAAGCAAAAAACAAACAAAAAACAATGAATGGAAGTAAATATGACAAATACTGATAGTAGTTATCTTGAATAGAAAAATGGTAAGTTATTTTTATTTTCTTCTTCATATGTTTTCTATTATCCAGGTTTTCTGAAATGATTATATACTTTGGGTATATAACTGAACACACTTATTTTGGTCTTCTAAATTATGTTATCATCAGCTAAACCAGAACGGCTTCTTATCCTGGCTCTGTACATGTGGCTTGCCTGAACTTTGAGGCCCTGATTTGAACTTCTAAATGGCTTATCATTATGACTTCCTTTCTGCGTACGAACATCCACATTTGGAATATATAAGAGAAAACCTTACCCTATTATTCAATTTTTAAACGTTTGGGAGCATAAAGGTAAACTGCTACCAAATGAACACATTGATAGTTGCACAGAACAGATGGAAATAAATACTGCCTCTCATGAACACAGGAGGCAATTTTGAAATTGGAAGGCAAGTTAAATCCTCAACCACTTCAAATTTACTAAGCCCTTTTATTTTAAGGAACATGGCTTTTCTAAAAGGAAGTTTTTCAATTCTGTCTCTCCCCAGAAAGGCTAAAATACATAGTTCTTTAACAGAACAAAATGAATCTTCAATGAGGACGGGTTAAAGGAGCGATTTCAGAGCTGCAAAACATAGAACCAAACTCTGATCATAATACAGTAATAATAGTAGCTGCTATCAGTGCCCAGCCCATATCTGTCAGCCTTATCACTTCAAAAAGCAGGACTTCCACATGCCAGTACTGGCCCCTCTGTACCTGAAAATTTCTCCTGAAGGCTGCCCTGTTCTAGGGCTCACAGATCATCGGTATCAAGGAATTAATATTCTCCAAGAGCACCCCTCCGCTAATGACTGGCAGGGTGAGTGCGTAAATACCTCAACCCTCTCCACCGCTAGTGGGATAGACATGAAGCATGTGTCTCAGCAATTCCCACGCAGAGTTTTCCTGTGGAACTAAGCTTCAGTTTCAGATACACACATGTATTTTATGCGATGCCTTCCTTTCCTATATCACTTTTTCCTTGCTGGTGTTCCTTGTACCTCCCAAATAAATGGCTTGCATTTGAACCCTTATATCAGTGTCTCCTTCTTGGGCAAGCCACACTACACTAGGTGAGCATTAATCTGCTGAATAATGTAGGAGGCAGGGTAGGTATTATTTATAATAAAGTCATTAAAATGCATTTGTCAGCCTTGGGGATTACATTCATTGGTATAATAATAATCATCCATGTAAATTAACCTTGCTAATTACACATTGTTTCTTAAAGATGCGAGTAGTCCTCAGTTTTCTTATGAAGGTTTGAACCATTACTCATAAAACGAAAGAGGCATATCCAGGGGTGAAAGTCAAAATTTTTTTAACAATTAGTATGACGTAATTACTATCATAAGAATTGTAACAATATACACATCACTATAGAGCTAGGCCAAATCCCAGTTTGCCAGATAGTAACCATTTGGTGGCAGTTTGGGAATAGTTTCTGGGGTCTTGGGGAAAAGTCTGGAAAAATTGAGGGGTACTTGAGAGGCTCAAATGAGCAGGCACTTAACAACCAGTATAGAAGAATTTCAGTATTTTAATAACCAGTAAGGCCCTACTGGTATATACCAGCTGAGTAGCCAAAGCAAGATCTTGAACACTACATATATGAATATCTTCTTTTTGTCATATAAACAATCTCACATTATTTCCAATGAGATCAACATGATTAACACATAAAACAACTGCCAAAAGGTACCCTTTTCTGGGGAATAAAATTTTCAAAAAACATGAAGAATATGGATAATTTAAAACTGTAATACAGAAATGCTTGCAATTTAGCAAAATGACTATCAACAAAGGAGAAGTCCTCCTGGTGATATAAGTGCAACTCCTCAACATAAATGAAAATAACATGGCTATTCAAACACAATATCCCCCTGATTGGAACACCTCCTTATTTTTATTATGCTGTAAACACCCAAGGAATTCACTGTGAGTTGAGTGTTGAATAAAAAAAGGTACATAAAAATACCCAGTTGCTAAAAAGGCTTATAATCTCTAAGTACTACAAGGGAATTCAGAGACCAGCAGTCAGTCAAAGCTGAAATTCAAGGTGAGTGGCCAATGTTATCAAGCATGATTTGCTATAAACTTGGGCAATTAACTGAAGTGCAAAAGATGAGACCGAGTGAACAAAAAGCATAATTTCTGCCATAATTGTAGAAAAGAAGAAAGAAAAAGAAAGTAGGCAAACTCCGGTTGCAAGATGTAAGTTTTATAATTTTCAACAATATAAGCCTCAAGAACAACTTCTTGTAGAGAGAGAAAGAAAAAAATCAAATTGAAATGAACTCTTTCTGAACTTATGCAAACAGATTACACCCAAAATGATTTTTGTATTAGATTTTAATACAAGCTATTTCGAAAGAGTAGTTCTACATCTGGAAAAAGTACTTCTTCTCTGAACAAAAGGTGTTTTTCTAGTCTTCGATGCTAAGAGTTTATATTTCACCTGAAAAATAGTGGCATTATCTAACAATCACAACAGGGTACAATTAGCAACTTTTCCATTTATGCTTCAATTATAAACCATGTATTTAAATAATTTTCCCCCATTTGACCTCAGGTGCACAGTATAGGATGAATCATAATTCTTGGGCCATAATATGAACATCAGTGGTCCATGCATAGCTTGCTTTTATTAGTTAGTCATTCAATTAGTGTTTTTTGAATACTGTAATAAACACCTCCTAATTCACCACCCCAAAACAAAAGCTACTATATTGAGCATAACTTACATCTACTCACGTGTGTCTTCTGCCAGCACAGCCCTCTTGGCTCAGCCATCCATGATACACATCACTTAATATTCTGTGTTCAACATTTTCTAGCTTTTCTTTAAAAATAAATTGTTGCATTTGTATATACTCTACAATTATCATTTGCTTATTTGTTTTAGATTTTTAATGTTACAAAAAGGTATCATGCCACAGCCTTTTGGGACTCACATTTTCCTATAATATTGTATTGCTATGATTTTCCTTGGTATTGCTTTCTTGCTATCATTCACTCATTTTCACTGCTAATGTTCTATTGCATGAATGACAATTTATTAATCCACTCCCTCAAAAATGGGCATTTCAGTTGTTTCCATTTTTACAACTGGAGATAATACTGTGGACGTTTTTGTACTTGTTCCCTTTGTAAATGTGCAAGATTTTCTCTTTCATGGAGATTTCCTCTAAAGTGGAATTGCTGAGTCATGGGTAAAATGGATGCTCAAACTCAGGAGATAGTGCCAAATCACCCTCCCAGCAATGAAGTAGTACAACAGATGATGATGACCTTCTAGGACATAAGGAACCTACTGGAAGAAAAATTATCATGGTAGTAAGTGAAAAATAAATAAAGACATAGAGATATTAAATATTAATAAATTAATTCATTCATTGAATATCTTAATACTTTTAGAATTAAAAGTATGCAACAATTTCATTAAAAAACAAGGATGTGAAGGTAGCAATGGAGGCAAATAGAACATCTTGATGAATGAAAGAGGTTTCAAATATTAGGAGGGAAATTTGTGACAGATTAAAAGAACATAAAAAACAACCATTAATGGAACAGAAAAGTAATAAAGAACTTTCTAATTTACAATGGAAAGAAATGAAATAAACAGAAATATAATCAAAGGAGCAGAATACAGAAAATTGTAAAAGACAGGAAAATGTAAAATAAATAATACAGTAGGACAGAAGGTATTAACTCAGCAGTATCAGTTACTGCACTAAATGTGAATTGACTGAATTCTCCTATGCAAAAACAGATTCTAAGTAGGTTAAAATCAAAATACAAATATATGCTGCCTATCTGAAATTTATGTAAAGTGAAGTAATAAAAGAAGCTTGAGTATAAAGAATGGACTAAGACATAACCAATTCAAACAAAAAGATAAGGCGGAACAAATAATATTAATATCATATAAGGTGGAATTTCAGCTTAAAGACATTATATAGCAAGAGACATGTTATGTAACAATAAAGATACCTATAAAGGAAATATCAATACCTAAATAGCTGTGTTTTGTATACCATTCCAACTAAATATAAAAAGCAACAACTATTAGAATGCAAGGACTATAATGTACTGTAATGAGAAATTTCAATACACATCTCTCAATAAATTAAAAATAATGACCTAGAAGAACTGACTTACACAATTAGTAAAGCTGATTTATAGCAACGTAGTGAGAACCTTACATCTCTCTAAGAGATAATTTATAATTTTTGATTACTCTTGGAACATTCACAAGATGCTCTGTATATTTGGTCACAAAGAAAACCCCAACAGTTGTTCAAAAGTTGATATTTTACAGGTCTCCTTCTGTGATGATAATCCAATGAAATTAGAAATAAACAATAAAAATTGATCTGAAAAATCCAGAAGCGTATCTCATTATCCATATGTTATATATTTGTTGATTAAGTTTAATATATGAAACAAGTAGTGTTTTCATTAGGTATAAAAATAATTGTAAATGATACTGGCAAAATTGGTCATCCATCTGGAAGAAAATAAAATTGGAATTCATATAAATACAATTTCTAGATAATTTTTAAGATAAAAATAAAATAAAATTCATGGACAAAAAACTAGAGATATTCTTATTCAGCTGAATAATTCAGAGATACAGAGCAAAACATCAAAAGCAAAGTCAATAAAA
Organism: Homo sapiens; assembly: GCF_000001405.40. Lineage (NCBI taxonomy): Eukaryota > Metazoa > Chordata > Mammalia > Primates > Hominidae > Homo > Homo sapiens. Next base: position 27,647,584 of record NC_000018.10, read on the forward strand.
TAAATAAGTTATTTTGAAAAAATGGCAAAGCAGATAGTTACAGGACTAATATTTAAAATATACAAAGGTATTCTTGTATTGACCAAAAAAAAAAAAAACAAAAAACCAAAGTAATGGAATATTTAAAGCTACGCACAGAAAAAAAAGAAATCTCGAAGGCCAAAAACATATGAAAAGAAGCTCATGGTCACTAATAAGCAAATGCCAACTAAAGTAATTAAATATGCTTTTATAATCATCAGAATGGCAAAGCTTAAAAGTCTAAGAGCACATACATTAGGTGGAAACATGAGAAAACAGTACAGTAGGAATGGGAGGTGTTGGAGCTTTACTGGAAACCAACCTAGCAACATTTCATAAAATTAATAATTGGTATACCTTTTTGAGCCAGCAGTCTCATTCTTGGTAATGAATCTCCTAGAAAGAAAATCCCAAGTGAAAGTGAAACTATTCAAAGGAGACTGTTTGAATAATTCTGGTGTATCCACAGGGAATAATATGCAGCTATTAAAAAGAATGAATTTGAGCTATAGCAATTTGTCTTTCAGAAATGTCTAAGGGGTATTTTCATGTGAGAAAAGCAAAATACAGAAAAGTGTGTATAATATATCATTTTAAAAACAAGACCATTAACGATGAAAACCCTCTGTGTGGAGGAAAATGTGGAAGGTTGAATTGTAGGCTATTAAATGTGTTACTGGGTGGGAGTGGGTGGAGAAAGGGGTTGATAGATTTAGTACACCGAACCTCTTTCTCAGCCAGTGAGAGTAACTCAAAACTACCGGTGGGTGATCTAATTCAATCACATTAAAAAAAAACAATCAAAATGCAGGCAATACACCGGCATTAATTCAAAATACGCTACTCAAAACCAGTCACATAGCCTCATTTATAAAACAGTATTTCATCCTCATAAGAAGAGATTTCTTAAAAGACACAAGAATTTACTTTCTCAAGTCTTAGCACATCCTCTATTGGTCTGGAAAATTAAGTAGTCAGGGAGTTTTTTGTCCTAGGGACTAAAAGTCCTACAATCCTTTATTGTTTATTCTTTTTTTTTTCTTCTCTAATTCCTTGTCTTTCCCCCTCCCTGAGGATGAAATTAACGGTCAGCTGCACCTGTCCATCTGACCCAGTTGGTTTATTTAGAATTATAATTCACTTATTCAGCAATGCTGCTACTCCTGTAGCTCCAGAATGATAACAATAATTCCAATTAAAAATTACTTCTGTATGGATTATCTAACTCATAAACCCTTTTAATAAAGATAATTAATGCTTCTTCTTCTTGTCTTTGGGTTTTCAGTTCTCCGTGTTGATATTGCTTTGCTTTTAATCATTTGTCCCTGTTAAAAAACAGAAATAGGCAGGAAGAAGAAAAAAAATATGTCATTTGTGTCTCTATAGAGAAACTGCTTGGAAAGCTATCAAAGTTTCTTCAAGCTGTCTAAATTAGGGAGGGTAGCTTTTACAGGAATGAATGCGAGGCAAGAGACGAGGCTGAAAATTTCACTACGGCTAATTTTTTTTTTTAACATCGCGGTGCCCAGTGCATTGTGGGTATGTACTTGTATGTGGGTATGCAAATATTTATGCATTTATAAGGATTTGAAAATTCATATGCCTTAAATATAAAAATCCCCAGAATGAAATGAACTGACAGCTTTTAGTAACTCTCAGCAGTTCTAGGCTTCTTTCCACTCAATAGAATACATCTGGAAGTATCCTGATTTACAAGTATAGTCAAAATAAATAAATATTATCCCAAGAATTCTTACAAAGAAAACAGCCTTCTCATGCTTCAGACCTATTTGTACCCAAGAATGAGCTTGCCCTAAAGAGGAACAGATCCTTGGTTACTTCCTTAAAAGTGATTAGTTTTTATCCAGACTGAAACCAACCAACTATCCAGTCCATTTACAATTCTCTTCATATTTCCTAATAAACCTTTTCCTGTTTTTACATTTTAATGCTTTTATGTTATTTCATTCTATGTCTGTCTCTTGTAAAGAATTACAAACTCTATGGTTAGAGTTTATTTGCTTATCCTATATGGTGATTAGTTTTATGTGTCAATTTGACTGGGCTAAGGAATGCCCAGGTAACTGGTAGAAAAAACATTGTTTCTGGGTGTGTAAATGAGGGTGTTTCTGGAAGAAATTAGCACTTGAATTGAGAGACTAACTAAAGAAGATCCCCTCACCAGAACAGGTACTCATCACCTAATCGGCTGAGGTCCCAAATTCAGCAACACTGCTACTCCTGCAGCTCTCGAATGATGATAGTAATTCCAATTAAAAATGTGCTTGTCCCTATAGGAATTATCTAACCCCTAAACCTAATCAACAGAGCAGAGGAAGGCTAACTTTGTTCTCTGCTTCTGCGGGAACATTCACCTACTCCTGCCCTTGCACACTATGGCTCCTTGTTCTGAGTCCTTCTGACTTCAACTGGGACCCACATCATCAAGCTCCCCTAGTTCTTGGGCCTTTGAGCTTAGACTAAAACTGCACCACCAGATTTCCTGGGCATCCAGCTCATCCTATGATCCAGACAACTGATCATAGGACTTCTCAGTCTTCATAATCACATAGGCCAATCCCTTATAATCTCTTTCTCTCTTTCTCTCTTGCTATATATATATATATATATATAACCTATATTGGTTCTGTTTCTTTGGAGACCCTGGCTAATACATTCTATTAATTCTTTGCCTTTTATTATACAATTTTAAACTATTAATTAATATAATATTCATATTTGATATCTAATCTTAATTCTGAAATTGTTTTGCATACTCTTATTCTTCTTTTATGCTTCTTTATATTTTGTATTTTGTCATATGAACTGTGGTTTTGCTTTGTTTTTAGAGACTTGAATTATCTAAGGATTTTGAAATATGCATATGTTTGTTTTTTAAAACTTCTATGAGATAGAATCTTTAAGTTCTTCAAAAGTATGTATGCTTTGTTCTAAAAGTCAAGTATAAACTAATTTTTTTCACTGCCAATATATATCTAGACATGTAGGACATAATTCAATTTCCTTACAATTTCCCCACATAAGCTACACAGTTTAGCATTTTTCAAGTATTGTTTTCAGTAGCCAACCTAATTTTATTTTTAACTGATTTCAATGTCCCAATCATTTATTTTATGACTCCAAATTTTTACTTTGAATTCCTCTGTTCTTTGGCTACACTATATCTTAAAGTAGTTTTCCAGGAAAATTGCTTGAATGTCTTGCCTTTGCCTTCGTATCTAAAATTGCTGGAAACAGACTTCTTGTGGTACAACTTTTCTCCTCCCAGTACTATAGCTGCATAGTTCTATTTTTGCTGATATCTCAAACTGCAGAGAATTGTAAACACAACCTGATTTTGTGCCTTTGTAGAAACTTTTCCAGATGTTCTTCCTTTTTCTCATTCTTCCTTTTCTTTCCTTTCCAATTCCATAGAACAGTATTGCTCTGCATCCAGGCATGGTTCTCTTTTTTCATTATTCTTATAAGCTAAAATGCAAGCACTTTTTAATGTGTGTGTTTAGGTCTCTTTTATTCAGAAATGTTTTTCTTTCATTATATTTGTTATATTTCTTTTTTGAAAATTTGTTCTGGTTTCAGGGGTTTCAACCTTTCTTTAAAAATGCAAAGTAAATATAGATAGACAAATAGAAATAATTTAATCACAGAAATCAGTGATTAAACACTCAGTTTAATCATAGAATAAGTTAATATAAAAACCTTTGTGTCAATCTTAAGACCTCTTTCAGCCCCAGAACTGGCAGTCTGTTTGCCACAGAACCAATACTTTAAATTCCTAGGTTCTTTCTAGTCAGACTCTAAGTTTGAGCCCAAGTTCCTCCATGGCTGCCAACTAGACCATGTGGATGATCTTCTCATTAAAGTCCATGTAAGCTCTTCTTGTCGGGTGCCCTGAGTTTGATCATGTTTACAAACAACCATTCGTTCTTGTTCTGAACTTTAATTTCATTTCTCTAGCCCAAAGATGTATTCATTATTTTGTTAATATCCTTCAACTTTGTCTTGCTGTAAAATTATTATCCCCAAAACTCACTTCTATAGAAGAAAGGATCATGTAATGTCTTTATAATTTACGAGATTATTTATTTGTTATAAATTCTGAAAGAAAAAGTGAATGGGCTTATAAGATATATAGTATAAGACTGTCATAGGCTTCATTTTACTACTGTGATTGTGCTTTGTTCATTTACACGGAATGCTCTCCCAACTAGAGATGACATTGGTGTTTTTATAGGTGATATGTCAGAAAAGATAAGTATCAAATCATTTCAACTTTATTCACCTTTCTTAAAACATGAGATGATGAAAAGCTGAAGCTTTATTGAGAATCATGTCTTTTTTGTTCAGGAAACAAAAGAATAACTCCAAACTTTGGGACTAGATGAAATACACCTTACTCAATACCCCACCCTCCATCTTCAAACAGGCTCATAAAATCCGTAGGAGCTGTGATGAGATACCACATATTACAATAAACTCATGGCTATGTCTCCCCATTTTAACCATCATATTCCTGGTTATAACAGTTACCTATTCTAGGGTCTCTTCACTTTTCCAAATGTTCCCTTTCCTCTCCAAGTTGCTAATTTTGTAAACTCACTGAGGATGGGTACTTTAACTTTCACATTTTTGTATTTCCACAACACCCACCTCAGGGTCTTCAATATAGCACTCGGTCAAAAGAAAGAAAATATTGAATGAATGAATGAATGAAACAGTTTTTAAACCAGATTCATATCCATCTGTATTTCAATTTCAAAAGTGGGAAGTGAAGTTGAAACTATGGTGCAAAAGTTTCCTAACTTAAGCATGCCTATAGCAGGTAGATATTCTTTCTTTTTGTAACTTTGCTTGGTTCCCTGGAGAAATATCACTTAAGAAACACATCTCTCTCAGGTGTATGAACAGACTTGGCACCACTTCTCTGAGCCAAGTATAGTCAGCCCTGACTATTCTGGTTTCTGTCATCACCCTCAAGACAATTGCTGTTCTATTTTAACCTCAGTCCTTTAGAGTGCTTTGGAATTTGAGATAACTACAGAGTTACTCAATGTATTGAAAACTGCACAAATTCTACTTTCTCTTTTGTTCTTACTCTTCGGCTAACTGAGACCATTCTTACCAGCCTGTCTTCCTGTTTCCCCATGAGATTTGAGATAGCTCATCAAAGAAAAACAACAGAGAAGAGATTAATGACCATTTGATGCTTGCCAGCTCTGAAAGGTACTTACCTATGGGCTTTCATAATTACTTGACAATACCAACTGCTTACCCATCTTGCAAAGTTTCCATATTTCCTCAAGAGTACTATAGGTGGTGTAAATATCTGCTGAGTCACAACTGTGCTATATAGCTTGGTCCATTCAGGTAAATTTTCTCCATTAAAATAGTCACAGTATTATCCCACATACATTGTGTTTCAGAAGTATGTAATGATGGTGGTATTCAAAACGCTTTCTCTGAGAGGTCTCAGATAACCCCAGATGTCCTGTGGAATCTGTTTTTCTTTCTTCCACTTCAACACACAAAGGGATTTAGAAAGCTTCTTCCTTGGCCAGAAGCTATTATTTCAAATTAACTCAGAACTCTTTTACCCCATCTTGCTATGGGCTGGACCACTGAGGAAGAAATAAGTTATTCTGTGTTCTACTAAATTTTGCTATTACTTTATGAAAGACAAATAATACATAAATAAATAAATATATAAAAACAAATAAAGGCTTAATGGGGTTAAGTATAAATTCATATAAATTGTATGTTAGAGCCTTCTTGGTCTCTCAGGAGTTCTTCCTGTGTCCTCTGTTTAGCTTTAGTGCTGACATATGAGAAATGATGAACATCAGTAGAACAAGGCAAAGTGTGGGGATGGAGAGGCAGATTGAGAGAATAGCATCATCTATTCTCAAATCATTATTATTTATTATTTGGTCATCATAAAAGGTTATTCAAGAAAAAAAATCATTAGGACACTTTGTTTCATTTTACTTAAAAAAATTCTCCTGTGAGACTATTTTCTTAATTTTCATATCTAAAGAAAACTGTTCCCAAGTACTTTTTTCTTAAATTCTATTTTTATGAGCATAAAAATAAAAATAAATATTTTAAATAAATAAATGTTTTCAGAAATTCTGTTTTGAGAGTGTGAGAAGCATCAGGGATAAACTTTCTAACACAAGTGAACTAAACATCTTACAGTATAAAAATCACAGAACAAAATGGGTAGATAGGACATTAAAGGGTCTGTTTTGAGATAAATCACCTGAGGAAGATGTTTGTCAATTTTGAACCCTTTTGGAAAATGATTCTCTGACGTATTATCATTTATTCAGATCATCACATGCCATTGTGTAATTGTTCATTGCACAACTCTAAGAAGCTTCCATCACTTAGACTACAAGGGGCAGTCTGCACTGTGGCCCAAAATCCATTTTTATCATTTTAGAAACCCTTGAGAAATAGTTATCATTATAGAAGAATTGAATCTTAAATAGACAAAATCTTATTCAGAGCACCATACATAAAATAGATAAAAGCACAGCTGCTCTACTGGAAGTGGAGGTGAAGAATCCCATAGGCCCACCCCTTTATAGCTCCCTGGAAAGGCTTTTATGTCTTTGAAAAAAAAAAAACAGTTTTATAGTGGTGTTTTAAAACAAATAGTTTGTAGAAGAAAAAGACTTATATTTTACCAGATTAGTAGAAGCCACAGAAGGCAATGTGGTAGAAAGGGCATCAACACGAACATCAAGGAACCATATAACATTCTGCTGTGAGTGAGCCACGAGGTCCTGGGAAACTTCCAGTGATTCTAGGAAGTTGGACTAGATCAATGAGTGTATATGAGTTTCTTTTAAGCCAGGGGCTCTTTCAGAATTTGAAAAAAAAGTTATAGATCATCTCCTTCCATGCTGTGAAAAAGCCAGATAGACCCAGAGCTATGCTTGTCATGTCCAAGGATTGCTGGCCCCTTGGGCACCTCGTCTAGATAATCATGAAGTCATTCCAGACCTCAATATTATTCTACTTTTTAAAAACATATTAAGTACTTTTAAAGTCTAACATGGAAAGTCGCTTCCACATTCTACATTTGCTTCCTGAATGAATCTTCTGCTCCAAGATGAAAAATAAGATTGTACCCCTAGCTTTAAACAGCTATACTGCAAAGTTTGCTACCTTCCAAAAACAAGCAAGCAAAAACAAAACTGAGTGTACTGAGTGTTGTTCAATGCAGTCCTGTTCTCTCCTGGAAATATGCTTTATAAAGCAAGTGCTCCTAAAGTGGAGACACTAGATTATATTAAGGCAGCACAGCTCACTAGAGGAGGCACTACCTGCAGGTCACCTGCTGGACATCCAGATGCGTCTAGTAAAAGGGCCAGAGAGGCTGAGGACAGCCACCAGCCATTTCAAGCCAGAAAAATCTCAGTATCTGCATATATTGGGTGCTCGATATTTCTTGTTGGAAAAGGTATGGCCATGCTATTGCAATATGTAACTTTTTTATTTCCTCCTCTTTTCCAGACCATAATATTGCTTGCAGCTAGATTATTGTGGTAGAAAATGTTACCTCTGACACCAGCAGTACCCAGATTTTTAAATGTCTGAAACTGAATTTTATCTTCTTCTGAACCCTCCTGCTCACTAATACTTTGTTTCTTTTTCGAAGGGACTGATGAAATTCTAACTTGTATGTAAATTCTGTATACATGCTTTAAAAATGTGTAGTTCTGGAGAAGAGAATCTGGATTGCAAATGACAAATGGTTTCTTCTCTTGTGTCAAATTCTATTGATTGATTGAGCGAGGCTGCCTAGAGCACTGAGTTGGAAGGAATAGAACCATTCCAAGGATGGAGTTTTGTGATCAAGTAATGAGAGCAGTCAAAGCACAGGAGGTATCTTCTGGACCCTAAATGATATCTTCCCAGTCTATTTCTCAAAACCCCTGGCAGAGTCCCTGCATGGCCTGTAGCACAGGAGAGTCACAGAAAGCAGTAGTAGTTAAATGAACTGATAATGCAAAAAAGGTAAACGAACACACATAAAATCCCACAAAAACTCTGTATCTTTGCCTATTTAAGAAAATATAGGATATTTTGCATACTATTTTGAAATTGTAAAAACATGTTATCTACATATTTCAATATGCATAGAACATTTCTAGAAGTACACAAAGCAATAGTTACTGATTACTTCCTGGGAATGAGAATCCAACAGCTTGGAGGAACTCCTTTGCTAAGAGCATAATTTCTACAGGGAAGTACTCACCACCAAGTGCCTTGGTAAAGTATGAATTCTGAAAAAGTTAATGCTGAAACAAAATATTATCCCTAGACATTAACCTTCTTGGGAGGAGAAGGTTTTTCGGGTCACTGTAGGGCCCTAGCCTTTTTCTGAAGTAAAATAGGTGCTCAATGTATTTTGCTGAATGAATGATTCCATCAACCGACTAACCAGTGAATCCAAATATCTCAGATAAGGCTTGTAAATTATAACTACTGCTCAACTTCATCCAAACCTCTTTCTTGCTTATGACAACCAGGTAGATGAGAATTCACTTATTGGCTCTGTCATGTATTAGCTGTAGAATTTGGGGCAAATCCATATATTTTTTGAATTTCAGTTTCCTCCTTTGTAAAATGCGGATGATCCTCTTTTGCTTAGTTGTCAGGATTCCCTGGCATGGTGTTCACACGCCTTCCAAATCAGAGCCTGGTGAGTTGTAGGTGCCACTATAGTTAATTACTTTGAAATGCCACTTAATTCTTTCAAGGCTTACATTTTTTTCCTCTGTTTAAATAATGTGATAAGAACTTAAGTAAAACATATCCTACAAAAGTGTTATTGTTCAGCTCCTGTTATGTGACAAAATGTCCCAGACTTGGATCGCATTCCCTTTGAGCACTCACAAAAGTGGATGACATAATTTAAAGACAACACAGCTGAGCTGATTAATCATTTAGTGCCCTCCACTGAATCACACGTTTCTGTGGCTTCCCTAAGGTGTTTGCATATTTCTCTAATGCCGTTGGTGTGACTACAAGGCTATGTTTGTTCTTAACAGAAAATTTCATTCAGTTATTACATTTTGAGAGAGACAAATATAATACAGTGAAAATTTTGAAATGAATGCCATCCATATATATATGTTTTAAATTTTTTACAATCCTCTTTTCTTTTAGGCACAGCATGAACCCAAAGTGAATTTTAGTTTCTGTAAAGCATTTCTTTCATCCTTTTAGAAAAATCACATACATCATATTTTCTAGAATGACAGCCAATTTCTGTCCTTACACGTTAAGCATGTTTTCCTAAGTGTCTTAAGTGTTAAGAAAATATTGATAAAAATGGCAAATACTTTTGTCTAATCATAACCATGTTGGTCCAAATATTGAAGTTTTCTTAAGTTGTTTTAAAAGCTAATCATCTGAAGTCTAGACAGACGTTTTAGTGATTAAGTAAACTCTTTAGTCAATTCAGTTAAATAAATTAGGTATGACTAGCTCATTTTGATATCCTCTAACTCAGCTTACTGCCTTGTCTAAATGTAGTAGGCACTAATGAATATTTATTGATTTAAGTTGTTTGTTCTTTAAAGTGAAATATACTTAGGTTGAAACTAGAGCAAGTAATTTCGATAATGCATGTGAAATGCCTAATAGCCCCTATTCAGTCCTTTTCCAATTCATGTGCACCTTCCTTTGATTCATGAGTTTTATTTGCTCCTGCTACATTTTTGAGCCTGAATTTAAATGCAGATTGGCAAATGTTTTCCCAATATCTATTATCTATTTTGTTTTAATAATTGCTCATTGAGTTTTAAGTCACTCCCCATCATCTTTGTTCTAAGTGTCCCTCTGTTGTGAAACAGTATTACATATTATTTATAAATGACTTTAGAGAAAAAATAAAACAAAGGAGAAATACCACAGATATCAATGAGAGACTGCTTCTTACCAGCAGGTGTGATTCATTAATAAGTGAGTTCACTTTGAAAGGCAAATCATTAATATTTTTACTCCTATGAGACAATAACTCTGTAAGAGTTAGATTTGATCAAATAATGATTCGATGAACTGTAGGAGGATTCAGATTAACTATGAAATTATTACTTCTGGGAGTTTGCTTTAGTACTTTCAAATTTTTAAATATCAGAGCATGATATCTAGGCAATCAATAAGTCTAAGGAAAGAATAAGATTAAGATATCACCCAATGTGTTATTCTGTTAACAAGGAAGAAGGTTTTTTTATACACAACCATAATTTTACAGTTATGAAGTTTATTAAAATAGCTACACGTTGAATTATTTCTCTTGATCCTTTATAGTTTTAATTCTAGTAAGCCACCACTACAAACCACCAAGGAGAATATACTTCTATCATGTAATCTGTATTTTGTCACTGTAACCAAAACGAACCACAAAATGTGGTTTTTATTTTCTATATGACATAAATAAGGAGTTGCTATTCAAAAAGCTGAGGTTGCATTGGCTTTATAAAATTCAATTTCAAAGGTGGAAAACTGGGTGGTTGTTGTATATAAAAATCAGATTTTTTTTAACCCTCTCTTTTTGGAGAATTGGAAACAAAGAAAAATTCATGCATCCTCTTAGGATTCTCTGATCAACTTCACTATCACACATAAATAATCCATGTATCATTGAGACACAGAATTCTGTAGTGGGCCAACAGAACTACCCTTAGATATAGGCAACTGGGCAGGGCCCCACACTTAATGACCCCTCAGGTGCTTGGGGCCAGCCAGAGCCAGCAGTGCCATGTGAATGGGGTGCCCAGAGTCTGCAACAGGACACACATGGACCTCAGTCCTGGATTTTGGACTTTCTCTGGGCACTCTCCAAACCTCTCCCCTACACATTGGGTTGACCAGATGCCCTGAGGAGCTCAAACACTGACATCTCTGGGTTTATCCCTGAGACAGGACCAGATTCCAGAAAGGCAGGTTGCCAAGCATATCGCTCTGGGTCTCTGGCCTGTGATTTCTTTCACAAGATTGCGTGAGAATGGACCACAAAAACAGTGCTTCCATGCTGATTTGGGGGAAACCACAATCATGTCAGATTCAGGCCAAGTCAAGACCCTGGGCTATGAATTCCCAGCCAAACTTGAGCCGTGTGTGTAGACCCGTGTGTGATTCTGGCCTATCCATATTCTGATCTCCATGTTGCCTCCAGTCTACAGCACCTGGGTGTGGCAATGTGACCATAGGCATCCTTTACCCAGTGTGCTGCTGCGGCTGGCACCCGGGTCCCCCAACTGCTATACAGGCTCCATGTCACATGTCAGGCAGTCTTAGGGGTGGCTGCAGTTGTCTTCTCCCAGGGCTTCTAAGGACTTTTTTAATCCATAATTTTATCTTGTTTCTGACACACAATGGTTGTTTCTATACAGACTTTCAAAGATGTGCTAGAGGAGGAAGGAGCATTTCTAACTCCGTGGGATTACTCTTCTCACTCTGCCCATGGTCTCTGACTTGTGGACCCTACTGGTGGTATATGGATGGCAGTTCACATTCAGGAATGCAGTGATTACGGAGTACAAGAGTAGTTAGAAGATGCTAAAACATGTGTGTCCTATGATTACACTATAATATTCTGAATGGTAAATTTTACATGATCAGAAAAACTATTGTTCATTTTTTTCTGCATACATGAGGTAAGACTTGCCTTTGTGTTCATCTTGAATGAAACACAGTAGGAACTTTTATTTATCAGAGTCATACACAGGAAGCCAAAATTCCCAGGTGGCATAAGGGATGATGCTGCATCATGAGTAATAATGTGACCGACATTAAGTAAATTGTATCAGGGAACTATGAAACAACTATGAACACAAGATCTGTGCCGCTTCAATACAGACAAGTCCTAAAGAACCATGGCATTTTGAGAAATAGCAGCATTACCACCCTTTGCTCATGGTAGGAGATGTGATATTAGCCAAGAGGCGATGTACTTGACAATAAAGTGTATGAAGAAATGGTCCCTGAAAACTTCACCTGCACTAGATGGATAATAAACAGATATATAAATACTTCTTTCCTACCCATTGTTTTTTATCATCATCAATAAATCTCTATACCCAGTGAATTTACATAGTCATGCATTTTATAATATACTTCAAAAATAAAAGTTTATATAGACAAAGTCCTACCAAAAAAATTTGCCTGAAGGCTTGCATACACTAGTAGTGGCCCTGACGTCCTAAATTTGAAAAATATTTTGAACTATATCCTTATGCAATGCAAAAACCGCTAGTCAGTGTTTGTCCAGTTTCATCAATGTCAAGTACACTGCTAAGAAGCTCATAAAATCATCAATCAAACCATTATATTTTGGGTAAGTTCTCAGTTGTAAAAACATTCCTTCTAACATTGAATCAAAATCTATCTGTGCATTATATTCCTACAAGAGTGGACTTCCATTCTCACTGTACATCAAAACACTTGAGAACTTTAAAAAAAAATCAGTTGACCAGGCTCATGCCTCAGTGATTTGGTTTTGTAGGGGAAAAGAAATACCTTTTTTTTTTTTTTCGCCCATTGCTAGGCTCATGGCTGAGGCCCCTGTAACAAAAGACAGACTAACAAGAAAATATGAAATTCATTTAATACAAATTTTATGTGGTGCAGGAGCCTTCAGAAATAAAGACTCAAAGGAAAGGGAAACCGGTGTATTTTTATTCTAAGTTTCACAAAGAAGTAGATAGTTGTGGAGAAAGAGGTTTGGATAAAGGAAGTTTGATGTAGTGGTAATAAACCGGGAGAATTTAGCAAGGCCTGATTGTTCAGATTCTTTTCTGTGTTCCTCCCTGTGTCTTCAAAGCTAAGGACAATTCTTTCCTTCAGGTATAGAGTGGACCCCACTCCCATCACAGTCTTGTGACCTTCTTCAGAGGAAAGTCAGATAATTCTTCTATAGCCTCTTCAGGGTAGAAGGGAGAGAGGACAAAAAGACCTTCCTGCTTCTACTGCTTTCTCAAATACCAACGTTCCATATTTAGGGGTAGCATGTCCTGAACCCCATTAGTTTCACTTGGTTTGGGTGGAACCAAGATGCTGGTATGTTTAGAAGGTTCTATTGGTGATTCTAATGTATAGCCAAAGCTCTAGTGGTTCTTACCCCTGGCTCCATGATAAGATTACCTAATGACCTTTAAACATGTATCAGCATCCAGGCCCTACCTAAGACTAACTAAATCAGAATTTCAAGAGATGGGGCTCAAAGCCTGGTGATTTGTAATTTTCTAAAATATCAGATAATCCTAACCTGCAATGAGTGCTGAGAATTACTTTTATGGTGCAATTCCAGCAGGTGCTTTTATCTCTAGGTGGTGAAAAAGCACAATCTCATGTTTCCAAAGCGAGTAATTCCTTTGAAACAGACACAAACTTACTTGCAAATCTCGTTAAATGCCAATATTTGTTACGTTTGATCTAAAAATATTATGGTTCTTGTGATGTGTAACCACAAAATTCACCAGCTTTTAATGAATTTGGTTCATTATTTGCATGGAACTGTCCACATTCTCTAGAAAAGTAGAATAATTCTAATTTCATGTATGTTGTTACTCATCCATAAATGGACCCTATAAGCATCTGCAGACACTTTTGGAAATGTATAACAAGGAGATTCAGGAATATGCTAGGCAAGTTTCTACAGCCCCTTTCATTCCTAAAGGAAGAAACTTTTATGTGGTACAGGAGCCTTCAGAAATAAAGACCCAAAGAAAAGGGAAACCCCCTCTAAGATCAGAACTGCAAGATTACCCTCCAGCAGGTGGGAGTCAAAACAGGCTAACCGATAAGCAAAAAAGAGAACTGGCAGGCTTCAGAGGAACGCAACCAAATCTCAGACTTGTGTTTATCCAATCGATAAATGCCACAGCTCTTGAACAGCTGTTGTTTAAATTCATTTCTCTGTGGCAGAACAAAAGGAGCGTAATGAAAGCAATGCTATTAGAGAACTCATTAGAGTCAGTAAGGAGAAAGCAGACTTTAAGATAATCATTCTTAAGAGAGACAACATTCAGAGCATCTTTTGGTTCACAATACTATCAGTAGGCAGTACGGTGGTTAGGCAAAGCCAATTGCTTTTTCTGTAGAAAGATTACAGAAAGGAGAACGATCAATAGATCCATGGCAGAAAATCACCCTGGTTTGTGCAACCCTTTCGTTGGATCTTTTGTTGCTAATTCGCTTTTGGTAATATGAATCTCCTCTAGTGCCTTTCAGTGTTAGCATTCTAGGAGCAGTTAGCCAAGCAGAAAGGCCACAGATCAAGTCTATTGTCTGCTGGCAAAGGCTCCATTGAACCCTAATGGACATAGGAATCTAGCAAAACAAAGAATCCTTAGTGTCTTGTTCAAATGAATCCTACATCAGAGAAGGCCAAGGGAGCCCTTTGATTATCTGAAAAGGTAGTGATTAGAGGGTAGAAGGTGAACCTATTATGAACAAAAAAAAAAAAAGAAAGAAAGAAAGAATGTAAGAATAAAAGAAAGAAGAAATGAAACTTCTCTACTTGCAATGTTTCCTTAAGGATGTATTGGCCAAAATGTGAAAGAAAGCTTAAAGTTTCTTTGTATAGTGTTCTGTAGTACCCGTAGTTTACTCAAATGCAGAAATTTGCTATCCATTGTTCTAGAAGAGAAGCTACTTGCATTAGTCTTTCAAGCTTTTTTAGGTAGGTCATATTTGTGACAAGTGAGAGGAGGAAGAGAACACTCAGCTTTGTTGTACAAGTGGTTAGTTTTTAATGCATATGACTTCCAGAAATCAAATGATCTTTTCTCTAAAATCTCAAGCATCCATGTTTTAGTTTGAATTTGTAATCTCTGCTTTGGTTTTGCCCTTATTTCCTCCCCTACCCCTAAAATTCCTCTCTACTGATTGGGACCCTTTCACTATTGTTTGGTGCTTTCCTGATTAGAGTCAGGCTGCAAACAAAGAACTGGGTGCTGTAATGGCCAAAAAACAGTAGAGTAGAAGGCACTGAACCACTGAAATTAAGGGAAATGAAGGTAAACATAAGTTATCTTAACCTCCAGAAAGGGAAGTTGAACATCCCAGAAGTGTTTGCTCAAGCTGTTGCATCAACACAAATAGAAATCATCATGCACACCATTGACTGAATACTTACCATATGCCAATAAAGAGCAAACTCATTGAATATCCTCATAACTATCCTGAAGGATAGAAACAGTTAGTTTTGTTACTTTACAAGTGACAAAATTGAAGCTACAAGAGCATCAGTGACTTCCTAAAGTCATGTAACAACTAAGTAGAACAATGACTGGCACCCAGGCCCTATAGAGCCTTCCTGATCTTCCCTCCAACGCCTTCTCCAGATTTGTGTTTTCCTCCTCTCCATCCTACAGAGATTGTCTCCTAACCCTGTCCCTTCTGAAACTCCTACTAAGAAAAGGTCTGCCTTATTGCTGTCAGATTGTGAAATCTAGGACTTTGGTCAGAAATTAACATTTTATTCAATTGAAACATCTGGTTCCTCCTCACCAGTCCTATTTAAAATAACTCCTTATAAGGATCTTTAGAAAGAAAAGCGCAGCAAGGCAGATAATGCTTATTGCAGAGCTTTCAGTGCACCACATCAGCGCAGCTCTGGAAAAAGTGTAAGGCTTGTGTTGTTGTCTTCAGGAATAGCACACAACAAATGCAGACCTTTGGTCAGATGTAAGCAAGCGAGGAGTTTCACAGTGCTCTATCTGTGGCACGGGTGTTCTATTTGGTTCTCGTTTGATTTTTTGATTACTACTAAGATTGCTTG
This sequence comes from Homo sapiens, assembly GCF_000001405.40. Classification (NCBI taxonomy): domain Eukaryota; kingdom Metazoa; phylum Chordata; class Mammalia; order Primates; family Hominidae; genus Homo; species Homo sapiens. The sequence continues at coordinate 27,663,428 of NC_000018.10, forward strand.
TATTAGTCCTTCTTCATGCTGCTGATAAAGACATACCTGAGACTGGGTAATTTATAAAGAAAAAAAGGTTTACTGGACTCACAGTTCCACACGGCTGGGGAGGCCTCACAATCGTGGTGGAAGGCGAAAGGCACGTCTTACGTAGCAACAGGGAAGAGAGAACAAGAGCCAGGTGAAAGGCGAAACCTCTTATAAAACCATCAGATCTCATGAGACTTATTCACTACCACGAGAACAGTATGGGGGAAACTGCCCCTATGAGTCAATTATCTCCCACTGGGTCCCTCCCACAACACGTGGGAATTATGGGAGCTATAATTCAAGATGAGATTTGGGTGGGGACACAGCCAAACCATATCATTGCTAGATCTAACAAATAAAAATGCAGGATGCAGAGTTGAATGTGAATTTCAGATCAAATATAATTGTTTAGCATAAGTAAATTTGAATTTCAGACAAATAATATCTAATATTCAATGTAAATAATTTTTAATATAAATATGGTCCATGAAATATTTAGGACATTCATATACTAAAGAGTTATTTCTATAAAACATTATATATTGTTTATCTGAAATTCAATTACAGCTGGATATGCTATAATTTTTCTGGCAAGTGTAGGCCTTGCTATGATGAGTCTTCGTATGATACACGGAACCTAGGATGGTCTATATGTGTAATTAGATCTTGTTTTTAAAATACAAAAAAAATTAAGACTCATGGTAAGATGGGTGCATATTTATTTACAATCTATTCTATGTTCCATTATGAGAAAATGAAAGGGCATGTCAGTTGGTGCCACATTTTCTTTGTAATTTTATTGTGATTTCACTGTAACTTGGTGGTCATTTCATTGATATTTCACTATATCAATTTTGGTGAAATATTTTCATTTTTCATTCATTCATTTTCTCAACAACCACTTATTGAGTGCTAACTATGGGCAAGCCATTTGACTCATTCTTTGGGGATTCAAAAAGGAACATGAGCCTGACATTACCTTTAAGAAATCTACTGTTCCACAGGAAATAGAAGAGGCAAAACTAAGTGCATAATATAAGGCAACATTAAAAAAAAAACTCCATTAAAATAGTGTAAGTTCCTGAGAATTCAGAGAAGGAAAACATCACTCTTGTCTGAAGTTAGGGGCAGGGTAGGGTAGGGATGAATAGTCCTCCTATCAGGTCATGTGGAAAAAGAAAAAAGTTGTAGTCAGTAATCAGTGTTTAAAATTCAGTCACTTTAGAATGTATTCACTTTTGTTACCCAATATTTTACAACAATGACACTTTCATATATTAATGTTTGTAATATAATAATTATTTTTAAAGTAAAGAATGGCCAATACCCTCAGTCACCTTTTGATGGGCCTTTGTTGTTTTGCCTGGGTAGTTTTATTTTTTTTATTTTATTTTTTTTTTGAGACAGAGTCTCACTGTGTCACCCAGGCTGGAGTGCAGTGGCACCATCTCGGCTCACTACAACCTCTGCCTCCCTAGTTCAAGCGATTCGCCAGCCTCAGCCTCCTGAATAGCTGGGATTACAGGCGCCTGCCACCACCACACCCAGCTAATTTTTGTATTTTTGGTAGAGACAGGGTTTCACCATTTTGGCCAGGCTAGTCTCGAACTCCTGACCTCAATCTGCCCGCCTCGGCCTCCCAAAGTGCTGGGATTACAGGCATGAGCTATTGTGCCCCGCAGGTGGTTTTATTTTTAATGTTGCTAGTAGTTAGCCTTAAGTACACATTAGTAAGCTTCACCATGTTTTCTCACTTTGCCAGGACCAACAAACACCATTTTCACATTTAGGTATTAACTCTATTCTACTTTCTCAGTGCCTCACCTAGGAAAACTTATTTATTTTCTCAGGGCCTGTTTTTCGTTTATTTGATTTTACAAATATAATGTAAATATCTGTATAATATGACTCCTATATTCCCACCAGGAATAATAATGACTGCAGTGCCTGCGGGAGACTTCAATCTCCTTAGGGATTCTAAAATACCAAGAGCTATTCCGAATAGCTCAGCCCAGCTGCGACACATTCCTCAGATTGGTGGTAGTTTTGAAGAGCTGCTGGCCAGATATTTCAACTTGCAAACTCCCCAACTTGCAAAGCTGCTGCTGTTTGCACTTTAGCTCTGGGTCTTGAAGTTCTGCCTCTTCGTGCTTATTGGGTTTACACTGTGTGAACCAGGACTGCAGAGGAAAATTGCTGCTGTTCTCATTATTGCATGTCTGGATTTGGGCTCCAGCTGACATGTTTATTTGGTTTGTTGACTTCAGCCCTGGAATTCATTTCTTTCTGCTCTCTTCAATTATTACTACTTCCTTTTGTTTATATAGCTCCAAGAGACTCAAAGATATGCCCAGGTAATTAATTCTTTCAGCATCCTCTCCTAATAGAGAAGATCATTTCATGAATATCAAGAATAGCCAAGCAATGTTCATCAATTTTTGTGTTTACCTTTCATTTCCTCCAATCCCATCAATGTTTCAATGCAAACCATTCCCTGAAAACTAAGGGTAAAGCTAATATGCAAACTAGTCATTTACTTCAAAATATCATTTTCCTGCCATGGTTAAACCATCTGTGGGGGATGGTCAATGAGCTTCGCCTGGAAGCCTCTGGGAGAAACCCCAGTTATTCCACTTTCCTCTACGGGACATTTTTTTCCTTATTATTCAACAAGAATGAGACATAATCACATCAGTCTACAGCTTCAATTTCAGCAAACTATTTTTTTGGCTTCAGTGTTATTATAGGTTAAATTGTAAGTATTTTGCATGAAGGAATTGTCAGTATTTGTCTTCCAATTAACTGATAAAGCCCCTTGGAATTTCACTGTAACATGTCAGAGGCCTTAGCTGGAAAACCATCGTTGGATGTCAAGTTTAATATGGTTGCTCAGTGACAGTTGGGATTACCCTGTGTTCCAGCACAATTCCAACTGAGAAATATTTGTCATGTTTAATTGACAATTTAGTGTTATAATTATGTATTAAGTATATTTACTCCACTCAAGCATTAAGGTAAGTAAATACTAGTCTTTTCCCCTCACAAGACTTTGGGAAAATCATGCTAGATATTTCATTATCTACTTACAGAGAGATTGTCTGTAACCACATAACTCTGCCTTTTGGGAATGGCATCTCTTACATTTTATGTATGTGATCAGTGTCAGAGCAGCATGGATTGCTACTTGGGATCCATCAAAGGAGGACCAGCCTCAGACCCCTTCTCTGCTTAAGAAACAGAGCCTGATCTTGATCCTAAAGACATCTGTTTAGGATTACCTAATATATTTAAATGCTCCCCTGTTGGCCTCCAATTTTTTGCATAATCCTGTACAATTCTTATCTCCCAAAGGTGCCACTCTTGCTTAGAATGAGATAGAGTATCTGCCTGACTAGAGATTTATGCCTGAGAATTGTGAATTCTTCCTTGTAGAAGTTTGGGTTCTTTTTTTTCAGCATTTATACTGAGTGTTACAGAAAAAGAGAATAAGGGAAAGGAGTGACACATGATTCTTTTCCATTGTCTTCTATTATCTCTTCTATTTTTAAAATTGCATTTTTTCTCCTGGGAAATGCCTTATTTGCATGGCTGTGTGGCTATGCAGAAGTCAGGCTGGAGTAAGAAGTGGTAGTTTCTATAGACTGGGTGAAGGTCCCTGCAGTGCACCAGTTTTTTTTTTTTTTTTTTCTGTACCAAGATAAAAATAACGTTTCTTTATCTTTGTGAGTGACTGAATAGGGTTGAGGTTCTTATTCGTGGACTCTCATCTCAAAAAGCGTTCGACTGTCAGGACAGGGGTAAAGTCCCATGATTTGCTACTGCTACTGCTGACACAGCAAATAAAATGAGATAACGATGCATAAGAACTGTGCACAGTTGAAAATCATTATGGTGCAAATATTACAGTGATTATTTCCAAAGCAATAAACCCACAGCATTAAGAAAAGATGATGAGCCAGGCACAGTGGCTCACACCTGTAATTCCAGCACTTTGGGAGGCCGAGGTGGGTAGATCACTTGAGGTCAGGAGTTCGAGACCAGGCTGGCTAAAATGGTGAAACCCCATCTCTACTAAATTATATTTAAAAATTAGCTGGGCATTGTGGCGGGCACCTGTAATCGCAGCTACTCGGGAGGCTGAGGCAGGAGCATCACTTGAACCCAGGAGGTAGATGTTGCAGTGAGCTGAGATCGTGTCACTGCACTCCAGCCTCGGTGACAGAATGGGACTCTCTCTATCACACACACACACACATCCAGGGACAAGTCCAAACTTATAAAGAAGCAGATAAATATAGAGATTGAAAGATTTGGAGAAGACCCTACAAATTCATTTTCTCTCCTTCCCTCTACTGACTCCATCCTCACACAAAAATACATCCATTCCAGCCATTAGCGCTTGCAGTAATTCTAGGATTTGCTTTGCTGAACCTATTCAAAATGCAAACACTGTTGAGAGCAGCAAGACCCTGTGTAAGCTACCATGTATCAGCTCAAATTATTTTACAATATCTGGTAGAAGAAGTGTGAGTAAATTAAGAAGAGGTGCTCTAGTACTCTAAATTGAGCTGGGTACTCAGGAGGAAGAGTTACGGAGCATCTGCAACCTAAGAGCTGGGCAGCTCTTCAGAAGCTCCTGTGGGGGTATCTGGAGACTTAGGTCAATTCTGAGCCCAGAGTGAGTGGTAAAGGGGAAGAGGGGCAAGATAGAAAAAAAGAGGCCAAAGGAGGTAAATGAGTTACAAGGGACACTGAAATAGGCTTCCCTCTATTCACAAGTAACCCTGGTGCTGGGAGTCTCTGAGTATCTCATTAAGAATCCGCAGGCCAATGGCAAAATGTGTAACCATTTTCCCTTACATTTTGAGACCTCTTAAGTGAGTCAGCTGCAATATAAATCTTTATTTCTGTAAAAATGCACTGTTAAGAAAATATTACTATGTATCATCTGGTGATCTAACTGTTAGAACTGGGAATTAATCAGAGGGAAACAATCACCCCTGGAAGGCTTTGCTGCTGACTAAATATGTGTAAGATAAAATTAGTACAAATGGGTAACAAGAAATGATTTCCATATTTTACTGACAAGTAATATTAGGAATCATTATCTTAATGTTTTATGAACTTCTGGTATCATCAAATGACATTCTCAAGTAATATTATGATCAGGAGCAGAACTTTTCATCCCTGCATGACATAAGCAGAGAGGTTCTGTAGTGTTCAATCATATATAGATAAAGATATACATGATATAGATAAAGATACAGAGAGAGAAAGAGAGAGAGAGAGAACAGGTTTACCTGCTTAGAGAATTATTGTTTTCTTTGTTAGGGCAGAGGAAAGAGAAATTTAAGCTTACTGTTGATAAACTCTATATATTCAGAAGGCCCTAGAAAACCATAATCATTACCACAAATTTTCTTTTTCCAGTTAGTTTCTTTAAAATGAAAAATCTGTCTGTATAATTTAAAAAGCTGTCTGCAGCTCATACTCTGAATGACGAAAGGGTAGGAGGCTGGAGAAAGCAAGAGTGAAAGGCTTTGTGCTTCATCCGGAATCACCCTTCTGTAAACCACTGGGCATAATTCCTCTGTAGCAGATGCTAAGGTTGTTGAATGGTTTAGAGCCTGTGCAGCCAATTGTGTGAGGAAAGACTGTGTTGACAAGACAGAAAGCGGAGCTGAAGAAGATAGGATTAAATGTGACCCACTTGCCCTCCCCTCCCACTGTCAGTGTGACTTCTATGTCTTTTGAAGGGGGACCTGTGAGTGGGACCTAAGGCCCTCCAGAGTCTAGGTGAAAAGACTGCAGCAGAACATTCTTGGTCAGGCCCAAAAGGAAGCTCAGGGATGGAGGTGGATCAAAATGACTAGTTTGCTGGAAGGAGCTTAGCTAGAGGAGATCCATGGTCCCTGATGAGAAAGCAACACCAACCTAGAGGAAATTCGGGGAGGAGGTGCTTGTCTCTCTCAACCCAGGGAGCTATGCAAGACTACATTTCCCTAACCCCTCATGGTGGGAGCAGGTGGCCTTCGCAGCAAAGGAGACCTGGAGGCAATGAGCCTTCCTTCAGTACCTATAAAGTGGTGACAACTTGCAGGCCCACACTTCCTGCAGCCTACCGTGGGGCCATTACCTGAGAACGGAGGCATCTGGAACCAAAGTCCAAGTAAAGAATACATAGCTACAGGTGATACACTAGAACATGACCCCACAAATAATAAGAGAACCTAAAGAGATTCAGTGAAAGCATATAAGGTACCTCTGGATCTTAACAAATATGGTTTATAAATTTTAAAATTCAGTAGAAAAAAGAAAACAATAAGTCATTAACATAAAGAAATAAAATAATTCAATTGATAGGCTCAATTAAACAAATTAAATATAGAACTATAACATACATTAAATAGAGAATATATGTTTTTATGTATCAATAAAACAATTATAAGAAATAATTAGATACTTGTGTATAACGGAAACTTTAACCAATTTTTCATAACAGATATTTTTTTCCATCTGATCAAAGAAAAGTTTGGAAATCTATTATTTTAAAATGACTCAAAACATTGTAACTCCTGGAAATTAATAAACAGTCTCACAATTAAAACAGAATAATTGAAAAAGATTCTACAAGAAAAGGGAATTACGCAGGCAGTATTAAATTGTACCTTTCTCTTGACCTTGCCCGTGAAAGCAATAGACAAGCAACATGTAGAGGCCAGAGTGGCTCAGAAAGTGAGGCTGCTTTCCAGAGTGAAGCAGCCTTCAGGCGGTTATCATAGGAAAAAACATGGAATAGCACAAGGCATTCAAGCCTGCAGAACTGTTTCTTTGAGGGTGTGAGACATCTATATATGTGTTTCTTTACATTTCCATTGTTATTTTGTATGTGTTCTGAGTTGGTATTTAGTATTAGCCATATATAATAATATGTTTGGGGAAATATATATTATATATGGTATTGTATTATATATATGTATATGTAATATGTACAAATTATATAATATATATGTGTATATATACATACACACATATATATACACACACACAGCTATAGATATCTCTGTGTGTGTGTGTGTGTGTGTGTGTGTAAACCGGCATGCCTTAGTGGCACTTTTGGAAGCCAAGCTATTTGAAGCCAGACTACAGAGAAAGCACTGAAGAGGGGGATAGTTCTAAATATTTAGGATCCATTTGACTATGAGGATGAGAGAAGCCCCCTTGGTAAAAGTTAAGGAGTGTGACTCAACAGCCATGTCTTCCCCTTGGAAATTTACTTCCTCAAAAATCTTGAGACTTTTGGGTCTCAAGGAAATATACTTCCTGGACCCAAAAGCCTTGAGAGATTTGTGTTGTGCTTATCTGGGAGTCTGTTCATGGCTAAAACCAAACAAGAACCTTCATGGAAAGTCCTTTTGCTCTGTTCTTAAAGTTTGCACTTATTTTAAGTTCTTGAGGTAGTCACTTTTTTCTCCTTTTCCTCTCATTAGCTTCAGTCATCATTTAAAACATTGTCTCTGTGACTAGTTGCTTGCTTTAGAAAAGCACCAAAATATATGACCTTTATAGAAATTACTCTTCCATTTGTCTCTGTCAAGTCTTCAAATTTAGCCACCTGCCTGCTATCACACAGATACCCAGGAAATCTTGGTCCTTCCTAAATGTATCACCCGAGTGGCTGAAATTGCAAGTTGGCAAAAACTGGAGCAGTTGGGCACCAGAAGGAGCTTCCCTCTATAGTATGTTTATTTTATTTTATTTTTTTTGAGAAGGAGTTTTGCTCTTGTTACCCAGGCTGGAGTGCAGTGGTGCAGTCTCGGTTCACTGCAACCTCTGCCCCCCGGGTTCAAGTGATTCTCCTGCTTCAGCCTCCCAAGTAGCTGGGATTACAGGTGCCCACCACCACGCCCGGCTAATTTTAGTATTTTTAGTAGAGACAGGGTTTCACCATGTTGGCCAGCCTGATCTCAAACTCCTGACCTCAGGCAATCTGCCTGCCTCAGCCTTCCAAAGTGCTGGGATTACAGCGGTGAGCCACTGCGCCTGGCCTATAGTGTGTTAAGAACAAGTATAGGCAAAACTACACCAAAAGCATTTTTCTTTGCTTTGTGCTTATGAAGCTCCATGTTAACAAATAAGGCAGATTCCCCTGAGAAATGCAAGGTCATGAAAAAGCTAACTGCCATTATGTAGATAGATAGCCCCCAAATGTTCAGGCCACTGTCATCTAGAGAATTAATAGTCTAAGATGGACTGTCGTTAAGGTCTCCAGTCAGTTTGTATAGAGATAGGGAAGAATAATATTTCATTGACATGCTATTCAGTGTCTTCTTTTTTGGTCAAATTCTTCGTTTGCCCTGTCAGGGTGTAGATGTGTGATATTCTAGACGGCTCACAGTTGGTTCCAATAAAGCCCAAACTGCCAGAAAAACATGAGTGACTTCCCACGTGGAAGTTTTCAAGGATTGTTAGTATTAGCTCAGTATTAGTTAAGGTTGTGTCAGTCAAGCTGCTGCAGAAAACTCCAAAATATATAAAAGGCCAACCCCAGCAGACACTTATTTCTTGCTTGTTTGAAGTCCAAACTGAGTGTTCGTAACTAGCAGGCACCTCTTTTCCAGATCATGATGCACAGGAACCCAGTTTTCTTCGAAATGGTGGCTCTACCATGTTTTACACGAAGCTTATAAGGTTACTTGGAGAACAATCCCCTTTCTAGCCAATTTGAAGGGGGCAAATGTGGCTTTGTCTTCTTTCCATCTGACTAAAGATTGGATTTTATTCTTTGACACTGCATAGTCTATCACCAAAAGCACACTAAATGTAGAGTTCATTCAGTTCAGCTAGCTGGGAAACAGGATAAGCTCACTGCAATTTCTCCCTTAGCTAAGGGCTTTACATCACCACAGGTTTCAGAGCCTCCACCTGGCAAACTGAAATTGCTCCTGCTCTTGTGTGGACCCAGGATAAGGTGATGGGTCAGATAACCGCCTCTTTATCCCCATACAATCTACATGCTGACACCAAAACCTTGTCTAAGCATAAGCAAAAACAGGGGAAGATTCAGTAAATGTCATTCCGCTGCCACTGGGCACCACTTGATGTTTGTGGAGACTGACATGGAGAAAAGCTCCGGAGAAATCCCCCTTTGGCAGTGCAGCAGAAATTTCACATTCGCCCTAAAATCACTTGCTGAGCTATTTGCACTCTGCCACAAAAGTTTCCATCAGCAGGAAGGACAGCTGGGAGTTTGGGTATTACAATGCCACTTTGGCCTGTGTTTGCTAAGAATCACTGACTGGGAGATTCTCCAGTTTTCCTGGTAGTTCCTGTACGGATCTTAAGGAGGTACCTCATTTGAGAAAGAAAAAAGTGAATCCATAAGGTAATAGCTTAGATGCCAAAGTTATGGACAAACAACGAAAATATTTAGATAATTTGGGTGCAGAAATGATGCTTCCAGGGCACAGTCTGATAGGCATCCAGACACTGGAAGGGTAACTACAGTAGTGTGTCCGGAATTGGTGGGTTCTTGGTCTCACTGACTTCAAGAATGAAGCCGCAGACCCTCGCGGTGAGTGTTACAGTTCTTAAAGGCGGCGTGTCCGGAGTTTGTTCCTTCTGATGTTCGGATGTGTTCGGCCTTCTGGTGGGTTCGTGGTCTCACTGGCTCAGGAGTGAAGCTGCAGACCTTCGCGGTGAGTGTTACAGCTCTTAAGGCGGCACGTCTGGAGTTGTTCGTTCCTCCAGGTGGGTTCGTGGTCTCGCTGGCTTCAGGAGTGAAGCTGCAAACCTTCGCTGTGAGTGTTAAAGCTTTTAAGGTGGCGCATCCTCCCGGTAGGTTCATAGTCTCGCTGGCTTCAGGAGTGACGCTGCAGACCTTCGCGGTGAGTGTTACACCTCATAAAGGCAGTGTGTACCCAAAGAGTGAGCAGTAGCAAGATTTACTGTAAAGCGCGAAAGAACAAAGCTTCCACAGTGTGGAACCGGGACCCAGGTTGCCACTGCTGGCTTGGGCAGCCTGCTTTTAGTCTCTTATCTGGCCCCACCCACATCCTGCTGATTGGTCCATTTTACAGAGAGCTGATTGGTCTGTTTTACAGAGAGCTGATTGGTCTGTTTTGACAGGGTGCTGATTGGTGCGTTTACAATCCCTGAGTTAGACACAAAAGTTCTCCATGTCCCCACTAGATTAGGTAGTTACAGAGTGTGGATTGGTGTATTTACAAACCCTGAGCTAGACGCAGAGTGCTGATTGGTGTATTTACAAACCTTGAGCTAGATACACAGAGTGCCGATTGGTGCATTAACAATCCCTTAGCTAGACATAAAAGATTCTCCAAGTCCCCACTAGACTCAGGAGCCCAGCTGGCTTCACCCAGTGGATCTCGCACCAGGGCTGCAGGTGGAGCTGCCTGCCAGTTCCGCGCATTGCACCCCGCACTCCTCAGCCCTTGGGCAGTGGATGGGACCGGGCGCCCTGGAGCAGGGGGCGGTGCTCGTGGGGGAGACAGTTGGGGAGACTCAGGCATGGCGGGCTGCAGGTCCCGAGCCCTGCCCTGCGGGGAGGCAGCTGAGGCCTGGGGAGAAATCGAGCACAGCGCTGGTGGGCCAGCTGCTGGGGGACCCCGCGCACCCTCCGCAGCTGCTGGCCCAGGTGCTAAGCCCTTCACTGCCCGGGGCCAGCAGGGCCCACCCGGCCGCTCGGAATGCGGGGCCCGCCAAGCCTCGCCCACCCGGAACTCCAGCTGGCTGGCAAGCGCCGGGCGCAGCCCCGGCTCCCACCAGTGCCTCTTCCTCCACAACTCCCCACAAGCTGAGGGAGCCTGCTGCGGCCTTGGCCAGCCCAGAAAGGGGCTCCCACAGTGCAGTGGTGGGCTGAAGGGCTCTTCAAGCACGGCCAGCATGGGTGCCGAGGCCGAGGAGGCACCCAGAGCGGGCGAGGGCTGCCACACGCTGTCACCTCTCAGTAGTATGTGTGGCCTTGACAATCTCTGTCACTCTCTGCCAATTGGAGCTTAATTGTAACTGCTCAAGCAGTCCCCTGCCTGATGCGGGCAAGTCTCAAGAAATCAGCCACTGAAGCTTGCTGCCCAGGAATGGCATGAAATTCTACAAAGCCCTGCTCACTTTGTGGTCTCTGTTTCTGTGGTTTACTAAGCCTCTTCTTCCTCCGATTATTTATGTTAATCTTGCATTCCAAGTCTTTCCTTGTGCCTTGAAGCTCTTCCCCTAGCCCTGTCCCGTTGATCCCTCTGACTCCTCCATTCCTTCATACCCCAGAACTACATGGTCATATGGCACTCATTTCCCAGTCCTATCTTATGATCTTGTTCTTTATACAAAATCCAAACAACCTTCCTACAGCCTGAATACAGTTATCATGACCAACTTTTATTACCCTGTATTTCATAATTTAAATATTTTCTTGTCTTGTCTCTCTTCTTCCACTTCAAAACATACCCATCTTCTTTACCTTTCCCTAATTTCTAAACTCTACCCTCACTCAGGAGGTAGTTAAATAACCTGTCAATTAAATTCTGAAACATGTTCAGTTTGGTTACAGATAAACGTGCCCTATTCCCTAAGGAATAAGTCTGCATAAAATATAGATGTTCTGAACAGTGCTTTGACAAAGCAGGTGACTGTAGTGGTAGGGACATCTGGCACTATGGTAGGGTTGTAGGGGAGATGTTTAGGGAAAGATAAGATTTTTTGTGGTCTGTAAATAACACAATAAAATGCCTCTCTGCTTACCCGTAGAACCACCACAGACTCATACTTTTTCTAAAAATGCCATAAGAAATCTCGTCAGACAATTACCACTGATATATGTATAGATTGTTTAAAATAAACTGACATCATATTTAACTGTATTTTTTATTCAATGCATTAATATAAGTACAAAAGGCTAGAGTTGCAATAGTTAATTTACCCTTTGGATTATTAAGAAATGTATATATACGTCTATCTATCATGTTCTCAATTTATTTGACCTCTTGGATAATCGGGAGATTAAAATAGTAGTATATGGAATAAGATTATGTAATGGAGAAAACATCTGAGTGTAGAGATGAAAATAGCAACAATTGTCTCTGCATAAATAAGCAATTGAAGAGTAAGAGTGACAGCTCTATAGGAATTGGTAGAGGATCAATACAAGTCAATAGAAAAACTCAAGACAAGGACAGGTAGTAAAGAATGTAAGAACACAAAGGCTTAATAAATGCTAGCTAACAACAGTGAGATTCATTGATCACAGTATAGCCAGATGGCTCACGGGGGTTTCAGAAGCCAGTGAGACTCTAGCCCAAGCTGGTGTCCAGGTTCTTGACACCATCACAAGAAAGAATTCAGGGACAAATCGGAATGAGGCAAAAGACAAGAAGATTTTCTTGCGAAGTGAAGGCACCCACTTGAGAGAGAAGTGTGGGTGTGTTCCAGAAAGTGAGTATCATCCAAGGGAGTTTGAGTTTCTGATTTTATGGGCTCTTCTAATTAGGAGGTGGAGTAATCATAAAGTTTTCTAGGAAAAAGGTGGAGATTTCTTATAATTGAGGTGCCACCCATTTTTATAACAAGTATGGGTATGCTTGGCTCTATCATGGGGCTGGTGGGTGTATGTATGGTAATGAGTGTAAAATTAGGTCTGGGCTAAGGCCTGGGTCAAATCCAGCTCCCTGTGGGACCCGGTGGTCTCAACCAGCTCAGCCCTCATCCTGTTTGTTAGGATCTTACCAGCCCAGCCTCCTCTTTGTCCTTGTAGATAATTTTTAACAGCTCCTTTCTTAATGTTATATGAAACAACTGCTTGGCATTTTCCCATTTTTCCTATGACCACCCAGCATCCCTATTTTATGGGTGTATCTTTAATTAAGGGGTGGAATAATCATTAGGTTTTCTGGAAAAGGAGGGGATTTCAAGGATCCTCCTTCCTCCATTACTGCCCTCTTTCTCCTTCATTTGGGTTTGCTTGGAAGAGTCATGGATATGTCACCTTGACTAGGGTTTTGGCCATACTCTCTCTCTTATTTTGGGTTTTCTGTTACCCTGTGGTTTCTTTGACTAGTTCTTGTTTTAGCTGTTGTTTGGGTTTTTCCACCCTCCTGTGACTACGCAGTGCTATTCCTATCTCAACAGCAATGTAGGCCCATTTGCAGTAAACTCAATCATCAGAACGCCTTCACAATGGCATACAATGAAGATTGATATACATAATAATGACTATAAATCACTGAGAATTTCAAATGCCTCTGAATCACTAAAAATTTGATTGTGCTCAGTATCATTTTAGGAATAAATGTATTTATTTCTGAATAAAGAGACTTAAAATTTTTTTTTTTTTGCAAGCAGCTATTTCACTAAGGATCATACAATTTCAGAGCTAGAAATGCCCTGTTGCAGTACAAAGTTGAGTTGTTAATTCAGTATAAAACATCAGACCAAATGGTTGTTGGGAAGATTGGAAAATGGGGGAAAATTTAAAGCCTAGGCTACATAGCAGGGGTGAAGGGAGAGGTGGGGTTCCAGGGAGGCATGGTTGGTTGGCATGGGATCCAAGAATAACAAACATGATTTGACAAATTCCTAACAGGATAAATTCATACAGCTGAACCCATGTGGTCTATGTGGACAAAAATCCATGGACAAACCACCAAAGCATGGGAAAAAATAGTGGCCAGTAGTCCGATAGGATATTCAGTGGGATTGCTTAGAATCTGCAAGGGATCTTAGTAGTCTGTCTTCTACGTTACCCCATTTTGCCAATGAGGGAAACTAAGGTTTAAGTAAAGTGAATTGTCCAAGGTCACACAGTTAGAAGTAGCAGATTTCAGCCTTATATTTAAGTTTTATAGCTTCTGTGCAACATTTCCTCCAGTCTAAAAAGCAGCCTCTAGGCAAACATGCCTCCAGGCTCAAAGCATCCAGTATATCACTTAGTTCTTTTCTTCTCTGGACATAAAAGTCAACCAGTGGCCAGAGGAGGAACCCAGAGTCAATCTCTGCTGTTTTCTTTTTTGAAAATTCATCATACGACACACAGTGTCTCAGACTAGATGACCTAACATTCTTGGATCCTCCTTCTGAAATAAAAGGAGAAAGTATTCCTCATGGGACTGTAAATTACATCAACTCACTACCTGCTGTCCTTTCACTGTTCACACAGGTAGAGCTGGGTCCTTTAGCCCTAAATCAGTTTGAAAAACAAACAGGTAGAGCTTTAGTGTCTACTTTTGCCTAATAATGGGGTAGAAGATAGATAAGACCACCTTGACCTCAAGGAGCTTACAGCTTACAGATTATTTGCCATTTAGATGAATCCAAACAAGAGAATTGTTCTAAATCACTTTAACAAATAATCGACCTTTGTCATTGTTGCTTTTTAAAAATCACACCATAAAACAATTGAAAGTGATTTGCTGTAGCAGAAGGCATGTGGTGATGGTACAGTCTTCCTGCCGTGAATGTATTATTTTTCTATTTTCAGATAAATCTTGATGCTATCAATACAACATAACTTTAATTGATTTGCTTGATATATTTTTACTAAATAAAAGCTTTCCAATATAAGTACATTTATTATGCATTAATTTTACTATACTTTATGTTCCATATTACATAGCATAGATAATGCACTAAAACAAAATTTTTGGAGCTCTTGGCTTTTTTGACATTATGAGCAAATGATCATCTGGCTTAAAATGGTAAGCACAAAAAATATAGTTGAGTTGGACTCTCCTTGGACATAACTCTCCACACCTGGCCCCAAGGTCATGCTCTTCCCCTGGGAAAGTATCTGGCTGCCCAGTTATCTTTTCCTCCCTTAGCCAGCCACCACCACCTGAGCTTTCTCCTTGTGTTCTATGGTATTATTTTTTTTCTTTTAATTATCAGGTCCATAATTATAAATACAGTGATTGAAAACAACTGGCTTTTCACTTGTGTTTTCTTTCCTAAGTGATAACTAAGAATTTTCTGTGCCATTTTACTCTGTTCTTCAACAGTGATCATGTGTTAGAAAGTGATGTATGCTTCTTCAATGTTCCTTAGCCAGAAATCATTCAAGAGATTTATTTTTAAAATTATATGTTAAACGTTTTAAATAAATAGTCCATTCACAAGTATAAATCAATAAGAATAGCATGGCCCTGAGCTAAGACTCTCATCCCTTCTGGCTGTCCATATCCATATGCTTCCTCCCACCTTTCTCAGAGGTTGCTACTGTTCATCCATATATTTTAATCGGCAGTGGCACTTTGCACTCTGTGAGAAGATACAACTATACATCCGCATTCCTTCTTCTTTAGGACAGTTTTATCATATAAAGTGCACTGTTCCACTTATTGCTTTTCTTTCCTTTTTTGGGCTTAATGCTTTCAAGCACTTCCATATTAGTGTATACGGTATTCTCATTGATTTTTCAAAAGTACATATTGATGGGTTGTTTCTCAAATACACGTTTCTCAAATGTAGATTCACAAGTACGGGTGTTTTGTGCAGGGGAATTGAGATACCTAAACACTATTCCATGTCTGTTCATAACTGAATCAAGGCAAAATAAGCTCTAGTACTTCACTCTGTAAAAAACAGTTCACCTGTTGTTAAATACACATTATTTCGCAGTTGTTAAATACACATTATTCACTGTTCAAGGTTTAGAAGAACTTATAAGAACATATATACTTTACATCATAGACTGATGTCTGTGAAGCCAGTTTAGGTATGCAAAATGTCAATAATTAATTCTTCACTGATCCATCCATGATGGGGAGCCCTAATTTTCTCACTAAGGCAGCTAGAATAATTGGATAGTCCTGTCATTCCACTGTTCCTTCTGAGGTGTGCACAGAATTAGTAATGTAATTATCCTATAATGAAGTCATAAACTCATAGAGAGTTGACACTTGTTGATAGCTTTGTAGTATATCAGAAATTGTAATGACCTTTTTTACAAGGATTATCTTAAAGTCTTAAAATGTCATAAAATTATTATCATTCTGATATAATGGCCAAGAAAAATGAGGCAAAAAGAACATAGCAATTAACCATAGCCCATAATATTATATGATCCAACCAATATTTGAACTCCTGTCATCTGAAAACAGAGCCTTAGATCTTAGTCCCTATACTCTGCTAATGAGATGTCTCTGCTAACTCACCCAGGAGTCTCATCTAACAGTTTCCAAGCCAGGTGGAACAAAGCTAACATTCTGGCTCCACTATTTACTGGTTATATCTTCTTGGGAAAGGCTCTGAACCTCCCTCTGAGCAACAAAGGATAAACAAAACTTAGGGCCACTCAGTTGAACATTGCATCCATTTTGTGTGGTGTTCCCCTTGGTGTTATGCAATGTTACATTGTTGTAAGGGTCGAATGAGAATACTTATAAAATTAGATATATCCCCTGCACAAATAAATGCCCAACAACTGAGAACTTGAAAAATAACAGAAAAATAACTGATGATAGAAGTGGCATCAGTCAGAGTTCATTTCCTAAAGACACTCTAACTCAACCAGAATTTGTGGATATAAACAAAACTCAATGTCCTTGAAATGCTTAGTAACAGCATCAACTTTTTGAGATATTGGGGAAACTCAGAAAAGTCAGAGGCTAGTGTGGTCTCCAAAGAGCTAATTTGGTTGCAAGATATCACATATAAGCACCTCTCTATTGACTCATAGTAAGCATGATACACCCTGAAAAGAAAAAAAAAAAAAAAACCCTACAAAGCAGCTGAAATATCTCTACTCCAAATTTGACTTAATTTATTTTATTACTGGAGAAGCAGCAGAAGCTGAAGTTTTCTCAGCTGCTGAAAGTCCAAATTCATTCCCTATCTCTTCTCTGGAGGACTTAATATTACCTAGGGAGAAAGTCCTTTTAACAAAGCCCTTTGGGCTTTTGAAAAAGATTTAAGCCATTTTTAAAAGTTTTATCGAGATATAATTTACATACTATACAATCCACTTTAAACTGTATACAGTATATATATAGCCATCACCACAATCAACTTTGGAACATTTTGTCACCTCCCCCCAAAAAACTCTGTCCCCATTAGTAGTAACTCTTTCATCCCCCATCTCCCCCAATCTCTGGCAGCCACTAATGTATATTCTGTCCCTACAGTGTTGCCTACCCTGCACATTTCATATAAATGGAATCATATCATATATGGTCCTTTGTGATCAGTATCTTTCACCTAGTGTAATGTTTATAAGGTTCACTGTAGCATCTATCACTACTTCATTTTTATATTGCCAAACAATATGACATTGCCTGGATACATCAATTTGTGTTTATCAATATTTCTCAGCTTTTTTTTTTTACCCATTTGTCAACATATAGATTGCTTCTGTTTTTTAGTGAATACAAGTAATGCTCCTATAAACATTTGTGTATATGTTTTTGTGTGATCATGTTTTCATCTCTCTTAGGCACATACATAGGAGGGAAATTGCTGGGTCATATGATAACTATGCTTAATCTTTTGAGAAACTGCCAAATTGTTTTCCAAAGTGACTGCACATTTTACATCCCTACCATTTGATCCACTTTGAAAGCCTAATATTACATGTTCACTTTTTAAAAAATTAATGGCTTTGCTTTGACCTGCCATTTTACATCTGTTAGAGTGACTGGTTAAGAAGCCAGGCTAAGTGATAAGACTATTAAAGCAAAATATTATCATACATTAAATCATTAAATTGCTTTAACATATTCTGTCACTTTCTTTTCTGTTGACAATTCAGTCACACTTGTCATCTAATCCTTCAGGTATAATTCATTTCTTCCTCTGAATTTTATCCAACAGTGATCCTGGTGTAAGAAAACAATTCACAGTGCTCTGCATTAGCTATCCCAGTGCTAGTGACTTTAGTCTTTGTTTCAGTCTGTTTAACCGCTTTCCTGCTGCTTTTACAAATGTAACCTCTAGATTCACAGTTATGGTTTGACAAAAAAGGAATAGACGGTGCCAAACAACAAAATGGAACAAAAAATAAATGTATGTGAAATCATGTTCCGCTATGCTATCCATCATCCAAGAAAATAAAAAGTAAACAAAAGTAAAACCTAATCATAAGTATAGTTGCATGCATGTTCCTTGTATATAATTTGTAAATGAATAAAATCATACCTTCTAAAGGTTAAGATGTCTCGTATTGATGTGCCAATAGTCATACTACATATTTTCAACATGGATTACAATTTAAATACATAGTTAAAATCGAAACACATTTCCTGCCTACGATACATATTGGAAATCTACTTACTTGTAATATCCTTTTTTTTCAATTTCAGGGAATTTTTAATACCATCTTCAGAACCTACACAATGCATTCAAAGCTATTTCACAAATATTTATTGGGTGACAACCATCTGCAAGGCATTGTGCTCAGCATCCTTTTGAAAGGATTTTTGAAAGCTATTATTCTTTTGAATGTGCTCATTTGAGGCAAATATTTTTCTCCATGGATGGTGGGTTTTACTGAAGAAAATGGTCAAAAGTTATTCAAAGTCAGTTCTGATGAATGACATGGGTATGATCCATCGAGCAAGATGACATCCTTAATGGTCAAAATTATGGGTGACTATAAATTTACGAGGCCGATTTTCTTGTGTGGTTCATTAACTAGATTTGAAGAAAATTCCACAAGAGGAGTTCCAGTACATTTTGAGTGATGGAAGTTATGGTGAGGTGTGTGGTGCAAAAGTAACCATTTTGATGGATGGCACTCTTGCATATATCAGTCCTGGCATGTTTTTAAAACACACTCAATGCTTATGGTCACACATTATATATAGTGCCTAAAAAATACTGGACACTAAAAATGTCCACCCATATTCATAGGCAGGATAATGTAATTTTCTAGTGACTGTGCTTTCACCCCTGACAAAGATAGAAAACAACTAATGGCACATGTGACTTGTCCTTTTCAAAGGAGCTGGAGCTTGAGTGTTATCTATTCCAACAAAGGAATTGAGCTACAGGAAAACATCCCAACTTACTAATGCCTTGACAATGCTTGGCTTATAGAAACTTCTCTAGGTAGCATTACTTGTAGAAGTAGTCACAGAACGATCCTGGCTCTTATCGTTTGTTTAAAGATCAAAGCTAGTTTAATAGAGCTTTAAAGTAGTGATCCCCAACCTTTTTGGCACCAGGGACCAGTTTTGTGAAAGATGATTTTCCATGGACCAGGGGGTGTGTGGTGGGGTGGTTTTGGGATAAAACTGTTCCACCTCAGATCATTAAACGTTAGTTAGAATCTCTTAAGGAGCATGCAACCTAGATCCCTCACATGCTCAGTTCACAACAGGGCTCATCCTCCTCTGAGGAGCTAATGCTGCTGCTGATCTGTCAGGAGGTGGAGCTCAGGTGGTAATGCTCACTCACCCTCACTCACCTAGTGCTGTGCCACCCAGTTCCTAACAAGCCACAGACTGGTACTGGTCTGCAGGCCTGGGGGTTGGGGACCCCCACTTTAAAGGATTAAATCATAGTCAAGTGTTATTTGTTGACTACTTACTGGATTCTAAATCTTCCCCAAATTCTTTGAACTATACTCAATCTAAAAGCTTCTCTTTTACAACCTAAGCCAAGAATTGTAGATAAGATGTATTAGTTTCCTAGGGCTGCAGTAACAAATTGCCTTAAACTAAGTATCCTAAAATAATAGTAGTTTATTGTCTTAGATTTCTGGAGTTCCAATGTCTGAAATCAAAGTTTCAGCTAGCTTGGGTCCTTCTGGAGGCTGAAGAAGAATATGTTCTATGACTCCCCTCTAGCTTACGGCAGTTGCTGGCCATCTTTGGCATTCCCTTTCTCAGATGCATCATTTCAATGTCTGCTTTCATCCTCAGATGGCTTTCTCCCCTCTATGGGTTTTTCTGTGTCTAAATTTTCTTCTTCTTATAAAGACACAAGTCATTAGAATAGGGTTCACCCTAATCGAGTATGACCTCATTCTAACTTGATTCTATCTTCAAAGACCCTATTTCCAGATAAGGGCATATTCAGAGGTTCCAGGTGGCTTTGTGCTTTGGAAAGAAAGATACTATTCAACCCAGTACAATAGGTGTACTAGAAAATTGAATATATAAGTATACAGCTCATTTGTGTAACCAATACCCTAATCAAAAATCAGAACATCACTAGTCCTCTAGAAGCCCACCTCACACCCTCCTCTAGTAACTAAATGTCCAAAGATAGCTATTGTTCTGATCACCAACAGCAAAGACCGCTGTTGCCTGTTTTTAAAGTTTATGTAATTGAAAGCATACATTATGTACTCTTTTGTGCCTGGCTTCTTTCACTGAACATTTTTTTGTATGAAATTTATCCATATTTTTGCATCTAGTCATAGATTATTGATATCCAATGCTATATAGTATTTATTATATTACTATACCACAATGTATCTATCCGTGTTACTATAGATAGATACTTGGTAATTTCCAGTTTGGGGTTACTACAGAGTGCTCCTATAAACATTATAGTAAATTTCTTTTGATGATCATATGTATACGTTTCTATTGTGTGTGTAATTAGATTGAGTGGAACCTTGGGGTGGAATTGCTGGTCATAGGATATGTTTATGTTCAGCATTAGCAAACTGGGTCAAATAGTTATTCTAAATGATTGTACTTATTTACACTGCAGTGTTTGAGAGCAGGGGTTGTTCCACATCTTTCCAACAACTTGATACTTTTCACTGTTTTTTCTTTGTTTTTTCCCTCTTCCATTCATTCCCACCCCCTCCTACACAAGCATACCTCAGAAAAGTCATACTGTAGCTAAAAGCCAAAACAGCCTATTAAATTTCTTTACTTTTCAGTCTTTCATAAGGCTACATCTCTAGAAGGGGAGGATTCAGGGTACAGACCAAATGCCTTGGCCAAAATGTCTTGGCTAGAGGCAATGAGACAGAAAATTTCGGTCACAAAGAAAATGACTTGCCCAGAAGTAAAGGAGAGTGGGAATACCCACATCAATCTAGACAGATTTCTCTAGGAAGGGTAATGCGGTGGGATGCCCAGAAGCTTCTCCAGGGAGATGACAAGACCCGATAGAGGAAATAAATTTTGGAAGTTGGTGCCTCAGGCAGACTTGAAGAAATAGTTCTAGTACTCCCAACAGCAAAGAGCCAATGAATAGCTATGTTAACCAGTACAATGAACATTTCAGATAAACCTGTGTGGGCAGTTAACAAAAAGACAAGATGGGGCCCTTTACCAAGCTCATCTCCACACATCCTGAGGCCACCACAGAAAGATAAAGGAACCCCAAGAAAGACTGAGATTAAAGAATTCAGCCAAAACAGTAGGATTGGGGGCCTGAAGTAAAAATTGAATGATTCTTTCCTGCCATTCCATAAAGGTAGGAAACTTGACTCTCAATTTCTTTGCCTACCTAAACTTTGAGCAGAGGAACTCATACACAGATATTTAATAATTACTTATTGAATAATGAATGATAACTAGCAGTAAGATCCAAAAATGCTTTAAGCTTAATCATGGGAAAACCTATTATTACAAGTTAACATTTCATCTCTGAGTATTGGGGATAAAGGTAACAGAGAAAGGGTCACAGTTACTCACATAATTGACATCAGCTCCGTAGATCGGGGAACTAAACCTGGGATGCTTCACTTATTTCTCAGACTCTGATGCTATTAAAGGTCTTTAGATGCTTTGTTTCATTCTCTGTGATAGCTGTACTGGGGTGATGACATTTCATCTTGAATGTCTAGAGGCTTGTTAGCAGAGACCGTGTCACCACCAGGGATCACAGCATTTTTGTGCTCAGTCCTTAGGGCACTGATCTTGGCTGTACAGCTGGACTCAGCAGCAGACGCCACATGGTCTAACATGACAAGCAGCTGGATCTCCAGCCAACAGGCCGTTATTTTCCTAAAATGAATGGCAGTTTGCAGAGCAGAGAGGGTGTTGCCTTTTTCCTCCATATGTGAAAACAGCTCAACTTTAGCAATCACAGAGATTTGAAGAGATCAGAAGAGAAAATGGTAGTTTATTTTTGCAACATATAACTAATGTGTCTGTTTAGAGCAGGTGGAAACGAGCATCCCAATCTGCCTAATTTAGCTCTACAAAATTGATCTGAGGTTGGATTGAGTTTAATGCAAACATAGAGATAAAAAAGAAGGCAAAACATCTAAGTATATAAGTAAACGTTTACATTTAAAGTGTTGTATATAAGTTGTCTATAAACATAATTATCAGTATACCATGCCTTTCACTTTCCCAAAAATCTCTCTTTGTTGCAAGTCAGTCCTCTGTCACTGAAAGCTGTACATCAGGAAATGAGCAATAGAATAACTGCAGACTTTAGACCCACATTTTCTCTGAGACTTGAAACTATCAAGAAACTGGCAATTTTGTTTCTTGCAGAAGTAGATGCCTGCCTTGCAATTTGAGCAGTGCTATTGGCAGTTATAGGGACATCTCCTTTATTTCCTGATGAAAGTAAAATGTCAGCCAGTCAAAAAGGATTTTTTTTTTCCATTTTTTATTGGGCAGTGGCTTATGGCACTTTTGGCCACCAGGGGGAGAAATGCATAGCATGCTTTATGTCTGAGTGAATCTTTTGAAACATTGTTTTCAAAAAGTATTCACGCTCTTCACTTCTTGTGACAGCTGAATGAGCAAATATGTTGGAAGGATTGTTTCTCAAGTAAAATACTCTACATTTTGGAGTTCATTTATTCAAAGCCATTCAAATTTGGTGAAAGGGTCAAGAAGACATGCAAATAGCACATGAAATGCTTGCATTATAGTTATAGACATGGAAAATTATTTGCAGTTTTGAGTCTTTTGAGGTACAATTATCAAAGGATATTTAGAATGTCAAACAATAAATGGGAGTAAAACAGTTGTAATTCTGACCAAGGCTGGACAACCTCTGTGTACAATAGAATACTGGATTTCGCTAAGTAGCCCTTCTGTTTCTCTATTGAAAAGAAGATAGAAGAAACAAATAATAGAGGCCCTCCATTAGTAAAAGTTTCTACTTGATTTTATGGGGTTGGGTCTAGTGAGAGATATAATGCTTTTGGAGGCTGAATAAAAGGATCTCCAGCCATAGTTACATTTGGGATTTTGCATCCTTTTAAACAGAATATATTTTAAGATAAGTTAAGCAGAATAATAAAAGATCTTATCTGGTTACCAGTGCATTGAAACTATTCCAATTGGAACCATATAGACAAGGACAATGCATCACTTTAGAAAGCACATAGAATCTGACAGAATTAAAAATAAATATAGTTAAATTTGGGAAAGAGTAGTGTAACAGAAAAAACATCATCGACTGGATCACTAAAACCAAATTCTGGATCTTTGAAAAGACTACAAAATTGTTAAAAAGAAAAACTTAAGTCTCATCAATAAGAGAAAACAAAATATATCAATAGTATTACCAATAATATCCTTTAACTGCACATAAAGAGGGGATTTACCGTATTAAAAATATATAAAACATATATAACAATACATTTGAAAACCATACCAAAACTGACTCAAAAATTTTGTAAACCTAAGAAAACATTTTACGTAGATAGGCAAAGCCTGACAAGGTATACTTCTAAGAAAGAATGAATCCAAATGATTTTGCGGATTTTTCAAAACCATTAAGGAAAAGCCATGTTCTGAATTAGAGAACAGAAAAAGAGGGAGGGCTTCTCAGTTGATTTTAAAACCTAGCATTGTCTGTGTCCTAAAATAAACTAATGAGAAGGACAAAAAATATATAGTATATGAACACTGATGCAAACACACGTGCACACACACACACTATTTTTAAATAGAACAAAGGGATATATTTTAAAATAAACAAAGGGATATATAAAGAGCTTAATGTAAGCTCTTAAAAATTAAGAATGGAAAAAAAACTTTTTAACCTGATAAATAGTAGTTACCAGAAACCTATAAAAACATCATTTTTATCATTTTCAATGTTAAAATGATTAAATGAGATACATTTTAATGTATCTTATTAAAAACATCAGACACAAGATATTTTGGCAACCATTACTAATATTCAGTAATTTTAGTGAAGTAAAGATGCTTGCCAAAGCAATAACACAAGAAAAAGTAATGTGGAAAACTATATAGAAGATAAAAGCTATGCTAATTTAGATGCTAAGAATTCCTACTTAAATACACATGGCAAGAAACAAGATCAACATAGAAAAGCAAGCTTTTTATAGCACAATAATTAGACAATTCAGTTCAAAGAATAAAAACAAGGACCCCATTCAGGGAAAAATAAAACCATAAAGCATCCAGAAAATAACCTAACAAATGCCAACCTACTTGATGACTATTTTAAAAGTTTACTACAGAACAAAGTAATAAAGATAATAAGGTATTTGTAGCCAATACTACCAAACAGTTTTCCAAAGTGGTGGTATAAATTTAGACTCCCTCCATTCCAGTAATATATGAGAGGGCCAGTTTCTCTCCTGTACTTAATATTGCCTTCATGGTTTTAATTTTCATGTCTTTAATGAGAGATTGAAACGTTTTTCAACTTTCATGGAACTGACTTTTCTACATGGTATAAGATAGGACTCAATATTTTCTACCAAACATATATTTTTATGGTTCAGAACCATTTATTTAATAGACCATCTTTTCTCAACTACATTGCAGTGTCTCCTTTCCTATAAATAGTTCACCACACATGTGAGTCTGTTTTTGGACTCTATTCTGTTTTACTAATCTACTTGTTTATCTTTGAATGAATTTCAGTTTGTTTTAATTGTAATACCTTTATAGTAGGTCTCCAGATTTAGTAGTGTAAGTCTACCAACTTTATTCTTCTTAAAGACTGTCCTTACTCATTTGGACTTTTTTAGTTTTTATATATTTTTTAAAATTAGATTGTCCATTTCAAAAAAGCATGCTTTTTGTAATCTAACTGGGGTTACATTTGATTTAATAATAAATTCAAAGAAAATTAATATATTTAATACATTGAGTCTTACAATATATTTATTTTGTTCCTGATTTCTCTAGGTAATGTTTCATAGATTTCTGTCTACAGGCATTTATAAAAATATATTCTATTGATTTATTCCTAGTTATTTAATACTTTTATGCTATTTTAAATAATATGTTTTTCTATTTTATTTTTAGTTGTTTCTTGCTTTGTACAGAAATACTATTGACCTTGCATCTAATGGCCTTGCTAAATTGACTTATTGGTCCTAATAGTTTATTGGTAGAATATTTTGGGTTTTATACATAACAATTATGAGTTTTAAGTCTTCCTATCCAATTCTCATACTATTTATTTTTATTTATTTATTTATTTATTTATTTATTTATTTATTTATTTTATCTGCTTTATGCAATGACAAATCTCCAAAATAATGTTGAATTGAAGTGGTTATATTGGCAATCTTGTTCTGTTTTTGAGTTCAAGAGGAAAGCTTTCAGTATTTCATTATTACGTTTGATAATGAAATATCAAATGCCATTGAGAATTTTCATGGGTATTCTTTAGAATTTTCATGGGTATTCTTTATCAGATTAGAAAAGTTCTATTTATTTACTGGTTACTTTCCAAGAGTTTTAATCATAAGCAAATATAACATTTTATTAAATGCCTTTTCTGAATTGAATTAATCATCTGATTTTTCTTCTTTATTCAGTTAACGGAGCATTACAGTAATTGATTTTCAAATATTAAGCCAAACTTTTGTTACTAGGGCTAACCCATCTTCATTGTTATTATCATTTTTATACATACCAGATTCAATTGATTTACTAATCTTTTCCTTGGAATTTTTGTGTCTATGTTTATAAGAAAAATTGCCATGTAATTTTTGTTGGTATCAGTGTTGTGCCAAACTCACAAAATGAGTTGAGGAGTTCAGCCTATGGAGGATTTATGTAAGTTTGTTGTTATTTATTCTTTAAATAATTGAAAAGATTAACTGCTTATGTCCTTTGTGCCAGGAGATTTTCATTATGGGAAAGTTTTTAATAATGAAATCAGTGTCTTTAATAGATAATAGGACTGCTCAAATTTTTTTTATTTCTTTATGTTTTTGTTTTGTTAGACTGTGATTTTCAATGATTTTCCCAATTCACCTAAATTTTCAAATTTATGGGTTAAATGTTCATGTTTATCGCAGCATTCTAGCCAAGTCATGAGTAATTTTTTACTTGACAGAAATACAATAGCAGTGTCTAAAATCATAAATGGATTCAGTAACCTAGTACAGATTAATGACAGAAGTCCAATAAATCATTTTTTTGCCTTGCTTAAATATGCAAGCCTAATGCCTTCCCATGTCACTGACACAACAATAATGAATCAATGTGGTGTCACCATCAAAACAAATAAGAAAAATTTTAGCTAAAAATCAGATACAAAGTTTTGTAGGTGTACATAGACATGGTTCATTCACCTAATACTTCCTTATTTATCTTGCTTTTAGACATGTTGGTGCAATATTATTATACTTTTTCATTAAGTACTAAACTCCTCTCAGCATGACAAATTGGAGTTTTCTGTTTCAATACTACACAGTAAATTCAAAGTGTAGTGCCTGCAGAGTAATCTGTTGAATTGGTGAAAGATTTTTATTCAGTATCAATAGAAGAATTGAGCTTAAGGAGGCAAAATCAATTCACGAGCAACTCTGAATCTTGATTCGTATCCAAGTGTTCAGCTCTTGAGCATGAACAATTGTAATCACATACATCCCTGAAATCTTCAGCCACGATGAAAGTTATACTGAATAAGTCATGTTCTACAGTATCTGTAAATGTAATAGGTGACCTAGGTAGTTTGGCTTATATTCTACAGGGATCTTAAATTATTTCTTTCTCAGCAATTCTTTTCTCCTTATTGTAGCACTTTATCTTCATCCATGCCATAGTTAATTTTAAGCTGATTGTTTGCAATAATAATTCGAGGACTTTTTCAGAGATTTAGCTTTCTTGAAAATGAAAGAGAAAGTTAACAGAAAGTATTCCTAAAATTAATTATCACTTAAGGATCTATGGAAATGGCTGTTTTTGTTTTTGGTTTTGGTTTTTTGAGACAGAGTTTTGCTTTTGTTGCCCAGGCTGAAGGGCAATGGCGTGATCTCAGCTCACCACAACCTCCACCTGCTGGGCTCAAGTGGTTCTTCTGCCTCAGCCTTCTGAGTATCTGGGATTACAGGCATGTGCCACCATGCCCGGCTAATTTTGTATTTTTAGTAGAGACAGGGTTTCTCCATGTTGGTCAGACTGGTCTCGAACTCCCGACCTTAGGTGATCTGCCCACCTCGGCCTCCCAAAGTGATGGGATTACAGGCTTGAGCCACCATGCCTGGCCAGAAATGGCTGTTTTTAAAATTGAAGTTGTGTATTATAACCTTATTATTTTCTGTTTCATCAAATTAATATGTCTTTATGTGAAGTATATCCCAATAAAGCTTAAAAATTAGTTTAAAAGACAAAAATTAGTTTAAAAACTAATGTGTCTTGGGCATTTGCTAATGTAATACCCTAGAAGGAAAAAAATATGTCATGGTAAAATATTATAAGACTATTTCTAATGAAAATATAATACTGAGGATTTTTTCCTTTCACTTAAAACCAGTAGGATTCTTATCATTCTGTGCTTCACATTTTTGTAGTTCCAGAAACAGTTATACATGTGTCTGTGTATAATCACCTAAAAAATTTTCTGAAATAACTATCAGAACTACCAAGAAACCATGAAGCTTGAAGGAGGCTTCTCATCTATGATAGACAATGATCCATTTAAATGAACATTTAACCCATAAATGGGCATGAAATGGTCTTGGGATCTCTTAGGCCTCTACAGTGTTTTCTAAAAATCACTTTACTTCTGCCTGCATGCAAAAAAATAAAAAAAAAAAAAAGAACCTTTCTCAGAGGCACATATTTTATGTCTATCTATGGCATCCGCTGCCTCCTCTTGTCATTGTCGTCAGAATTTTTTTTTTTTTTTTTGAGACAGAGTCTTGCTCTGTCACCTAGGCTGGAGTGCACTGGCATGATCTCGGTTCACTGTAACCTCCGCCTCCCAGGTTAAAGCAATTGTCATGCTTCAGCCTCCCAAGCAGTTGGGATTACAGGGATGCGCCACCATGCCTGACTAATTTTTTTGTATTTTTAGTAGAGATGGGGTTTCACCATATTGACCAGGCTGGTCTCGAACTCCTGACCTCATATAATCCACCCATCTCAGTCTCCTGAAGTGCTGGGATTACAGGCATGAGCCACCAAGCCAGTCCCAGAATTTCTCCTGATTCTACTTCTGCAATCTCAACCCTTTCTGTTAAATTCATCAAAGAATTGAGGACCCAACTCATTTCCTTCTCTATATCCTTGGAATTATTTTCTATTGTATTCTCTCCCTGTCAATGTCAATGACAATTATTGTGAGGATTAAAACTAACAATCATAATATTTATATCATCTTTTCCAGGTTCTAAATTGTATATCCATTATATAATTTGGCTTTCAAAATAACCTCATTTTGTTTTCTTCTTAAAGGAGAAAGAAACAGGCTCAGAGATGTAAAACTTTTTCCAAAGGCTCCACAGCTTGTACTCAGGTGTGGCTGCATTTAAACCCAGGTTTAGTTGATTCTAAGAGGATATCTATTTCTTTGTACCATGAATCTTTAGAACTCAAAAATTCACAGAGAATAATGCTACACAGTTGAATAACAATCAATTTATCTCTGTGTCTCTTTGGTCATGTCATTTGATTTGGGCTTTCCTAATCTAGTTTTCTTCTTATGCTACATTATTTGGGGAATAGCAGAATAAGAGTTGAAAATGATGTAATGTGGCATATTTTCAGATATAGTACATAATCATAGGTTCAGTGATAAAGGACAGAAATTTTAGTATTTCAGGTAAGTCTTGGAACATTCCTTTTATTGTGCAGGCATTTATTGAGCATTTACTACGTACATCCACAGAATTTTGAGGCCAAATTATAAGGAAAACATGATCTCTCCTTCAAGAAACTTATTTTGAAACTTATGAACTACATTCTGTTTGAGCAATAAAAGCATCAAAGGGTCAAGGACTTTGTCCTGTTAACCACATATCTCTAGTGTCTCTCTCTGTTCCCTATACAAAGTAGTTATTTGTTAATATTTATTAAATTAATGAATTAATACAGCACTTCTAAAGTGTGACCCAGAGTCCCCTGGGGGTCCCTGTGTCCCTCTTGCAGGGGTCTATAAAGCAAAACTATTTTAATAATACTAAAACATTTTGTTTCCTTGTTTTATTCCCTTTCTTTCACCAGTGTACAGTGAGTATTTTTTTTAACTTTTATTTTAGTTTCAGAAGATCATGTATAGGATTGTTATATATGTAAATTGCATGTCAGGGGGGTTAGTGTACAGATTACTCAATCATGCAGGTAAAAAGCATAGTACTTGACAGGGAGTTTTTTGATCCTCACTCTCCTCTCACCCTCCACCCTGAAGTAGGTCCCCATGGCTGTGGTTCCCTTCTTTGTGTCCATGGGTACTCAGTGTTTGGCTCCCACTCGTAAGTGAGAATATGTGGTATTTGGTTTTCTGTTATTATGTTAGTTTGCTCAGGATAATGGCCTCAAGATCCACCTATGTTGCTGCAAAGCACATGATCTCATTCTTTTTTAAGGCTGTGTAGTATTCCATGGTGTATATGTACCACATATTCTTTACCCAGTCTACCATTGATGGGCATTTACTATTGTGAATAGTGCCGCAGTGAACATAAACATGTATGTGTCTTTATGGTAGAACAATTTATATTCCTCTGGGTATATACCCTATAATGGGATTGCTGGGTCAAATGGTAATTCTGTTTTAAGTTCTTTGAGAAATGTTCAAACTACTTTCCGCAATGGCTGAACTAATTTACATTTCCCTCCAGCAGTGTATAAGTGTTCCCTCTTTTCCATAACCTCACCAGCATCTGTTATTTTTTGCCTAGTCATTCGGACAGGTGTGAGATGGTATCTCATTGTGGTTTTGATTTGTACTTCTCTAATGATTAGCGATATTGAGCTTTCTTTCATGTAGCTTGTTGGCTGCATGTATGTCTTCTTCTGAAAACTGTCTGTTCACGTCCTTTGACCAT
Organism: Homo sapiens; assembly: GCF_000001405.40. NCBI lineage: Eukaryota > Metazoa > Chordata > Mammalia > Primates > Hominidae > Homo > Homo sapiens. The sequence goes on from NC_000018.10 coordinate 27,693,588, forward strand.
GTTTTAATGTTTGTTTTTGTTGTTGTTGTTGTTATTGTTATTTAAGTTCCTCATAAATCAAGCTTGTTCAACCCATGGCCCGCAGGGCACATGTGGTCCAGGACAGCCTTAAATGTGACCCAACACAAATTTGTAAACTTTCTTAAAACATTATGAGCTTTTTTGGTGATTTTTTTTTCTTTTTTTAGCTCAAAGCTATTGTTAGTATTAGTGTATTTTATGTGCGGCCCAAGAATACTCTTCTTCCAATGTGGCCCAGGGATGCCAAAAGATTGGACACAGGGGTTTCCAATCTTTTGCCTTAGATTCTGGATATTAGACCTCTGTCAGATGCACAGTTTGCACATATTTTTTCTAATTCTGCAAGTTGTCTTTTTACTCTGTTGATAGTTCTTTTGGTGTGCAGAAGCTGTTTAGTTTAATTAGCTTCGAAATGTCCATTTTTGCTTTTGTTGTAATTGCTTTTGGCATCTTCATCATAAAATCTTTGCCAGGTCCCATGTCCAAAATGGCATTTCCTAGGTTATCTTCCAGGGTTTTTATAGTTTCAGGTTTTGCATTTCAGTCTTTAATCCATCTTGAGTTGATTTTTGTACATAGTATAAGGAAGGGATTCAGTTTCAATCTTCTGCATATGACTACCCAGTTATCTCAGCACCATTTATTGAATAGGGAGTGCTTTCACCATTGCTTGTTTTTCTCAACTTTGTTGATCAGATGGTTGGAGGTGTGCAGCATTATTTTTGGGCTCTCTGTTCTGTCACATTGGTCTATATGTCTGTTTTTGTACCAGTACCATGGTGTTTTAGTTACTGTATCCTTGTAGTAGAGTTTGAAGTCAAGCAATGTGATTACTCTAGCTTTGTTTCTTTTGCTTAGAATTGTCTTGGCTATTTGGGCTCATTTTTGGTTTCATATAAATTTTAAAATAGTTTTTTCTAATTCTGTGAAGAATGCCATTCTAGTTTGATAGGAATAGCATTGAATCTATAAACTGCTTTGGGCAGTATGGCCACTTTAAAAACATTGATTTTTCCTACCCATGAACATGGAATGTTTTTTCATTTGTTTGTGTCATCTCTGGTTTCTTTTAGCAGATTTGTAATTCTTATTATAGAGATCTTTCGCCCCCTGGTTAGCTGTATGACTACATATTTAATTCTATTTTGTGGCTATTGTGAATAGGATTGCAATCTTAATTTGGCTCTCAATTTTTATGTTGTTGGTGTATAGGAATGCTACTGATTTGTACACATTGATTTTGTATTCTGAAACTTTGCTGAAGTTGTTCATCAGATCAAGGAGCTTTTGGGCAGAGACTATGGGGTTTTCTATGTATCGAATCATATTGTGGTAGGAGTTATTAAGAAATTATTTTAGTCAGATAGAAAGGAAAAGGGGTCCTTAGAAAGTTGTTTCTTTTAAAGCAGCTCCAGAAATGATTTTTGTCTAGCAGGAAAGCCCCGGCTTTTAGAGCCAGGCCGGTAACCTTTGATATGCAAATGCAGGCCATTAGAAACTGGGTCCACCCAAACATGGCAATTCCCATGGCCTTCTTGCCCTTTCCCCACATGTTCCTGGCAACATGTCCACCCCCACGTATTCCCACATGCTTAGAACATCATGGCGCCCTGCATTTGCATATTTAAAGGCTAGGGTGGGAGGGCTAGCTTTTCCAGAGCTATGTGAATGACATGCCTGGTCAAACCAATCCCCTGAGCCCTATGCAAATCAGACCAGACATCACCTCCTCCAGCCTCTGCATATATACCTAGCTGGTGTCCACCACGCTTGGAGTTCCCTCTCTCGGCTTTGGAGCCCCCCTCCCTCTGTCTCTGTACCGGGGAGCTGTTTCCTTCTCCCTTCCTTCTTGCCCCTTCTTGCCTATTAAATTCTCTGCTCTTTAAAACCACTCCATGTGTGTCCGTGTCATTTTATCTAAACTGTCACGAGGACCAAGAACCCTGATGTTCCTCCACTCAGTGGAGCCGTATCATCATCAGCAAACAGGGATAGTTTGACTTCCTCTCCTCCTATTTCAATGCCTTTTATTTCTTTCTCTTACCTGGTTGCTCTGGCTGTTACTTACAGTGACTTTTCCAGAAGCTGTATGATGACATCATCACTCTGGCAGCTAATGAATCTCACGTGTATTTGTGCACTGCTGCATTTTAAAAATGACTCAGTTTTAATTTCAAACACTGTATATGTGGATACATATAACACACAAAATTACATACAAACAAAATCTTTTTGGGGTCCTGAGCATTTCTGAGAATTCAAGGGTCCCAAAGGTCAAAAAGTATAAGGATACAGAATTAATAGTTTAAATATTTTCAAAGATAGTAAAGAAATTAAGTCTTCACTTTCTGATTGTAATTCATTGTTCCCATACTCTGGTCTCAAATGTTCAGCCAACTGTGCCTCACTCCCCACTCCCCAAAAATTATTTCATTTTATTAGGGAAAATCATTTTGCATAGGTGGTTCTACATCTGATAGGATCAATATAGTATTAGTACTGTGTAATGGGCTGCAATGCCAGTAAATCTAATCAGCTCTTGAGCTTTGTTTTGTTTGTTTTTTGTTTGTTTGTTTCTGTTTTTGTTAAGAATGTTATATCTTGGCAGAGTAGAGAAATGCCTGGGTGCCAAATAGGTCTCACCTAATGATATTCTCATAAAATCAAATTAAATGAATCTTGGTCAGCCAAGATTTCATTGGGCCTACATGAGGCTTTCAAAATGACTGGAAATATGCTGAGTAAGACTTTACTGGGGACCCATCAGACTGAATACATTTGAAAAATCATCAGAGGTATTTGTCGAATGCGTAATATATACAGTACCTTGATACAAATCACTTTGCCATTTTTCTATCTACAGACTTTTTTTCCATTGGGTATTTGCAGGTGAAAAAAACACAAAAAACAATATTAAACTCCTCTTGGACACAGAAATGACTCTTTACTGCCTGGTGGCTGAGGGAGACAGTCTATGTAGTGACAGATTAATCCTCCAGTCGGGATTCTGCTTTCTTTTCTTTAAACTTGTTCTTCCCAAATGCATAGCACTATAAAATCCCTTTTGTGTTGGAGTGGAAGAACAAGGAAAACATGGAGATCTTTCTATTTTTATGTGATTTGTTAATCTTCAAAAGGAGTTTTGTCTCATTCAAGAATTTTAAAAATCATAAAAATTTTTTAAAATGTATACACAATTATACATTTTGGTCTGTTTTCAAATTTTGATCCTAGTTTGGAATGACTGGAAATTTGAAACCTGATACATTATGGATTACATGGGGTATGGTGGCTCTTCAATGTGATTAAATTAACCAGAAAAATCAATGGTGAATTTTGCTGCCACTAAATAAAGGTGAGTTGTAAAGTTCATCAACTTTATAAAAGGCTAATGATGAAATATTTTCTGAAATCCTGTGTGAATAAAAAAAAGTATGTATTATTAATACCTCAGAGAAAAGAACATGAATAGGTGCACATTTTAAAAATATTTTTTCAGTCAAAATTCAACTAAACCTTAATTAGGAGGTAAGATCAAGCAAATGAAGAAAATCTAAAAAAATAAAAACAGGTTGAAGCTCAACATAAGAGTTCTGGAAGCTGGTTTTGCCCCCACAGTTATCTGTAAATTGGGGGCTTATTAAAAACAGGTTTAATTAATATGTATGCCAGGATTTTACATCAAAGGAATCCCTTGAACCCCCACCCTGACCCACTGGAGTGAATTTGAATTTGCCACAGATTTCTACCAAGAATGTTTCCAAAAGTATGTTTATCAGAAAATTGAACGCTTGAGAATCTCCATTAAAAAAAATAAATTAAATAAGTGTTTCGTGTTCAGATAAGCCTGGGAACTACTGAACACTGTGAAATCCCCCTTACGGAGTTTCACAATGTGTGTTAGTCCATCAAGGACCCTGAAAGCCCTTCCTGGGAAGAATTCTGTTTGATTTTCTATAACCCAGCATGTCCCCAAATTTATATTACTACAGAGCCCTCTTTAATGTAATTCATATTAAAAATCTCTGCAATAATGTTCTGTAGAACACATTTTCAGAATATTGACCCAGGATAAGAATCTGCCTCTTGGGCTCACTCCCAGCTGAGGAGGAGGCAGTTGACTACTCCACCTACTCCACCGCAGAGAGCACTGAACTAAGCAGCCCTGGAAGTGCATCCACCTCACTTTTTTCTCCTGCCTCTGCTTGCTTTGCTGAGGCCCCACAGCAAGTACCCTTATAGATACCCTGCTCTCAAGAATGTCCCTATGGTAATTTCTCCTTGATTTCTTATGGAATTTGTAATATTTCATGCTAAAGTAATTTGTGTATGATTCACTGCCTAGATGAAACAGATAAAAAATGATATAATTTTAAGCCTGGAAAGAACCTAACTCCTAAACTAGGAAATTTAAACCCAGAACCTCTGTCACTTGCCCAAAGTTGTACAACCAATTAAACCTTTTATAGGGAAGCAGAATTTAATAGAAAGGTCTGGCTAACAATGTGCTACATTTGGACCAGATTCTGCTACCCTTCAAGTAGAAAGTCAATTCCAACTCTGAGTGGTTTTATTTCTAAAATGGGCTAGGAAAGAAAGAATGTCAAGTGTGATAGAAAAGTAAGATGATGTGTAATAGACAGAAAGTCCATAACCAAAGTTTCCCTGCTGTGTTTCATTTTGTAGATGGGAGAAGCAAAATATATCATTGAAGTCTTAAGGCCAACATTATAAAAATCTTGGCTTTATAGGGGTTTACATTGCCATCAGTTAGACGCAAAGTGAATTGGTTATCATGAGCACTTTATTCCTTTGGTGTTGCCTCAAGTTTTCTTATGTGACTGTTAGAAAAAGAATTGCTGGCAAATTCATTAATTCATTGCCTTATAACATCAGGGTAAAGAGCTCTCACATCTGCCAGTTGTTATACTAGATGCTCAATTTTAATGGGTATTCCCACTTGGGTTTTTATCGGTTGCTTTATGTCAAAATTGTCATCACTTCCTTGTCTTTATGTTTCTTTTTTGTGAAGAGCTTATTTTAAAACAGTCTCCCATTTATCTCAATGTCATAAAAACCTAAGCTTAACTAAACTGAAATGAGGATGGGCCTGCCTTCAACATTTCCCTTCTTTAGATGCTCACTTCACTTTTCCATTCACAACATTATTACTCACAATAAAATTCTACAAACACTCATCTGCCTTTGGGTTCCCTTTGGCTACTGACCATTTGTTCATTCCAGATGATAACAGCTATCTTGATCTATCTTGATCATTACCACCATCTTCAACAAATAAGCACTTAGCACCTACAGGGGGCTTGCCACTAGAGGAAATTTGCTTCCGTAAGATATGGAGATCATGCAATATAACGGATGAAGGATAGAGTGGGATTTTGAAAAACACAGGCCTTATTTATGGTCCTGCCTGGGATGTGTTGCCTGGATTGCTCTAAACATGTAACAAATTGAGACTCTAGTTTCTACTTATCTAGAGTATAAATATTGCCCATACCTGCATCTCCTCTATCTCTATGATTTTATGGGAAATCATACAATGAAGTATTAAGCTCTTTAGAAATAGTCACCGTATCAGCAGAAGATATTGTAGGATTATCTTTTTTGCTATAATCCTCAACTACTGTTCACATTTTAACAGCCCTTTTTTTCCCATTTCTATCCCAGGCCTAAAGAGCCGTATCTGTTCATGCCAATATTACAAATAAAAAAGTAGAAACTCCAGCCAAACAGCTGGGGCTTGGGACATGCATTCTGAAACACCACTTGTCTGAAAGCCCTATTTTCCTCCTAAAATGGCCGGCTGGTTGACTAAATTAACTACATTATCTGCCTGTTTTGGCAACATAAATATAAATCCTTAAATAATTGAAAACAAAAAAAACCATATAGATGGGCTCATTTTCTCAATTTTCTTTTTAGAATAATTGTGGTTGGTTAAATGTGTGTCATTGATGTGTCTAAGAGAATTTAGTCAATTTAACTTTTAAAAAACATCAAAACTGTTAAGGTGTTGAAGTATTGATGGAATTATTTATGTTATAACTTGTTATTTATTTTTAATCCTTTCCAAGCAGTCATTGTCAGTCCCCTCCACAGTTTTTGGGATTACCCCCATTCCTTGGTTTTTTTCCTTTTTAGTCAAGTTTTTTCTCTGGCTACACCTTAACCTCATCCCCAAGCACTTCCCACCTCATCTCCTGACTAGTATTAGCGAGGTCTGGATTAGCTGGGACAGAGGCAGGCAGGAGGAAAGAAGAAAAAGCACTCCCCACTCCCCAATCACTCCTTCTCACCTCCCCCAAAGTCCTAAGAATAATTTTCATCCTCTATAATTCACACGTTCCTGCCACATTGCCTTATCCTCTACCCTGATCCTATTTTACTCTGTGTCTCAGAGCCCCTGTCCTGCCCGGGTTCTCTTACAGCATGTTTACGATAGACTCCTTCATGCTTTCCTCTGACATACTGTAAGAGATAGGGGGAAATAAATAGAATTATTTTTACTCTCACTCACAACATTCAACACAGAACACTTCTGAAGCCAGATATGTGGGTTTTATTTTCTTTCACATACCAAGTAATTCTCCAGCAGGCACCAACTGCTTGTCTTATAATCCAATTCAATTCTGACACTATCTCCCTGGAGGTAAAGTCAGACCGTGTGGGTTAAGGGCTCAGTCCCGCAAGACTGCCCTCCACTTCAGCCACCAATTGCAAGCTGTAGATTGTCACCTATGCATATGAGGAGAGAGGTATGAGTTGGGATTCCCAAGCCTCCTTCCTTGGGTTCGATTAATTTTCTTGGAGAGCTCACAGAACTCAGGAAAATACTTACTTATGTTTACGGGTTGATTATATTAATATAGAATATGTCACAGATGACTAGCCAGATGCAAGAGATGCATAGGGCAAGGCATGTGAGAAGGGATGCAGAGCTTCCATGCCCTCTTTGGGCACAGACACCCTCCAGGCACTCCCACATGCTGAACAACCTGAAATCTCTCTGAATCCTGTCCTTTCGGGTTTTTGTCGTGGCTTCATTACATAAGCATGATTGATTACATTACTGGCAAATGATGATCAGCTCAACCTTTAGCCCCTCTCCCCTCCCCAGAGGTTGGTGGGTAGGGGTGAAAATTCCATCCCTCTAATTACATGGTTGGTTCCCCTGGCAATCAGCCCCCACCCTGACACTATGCAGGAGCCCAACAAGAGTCACCTCGTTAGAATAAAAGGCTCCCATCGCCCAGGAAATCCTAAGGAATTTAGGAACAGTGTGTTAGAGGCTCCCATTACTCAGGAAATTATATAGGTCTTAGGAGTTCTGTGTTTGGAACTAGGGTCAAATATCAAATATTAGAATGAAAGATTCTCCTAGTGTCCCTGTCTACAAGGGTTTCAAGAGCTCTATGTCGGGAACCAGGGGCAGATATATATCTATAGATATAGATATAGATATATATTTATTTCACACGTGCACTTTTATTTTGGCCCATGCAAATAGGGATCTATAGTGAACACAATCACAAGGCTCCATTTTGCTTGTGGAGAGTAAGTATAAAAGAAAACACTTTTTAGCCTTTGTCTCACTTAAATTCCTGGGCATTTGACGTTCAATCTAGGCCACTCCTTTCTTTAAACTCTCCCCCTATTGGCTCTTGGCACAACTTTTTCTCCTCTGACCAATCTTTTCTCATCTTCTTTGTTCTTCTCTTACCTACTCTTCCAATCCCTATTGTTCTGTAAACATCAGTCCACTCTGCAATAGCTTCTTACTCTGCAATCTTGCCCTAGATGTCCTTACTCAAGATTTCTATGTTCTATCCCCATCTTCCTCTTGAGCCCTAGGTCTATATAAGTCAGCACCCAGTAGCCTAGCCACAGCCCTGAATCAGTGGGGAAGATAATGTGGGTGATGTCCTGGCTCCCAGAACTTACAGCAACCCAGCGTTCTAGGCAGAGAGAAAGTGGGGTCAGATAACACCCTTGAAGAGGGGACTATAGAAGCAGATTGAACATACTCTCCTCTCAATGGCTCTGGCCTTTGTCATGAGCTACTCTTGACTGAGCATCTATTGGAATATGAGGTTATCCTCCTCCAAAGAATTGATAGCCCTGGAGCTTGGAGTTGATCTAGCACTGGTGGTAACATCCAGAATAGAGGACTTAGGAGCGGGCAACTTGGCCACAGCACTTCAGACCCAGATCTCAACCCATGGGCACAACACTTTTTTACTCTAGGACCTATTTCTTCACTGCAAATACAGAACTTCTCCACTGGAAAAAGCCTCTTTTAAACATAGACAATGTCCTGTTCATCAGACAGAGTTCTTTGCCTGAAGTGAGAGGAGGATGTATTAAAGAGTTATAAATTGCAAAGGGAAACTAGGCCAATTTCTATCATGGCATTTTCCTGAATAATCACAACACTACAAAGGACTCCTTACATAAGGCAGTGGCAGTAAATGGAATGTCTCATTCCCACTCTCAAACTTCTCAGACAGGTGTGTCACTAGCTTCCAGCTGATGTTTTGGGAATAGGCAGGCCCACCCTAAGCAATAAATCTCTATGGCAGGCTTATTTGCTGTGGTTTCTAGTCTTCGGCAAAGGGCACCACTTGAGTTACAGTTTATCTCGACGGTCCAGGTGCAGTGAAAAAAAGACTTCCTCCCATCCACCCATACTTGAACCTGGGTACTAGTATCTAATTAAGAACATAGGGATTCCTGGAATCGGAAGGGGAAAAGGACCCTTTAGAAGAGATCAATTTTGCTTCTCACTCATTGAACAAGATATGAGTTATAGTATTATTACTTAGTATAAGGTGTAATCACACCACACTGTAAAATCAGATTGTCCAGATGTATTTGGGTGTATGCCGCCAACATACTAATGTACCTAGATAACCTACAGATAGCACTTGCACCTGAAACTTAAAACATCTCTAATGCAATTCATTTCTCCTCTCCTCCCAAATACCTTCTTTCTCCTAAATTTTCTTTTGCTGAGAATGACACCATCTAGATACTCAGGTCCCAACCAGGAAACATGACTGACTTGTCCTTCATCCTTAACCCCATTTTCGCTTTGCCCTTAGTCCCTTTCTGTCCTTAAAATTGGGGAGCCCTACCTTCTCACTATCATTCTTGTCAGTTGTCCATTTCCAAGGCCACTGCTCCATTGCATACTATTTCTTACTCCTACCCATTGAATCCCCTGACAGGTGCCCATCTTATTTCCTCTCTGCAAGCATGCCGCTACAAAATCCCTTCTGCATCCGGTTTCCTTCCATGTTACTCCCTTGCATAGAATGCCTGGGTGCTTCCCTGTTGTCTCCAGTATTAACTCCAGGTAAGTGGGTATGACAAACAATTCCCTTTCTTTGTTAGTCCTTTCCTAACTCTCCTGGACTCATTTGTCTCCACTCCCCTCCATTAGTGAGCGATTTTTAATTTTCTCAAACTAGACATGGGGTTACATCCTTCTAAGCCATTGTTTTTGTAGCTCCCTAGGCCTAGAATGGTCTTAGCCCACCTCTCCAATGACAAATCTCTATCCATTCTTGGAAACTCGGTTCCTTCCTTCCCCCCACAAAGACTCTTCTATCTCTTCTCCCCTCTCCGGATCAGTGAGAGATTCCTCAGATCTTCTTCCACAGCTACCAAGGCACTTAACTCACTATATAGTAATACTTTTATTGTCTCCCACTCACTGTCAGTTCCTTATAGAATAAAAGGACCACCTTTTATTTATCTTTACATCTCCAGCACCAAGCAAGTGTCCTACACTTGGTACTTAATTACTGTTTGCAGAATGAATGAATGAGTGAATGCAAGTAGGAGAAGGCTGGGAAGAGTTCCTGCCTTCCCAGTTTAGTCCTTACTTGTTACTAATAAACCTCAGAAGGCCTATAAATTTGAGGGATGAGAGGAGCTCTGGGACTGCACAATTTTGCCTAGAACAAGGGAGGAAGGAAACTCAGCTGGAAATAGTCAATGAAAATCATGATTTTGCTGTTCAATCCAAGTGTCATACCCAGGCTACATTAATTTGATTTACCTAGAAGAGCCAGAAAGAAATTAGAGGAGGAGAAACAAGGCAGGAAATTCTTTAGTTGCTAAGATCTAATTTTCACTCATTTGCTAAAAAATTGCTAGACAAAATTCAGTAAGGCAACTTGGTTGAAATTAGAGTCACAAAAAGCAAAAGTTACTGGTAGATTAAATCACGACGTAGGAAACCTTTATATCATATTCCCGTTTCTTCTGGCTCAGCTCCATGGAAAGTCTTATACTTCATAGATTAGGAAAAATAAATAAAAATTTACTAATGAGAATCCTAGATAAGAACTAATAAAGTGATCATAAATTTTTATTTACTCATTAACAGCTATAGCAAATATGTCACTATATATCTTTTTGATTACTTTGGCAATATTTAGAGAAAATGTTACACAGCTTCCTTTCCTTTCCATTTATCCTCACAGTTTTACTTGTAATATTTAGTAGATGAATTATGAACAAGGTCCTACTAGATGTTTATATGTTATAAAAACAGTATTATCATTCAATGTCATTTCTCTTTTGCCTGCTCATTTTCATTTTTCCTTCCATGTTCTCAGCCCTTCTAAATTGCATAACTGCATACTTTTAAGTCATTCACCCTTTGTTCTATGCTGTATTCGTTATTGATTCTTCTCAAAATTGGAGCTCCATGCCAAATTAGGGGAAACTGCCATGGTTGGAAACATATTTTTAATATATGTACAGAGGCTCTTGAAACTCAAGGTCAGTTCTTAAGATAATCTGAATATTTCTAAAATTTTAAGGTAAAAACAAACAAACAAACAAACAAAAACACTGACCTGTAAGTCGGGGATGGGGCTTCTGATCTTAAATCCATCTATAGTTCCTTCTAGGCTCTAGGCAGAGCTCCTTGGGCCTTACTCAGAGAATTTTTATCAGTGGTATTTTTCCATTCATATACCACAGGGACTTCTAAGCTTCAAAATTGACCTGCATTATGGAACTTGGAATAAATGTTTTAAGTTTGCAGACAGTTGTAAAATGTGGAAAGCAGCTAGTTCTGTTGAGGATAAATTTAAAATGTATAAAAACTATGTCTCAGAAGCCAAGCTATCATAAATCCCCAAAGGGAGCCCCTTCCTTGATTTAATCACTGATAAAGCAGAGGGAAGTAAGCTGTTTTTCCGTGGGGCCTATAACTCCATCTTAAGGGAGTGAAAGGGGACTTCAGTAATGAGGGAGGAAACATGACACCAGAAGCATCCATCCATTCAATCTATAAACATTTAACAAACACCCCCTATATAGGCCAGACAGTTTATTAAGCACTCAGAAACAAAAATTACTGAGTCGTGGTCCCTGACCCAAAGAACAAAGGGTAGGGTAAAACAATTAGAGCAGAAACAAACACACACAAAAATGTTTCTAAAAAAATGACTAAAGCCTCCCTCTGTGCCAGGCTCCATGCTAGGTAGTTTACATGCATTGACTCATTCAGTCCTGCAGTTCTCTGTGAGGGAGGCTTCTGTTAGTACCCTGTCTTACATATGAGGAAACCACACCTCCGAGGGGGTCAAGGAACTTGCTAAGGTCACAAAGCTAGTGAATGGGGGAGCCAGCTTGAACCATGGTAGTCTGGCTCAACATTGTGCTAATCATGGCAACACAACATTGCTTCTCAACATGTACAACTAACAAGGGATTCATGTATAAGATACATAAAGAATTCCTACAATCCGACAAGAGGCTGGCATCCCATATGGGAAAACAGGGAAATTGTATGACAAGAAATTTCTTCTAAGTTTAACCTGGAATAGCAAAAGAGCACTTGCAGAGATGCTCAAGCTGGCAGTGTTGAATGAAATTGAGACCACTCACATCTTCCAACTAAGTCATTCTATTTCGAAGTGTACATCCCTGAGAAACCTTCACATAGGTACATGAAGAAATATATTTAAAGATGTTCATCATAGCTTTGGTGGGAAAAGCAAAAGGTTACATCAACCTAAATGGGCATCAAAGGGAAATCATAAAAAGAAGTTATGTGCCTATGAAGGAATACAGACTCAGAAAAAAATGAATTTCCACTTATATATGAAAAATAAATCTCAGAAACATAATGATGAATAAAAAGCTAAGCAGAACAGAATGTATGATATAATAAAATGTATGTAATATATTTTAAACCACACACTAAGTAACCGTACATATGGTCCTTAGATACCTATAAATGCAAATGAAGTTGTGGAGGTAAATTGAAAGAACATATGTTAAATGGACACAATGTTCAGATACTTATGAAAATTCTGGGTAATAAGCTATTATTTTTAAATAAGATAAAATAACAACAATAGTGACAGCTAGCACTTTTTGAGTGCTTATTGTTTATCAGGTGCTATTTCCAAGATCTTTAAAAGTATTATCTCACAATAATGAGTTAGGTCTATTGTTAATCTAATTTTACAAATGAGAAAAAATGAGTTTTAGAAGGTTAAGTATTAATATCTTCCCCCAGATCATACAAGTTGCTGATGTTGAACATGGGATTTGAATCCAGAAAACTAACTACATTGTAAATGTGTTTAATTGTTATATTTTTATAATTATTATATCAATTTTTTCAGCTTTTAATATAGACTCAAGGGGTTACATGTGCAGGTTTGTTACATGGGTAAATTGCATGTCGTTAGGGTTTAGCGTACAAATGAACACATCATCCAGGTGGTGGGCATACTCCCAATGGTTAGTTTTTCAGTTTTTACCCCTTCCTCCCAACCTCCCCACCCCAGTAGTCCCCAGTGCCTATTGTTCTCATCTTTCTGTCTGTGTGTACTCAATGTTTAGCTCCGACTTAGAAGTGAAAATATGTGATATTTGATTTTCTATTCCTGTGTCAATCTTCTTAGGATGATAGCCTCAAGCTGCATCCATGTTGCTGCAGAGGACATAATTGTATTCTTTTTATGGCTGTGTAGTATTCAATGGTAAATATGTACCACACTTTCTTTATTCGGCTTACCATTGATGGGCATCTAGGTTGATTTCATGTCTTTACTATTGTGAATAGTGCTGCGATGAACTTACGAGTACGTGTGTCTTTTTGGTAGAATGATTTATATTCCTTTGGGTACATAAGCCATAATGGCATTGCTGGTTCAAATGGTAGTTCTAAGTTCTTTGAGAAATTACCACACTGTTTTTCACAATGGCTGAACTAATTTACATTCCTGCCAGCAATGTATAAGTATTCCCTTTTCTCTGTAACCTGACCAGCATTTATTATTTTTTGCCTTTTTAATAATAGCTATCCTGACTGGTTGGTGTGAGATGATATCTTATTATGGTTTTGATTTGCTTTTCTCTGATGATTAGTGATGTTGAGCATTTTTTCAGGTATTTCTTGACCACACATGTATGTCTTCTTTTGAAAACTGTCTGTTCATGTTCTTTGCCTATTTTTTAAATGGGGTTATTTGGTTTTTTTGCTTGTTGAATTGTTTAAGGTCCTCGGAGAATGCTTCCAGATTTTGCCCATTCAGTATTATGTGCCTTTGAGTTTGTCATAAGTGTCTCTTGCTATTTTGAGGTATGTTCCTTTGATGCCTAATTTGTTAAGCATTTTTAACTTGAAGCCATGTTGAAAAAGCCTTTTCTGCATCTATTGAGATGATCACATGGTTTTAGTTTTTAATTCTGTTTATGTGGTGAGTCACATTTTTGATTTGTGTATGTATGTTGAAACAACCTTGCATCATAGAAATAAAGCCTACTTGACTGTGGTGAATTAACTTTTTGATATGCTGCTGGATTTGATCAGCAAGTATTTCACCTAAACTTTTTTTGTTGCATCTCTGCCAGTTTTTGGTATCAGAATGATGCTGGCTTCATAGAATGAATTAGAGAGGAGTCCCTCCTCTTCGATTTTTGAAGAATAATTTCAGTAGAACCGGTACTACCTCTTCTTTGTACCTTTGGTAGAATTTGGCTGTGAATCCATCTGATTTAGGGCTTTTGTTGGTAGGTTTTTGTTACTGATTCAATTTCAGAGCTTGCTATTGGTCTCTTCAGAGTTTCAATTTCTTCTTGGTCCAATCCTGACAGATTGTGTGTTTCCAGGAATTTATCCATTTCTTCTAGGTTTTCTAGTTTGTGTGCATAAAGGTCTTTATAATAGGCTCCGAGGGCATTTTTTATTTTGGGGGGGGTCAGTTATAATATCATCTTTCTTATTTCTGATTGTGCTTATTTGGATCATCTGTTTTTTTTCTTTGTTAATCTAGCTAGCATAAAAAAAATCTTTTTTATGCTCTTAAAACACCAATTTTTTTGGTTCGTTGACCGTTTGTAGAATTTCTGCATCTCAAGTTCATTCAGTTCTGCTCTGATTTTGGTATTTATTTTCTTCTGCTAGTTTTGGGGTTGGTTTGCTTTTGATTTTCTAGTTCCTTTCAGTGTGATGTTAGGTTGTTAATTTGAGATCTTTCTAACTTGTTGATGTAGGTAGTTAGCACTATAAACTTTCCTCTTAACACTGCTTTAGCTTTGTCCCAAAGATTTTGGTATGTTGTGTCTCTGTTTTCATTAATTTCAAAGAATTTTTAAATTTCACTAATAAAATGAAACTTTGGCTGGGCGCAGTGGCTCACGCCTATAAATCCCAGCACTTTGGGAGGCTGAAGCAGGCAGATCACTAGAGTCAGGTGTTCAAGACCAGCCTGGCCAATGTGTTGAAACCCTGTCTCTATCAAAAATTTTATAATTAGCCCAAAATGGTGGTACGCACCTGTAGCCCCAGCTACTTGGGAGGCCAACACACAAGAATCACTTGATCCCAGGAGAAGGAGGCTGCAGTGAGCTGAGATCACACCACTGCACTCCAGCCTGGGTGACAGGGTGAGACTCTGTCTCAAAAAAGAAAGAAAGAAATTTTAAAATTTTAGTAAATTAATTTCATTCTTTACCCAGAAGTCATTCAGGAACAGGTTGTTTAATTTTTATGTAATTGTATGATTTTGAGAGCTTATCTTTGAATTGATTTCTATTTTTACTGCACTGTGGTTTAAGAGTGTGGATGGTATGATTTTGATGTTTTAAATTTGTTGAGAGTGGCTTTATGGCCAACCATGTGGTTGATCTTAAAGTATGTGCCATATGCAGATGAGAAGAATGTATATTCTGTTGTTTGTTGGAATATGCTATAGATGTCCATTAGTTCCAATTGGTCAAGTGTTAAGTCCAGAATATCTTTTTTAGTTTTTTTCCACAATGATCTAACGCTGTCAGTGAGGTGTTAAAATCTCCCACTATTATTGTGTAGTTATCTAAGTTTCTTTGTAGGTCTCTGTAAACTTGTTTTGTGAATTTGAGTGCTCCGATGTTGGATGTGTATATATTTAGTAAAGTCTTCTTGTTGAGTTTAACCCTTTATCATTATGTAATGCCCTTCTTTGTCATTTTTTTAAATCATTGTTGGTGTAAAGTCTGTTTTATCTAATATAAAAATAGCAACTCTTGCTCTTTTTTGTTTTCCATTTGCATGATAGATCTTTCTCTATCCCTTTACTTTGAGCCTATTGATGTCATTACATGTAAGATGGGTCTCTTAAAGACAGCAGACAGCTGGATCTTGCTTCTTTATTCAATTTCCTACTTTATGACTTTTAAATGGGACTTTGGCCCATTTACATTCAAGGTTAATATCCATATGTGAAGATTTGATCCTGTCATCTTGTTGTAGGCTAGTTGTTATGTAGACTTAATTGTATAGTTGCTTTATAGTGTCAGTGGGTTATGTACTTAAGTGTGTTTTTGTGGTGACAAGTATCTTTCTTTCATTTCCATGTCAAGAACTCCCTTAGGGACTGCCTTGTAAGGCAGGCCTAGCAATAACTACTTCCCTTAGTGTTTGCTTGTCTGAAAAGAATTTTATCTCACCATCACTTATGAAGCTTAGTTTGGCAGGATATGAAATTCTTGGTTGAAATTATTTAAGAATGCTGAAAATCTCCTCAATCTCTTTTGGCTTGTAAGGATTCTGCTGAAATGCTCACTGTTAGCGTGATGGGCTTCCTTTGTAAGTGACCTACCCCTTCTCTCTATCTGCCTTTAAGATTTTTTTCTTTCATGTTAACCTTTGAGAATCTATAATTATTATATTCTTAATATACACACATATATTAAATCCAGTGATATGTTAGGAGTCAGAGAAAATGAAAAATGTGAAAATAAGATTATATCAGAATCTATAAAACATTTTGGAGTTGGGAGAATGTGTCTGAGGCTCAAGTACACATTGTACTTCCATAGACATTTGTAAAATAATTATGACAAAGATGACAAATGGCTCTTCTGCTTGCACCGACCTCATAGGACAAATTGAACTCAACTGTGAAATGAGGGATTTGAGTAAAATACAAAGAGATGATAAAAATAGATTATATTTTTCAGTTCCTCCCAGGTGTCACCAACTGCATTAAGTTCTTTTTTATAAGTTATCATACTTAATCTTCCACTTTGAGGTACATATTACTAGTCTCATTTTACAGACATAAAAACCAAGACTCAGGGAAGCTGAATACCTTCCTGTCTTCCCACCATCACACACTGTAGATCTATGACAGGAACTCATCTAATTCCAAGGCCAAAGGTCTTTCCATTGCTTCATCTGGGGTAGGTCAGCTGGTCTTCCAAGCTTGCAATCTATTTATAACAGGGTTTCTATCTTTAGATAGAAATATACCAATTATTCCATCTGTCCACCTGGTAAAATTATTATGAGTACCAGCAGCATCAGGACCCATGACTGAAAACACAGGGAAATACATTCGAAACACTGTAACTGTTACTTTTATTTTTTCAACAAAAACACCAAATTTCCAAGACATCATATTTTTGAGGTGTGCCTATTTGAGGCTGGAAGATTTTCCAATGACATATGGAGTCTTTCATTCTTTGGACAAGATATTAAATTTATTTTAAAATGATTGCTTTTCCATTTATTTTGTTTCTATTTTCCCCTGGTTTAAAAATCAGCGGGGTTTTTTTTTTTTTTTTTAACACAGTGACACATACTCCAACACTTCACCTTCCATTCCTGGGCTCCTTTCTTTCTACCAGAAGCTGTCTTCTGAATCTGAACAAATGTAGAATTTATTTCTCTATTTCTCCAGCATCAATCTGCCTTGACATACAAAGCAAGTATTCTTTATGATACGTGAGGGAAAGAGGAGGGGAAAATAGATGGTTGTGACTACTTCTCCGTATTTATCAAAACCCACTAGAGTTTTTTGCCAGTGTGAGGATGCAGCTATAGCATAGTTAATAGAGCAAGGGCTTTGAAGCTAGATAAACCTGAATGTGAATCCCAGCTCTGACATTTACAAACTGTGTGACTTTGGGCAGATAATTCTCCAGCTTCATTTTCACAACTTAAAATGGAAGTAATAACACCTATCTTTCTGGATAATGTTGAGGATCCTAAAACATACATGGACTGCACCTAGCATAGTGGCTGGAATATAAGAAGTCCTCAGTGAGTGCTCATCTAGTCATGCTGTTAGTATCCAGTTTTTAAACTAAAAGGCACATTTGGGTCATACTAGTTATACCTGGAAATTTTGTAAGAAAGTACAGTTCACCCAGAGGGGCAAAATGACTTGCCCAAGGTCACACAGCCAGCTTGCAACCGAACCAGGCCTGAAACATAAACTTCCTCCTCTGCCCTATGCTCACTCCCTTTGATGCCTCTTACTCAAAGGTATTTCTAGTATTTCTAGACTTTCAACATTTAAGAAAAAAAATTGTTTTGGTTCCTAACTCTTTACTGACACAAATATGTTTAGTTTATAATACCAATGACAGATTTTTATTTTTTCTGGCAGTAGCCATGATATCTGAGACCCATTAGGAATCTGAAATCTATTCAGATAACCTCAGAGCTCACTCTTCTTTATTCTTTCTATCATATATGAACATGCATATGGTATTTGGAGGTAAAAAAAAAAAAGTTCTTAGGGGTTATTTTTAGCTCAACATCTCTTCCCAACCTTAAATTCTTCATGCTTTGTGTAATTAATTTATCATAAAGAGAGTAATGTCAAAAGAAATTTCCTCTGAGTATAGAAGAAGCTGAAAAATTGTTGCAAGAAGTCAGAGCAGTAGTAAGGCTATTGCTGAACATGGGTTTATTAGAAAGCAAAATAAACAGCATACTGCATGCTGACTTCATCTTCATTAAGCATTCATACTGGAAATGCTTACCTTGTCCACAGCCAAGATGTTATCCTTTGGAGAAGGAGAAGGAAAAAAAAAAGGAATTACTAAGCCAGCATACTGCAAGTGTTTCATGGTTTGGAGCAAGCAGTGTTAACGTAAAATCTTTTAATATGTTAGCCTAAGCAATTTGGCCTCCAAACAATTGGAATCACCTTGGAGCAGGTCATAATGTTGAGGAAGGCAGCTAGAAAGGAGAATGAATTGACTTGCACTCTGCCATGCAGAGAAATGTAAATAAAGGTTGGAGAGGCCTTTATGGCAATGCCATTGTGGTTATGTGAGTCCACCTGGCCTAATATGTTAAGAGGATTAGCACTAAAGCTGCATGAACTTTGAAATAGCCCAATGAAGCTTATGTGCTTTCCAGTTTAAATTGGTCTTCAGCAAGACCTCTCTGATAATCAGGAATTTGGCAGCCTGAGTATTCTGCCACATCCTCTGAAGAAGGTCGAGCCCCCGGGTGTCAACACTGTAGTATCCCTTTTTATTTGAGGTAGAGATGGAGAGAGAGCCAGAAGGCAAAGGGGCAGGAATCACTATAGAGGTCACAGCGAAAGCCAAAATCTAAAATACTGCTCTTTCATGCTTACCCGAAGATCACAAGGTTTAATCAAATTAAATTTAAAAAAAAACCCTGCTGTTGCATCCTGCTTACGGCTGGCTTAAACAGTCAAAAGAAAAGCCCTTTCTCTACCCATATAAACTAGAGGGGGCTTTTCTGGGTAATGAATAATGTTTTCTTATAGGAAAAAATGCATTATATCATGTGATTCATGTGGACAACTAGTTTGGATAAAGAATCGGAACTCACAGTAAAATGGTTCTAAAGAAGCCCCTAAAATTATTAACTTCACACTTAGCAAAAATAGAGCTTAGCACCAACTAAAAAGGCACACTTCAGAATCTTCCCACCAGAAGTTAATCACTACACATGCTTAATAATTCCTAATGTCCTGTATATAGAGGTGTCTGAATGTGTTGAGCATCTCAATGTCCCTATGGTTATTTGACATCTCAAAGGCATGGTTGTGGAATCAGTGTAAAACACGTACTCCCAGCAAACATAAACTAAACAAACAAAAAAAAGATTTAACTCCTTTAAGGCCTGCCCCTCCAGATGCAAATTTCATGGAGCCTTTCGCTGGGGATGCCAATGATTTTGGAATAAGTTTACATGAACTGCATCATTCAGAAAGCAGCTGGGGAATTGTGTTCCTGCAACTCTCCTGGGTCTCCTTTGAAGCTCCTGCTTCTGCTTCAAAGATATCGAATGACAGGAACCTTTCTTTGTTTCCAGAAGGGGGGAAAATGTGAGGACTACTTAAACACTTGAGCCAGTGCTATGTCATCATCACAAGAGACACTAGCTGAGAACAGCAGTCAGCCCAGCAAAAGAAACTCTAAAGGATCAATAAAATTTGTCAATAAAGGAGAAGGTTCCTGGATTCAGAGGTTGTTTTTTTCCCCAAAGTGGAGGATGACCCAGATCATTTAAGGATACAAACAGAGGGAAAAAAAGAAACAAATAAAAGAAAAGAAAACAAAACAAAGCAAGGGCTATTTGCTAGCTTTGCAGAATTAATCCAGAAACAACAGATTTTGTGTTTATATTTCCTTCTAGTCTTGTGCCACAGCCAGTGGGTTTATGCAATATCTCTGTCATGTTCTCTTTTTCCCCTTTTGTGTCCATGGTACTAAGTGCATTTATGAGAAATCCAAGAGCTGGTTTTACAAAATAGAAAATCCATTGTATAAGCAATGAAATTTTTAGCAGAAAATATATTGTATTTTTAACAAACCATGACTTCTTAGCTGAAGGAGACATAATGCAGGATCAATTGCATGGACTGAAATGCTTATGCTCATCACAGATGTATTTTCATTTATAATTACGTCATGCAAAGAGCATTGCTGGGGCCCCATTCCAGACAGACAGGAACACCCACAGAGCCATACAATGTAGTTGCATGCTGAAGCAGTTGTTCACTCTCCTTTGGGACTTCCTTGCAAGGCTTTTTTTCAAACCAAAATCAACAAAGAGATAAAATGTGTGCAGCATTGCTCAAAGCATACTGGAAAATCTGTGCAAACGCCTCAAAATATAATTCGGGGTGGAGAGGTTATCTGAAAAATAAATGAATTGTCAACTTATTTAGCACTTGAAGTTCACCCCCACATTTTTCTGAATTGTACTTAGGAGTTCAGATCTCAAGAAAAAAGGCTGATGGACCAGGCAATTCTGAAATATCAAATCTGTCTTTTGATATCAACCCTTACTATGCTGTGTGGCTCATGATCTGACTTAAAGTGCTTAAAAGTCCTAAGACATATAGTTCTTCCCTTTTACCCAACCTTATAGCCTTGACCTAGTCCCAACACTTCCCCAAGGTCAGCCACAAGAGTATTAACCCTGAGAGACTGAATATACAAATGAACAATGGCCAGACCATGTGTAAAAATAGAACTCTGACCCACAACCAGCAGCAATCTGCCCAAGAAATTAACCCTTAATCTATAATAAGCAGCCTAGGAAGCCAGTCAACTACAAATATTAGACTCATAGAAAGTCAGACTGCTATCTCTATAACAGTGCAGGAAGTCAAACAATAACCGTTGTAACAATTGGCCAAAATGGCCAAGACTTGATTAATAACTGAGACCTCCTCTAAGCTTTGATCCTTCTACCAACTTAGAACCAACCAATGAAAGCCAAATATGCATCCCTAATCAACCACATGGTATGCCCCACTTCTAATTAGCCCACCTACAGGTTCCCCATGCCAATAGCCTCCAGTCAGAGCACACCTGAAGCCTTCCTTTTTTCCACTCTTAAAGCTTTTTTGCTTCTGGGCTGCCTTTGAGTTTCTGCCAAAACACAAGTTACAGAGGTTAACTCCCTTGTTACAGCAAGCTTGAATAAGTAGCCTTTGCTGGTTCTCTTTTGGTTGATCTTTGTTTATTTCCACAACTCATTGCTTCTTAAATGAGATATTTCTTAAGGTTTTCTTTGTGATTTCCTGATTTTCGAGTGATTTCCTGATTTTAGAGAATAATAACCATATTGTTAAGATTTATCCATTTGAAAAAGAGAGACAAAATCATATGTTTAGGATTCAGAGAGTGAATCAGCATCAGTCAGGAAGAGAGAGATCATGCTATATATTTAAAGGACATTGGCTATAGAGGAGTTGGAATTGTTGAGGTTGAAGGAAAGAGTGTTTAAAAAGCAAGAGAATGGTTGTTACCCTAAGATCAGGAAGCCACCACCACTCCTGGACTGGATCTTGTGGGCTCACACAAGTTGCTGTTCTGATGGAACCACACCACTCCTAAGCAGAAAAATGGGAGCTGCATTCCCACAATGACATTAGAACTCATACCCACTGGTAGCACCTCAGGTGGCTGCCATTGCTGTGAATGCTAGAGGCTACTGCCTGAAGCATTTCAGTATGCTTTTCCCCCTTTATCTTTGCAATATCCTGCTAAGGCCTTTTATTAGAAGCCAGGAAGCATTTTATACCAGGAAACCAGCCGGCGAAGAAGGTCTGGGAGATGTAGTCTTCTGACTTCTACATCCAGTGGCAGGGAGAAGGGCCAGTGCAGAGCTGAAAAAACAGTAGACAGTATCTGGTACATGTAATAAATACATTTGACCTACACTGGCTTATAAATCCAAATCAGAAGTATGTTCTGATTTATTAAACTTGCCTTTAAAATAAGATAAAGGAGTTGAGCCCATAATACTAGATTTTCATGTTCCTAGGAGGAAACAAGCAACAGAGAGATAGGCCCCATCCTCCCTACTTCTGATGTTACAGCCTTGAGGATGGACCCAGGGTGGTGTTAGGGGTGGGAGGGCAGAGAGAAGACAGGGCCAGAGAAGGAGGAATTTTTCAAAACTTCTCAGCCCTGGTTACAGATGGGAGTTATAGGAGGATGCTATATCCACCCCGTCACATGAAGCTCTGACACCACATCCTGTTTTTGACTCACTCTAGGTCTGGAAAGCGGGAGTCTCTGTTATGACAGCCACTTATGGCACTCTCTATGATAACCATTCACAGCACATCCATCCTTTAGCAAGGACCATGCCCACAATGTGTAGTATTATATTATAGGACTGTCAATGAAAGATGGTGGGGATAAATAATAAACAGATTTCTTCTTTATCTCGGGTTTTATGTATTTATTTTACTCAACCATTTTTTTTTACACTTATTTATTTATTTGAGACAGGGTCTTTCTCTGCTGCCCATGCTGCAGTGCAGTGGTGCAATTACGGCTCACTGCAGCCTCAAACTCCAAGGCTCAAGTGATCCTCCTGCCTCATCCTGAGTAGCTCGGACTATAGGCGTGCATCACCATGCTCACTAATTTTTGTATTTTTTCTTTTTTGAGACAAAGTCTAGCCCTGTCACCCAGGCTGGAGTGCAATGGCATGATCTCAGCTCACTGCAACCTCCACCTCCTGGGTTCAAATGATTCTTCTGCCTCAACCTCCCAAATAGCTGGGATTACAGGTGCCCGCCACCCTGCCCAGCTAATTTTTGTATTTTTAGTAGAGATGGGGTTTTACCATGTTGGCCAGGCTAGTCTTGAGCTCCTGACCTCATGATCCCCCCGCCTTGGCCTCCCAAAGCGCTGGGATTACAGGTATAAACCACTGCACCCAGCCAATTTTTGTATTTTTTTTTTTTTTTTGTAGAGACGGTGTTTCACCATGTTGCCCAGGCTGGTCTCAAACTCCTGGGCTCAAGTGATTTGCCTGCCACAGCCTCCCTGAATGTTGGGATTATAGGCGTGAGCCACTACACCTGGCCCAACCATTATTAATTTAAGTGCTAACCATGTGCAGGCACTATTTCAGGCATAGGGAATATAGCAGAGGGGGAAAAACAACAAGTAAAAATCCTTGACCTCAAAGAGTATACATTCTACAAGGGAGAGGAAGACAATAGTGTAAGTTAAATTGGTAAGTACCATGAAGAAAAGAGAGAGCAGGGAGTGGGGAAGGGTGGGAGGCGAAGGCAGTGCAAAGGTGAACATTGCCATTTTAGTTAGGTAAATGGGGAAGGCCTTATCAAAGAAGTAATATTTGAGAAAAGACTTAAAGAAGATGAGTTAAGAATTCATGTGAACACCAAAGATGGAACATATCAGGCAGAGGAATTACAAATTCAAAGGCCCTAAAGCAAGATATGTTTGGTGTGTTTATAAAAGAGGTCAGTGTGGCTGAAGGAGAGAAGCAGCAATGAGGTCGGAAAAGAGAATGAAGGCCACATCACAGGGGGCCCCAGAGGCCATTGTAAAGAATGTCTCTTCCTCAGAATGAGATGGAAAGGCATTGGAGGATCTAGAGCCAAAGAGGGGCGTAATCTGATTTAGGCCTTTATGGGCTCACTATGGAGACTGTGTAAATGGATGGAGGGGTATACGTGGGGATGCAGATGGTGAGGGTAGATGCACGAAAACCATTGGAATAATCCTGGCAAGAGATGTCCCATGGTGGTGAGTAGTGGAGGTGTTGATAAGTAGTTTGTTCATATAAATAGAAAAAGGAAAGTGCTCAAGCTAGCCAGAATTATATCTGCAATACTTCACTTGAAAACCCATTCTAAATATATCCTCTTGATGATGCTAGGTTAGCGGTATCATCTTTAGGCCTGCATATCATACAGAAATGCATATATTTGCAGTCTCTCTGCACTGCATGCTTCATTGTGGCTGCAAATATGTTGCTTTTGGATCATAATTAGTAAGACAAATGGCTAAATGCACTTCACATAGAGTACCTATCCTTTTATTTGCTTATAGTGTGGTTTCCAAGAGAGGACTCTTAACAGAAAACAATTTTGTGAATACTTACATACAGCTGAATTTTTAACACCCAGAGATGAAAATAATACATAATAACAAAAAACTACTATAAAACCAGTAACACTTGAAAGTGCCACATTTTATAAGTACATCTGCATCTCCACTCAACTGAAAAGTAATTGTAGTTATAAGAACAAAACCAAATACTTATGATTCACTGACCACATGTAAGGCGCATAAGGTTTCACAGGTCCCATGTCATTGTCATGGAAAGAGCTTTGACATGCACGGAAAAGAGTCATGCGGCTTTGTGTGAATTCTACTAGAAGTCATTTAAATATGGAGATCAGTTGTCACCCTGACAGGAAGAGCAAGAAATGAATTCAGAATAGAAGAAAGTAATAAATTAATTAACAAAAGCTAGGGAGGTGGTTTAGTTGAGTGAAGCCTGTGGACTCTAATTTCCCTTAAAAATCTAGAAATGAGCCAGGCACAGTGGCTGATTCCTATAATCCCAGCATTTTGAGATGCTGAGGCGGGAGGATTGCTTAAGCCCAGGAGTTGGAGGCTGCAGTGAGCTATGACTGCACCACTGCACCCCAGCCTGAACACTACACTCTAAAAAAAAAAAAAAAAATTCAAGGAATGAGGCATCTATCTCACACTCAAGCAAGTTGGCCAAGGGGACCAAACACCTCTTGTTAAATGTAGGGTTCTATGGATCAGTGACTATAAAAGGAGCCTTCATGTCAGCAGTTCCAGACCTTACACCCAACAAAATCTCAGGTCAATTAGCAGCCTCCTGGAGCTAAGGAGCCAGTTTAGAATTTAATTCCTTTAATAGGCAACACCACAATTGTTTTCTTAGAGGGCAAATTTTTTAAGAAAAAAATTAAGTACATTATACCTCTCAGTATTTACATATTTATGTTAGATTCAGAGATATACATATCAGATTAGGTATTGAAAGCACATAAGAGATTTGACATATTGGTATGTTCCAACACATAATTCTCATGATTATGATAGAAAATTTGTAATTAAGGGATTGATTTAGACTTGTGCAATTAACTTGAAATCTTATAGTGGGCCAGAAATGGTGGCTCATGTCCATAATCCCAGCGACTCGGGAGGTCAAGGTGGAAGGATCCCAGAGCCCAGGAGGTTGAGGCTGCAGTGAGCTGTGATTGCTCAACTGCACTTCAGCCTGGGCTGCGTATAGTATTGAAACAATTAATTCATTGGTCCCTAGTCCTTAGCATACATCAGAATCACCTAGGAAGCTTGCTAAAACATAGCTTGCTAAGGCCCAATCTCCAGTTTCTTATTCAGTAGATCTGGGATGGAGCCTGATAATTTGCATTTCTAACAAATCCCAGATGATGTTAATGCTGCTGGTCCAGGAACCACACTTTGCGAACAAATGATTTAAAGGATCTTAAGATTCACCTTATTCAGAAGGCAATTTATTAAACATAATAATTATTTAAGAATTTGAGGAAGTTTGTTAAATCAGACTACTTAAAAAGGAAGTCAGTAATATTAAATTTATACATGCAGCTTAAAATATTTACAGGAGGTTAATGATTTCAGTTTGTAAATACTACCAAACATTAATCAAGGGCCCTACAAAAATTTACCAGTGTTATACATAAAATATTGAGATTTGCATGTTAAAAAAAGACCTCAGGTTTTAAGTGAATGGCTTTACTAAAGTGAATATTAATAGTTAAAATCAAAGTTACCTCTGAATAATCTTTTCAGTGCACAAAACTCACTCTTGGGAACATCAAAAATCTAACATTGACAGTAGTCACTCCATTTTCTAGGGATCCCAAGCCAGCAAATTTAAAACTGTTGGCACGAAGGGCTAGCTGAATGTTCAACCTTTCCCCAGACCATTTGATGCCTCTTCAAATGGTCTTTCTTCTGTACTCAGAGTCAGGGCTTGCTTTGAAGACAGTGGACGGAAACAGAGTCCACATCCTGATCGACTTGAGTCTGTCTGCCATAAGATGACTCTCCTGCAAATGCTCCAGGAGCTTTCCTCTCCAGCTCCCCTGCTAACTGTCATTGTCTTCATGCACAGTCAGAGGACACCACGGAAAGAAGAATGGCGTGTCAAGATCAATCTTCCTCCAGAGACACGCCTTGAAATAATGTTGAATAGCTGCGCATTTGGAAATCTTTACTTCTGAGACCAATTATCTCTCTGCTACAATGTATTCAGCCTTCACTAGCTTGGCTTCTGTACCCAGCTGTTTTCTGTAAGGCCAGATGTATTTTGAATCACAGATGTGATCATTTAAATTAACTAATTTTTCTATGTTTTTAAAAAGGTACATTTATTAGCCTCTGGGGAATACATTCCTTGGTTCATTTTCCATGTTAGAACTTTTGTCCTTCATTTCTCTTTTAGACCTAGAAGCACTAATACATCATAAATAAAAACACTATGAAACCTATAGCTACCCTTGAGTTCAAGGAGGAAATAAAGTTAGTGAAGGTCCTAGCTTTTCATAGGATCCCGTACTCTATTGAGAACCCAACTCTACTGAACTCCACATGTCAATCAATTGCTTGAGGCCAGATCCTGCCCTACATATTCTTAGACTTTAAACCTGTTTCATTTGAGTTACCAAAGCAATTTCTTATTTTCTTGGAATCTTAGTTCTTAGATCTAATTTTAAGTGAAAATATATAGAATGCAGTCACAGAAACAAAAAAAAACTTATGCTCAATTTCTTTGACTCTCAAACTACCATAGTGTGTGCAACTAGTTTTAGACAAGACAAATGCTTTATTTTAAAAGTCGTGTTACTGCAATAGACATGGGCTATGTGGTGGGGAAGGGGCGTGATTAATATCTTCTCATCACCCATTCCAAGGTTTTTGGCTGATATTCCTCTAACGAAAGACAGGTTAATAATGGACAAGCATAACAAATGTATTTAATACATTTTATAAATTCTACACAACAGAGAGCCTTTAGAAATGAAGACCCAAAGGATTATAAATCATGCTGCTATATAGACACATGCACACATATGTTTATTGCGGCACTATTCACAATAGCAAAGACTTGGAACCAACCCAAATGTCCAACAATGATAGGCTGGATTAAGAAAATGTGGCACATATACACCATGGAATACTATGCAGCCATAAAAAAGGATGAGTTCATGTCCTTTGTAGGGACATGGATGAAGCTGGAAACCATCATTCTCAGCAAACTATCGCAAGGACAAAAAACCAAACACCAAATGTTCTCACTCATAGGTGGGAATTGAACAATGAGAACACATGGACACAGGAAGCGGAACATCACACACTGGGGACTGTTGTGGGGTGGGGGGAGGGGGGAGGGATAGCATTAGGAGATATACCTAATGCTAAATGACGAGTTAATGGGTGCAGCACACCAACGTGGCACATGTATACATATGTAACAAACCTGCACGTTGTGCACATGTACCCTAAAACTTAAAGTATAATAATAATAAAATAAAAAAAAGAAGAAATGAAGACCCAAAGACCCAGAGACAACTGTATATTTTTATGCTTAGATCTGATGAGAAATAGAGGATCACGTAAAATATATATTTGGGCAAAAAAGGGCATAACTTAATGGTAATAAACTGGGGGGCTTGTTTGTTCAGATTCTTCTCTGTGCCTCCCTCGTCATTGCTTTCCAATAGGTAAAGCGCAAGACACCTGTCACATGAGGATCTCTAAGAGAGAGGAGGGAGGAGAAGGTCAGAGACCTTCTGCTTCTGCAGTTTTCTCAGTTTCCTTTGGCTTAAAGTACTCAGTATGCCAAGGTGCCAGATATTGAGGTATCATATTCTGATCGCCAACAACTAGAAAAATGCAAATTCTGGCTTTGCCCCACCTAAGGCTGTTTTCTCATTAAAAAAACAAAAAAGGAAAATAATATCCACTTTTAATTTAAAGTGTGTCTAGCACATAGAAGGGGCCGAATAAATGTTAATTATGATTTTTTAACCTAAAGGCCTATTAATCAATAAATGGCTAATCTCTTTGATGAAATTATATATGGCCATTAAAAATTGGGTTTTTAAAAACTATGCAATTTATATTTAAAACAGAAAACTATTAAATTATAAATAATATAATTAAACTATTTTCTAAAAATTGAATATAGAGGACAAAGCAAAAATCTACAACATTACTAGTAAATTGTTGTAGAACTGTGACCTTTTAAAAATTATCCTTTCTATCTTTCTATACTCAGAGATATCTTAATTTAATCAGCAGAGGCCAAATGAACAAATTCAACAAATAGAAATTTTAAAATTGTGAATGAGACTGCATTGGCGTACTGAAATGTACAAGGAAAGACTATTGCAGAGTTGCTACTGTTATGGTTACACCCCTTGTACCTTACACCCCCACACCCATCATGTTATTTTAAAAACATCAAAATCATTGCTTCTCTTCCGGCTGTTTTTTGTTTATGTTCAAAACACCTTTAAAGTAGATTGGATGGTTATTACTTCTCTTCATTAAACAGGTGAGAAAGATACTGGGAATTGGTTCACCCAGCGTCTTATTTTTGCAGTTGTTACAGATGTCGGCAACCTAGTGGACTGTGATTATTGGTCACCGTTTGCCCTAGATAAACCCTCAGTGACTAGCTGTGTGCGAGAAGCCAGTCACACAGCTTTCTGCTGCATATCCCCACCTACAAAATGAGAATGGGGACATCTGCCCTCCCACCTCATTGGCTGATAGAAGAATCCAATAACAGTGCATGTGAAAATATGTTTTTGTTTTTTGTTCTTTTTTTTGAGACAGTCTCGCTCTGTCCCCCGGGCTGGAGTGCAGTGGCATGATCTTGGCTCACTGCCACCTCTGCCTCCCAGGTTCAAGCAATCCTCCTGCCTCAGCCTCCCAAGTAGCTGGTACTACAGGCGCACACCGCCATGCTGGGTTGATTTTTGTATTTTTAGTGGAGACGGTGTTTCACCATGTCGACCGGGCTGGTCTTGAACTCCTGACCTCGTGATCCACCCGCCTCGGTCTCCCAAAATGCTGGGATTACAGGCGTGAGCCACTGCACCCAGCCAAAAATGTTTTTAAATATATAAATTTAAGAAATTTGCTGTTACTCTTTTTAAACTATATTAAAATCACCAACACCAGCTGTGGATAACCATATGCTTTATATTGGCAACTGCCACTTAGTAGATGCCCCAAAATATTATTTCCCTCTCCTTTCTCTCTTGACAGTAAGAAAACACTAATAAATTTTATATATAGTTTTCAGGAATCTTAAAGGGCATCTATTCAACCTCTTCACAACATCTCTGACAAAATGTTATGCACTCTCTGAGTACTTTGATTGAAAGAGAAACTTCTTACCTTGTGGAGGAGCACTTGTCTTTTGGCCTGAATGAACAATGTTATTTTATTTACCACAAGTCTAACTAGTGTTTCAATGAGCTCCAACAGAAAAGAGAAAAAAGTCACATTCTTTAACCCTAAAAGGATTCCCATCAAGTACTGTTTAGAAACTTATTTTCTTTATTTTTTTTTTTTCTGCTCAGTCTTCTTCACTGTGCTGGGAGCCCTCATCTGAGTGTCTAATCAGGAAGCCTCATCTTTCCTGGGTTTTTATTGAGCAGTGTTACTCAGCAGGAAGGAATTTTCTTTTTAAAATTTTCATGAAATCAGCATAATCCTATATCATAAAATAGAAATTGTGAAAAAAATCATCTTCTTGGGGGGTTAGTTTTGCATTATGGTTAGCAATTTGCGAATACCTCTTCCTGAACCTCAGAACTGGATCTGTAATGAATAAGCCCCTGCAAAGTAATAACGAGAGTCCTTTTCGAAACAAATTCAGTGTGAATACCAAGGAAGTAACAAAAAGTTTAAGCCTTAAAGAACAACAATCTCTTTCAGCAGGAAAACTTCCCTTGCTGATACCAATTTAGGCATAGGAATATGTTGAAAGCTAAATATGGAAAACATGGAATTTTACCCATCTTTACTCAATTCAGTCATTCCAAGCACTGTGCCTGTTTTCAGTCGGCTGCAAAGAGTAGGATGGCAAGGATGATAAATTGTGTGGCTCTTACAGTCAACTGCTCCTAGTGTCCCACCTCAGATTATGATGGCTATGTGATGGTTCTGAAAATTCATCTTTTCCCCCCACCATGACAAAAGCCTGCAAATATTAGGAGTGTCCACAGATATATGACGGTTTTATTATAATCATAGTGTTCTTAGGAGGAAAAGATATTTATTTTAGAAAACAATTTAATTCTGTTCAAAGTGTTCTTTTGCATTTGCAATAGTGTTGGGAGCTGTCAGCTCCTCTCTCTCATTTACCTAAGCCTCAGGTTACTGTTGGTAAGAAGCATCCAGACTAGAGAATCATGCATCTCTCTTTGACCCAGAGAGTAAGGGAGAACTCTCTTATTTGGAAAAGCAGCAGTCTCTCCCAGAATGAAAGGACTTATGTAGATATTTCCCAAGGAAATATTGGTTGCTAATAAATAAAGCCTTATCACAGATAAGCTGTTCTAACCAGAAATCACCTAGAGACGATTTCTTGGCTATCCCCAAATTCCCTTAGCCCTACCTCTCCCAAACTCTTTCCCAAGAATTTTAAGAGGCATGTATCCTCTAAGGTATATAGAGTTTCCTGCAGACTTATGAACTGAATTCTGTGGTGAGTAAAAATCCTGGGTTATTGAGCTATTTTCTCATTCTCAGCAGCCAGTTGAAACCTGCCACAGTGCAAAAATAAATGTTGATGTTGTGCTCTGAATAAGGATGAGAAGCCTGCATGCGGTTTGTGATGCCTGATTGTTTTGGTTGCCTCCTGTTTCTCTCTCTCTTCTGTAAAGCAGCGTGTGAAGAAAGTTGGCATGAATGTGCTCAGTGTAAGGTATTAACACTGTTTTATCTATGCATCATGTAATTTTACATAGATATGGTTTTATAAATATTATTAAATGTCATAAATCTCATGTTTTCTTTCTCTTTAAATCGGTTTCATAGTATTCTCCAGCAAACATAAAAAAAAGCTATGAAGAATGTAGGTTAAAAGCTTAGCTTATGTTATTTATTTATTTATTTATTTATTTATTTATTTTGAGACAGAGTCTCACTCTTATCGCCCAGGCTGGAGTGCAGTGGTGTGATCTCTGCTCACTTCAACTTCCACCTCCCTGGTTCAAGTGACTCTCCTGCCTCAGCCCCCCGAGTAACTGGGATTACAGGCGCCCACCACCACACTCGGCTAATTTTTGTATTTTTAGTAGAGACAGGGTTTCACCATGTTGGCCAGGCTGGTCTCGAACTCCTGACCTCAGGTGATCCACCCTCCTCAGTCTCCCAAAGGGCTTGGATTATAGGTGTGAGCCATGGCGCCCAGCCAGAATATGTTATCTTTAATAAGAAACTGGCTGCAAAGTATCAAGTAGCCAAAAATGCTGAGAGAAATGGGGAGTACCTAGAGGAAAAAACTTTAAAATTATCTCTTTCATTCTATGGACCTGGAGGACCCTGATTTAAACAGAATGAAAATTTTTGGTAGGGACAGTTTTTCAATATGATTTTTCCTCATCTTTTCAGAATCTAATTTATAGAGATAAAACAGATGGCCCCAAAAACATGACTTTTGGAGGCAGCCATAACAATATATCTTTTATTGAAGGAAATAAGCTCAAGGGGCAGTAAAGCAGGTAACCAGCAGAAATGGCAGATGGAGGTGCTAACTGTGCCTCACATTGAAACCAAATCTGTGTAATGAAGGCACTGACCATCACGCCTTTTGACAAACGTACCAGCCTCTGGAGACGGCAGACAGGAAGCCAGGAACACATCCCTAAGGTGTCAGCAGGAGGCTGGGCATCTCTCTTGAGTGATGACAAAAACACTGTCTCAAAGGTCAGAAGAACTGTTCTGTGAGCACTGGGGAGGTCCGGAAAAGGTTAAAGAGCTTATTGAGTTCAGCAAAGTCCTCAAGTAATTTCTGTTTTCATTTTCTTCATTTTCCTTGGCAGCTAATCATCATGGACATGGAGAGCTCGATGCCACGACCCCACTAGAGCCAGGGTGATAAATAGAGAAGATGGCTAGGGTAGAGCACACAAGGAGAGCAGGTTCAGGGAGAGATGAAGATGAGACCAAAGCGGGAAGAGTGAAGGGAAGATTAACCTCCCCTTGCTGAGACGTGTGACACTCAAGGCCCAAATCAGAAAACTTCTGCTTGAGGAAACATTACTCTTTCCTCCATGACTGCTGGTGGTATCCATCTGTCAGACTCCCTGAGCCTTGATGCCCCTCACTCCTTCTGCTGTGGAGTAGGAACGTGAAACACAAACAGTCATCCCTCCAATTCCTCCAACCCATGGGGGATTGGTTCCATGACCCCTAACAAATACCAAATTTCATGGATGTTCAAGTCCCTTATTGCAAATGGCATGGTATTTGCATATAACCGATGCACATCCCCCCATCTACTTTAAATCATCTCTAGATTATCTATAATACCTAACACAATGTAAACGCTATGCAAATAGTTGTTATACCATATTGTTTTTTAAACTTGTATTAGTTTTCATTGTTGTTTTGTTATTTTTATTGTTTTATTTTTCCTAAATATTTTCGATTCACAGTTGGTTGAATTTGGGATGTAGAACCTGTGGATGTGGAGAACTAACTGTAACAATAACAGGGAGGCAGCTGTCATTCAGTCCACTGTCTCCATGGCCTGAACAAGACATGCTGGATCATCTCGAAATGTCATTTGTAGAACAAAATATTTCGAGTCTCACAAGACTTCTCTCCACTATTATGCACTGCTGTTGTCCCGTTTCTGGGACTTGAGTGATCACGTCATCTCTCTGGACCTCAAGTTCCTCATCCATGAAGGGGAAGAAACGAGCTTAGGGTGCCTATTGCTCAAATGCTCCTGTTCTTTCTCTTTTTGAGAATTAGTCACAGGGACTTCCCATGTCTTGGTTTGCTCTTGTACTGTTATTTTGTTGTCTTTTGGTTTGCTTGTTTATTCATTTGTTTGTTTGTTTTCACAACTGGTTGGTTTAATAAAGTTTTATAGAATGCTTTGCATTTAGAAAAACCCTTCCATTTTAATGATGCATTGTGAGCTACAGTAGTAATGTTCTCCCACCCCTACCCTACTGAGTGGTATTTTGTGCTCTGCTTCCTGAATTGCAAAAATTATATATATATGTGTGTGTGTATATATATACGTATATATAAAATTATATATACGTATATATATAATTATACATATGTGTATATATAATTATATATGTATATATATTATATATATACACACACATATATATAGTGTGTGTGTATACAATTTGTACTTTTTATCCAAATACAATAGCATAATTGACAGCTGATGTCATATGCTCAGAGTAACCATGGGTCAATCAACAACCAAACCCCTGGCTGCAGATGTCTTCCCCAGTTACTCAATGTTTATAGCGAGGTATTAAAATTGGTATTGTAGATATAACCAGATCAATAATTCTGTGAGTATTCTGAAGCACGTAGGTGGTAAAATTATCATAGAAAAGCATATGCCAGGCAGCACACTAGCATCTTCTCTTTAATAACACTATTAATATACGTTTATTCAAATAATTTACTGGTTTCTTCTTGGGTTGTGTCAAGTGACAAGAAAAAGTTCAGTAAATGTATAACTGATAGTAAAGTTATTTTTCTCCTAGTATTTCATAAAAATATGTTATGGCCAGCAACTACCATCATCTTCATGGTTTAATTTCACTTTTCCATTCTGGAATCTCTATACTTCACTCAGTTCTCAGATCTGGAAAATTCTCAGCTATTCTTTTTTTTAATAGATAAATCTTGTCTCTTGTACATATTTATGGGTTACATAGTGATGTTTCCATA
This sequence comes from Homo sapiens, assembly GCF_000001405.40. NCBI lineage: Eukaryota > Metazoa > Chordata > Mammalia > Primates > Hominidae > Homo > Homo sapiens. Next base: position 27,727,674 of record NC_000018.10, read on the forward strand.
AATAGAATGTATAGTGATCAGATCAGTGTAATTAGCATATTTATCTTCAGAAACATTTCTCATTTATTTGTGTTGGGTATGTTTAATATGCTCCTTCTAGCTATTTAAAACTGTACATAGTTATTAACTACAGTCATCCTACAATGTTACAGAACACTGGAATTTATTCCTGCTATCTAGCTGTAATTTTGTATCCTTTAACAAATCTTTCCCTATCCCTACCTTTCCTCTATCCTCCCCAGCCTCAATGCAGCCATGTCCTGGGCCTGAGAAACAGCCACCTTTGACGAGCATGCACCTGGACCCATAGAGCACTGCTGAGTAGCCCAGTGCTTGAGTCCTGGCCTGCAAAATAGTCTTGTTCCTCCCCTATCCCATCCTCTGCACCTGAAAAATAGGCCCATGGTCCACTCTCAAGTAGACACATCTCAGGCCATCCACCAAGCAGGTGTGTGCCTATGTCAAGAGCCAGAGGAACAGCTCCCAGTCCCAGGTGCCACTCTCTTTTGCTCATCTTATTCAATTTCTTTTTGGACTTTCTCATTTTATCTTCCATGTCGTTTACTCTTCTTCCATTTGTGCCATCTCATTGTTTCTCTGCATGGGCCCAAGGCCAAATTCTCTTTCTTCCTAAGTTCTGGAGCCTACAGCTGTGACCATTACATACCTGCCCACTCCCAGGACAGTTCACAAGCTTATAGCTCTGGTTTTTGGGATTCTTCTTAGTTTCACTTATCATAAGGTTTTCCTTTCTTTCAAGCTTAGTTATGAAATAATTACATATTATCTATTTTTTTTTTGAGATAGGAACTCACTATGCTGCCCAGGCAGGTCTTGAACTCCTGGTCTCAAGTGATCCTCCCACCTCAGCCTCCCAAGCAGCTGGAACATGAATGTGCACCACTGTACCTGGCTTCAATATTCTCATGGGTTTGTAGCAGGAGATGGACTTTAATAGCACAATTTTCCCAGTTGCTGGAACTAAAAAAGTCCCAAATAGAAATTCTAGGGAAAAACATTTAATTTAAAGATATTTGAAAGAGATTTCAGAAAGGAGAATCAAAGAGAGTCCCCAAAAGATAAATAAATCCATATACAGAATTATGAAACTACAGAACATCAAAGATATAGTGAAAATATTAACAAACAACCTAATGGTGAATCATGGAGTACATGACTCACCATTTCCTCTATCCAGGAAAAAGGGGAGTTATGGCCAAACAGGGAAACATCACTGTTTATTGAAGAAGAAAATTTGGGCATCAGATTTATCATTAACAATAACAGATGCCAGAAGAAAATAAATATCTTCAAACTGATGAAGAGAAATAACAGAAAATCTAGAATTTTATACCCAGCTAAATGAAACTAAAGAATGCAAACAAAATAGACACATTCACAATTTAGGGTTTATCACTTGCAGACTTAGCTCAAAGAAACACTTAGGGAGCATCCCTCAAGAAAAGAGAAATTAACTCAGAAAGATAAAGGGGGATGGATTCGAGAAGTAACTAACAATGAAAGAAAGTGGCAAATGTAGGTAAATCTAAGCAATTATGATAGGATCCTAAGTAAAACTTCCCCTGGGACCTCATTACTGCAACTAAGGAGAAAAAGCCTCCAAAATGGTGCTTAACACCACCCTACACACATTATAATGGAGCCACTGGTATTAGGATACAGCTTATCCTCAAACAAGTGGCCACACACCCACTTAGAACTACCAGTTCCCATATTTACCCCTACTTGGTATTTTAATAGTCCTGGAAAGAGGAAAAGGATTTTTCATCAGCCTTGTAGAAAGTACAATGCACATGAAAGAGTTCTTTTCTCCCTTTCATTTTGAAACAAGGAAAGAGAGTCTTTCTTTTCCTCTAAGGCATGGGACCAGGGTAAAGTTCTGAGAAGTTTCTCATAAAGATTAATAGTTAAGTCAGGCAAGAATGGGGAAAATTTTTAAACTTTTTTAAGTTCAGGGGTACATGTGCAGGTTTGTCATATAGGTAAAGTTGCATCATGGGGGTTTGTTGTACAGATTTCATCACCTGGATATTATGCCTAATACCCATTAGTTATTTTTCCTGATTCTGTCCCTCCCACCCTCCACCCTCCAATAGGCCCCAGTGTGTGTTGTTCCCCTTTATGTATTTATGCGTTCTTGTCATTTAGCTCCCACTTATAAGTGAGAAACTGCAGTATTTGATTTTCTGTTCCTGTGTTAGTTTGCTAAGGATAATGGCCTCTAGCTCCATCCATGTTACTGCAAGAGACATGATCGCATTGCTTTTTATGGCTGCATAGTATTCCATGGTGTTTATGTACCACATTTTCTTTTCCAGCCTATCATTAATGGACATTTAGGTTGATTCCACAACTTTGCTATTGTGAATAGTGTTGCAATGAACAGATGCATGCATGTGTCTTTATAGTAGAATGATTTATAAGAATGGGGAAATTTGAATTTCATTCACTTGGGGACTTCAACTTGGCCAGTAGACCTGCTGATTCTCCCAATACTGAGTAGAGGAAAAGAGAGTTGGAGAGAGTGAAAGAGCAGTCTGCAGGGTGGAGAAGGAGACCATTAATACCATATAAGTACCCTAGAAGTTACAGAAGTGGTAGCAATTCTCAAATCTGGCCTTGTGGGACTGAATGGGTAGAACACTAGAGACACATCCAGTCTCTGAGTGCATATAAATTGAAATGGTATTTAAAGCCAGCCAATCAATAAAAAGACCAGAACTTCATCCAGATGGGCTGAGGCTCACTGCACTTTCCCATTCCCTTTTCTTCTACCCCATCCTATCAGAGGTGCGACCAAAAGGAAAATGTTATATCTCTTCCTTACTCCCTCTACTTAAGCTACTAGTGCATCAGACAGTGCTACAAAGAAGGCTCAAATAGCTCTCAAAAAACATTAAATAGCGAATGTTTATTTAGAAATGCATAGGAATGCTATTATTTTAACACCCCTATTCAGATGACTATGAAATTAGATGGATTCATTATTAAGAGGAACAAAGAAAATAGAATTCATAAGAGAAGAAAAAATGGGGGAAAGGCAAAAATAAGAAACTTGGTAAAATGGAAAAGGCATAATAATATGGTATAGATAAATCTTAATATATGTGTTAGATATTTGAATGAGTCTCTCAGGTTTAATTTAAAAACATTTAAATCCAGCTATATGTGCCATATAAGAGATATATTTGAAATTTAAAGACATGAGTATAAAGAAAAAATATACTAAGTAGAAAAGAAGTCTGTTTTAGCTATACTGAAAATAAACTTCAAGGTAATAAAGAGAATCATTATGTAATCATAAAAGACAATTTCTTCACCAGAAAGTTTTGACACTTTTGATCTTAATGCACCTAGCAACTTAACCACATAAGAAGTGAAGCGGATATCAATGGACATACTATAAAATATTGATAAATCAACAGTGGAGGTAGAAGTATTTTATCCCACTCTCAAAAATAATCAGGAGTGTAAAAAATTAAAGAGTTTTTAACAAAACAATTTAAAATGTTAATAAAAATTTAAAATTAGATATCCAAATGCAAAAAAGGAAGTTACCTAAGAACTAGTGAAAAAATGAACAAATTCCTACATAAAAACTGAGAGTAAGGAAAGCTTCTTGAACTGTGACTCAAAATTCAAAAGTAAATTATATAAAAATTAAAAATAAAAACTTTCACTAGCCAATTAAAAAACTGCAAAATCAGCTATTTTCAACTTACGCCACAAAGCGTTAATATTCCTACTATACAAAGAGCTTCTAAACATTGAGAAGAAAAACACCAACAAACCAACAGAAAAAATGTGCATAGGCTATGAACAAAATGTGAATGACCCTTCATCATAGAAGCGTTTTTAACATTTTTTTCTATATTTTACTTTAATTGAAAATGTGTGCATTCTCTACAAGTAAAAACCAGAAAACAAGTTACCTAACAATTGGCATGCCATATTTAAAACCAAATGAATCCAAGTGAATATTAAACAGAGTATTTTGACCCTATATGGCTAGTGGCACATGTAGACTGATAAATCATCCAGGTTTTACGTAGGACTGAGGAGTTTCCTAAGACACAGGACTTTTAATGCTATAACCAGGAAAGTTCCAGGTAAACCAAAACAAGCTGATCACCCTAATTCTAAGAGAAATAATAAATGCAAGGAAATCTTAAACTTTGAATATGGTAGTTATATACTACTTTGGAGTTACTGTAAATATATGGCAAGATAAAGTAATATGTTAATGTTGTTATTTAACAGTAATGACAGTTCTAGAGCCAGGCAACACTCCATTTCATTAAATAGAATAAGTGTTCCAATGAGCTGAGCAGAAGGGATTGGTTTCATAGACAGAAAAGGGCTGAAGAAGGCGGACACAAAGACCAAAAGGTAGATTTAAATAAATAAATACAACATAACAATGTTTATTTAACACTGTTGTTTATTTCACAATGTTGTTATTATTAAATAAAAATTATCAGAGCCCATTGTTTTGGATTGAGCTCCTGCACTAGGCCCCAAGAGATCAGAATAAAACCAAAATGAAGTCACTTATACTAAAGTTTCATTTCACCAAACCAAAAGTAAGTTGTTATCTGACCTTCTGGGAAATCAGAAGAGAGAAATAATAGACAAATTTCTCAAACAGGCCAGTGTCAGTCGACATAATAATAAACTTTCCTCTGTGCTAATCCACACCAAGAAAAATAAAATTATCTTGAAGTAAGCTGATGTTAACTAATCAGTTATTTTTCTATTATTCTGTTTCCCTGTGTCTGCCTTACAAAGAAAATAACTTTAAAATGACCAATCTACCTTTTGCTCTTTGTGTCTACTTTCTTCAGCACCTCTTCTGTCTATAAAACCAATCCCCTCTCCTCAGCTCATTGGAACACTTATTCTATGTAATGAAATGAAGTGTTACCTGACTCTAGAGCTGCAAATAGAGCAAATTAATTTCTTTAAATTGTTATAACTTCATCTTTTGACATTATGAACCAAGATTTCAGCATAAGAGAAAAGCATCAGTAATATAAGTAAAAAATAAGGAACAAGTAAATATGCTTCCCGAGTACCCTCAGAAAAATGAACAGAGCAACTAGGAATACAAAACCAAAAATGCACAGGCAACATTTACAATAAGATTAAGTGACAAAGCATTCCCACAGTCCACAAAATAGAAGAATATGTGAACAAAACATGCTATCAGCATCCATGTAGAAGATAACAGAGGAAAGCAATGAGCTATATCTGCTGGACCTGAAAATGAGAAAACATCTGAACTGTTAATACTGTTAATAGAGAACCCTTAAACTGTCAATAAACTGTCAATGGAGAATCCCTAAACTGACAAAAGACTGTCAACAGAGAATACCTAAATTGTCAATAGGTATTTATTGTGAAGTGTGAGAGGCCAAAATAAAATTGGAAGGGTTTTGAACACTCACAGGTAATTATTAGGTGTGGCTCTGAAGGATCAGGCACTCTGGGAAAATGGGCTCATGTAACTAAACAAATAAGGCCCCCTTTGAGGGGGGGAAAAAAAAAACCCTAGGAGAAACTGGTAGGAATTGTCTCCAAAGTAAGCAAGTCAGAATAAATAAAAGTAAAAGTTAAGGGAAACTTAAAGTAGGAGAGGAGGAAGGAGGTAGAATATCTCAGAAAAGAGAGTCATATTTACTGAGCTTTTAATTTATAAACATCTGACAAAGATAAAACAAGTACAAGTTTTAGATCTGTGAAGCTAACAAAGGTAACCTGACCCACCTGGCCTCCTAAAAGGTCAGTAAATCCAATAGTACACAAAAATAAGCAATGAACGGAACTGTGTCAAATGCAAAAAATAAAATAAATAATGAGTAGAATGTCCCTACAGATATTAAAAGTATTCCAGAAATATATAGCCATTAAACAGATGAAAACTATAACTATTTCAAACAAGCAAAAAGAAATTTTAAAATGTAATTTTAAAAATTAACCAACATAACAAGTTAGGATTAGAAAACTTAGATATAAGGTAAGAACTATGAATTAGAAATAAAATAAAAAAGTATTTCAGAAATGAAGCCTGAACTAGAATTCACACATGAGGAAGCAGAGACAACACACAATACTTTAAAACAAGTAGAAAATAAAAATGATAGAAATTTAGAATTAAAAAAAGGTTAAGAAGTAGTTGAGAGAGTGGCAAACATCGTTGACATGTATAAAGGGGCTCCTAAAGAGGAAACCTAAGAATGATACAGAACAAATATTCAAATTAAGAAAAATTTACCAAAAAAGATTTTTTAAAAAAGATTATTGAAAGGGCACAATGGGTATCTGGAAAAAAACAGATGACCCACTAAAACATTATCTAATAAAATTACTGGACTTTAAAGATCAAGAAAAAATTCCTTGAGCCTTAAGGCAATGAAACCAAGATGCTTATTAGGGAAAGAAAATGAGATAGGCAAAAGCGTTTAGTTGTTAATTTTTAATAACATTTTATGCTAGCTTTGGATGAAGTAACTGGAGACACTGGCATAAGGACCAGCGTGTCCCCTGGGAGGCTACAGTTGGCCTGGTAAGGCCAACTGCAGAGATGCTAGTAAAGTCTCTTCCTCAGAAGAAAAAGCTCCAAATCCCTGGGGTTCCTATTCTAAAATCTTAAGTTCCTATACCCTTGTCTCTTCCCTTTTGTTTGTTTCCTGGGTCAACTGTAATTATCTGGGAAAACTCAATATCTTCTAAAATACAATATACATAAAATTCTCAGCTTTAAAAAAGACTTCTTTTTTTTTTTTTTTTTTTTTTGAGACAGACTCTTGCTCTGTCACCAAAGCTGGAGTGCAGGGGTGCTATCTTGGCTCACTGCAACCTCCACCTCCCAGGTTCAAGCGATTCCCCTGCCTCAGCCTAGCCTCCCAAGTAGTTGGGACTACAGGCATGTGCCACCACAACCGGCTAATTTTTTGTATTTTAGTAGAGATGGGGTTTCACCATGTTGGCCAGGATGGTCTCAATCTCCTGACCTTGTGATCCGCCTGCCTTGGCCTCCCAAAGTGCTGGGATTACAGGCATGAGCCACCGCACCCGACCAAAAAAGACATTTTTAAAATTAGAAATATCAATATAAATGCATTATTTTTCCTTCAAAAATTGAGTTTTGTTGCTCTGTTCATTGAAAACATCAAGAAGGAATGATGTGCCAGTAGCAATGAACTTAGCCATCACCCAAGACCCTAAATTTCATTTTCCACTACAAAGAACCAAAGCTTCTTGGAAAAATTCCTTATTCTAGGTCTTGCAAAGAAAGTGTACAAAATGAGCTGGAGATATCTTAGTAGGCTACCAAGCAAGGAAGCTATCAAAGAGTAACGAGATTATAGGGGCCAACATAGAGGAGTATTCACCAGTCAAAAGCTGGCACAATTTGAGCAAAGGCAGAATAGACATATTGAAGGAAATTAAATACTTTTTTAGAAATCCATGCATTTAGAGTAATATTAAAAATTCGTTAAATTGTAATAACACTGAAAAATGTTTTAAAACACACACACTGGTCATTGCTATGGTCTGAATGTGTGTGTGTCTCACCAGATTTCAATGTGATAGTATTAAGAGGTGGAGCCTTTGGGAAGTGATGATGTCATCAGGGTTCCATGCTTATGAATTGGATTAGTGCTCTCATGAAAGAGGCTCAAGGGAGCTCCTATCCTCTTTTGTTCTTTCCACCTGGTGAAGATGCAGGCAGCAAGCCATTATTTATGAAGCAGAGAGTAAGCACCCAACAGATACTGAATCTTCCAGTATCTTAACCTTGGATTTCTTAGCTTCCAGAACCATGATTAATATGTTTCTGTTGTTTATAAACTACCAGTCTAAAGTATTTCATTATAGCTGCCCAAGTGGACTAAAACAGTTATCACAGGAGTTCACTAGAGCACCAAATCACTATGAAAATGATAAAATAAATCAAAGACATGCCTTTCTGTACAAATTATATTTCACATAATTGGTGATAGAATGTTCTTTAAAATGCACAAAGAATTGTAGACTTAGAAAATCACTATTTTGAAACCCATAATGAAATAAATAATGGATATAGACAATGATTGTCATAAATATTAAAACTATCATGTGAAATGATGATTGGTAAATTGATAATGGATGAATGAGCCAAGACAACCTGAACCCAATAATTCATCTTGGCATTACTGAAAGGGGAAGAGACAGATCTTCTGTGCCTTGTTTTGTAACACAGCAGGAATGGAGGGCTCTTATCTAAACAAAAACTGAATGTGAATAAAATGATTCTCTAGATCATACTACCAACTTACAGGGAATATAGAAGATAAACAAGTTAAAGAACATTGGAAGAAAATGCTCACTAGAATCCAGAATACAGTATTCCTATGTGAAGTGCTTTCTAGAACAAATCAAAGAAATGAAAAAAAAAGTGAGAGGGGATGATGGTTATAGAATGAGAGAGACTTAAAAAGGAATCAAATGCAAGATGTGGATCTTGTTTGAATTCAAATATTCATATATATTAATATATTAATACCTAAAGGACACATTTAGACAATTGGAGAGTTTTTATTAATTCAAATATATTAATACCTAAAAGACATATTTAGACACTTGGGGAGTTTTTCTACCTCTACCCATGGGCTAAAAGTTTAAATACCTTTTTTTCCTTAAGAAGAATAACAGAGCACTCCCCCAAGTGTGGCAGAGGCTAGAATTTTAAAATTTCTCACAGACACACACCAAAAATCATCATCCTAATAGATTCCAATTATTTGTGGCTAACCAAAATCTTTGAATTTTAAAACTTCTCACAGATACACACCAAAAATCATCATCCTCATAGAGTCTAATTATATGTGGCTAACCAACATCTTTGAAAAACCTTTTTACATTGCATTAATTTCTCACATTTAAAGTTCCTCCTTTACAAGGTAGAAAAAGAAAATTCATATCTCTGGACTCCCAGTAGTGAGGATTCCAACAATGAGATATTTTGACTCTCGGAAGGAGAGAAGGGAAGAAGTCACTGTGAGAGAAGGATAAATATTCTGGCAAACATGATAGCAGAGGCCCCAGGAGAAGAGACAGAGGTGGAGCTTCTGGCATCCAGTTTTGAGGATCACAGTGACATCCTATAGTGGATTGGCCGTTATACCAGGCTGGGAGCTCCAGATTCCAGCTTTCTGGGGCTCTTTCATATTCTTTTCTGCTTGAAGTGTATAGGTTATTAATATTGTTTGCAACCAAGGCCCTTGAGTGTCAGTCACCCAGAGCCTCTTTGCTGTTTCCCTAGGCCAGTGGGTGAAGTACTTTTGTTTCCTGTGCAATGAACTGATTTTTCAAACAAAACAATGCAATTGAAAAAAGAAAGAAAGAAAGAAAGGGCCAGGCACAGTGGCTCTTGATTGTAATCCCAGCACTGTCGGAGGCCAAGGTGGACACATCACTTGAGCTCAGGAGTTTGAGAGCAGCCTGGCCAAGACGATGAAACCCCACCTCCACAGAAAATACAAAAATTAGCTGGGTGTGGTGGTGTGCACCTGTAGTTCCAGCTACTCGGGAGGCTAAGGTGGGAGGACTGCTTGAGTCTGGGAGGTGGAGGTTGCAGTGAGCAGAGAATGCACCACTGCACTCCAGCCTGGGTGACAGAGAAAGACCCTGTCTCAAAAAAAAAGAAAAAAGAAAAAAGAAAAAAATGTGTTTTTCTTTTACTTAATGGTTTAGGACTTTAGATGACTCAGATTTAGGCAACTGTCTCAGTTCTTGTTCCAGACTTCATCTTGGCCCAAAGCTCAGTATCCCATCCCCATGTGGGCATATTAGTCCATTTTTATACTGCTGTAAAGAACTGCCTGAGACTGGGTAATTTATAAGGAAAGAGATTTAATTGACCCACAGTTCCACATGGCTGGGGAGGCCTCGGGAAACTTAATCACGGCAGAAGGCGAAGGAGAAGCAAGGTGGCAGGAGAGAGAGAGAGGGCAGGGGAAACTGCCACTTTTTTAAATTATTTATTTATTTATTTATTTTTATTATACTTTAAGTTTTAGGGTACATGTGCACATTGTGCAGGTTAGTTACATATGTATACATGTGCCATGCTGGTGCGCTGCACCCACTAACTCGTCATCTAGCATTAGGTATATCTCCCAATGCTATCCCTCCCCCCTCCCCCCACCCCACCACAGTCCCCAGAGTGTGATATTCCCCTTCCTGTGTCCATGTGATCTCATTGTTCAATTCCCACCTATGAGTGAGAATATGCGGTGTTTGGTTTTTTGTTCTTGCGATAGTTTACTGAGAATGATGATTTCCAATTTCATCCATGTCCCTACAAAGGACATGAACTCATCATTTTTTATGGCTGCATAGTATTCCATGGTGTATATGTGCCACATTTTCTTAATCCAGTCTATCATTGTTGGACATTTGGGTTGGTTCCAAGTCTTTGCTGTTGTGAATAATGCCGCAATAAACATACGTGTGCATGTGTCTTTATCGCAGCATGATTTATAGTCCTTTGGGTATATACCCAGTAATGGGATGGCTGGGTCAAATGGTATTTCTAGTTCTAGATCCCTGAGGAGTCGCCACACTGACTTCCACAACGGTTGAACTAGTTTACAGTCCCACCAACAGTGTAAAAGTGTTCCTATTTCTCCACATCCTCTCCAGCACCTGTTGTTTCCTGACTTTTTAATGATTGCCATTCTAACTGGTGTGAGATGGTATCTCATTGTGGTTTTGATTTGCATTTCTCTGATGGCCAGTGATGATGAGCATTTTTTCATGTGTTTTTTGGCTGCATACATGTCTTCTTTTGAGAAGTGTCTGTTCATGTCCTTCGCCCACTTTTTGATGGGGTTGTTTGTTTTTTTCTTGTAAATTTGTTTGAGTTCATTGTAGATTCTGGATATTAGCCCTTTGTCAGATGAGTAGGTTGCGAAAATTTTCTCCCATTCTGTAGGTTGCCTGTTCACTCTGATGGTAGTTTCTTTTGCTGTGCAGAAGCTCTTTAGTTTAATTAGATCCCATTTGTCAATTTTGTCTTTTGTTGTCATTGCTTTTGGTGTTTTGGACATGAAGTCCTTGCCCATGCCTATGTCCTGAATGGTGATGCCTAGGTTTTCTTCTAGGGTTTTTACGGTTTTAGGTCTAATGTTTAAGTCTTTAATTCATCTTGAATTGATTTTTGTATAAGGTGTAAGGAAGGGATCCAGTTTCAGCTTTCTACATATGGCTAGCCAGTTTTCCCAGCACCATTTATTAAATAGGGAATCCTTTCCCCATTGCTTGTTTTTCTCAGGTTTGTCAAAGATCAGATAGTTGTAGATAAGCGGCGTTATTTCTGAGGGCTCTGTTCTGTTCCATTGATCTATATCTCTGTTTTGGTACCAGTACCATGCTGTTTTGGTTACTGTAGCCTTGAAGTATAGTTTGAAGTCAGGTAGTGTGATGCCTCCAGCTTCGTTCTTTTGGCTTAGGATTGCCTTGGCAATGTGGGCTCTTTTTTGGTTCCATATGAACTTTAAAGTAGTTTTTTCCAATTCTGTGAAGAAAGGCATTGGTAGCTTTATGGGGATGGCATTGAATCTGTAAATAACCTTGGGCAGTATGGCCGTTTTCACGATATTGATTCTTCCTACCCATGAGCATAGAATGCTCTTCCATTTGTTTGTATCCTCTTTTATTTCCTTGAGCAGTGGTTTGTAGTTCTCCTTGAAGAGGTCCTTCACATCCTTTGTTAGTTGGATTCCTAGGTATTTTATTCTCTTTGAAGCAATTGTGAATGGGAGTTCACTCATGATTTGGCTGTTTGTCTGTTGTTGGTGTATAAGAATGCTTGTGACTTTTGTACATTGATTTTGTATCCTGAGACTTTGCTGAAGTTGCTTATCACCTTAAGGAGATTTTGGGCTGAGACAATGGGGTTTTCTAGATATACAATCATGCCATCTGCAAACAGGGACAATTTGACTTCCTCTTTTCCTAATTGAATACCCTTTATTTCCTTCTCCTGCCTAATTGCCCTGGCCAGAACTTCCAACACTATGTTGAATAGGAGTGGTGAGAGAGGGCATCCCTGTCTTGTGCCAGTTTTCAAAGGGAATGCTTCTAGTTTTTGCCCATTTAGTATGATATTGGCTGTGGGTTTGTCATAGATAGCTCTTATTATTTTGAAATATGTCCCATCAATACCTAATTTATTGAGAGTTTTTAGCATGAAGAGTTGTTGAATTTTGTCAAAGGCCTTTTCTGCATCTATTGAGATAATCATGTGGTTTTTGTCTTTGGCTCTGTTTATATGCTGGATTACATTTATTGATTTGTGTATATTGAACCAGCCTTGCATCCCAGGGATGAAGCCCACTTGATCATGGTGGATAAGCTTTTTGATGTGCTGCTGGATTCGTTTTGCCAGTATTTTATTGAGGATTTTTGCATCAATGTTCATCAAGGATATTGGTCTAAAATTCTCTTTTTTGGTTGTGTCTCTGCCCGGCTTTGGTATCAGAATGATGCTGGCCTCATAAAATGAGTTAGGGAGGATTCCCTCTTTTTCTATTGATTGGAATAGTTTCAGAAGGAATGGTACCAGTTCCTCCTTGTACCTCTGGTAGAATTCAGCTGTGAATCCATCTGGTCCTGGACTCTTTTTGGTTGGTAAACTATTGATTATTGCCACAATTTCAGCTCCTGTTATTGGTCTATTCAGAGATTCAACTTCTTCCTGGTTTAGTCTTGGGAGAGTGTATGTGTCGAGGAATTTATCCATTTCTTCTAGATTTTCTAGTTTATTTGCATAGAGGTGTTTGTAGTATTCTCTGATGGTAGTTTGTATTTCTGTGGGATTGGTGGTGATATCCCCTTTATCATTTTTTATTGTGTCTATTTGATTCTTCTCTCTTTTTTTCTTTATTAGTCTTGCTAGTGGTCTATCAGTTTTGTTGATCCTTTCAAAAAACCAGCTCCTGGATTCATTAATTTTTTGAAGGGTTTTTTGTGTCTCTATTTCCTTCAGTTCTGCTCTGATTTTAGTTATTTCTTGCCTTCTGCTAGCTTTTGAATGTGTTTGCTCTTGCTTTTCTAGTTCTTTTAATTGTGATGTTAGGGTGTCAATTTTGGATCTTTCCTGCTTTCTCTTGTGGGCATTTAGTGCTATAAATTTCCCTCTACACACTGCTTTGAATGCATCCCAGAGATTCTGGTATGTTGTGTCTTTGTTCTCGTTGGTTTCAAAGAACATCTTTATTTCTGCCTTCATTTCGTTATGTATCCAGTAGTCATTCAGGAGCAGGTTGTTCAGTTTCCATGTAGTTGAGCGGTTTTGAGTGAGATTCTTAATTTTGAGTTCTAGTTTGATTGCACTGTGGTCTGAGAGATAGTTTGTTATAATCTCTGTTCTTTTACATTTGCTGAGGAGAGCTTTACTTCCAAGTATGTGGTCAATTTTGGAATAGGTGTGGTGTGGTGCTGAAAAAAATGTATATTCTGTTGATTTGGGGTGGAGAGTTCTGTAGATGTCTATTAAGTCCGCTTGGTGCAGAACTGAGTTCAATTCCTGGGTATCCTTGTTGACTTTCTGTCTCGTTGATCTGTCTAATGTTGACAGTGGGGTGTTAAAGTCTCCCATTATTAATGTGTGGGAGTCTAAGTCTCTTTGTAGGTCACTCAGGACTTGCTTTATGAATCTGGGTGCTCCTGTATTGGGTGCATATATATTTAGGATAGTTAGCTCTTCCTGTTGAATTGATCCCTTTACCATTATGTAATGGCCTTCTTTGTCTCTTTTGATCTTTGTTGGTTTAAAGTCTGTTTTATCAGAGACTAGGATTGCAACCCCTGCCTTTTTTTGTTTTCCATTGGCTTGGTAGATCTTCCTCCATCCTTTTATTTTGAGCCTATGTGTGTCTCTGCACATGAGATGGGTTTCCTGAATACAGCACTCTGATGGGTCTTGACTCTTTATCCAATTTGCCAGTCTGTGTCTTTTAATTGGAGCATTTAGTCCATTTACATTTAAAGTTAATATTGTTATGTGTGAATTTGATCCTGTCATTATGATGTTAGCTGGTTATTTTGCTCGTTAGTTGATGCAGTTTCTTCCTAGTCTCGATGGTCTTTACATTTTGGCATGATTTTGCAGTGGCTGGTACCGGTTGTTCCTTTCCATGTTTAGCGCTTCCTTCAGGAGCTCTTTTAGGGCATGCCTGGTTGTGACAAAATCTCTCAGCATTTGCTTGTCTGTAAAGTATTTTATTTCTCCTTCACTTATGAAGCTTAGTTTGGCTGGATATGAAATTCTGGGTTGAAAATTCTTTTCTTTAAGAATGTTGAATATTGGCCCCCACTCTCTTCTGGCTTGTAGGGTTTCTGCCGAGAGATCCGCTGTTAGTCTGATGGGCTTCCCTTTGAGGGTAACCCGACCTTTCTCTCTGGCTGCCCTTAACATTTTTTCCTTCATTTCAACTTTGGTGAATCTGACAATTATGTGTCTTGGAGTTGCTCTTCTCGAGGAGTATCTTTGTGGCGTTCTCTGTATTTCCTGAATCTGAACGTTGGCCTGCCTTGCTAGATTGGGGAAGTTCTCTGGGATAATATCCTGCAGAGTGTTTTCCAACTTGGTTCCATTCTCCCCATCACTTTCAGGTACACCAATCAGACGTTGATTTGGTCTTTTCACATAGTCCCATATTTCTTGGAGGCTTTGCTCATTTCTTTTTATTCTTCTTTCTCTAAACTTCCCTTCTCACTTCATTTAATTCATCTCATCTTCCATTGCTGATACCCTTTCTTCCAGTTAATCGCATCGGCTCCTGAGGCTTCTGCATTCTTCACGTAGTTCTCGAGCCTTGGTTTTCAGCTCCATCAGCTCCTTTAAGCACTTCTCTGTATTGGTTATTCTAGTTATACATTCTTCTAAATTTTTTTCAAAGTTTTCAACTTCTTTGCCTTTGGTTTGAATGTCCTCCCGTAGCTCAGAGTAATTTGATCGTCTGAAGCCTTCTTCTCTCAGCTCGTCAAAGTCATTCTCCATCCAGCTTTGTTCCGTTGCTGGTGAGGAACTGTGTTCCTTTGGAGGAGGAGAGGCGCTCTGCGTTTTAGAGATTCCCGTTTTTCTGTTCTGTTTTTCCCCATCTTTGTGGTTTTATCTACTTTTGGTCTTTGATGATGGTGAGGTACAGATGGGTTTTTGGTGTGGATGTCCTTTCTGTTTGTTAGTTTTCCTTCTAACAGACAGGACCCTCAGCTGCAGGTCTGTTGGAATACCCTGCCGTGTGAGATGTCAGTGTGCCCCTGCTGGGGGGTGCCTCCCAGTTGGGCTGCTCGGGGGTCAGGGGTCAGGGACCCACTTGAGGAGGCAGTCTGCCCGTTCTCAGATCTCCAGCTGCGTGCTGGGAGAACCACTGCTCCTTCAAAGCTGTCAGACAGGGACATTTAAGTCTGCAGAGGTTACTGCTGTCTTTTTGTTTGTCTGTGCCCTGCCCCCAGAGGTGGAGCCTATAGAGGCAGGCAGGCCTCCTTGAGCTGTGGTGGGCTCCACCCAGTTGGAGCTTCCCGGCTGCTTTGTTTACCTAAGCAAGCCTGGGCAATGGCGGGCGCCCCTCCCCCAGCCTCGCTGCCGCCTTGCAGTTTGATCTCAGACTGCTGTGCTAGCAATCAGCGAGATTCCGTGGGCGTAGGACCCTCTGAGCCAGGTGCCGGATATAATCTCGTGGTGCGCCGTTTTTTAAGCCGTTCCGAAAAGCGCAATATTCGCGTGGGAGTGACCCGATTTTCCAGGTGAGTCCATCACCCCTTTCTTTGACTCAGAAAGGGAACTCCCTGACCCCTTGCACTTCCCGAGTGAGGCAATGCCTCACCCTGCTTCGGCTCGCGCACGGTGCGCGCACCCACTGACCTGCGCCCACTGTCTGGCACTCCCTAGTGAGATGAACCCGGTACCTCAGATGGAAAGGCAGAAATCACCCGTCTTCTGCGTCGTCACGCTGGGAGCTGTAGACCGGAGCTGTTCCTATTCGGC
Source organism: Homo sapiens (assembly GCF_000001405.40). Taxonomy (NCBI): domain Eukaryota; kingdom Metazoa; phylum Chordata; class Mammalia; order Primates; family Hominidae; genus Homo; species Homo sapiens. The sequence continues at coordinate 27,743,734 of NC_000018.10, forward strand.
CATCTTGGCTCCTCCCCGGAAACTGCAACTTTTAAACTGTCAGATCTTGTGAGAATTCCCTCACTATCATGAGAACAGCATGGGAAAAACCACCCCCATGATCCAGTCACCTCCCACCAGGTCCCTCCCTCAGCATGTGGGGAATTACAATTTGAGATGAGATTTGGGTTGGGACACAGAGCCAAACCATATCAGTGGGCATTGACCCTACTCTGGAGCTTATGTTGATTTTGATATTTTATTACAGTGGCCAGCACTCTATGGCCCGCTGCCTATTTCTGTAAATAAAATTTTATTGCTACACTGCTACATTCATTCATATACATATTTTCTGTTACTTCTGGGCTATAATAGTTATAACATAGACCATATGGCCTCAAAAGCCTAAGGTATCTATCTGGCCCTTTACAGAAAATATTCACTAACTGCTCCTCTACTAGATCAGAATGGCATTGTTTGTGAGTTTCCACTTCATTTCTGGCACCTGGTGATTTTTCTTCTTGTGTCAAGTTTGAGAGAGAGAGAGAAAGAAAGAAACATAAAAAAGAGAGATTTTAATTTTGGCTTTATTCCTTTGTGGGGAGCAGTCCTCACCAGCTCATTCCACCACAGAGTTAAGAGTTCCTGGTATAATATGCAGAAATCTGAAATGCAATAGGAAAAAAATTACATGATGTCTTAGAAAAGAGGGAGGGATACAGGAATAACAAGAGCTATAATGCAATCTATAATTTATCAGCATGTACATACAGATACCTTGCTTTATCAGCAAAAACAATCTCTTGATGTGTCCCTCTTCTCATATATCTTAAAGCTATTTTCTCCTTTCTTTGCAAAATTGTTTCCAATTCTCTTTCGATTCATTAAGTATCCATTAATCAAGAATCACAAATTAAGGGTTAGGGTGAAAAAAAGAGATAAATTATTGTCCAGCCCTACTTCTGGATGCATATTCATTCATTTGTCAACACTTTGATCAATATAAAGGCAGCATAGCATATAGAGTTTCATCAGAACAGGGTGAGGTGAATGGAGAGTGCAAGTTCATGCAGCTCTTGTGTTTAATTGCTTTGTAAACATGAAGAATTTACATAAACTCTCCAGCCTCAATTTTCTACCTGTAAAAAGGGATTAATAATAGTAACTACTGTGAAAGTGAAATTGATTCATGTAAAGCATTTAGCTTAGTGTCTGTTACACAGCAATAGTTTGATGAATACCAGCTATTATCATCATCATCATCATCATCATCATTGGTAACCATGGTAATGGAAAAGAAAACGCTGACTAATAGACATGAATTTTATCCTGTAATGCTAGATGTTAAAAAAAAAGAAGAAGAAGAAAAAGAAAAGTTACTTTCTCCTTTCTCCTAAATCAAATGTTATATGTTTAGAAACCATCCCAGTAGTGGGGGCCAGACATGGTGGCTCATGCCTGTAATCCAGCACTTTGGGAGGCCAACATAAGAGGCCTCTCAAATGTGAGGCCAGGAGTACAAGACCAGCCTTGTCGACACAGTAAGACCTCATCTCTAGAAAAAAAAATTTTTTTTTAATTAGCTGGGCATGGTGGTACACACTTGTAGTCCCAGCTACTCAAGAGGCTGAGGTGGGAGATTCCCTTGAGCCTGGGAAGTTGAGGCTGCAGTGAGCTATAATCATGCCAGTGCACTCCAGCCTAGGCAATAGAATGAGGCTCTGAAAAAAAAAAAAAAAAAGAAAAGAAAAGAAAGAGAATAAAGAATAAAGAAACCATCCCACATCCCACTAGGATGGCAGTAAGTTCTATCTTAGCTATTTTTGAGACTGGTCTTTCCCAATCTCACAAATGTTTGCATTTCCTGTGGTGCACACATGGTCCAGAATATCTGCAGAAAGCCCATCTTTTCTTATCCATTGTGCTTGAAGATGGGTGGCTGTATTACTTTCATGAAAATTTCCCTCACCTCCCCAGGATAAAAATTTTAGTGTTTTGTTCCCACTACCACCACCTCCATTCCTATTACAACCCCCACCTTCAGCTTCTCAGGGACTTTCACATGGAAGCTGGGTAACTGGAGGCTGGTCTCAGCTACTCCTGAGACCAATAAACCCATTTCTTCTTCCTAGTGTCTGGATATCCCAAATCTCCTGAAACACATTGGCTTCTAATGCCCTTCTGTCAGTTCAATTTCTCAGGATCCCACCTGTGATGGTTAATATTGAGTTTCAACTTGATTGGACTGAAGGATGCAAACTATTGTTCCTAGGTGGTCTGTGAGCTTGTTGCCAAAAGAGATTAACATTTGAGTCAGTTGACTGGGAAAGGCAGACCCACCCTCAATCTGGGTGTGCACCATCTAATCAGATGTCAGCACGGCCAGGTAGAAGCAGGCAGACAAACGTGGAAAGAATAGACTGGCTAAGTCTTCTGGCCTCCATCTTTCTACTGTGCTGGGTGCTTCCTACCCTCGAACATCAGACTAGAAGTTCTTCAGCTTTTGGACTCTTGGACTTACACCAGTGATTTGCCAGGGGCTTTCTGGCCTTTGGCCACGGATTGAAGGCTGCACTACTGGCTTCTCTACTTTTGATGTTTTGGGACTTGGACTGGCTTCCTGGTTCTGCAGCTTGCAGACGGCCTATCATGGGACTTCACCTCGTGATCGTGTGAGTCAATTCTCCTAATAAACTCTCCTTCATATATACATCTATCCCATTAGTTCTGTTTGTCTAGAGAACCCTGACTAATACACCACCCGAATGGCCTTTTAGAAACTCTGACCCTCTCATTCCAAGGGTTGCATGTGGGGAATGAGATACTGGAAGGAGGCTTTTGTTTTCTGACTATCCAGTTACACAATAAATTAAGTGAGCAAGTAATGAGACCATGATAACTGGACAGAGGGGAAATAAGAATGAAAGACAAAGGCCGGACGTGGTTGCTCACACCTATAATCCCAGCACTTTGGGAGGCCGAGGTGGGCAGATCACGAGGTCAAGAGCTCGAGACCATCCTGGCCAACATGGTGAAACCCCGTCTCTATTAAAAATACAAAAATTAGCTGTGCGTGGTCACTTGTGCCTGTAGTCCCATCTACTCAGGAAGCTGAGGCAGGATAATCACTTGAACCCAGGAGGCAGAGGTTGCAGTGAGCTGAGATCGTGCCATTGCACTCCAGCCTGGCGATAGAGTGAGACTCCATCTGAAAAAAAAAAAAAAGAATGAAAGACAAAACAGCAAACAGGAAGCCAGCAGAGTGCCTCTGTGGATGGCTTTGGCACATCCACCCCACATGCACACTTTGTAATCAATATTATGTTTTCTACTTGGGCAAATGTATATGGCACATGTGTCCCAAATATAAGTGATTACCCCACTGTTTGAAGTTCTGTATTCATCTTGCTGTTTGAACTCCAATCAATTTATTTTCTTACATCCTGCCTGGAAATGGTCTCTAGTACCGAGATAACTAAGAGTGTCAGAAGATCCTGGAGCAGTTTTGCAAAAGCCACAAAGACAATGAAGAGTGAAAATAGAACCTATGTGAACGTTAGATTATCATTTAGTGGATAAAATGTAAAGAGGAAACCTAATAATGTTTGCCAGGTAGATAAAAGTTCTTCTACTGAACACATTGGCCAACTGTTCTTTGTTTCCGTGAAGGCAGAAACAAAAGGAAGCAACTTAATCTGAAGCCTAGGGGATTTAAAGACAAAGAGAACTTGGTGATACTGAGGATTATTAAGCCTTATAATCTGCTTGGTGGGGATGCCATGGAGGTTTGGATTTACCAAAGCGCTCTTATGTCGAAGACGGGGAAGGAAAGTAATATTCCCTGATTGTCTCAACTGGTTGTTATGTTAATTCCAAGACCTACACTGTGTAGAGCTACATTATTTAGAAAATTACACTATTCCAATTAGAAATTTTAAAAATGCATAAACCATCATAAAAGTATTTCTATTACACCTTTTAAAATAATATTATGTTTAACTCTGAGCAGATAAAGGGCCAACTGCAAGGCTATATTTAAATAAATTAAATATGCAATATTGAATATGGTTCTGCCTGTTATGGGTTGAATTGTATCCTCCCCCAAAAAAGCTCACATGAAATCATAAACCCCAGTACCTCAAAATGTGAACTTACTTGGAAATAGGTCATTGCAGATGTCATTACTTGTATCAGGATGAGGCCAGATTGAAGTGGTGGGCCACTAATCCAATATGACTGGTGTCTTTATGAAAAGTGGAAATTTGGGGACAGATGCATACAGGGAAGACAATGTAAACACACAAGGAGAACTCCAGATGAAGATCAAAGCTAAGATTGGAGCGATCCTTCTAAAAGCCAGACCATCAAAGATTGCCAGCAAACCACAAGATGCTAGAGGAGAGGCATGGGATGGATTATTCTTCCCACTCCTCAGAAGGAACCAACCCTGCTACCATGTTGATCTCAGACTTCTAGCATCCAATATTGACACTAAAATTGACAACAAATGTTTGTGTTTAAGCCACCCAGTTTGTGGTATTTGTTATGACAGCCCTAGAAAACTAATATATTGCCTCTGGCCACAAATAGATTTTAGTCTAATGGGAAAGAAAAGCAAACAGTAAGTGTTATAAATGATGCAATGGATGAGGTGTGTAGCATTATTCCCACGTAGGCACAAATCTGTGGCTTGCTTGGTAAAAAGAGTCTTGGGACAGTGCTGTGATACCCAAGCTGCTCACCAAACCCTCCCTCTCTTCCTCCTAAGTCACTCATCACTGTCACACATCATAGCCAAACTTCCCACCCCTAAGAATTGTGCTCGGATGTCTGGCATCACTTGAATGCACCTGACCTTGTGTTCAGACATAGGCTACCCTACCCAGTTAATCAGACCTATTAGCATAAATCATGGTGCTGTTAATGTAGAGTAATGCAAAGGTATAATCTGCTTTAAGATCATAGACTATGCAACCTAATGATTAAAAATAGTGGTGCTGATTGAAAGTGGCAGTGAAAATCACAGTGAGTCAAGTTGTGCATGTGTGCATGTGTCTGTGTTTCTGTTTTTCACTGTCTGTCAAGCTCCCTAAAGCACAATTCTGCCAAAGCTCTTAGTATTTGAGTCAAAAATGATGTCAAAGTAAGTAGGAAAAAAATGAGAACATTGGCCTTGACTAACAGATTGGTTGATTAAAAAGTTAATTCAGTAATACAAGCTTTTATTCAATCTCTAGAATGTGCACTGAATATTTCTTTGACCTTTTATATTTCCCTTGGTGGTATATATTCAAGCCTCCGGCACCCAGTCAAAACTCCCCACCTATTACCTCTTATTCCCACTCCATAAAAAAGGGAAGCAAATACCCGTCTATGTTCAGTGTGAGGAACCTGCATACATGCTAATTATCTGCAACCACTCTCCAGCTCAACTTGATTCTTTTTATCTTTCTACATGTAAAATTTGTTTCTGTTTTCAAATTCAGCATCTTGAATTATTTCTGTCAAGCCTCGCCTCAGCAGAAAGTAGATCCTTGGGTGGTCAGAGTAAAGGAAGGGAAAAGAGCAAGAATTGGGGAAAATGTTGGCTTTGGTTGTTTAAAGACTGAGCTGATTATCTCATTACTCCAGTTTCCGGCCCACTGGCCTGTGGAATGAGCACTCCTGGGTCACTCTGGGTTCCGGGGCACTACTGTGCTCTGTGCTCCACCCTTTCAGCTGCTGAGTTCATTCCTACTCCTGAGACAGTCTTTGATCTACTGAGTTAAGTTCTCAGGTAGAGAGTATTTTAATTGTGCAGCATGCTACACTGTCTGTGTTTTTTTATCCTGTAACAATTAATTCATCAGCAAAGTCAAAGGAAAAGTTCTTTGATCCCAAAGGATAAAAACTTCCCTTTATCAATCAATCTTCATCTACTCTACTGTAATTATGGATTATTTACCCAGAGCTCATCTCCCTGGCAGCTATAGCTAAGACGTCCATTGCTAACAAATGAGATAACATACAAGGTGATTTGTCATTATTTCAGGTCATTAGTTCTTAAGTGTTTAAACCTATCTTTTCACAATTGCTCTTTTTGCTATAGTGCTGGGTCATGGAAGATTTGGGAATTTGGACTTTTTTAGGTGGGAAATAATTTGTTTGCTTAAAATTTCTAAACTACACACACACACACACACACACACACACACACACACACACACTCACAAAGGGACAAACGATAATGAGAAAACTATATCAGAAAGGTCAACTGTTGTCTGGTTAAGAAAGAATAAGGTACTAAACGGAGTCATTTTAATATAAGGAAATATAACTTTACACAAAAGTTAAATTCTGTTCCTCCACTGACATTTTACTGATACAGCTTCCTTTGTTACTATAAGCTTCTACTGTCAATCAGGCCAAATGGGGAGGGAGAAAAAATGCCTTGTGGCTGAGACCATTACCTCAATCATGAAGAATCGTGCAAGGAATGCATGCATCGTCTGTTTCCTCAGGTTCACGGCTAAGAAAATGTAACTGTGCTGCCCTCTAATGGTTGTCACCCCACAGGCTCAAGGTTGCCAGCATTGAGCTGATGAGCCACCATTGTCAGGGACATCACCAGATAGGAAATGCAGAAGACAGATTCTGAACCAAATGTGCATCATCTTTTCCAAAGGAATCACCATTGTTTCATCAGGACTAGAATTGGACTTTTTCAACATTTGTATTTGACTTGAGAAATTATGGAGCTCTCAGAAACCAATGCCATATGCTTTTTCATGAATAGATTATGGAGCAGGAAGGATCCTGCTTTAGATTGTAATACAAATATATTGTCCTTGAGAGCAAAGACGACATTTTTCAGGAAGCAAGCGAGACCCAAAGTGTGCAGCAGTGCCCTTTAGGTACACTGATGATCTACCACATGCGTATCTATCTATATCTGTAGCTATGTATCAATGCATGTATTTCTCTTTTAAAGCTGTAAATTCATTTACCTGAATATCTTAATCTGTTTTGGTAGTTTACCTTATGCCAGATTTTTTAGTGCAGTTTACATAATCAATTTCACCCTGTTAAAAGTTAAAACCAGAATCTTTGTCCAAGATTGACAGTTTGGGCTTCTAGATCTTCTACTTCCAGACCTAAGTTTTAATTGACTCCAAATTGCTGATGGAAGAGTGGTGAAAGCGTTATGACTTGGATGTGTTTGGCACACTTTTCATCCCAGGAACCTGACCTTCGATTACCCCTCAAGTTTGACAAAGAAAAGAATCAGTCTATAATTACAGGCGAGCAAAAATAGGAAGGCTTCTTCCACACAGCCCAGGGAAGACCTGCATCTAAACTAGCTGATCAAGTCACATAAATATTAATAACACTGTTTAAAGTGACATGTGGTTCTATTGGCCACGCCTCAGTCAGAGCTGCTTCTATAGCCCAGCTGCTAGTTGCTGTCTCTGAGATCCATTTATAAATAATTGAAGTGTTTAGAGTGAAATTACCACCCTGTATATGAAAGAGATCATTGTGTGAGCGCCCATCAGATGGGGAATCCCAAATTACTGTTAGGTTGAAGAAGATGGGGCATGACATATTACACGTATGTGTGTGTGCATGTGTGTGTGTGGGGGGCAATCTCCTATAGAAGAGAGAGAGAAGAAGTTACTTCAATTGTTCCTTCATCTTCACCAGGTTAATGGTCTAGGTTAAAGCACTGGCTTTAATCCTAAACTACTGAACTTTCATCTAGTTAAGAAATTGGGATTATAGTAAAGGGAAAAACATAGAGAAAGGGAAAAGCCAAATGTCAGAATGTGATAGCATTGCTACCACAGCATCACAGAAGTGTATTTTCAATAATTTTAAAAAATCTGGCCAAGTGCGGTGGCTCACACCTGTAATCCCAACACATTGGGAGGCCGAGGCGGGTAGATCACCTGAGCTCAGGAGTTCGACACCAGGCTGACCAACATGGAGAAACCCCGTCTCTACTAAAAATACAAAATTAGCTGGGCGTGGTGGCATATGCCTATAATCCCAGCTAATCGGGAGGCTGAGACAGGAGAATCACTTGAACCCAGGAGGCGGAGGTTGCAGTGAGCTGAGATCATGCCATTGCACTGCAACCTGGGAAACAAGAGTGAAACTCCATCTCAAAAAAAAAAAATTCAACTCACACACATAAACAGAATTTTCAGTAACATTAAGACATACAAAGGAGGTAAAACTGCATTAGATAGCAGGAGGGAGAAGAAAAGTATTATAATTCAATCATTTCAGAAATAAAGACTTCCGTGGGTGAGGAGGAATGCACGTGACAAACTTCTTCACGTTAGACGACACAGCAGTTCTATCTTTAATAATTTTATTCTAGGATATAAGAAGAATCAGTGTGTATATGGTTGACAAGGGTCAAATCCAGATTGAGTGAGTTTTCACTTTACAAATTGCAAAATATCCTCATTCTTATCTTCCCCAAACAGATTGCATTAATTCTGAAGGGAAGTTTGAGGCTGGATTTATTAATGGTTTTTTACAAACATTTTTTAAAAGATGCTGATGAAACTAATTTGAAGCAGTTGGTGCAAGAGATTATAATAAAATAAGTATCGTGTTTCACTCTTCTAAAATTACCGAAATAACTCATTCTTCAAAGTAAGAAAACATTGCTTCAAAAGCATATATGTTTTACCAGCAATTATTTATTGAGAATCTTTCCTGTTAAAAGTAGGGTACCAGACTCTGTGGGGGGTTCAAAGATTTATAAGGCAGGGTTTCTGCCTCAAAGAATTTATAGTGCACAGAGATGTTCCAGTGGAATAAACCCGTGTTACTACATTGATTTTTGGATCATATCTAATTCAAAAGATTTCAAGACAACTCTCCCTTACAGAGTCTACTCAATTCCTATTGAATCATACATATGGGAAATGCAACAGGGATTTTTTTATATACACTATTGCTATAAAGACAGAGAAACCGCTTATGATAAAGGCTGAACTCACAATTCTAGTAGCTTTCCACTGGGATTATATTTGATCAACTTGGAAGAACCATCTATAGTTTCTCAGAATAGCAAGACATTCTGAGAAGGATGAGATGGAGTTTAATTGTTATTTAACCTCTGGAGCCCATGCTGCCACAGGAGAGGATTCTAACTGGACTAGGATCTAAAAGAAGGGAAAAGGAGAAGGAAACTCAAGGCATACAATTGGTATATTCAAAAGACATTATTACCTGAACTACTAAAATTGACTAGTACTGAGATAGCTGCTATAATTGAAGCAAATATTATTTGCATCATCAGCTCACATACTTCCTTTCAGCTGAGTTACTGAGCTAACTAACCACTTGTGCTACCCAGACTCTCAGTCAGCGTGTTCAACCAGACTATTTAGCTGACACATTTCTAGGATTCTGCACGTCCCTGTGTCCCATAGAAAATCATGGGGGTGGCACACACACTCTGTCTCTTCAAATTCAGCTTCCCTTAGGAATATGAGCTGCATCTTTGGTGGTATAATGTGGGAGGTGAGGGTGTTATATCCTCACAGACAGCTGTTTCATACTTAGATAAATGTTATATCTGTCAAACGTGTCGGCAGGATAAAGAGAAAGACCTGGAAAATGATGGGTGTAAAAAGCTAGACAACAGAGCAAATATTTTCCATCTATTGCTTTGTTTATTTCCTCCATTAATCTTAGAATGTGGCTCTGAGACCCTCTATTAGTGTTTTTGTATTGATTGTGTTATTCATTTTATCCCTTACTCTTCAAAGCTTGCTCTGAGATCCTATATGGATTTTATATCTATATCTGTAGATGCTATAGAGGTCATAACCTATCATAGCAAGGTGATTTGGGTGGAATTGCTGCCAGGCTGGTGGGCAGACCCATGTGCGTTAATGCATGGAATCCAGCTCCTTCATCAATCCAATCCCTCCTTCTCTTCTCATACACTGGCTCACAGTATGGCCTCTCAAAGAAAATGGAGCCAGATGTGAGAAAGAACACTGTAGGGAGATCCAGTCATCTCTGCTCATGGACTCTCCTGGGCCAGTCAAGGAATTGCTTTGTAGCACAAAGGTATGAAGTTGATTTGACAGCGAAATACTACCCTGTTGATCTAATTGATCTGACAGTTCCTCTTCTTTCTCTATATGAAGCTACAAGGATGGCTGAAGAGGGAAGATTTCCCAGACAAAAAGAATCATTACTTTAGCCTTGGGGAGCTGAGCAACCAAAATGTCACTGAAGCATTTTCATGTAACTCCTGCCGACATCCATGTCCTTTTTAAAGTATCCAGAGTTTATGAGGAAGAGTCCACAGCTCTGGAGGAACACCTGGAGAGCAAGGTCGGAAAGGCTGATGGGCCATATGCCACCATGTTAGGTATCAATGTTCCTCTTAAATTCCCTCTCCGCTCATTTGACTCTTACTATTTTAGTACATCTAACACTCCACTACCTTGAGAGATCTTTGAGAGCAGGAAATACGTCTTTTCCATTTTTATAGCTCTATCTCCTAGCATAGTACCTGGAACATACCAGCTTCCCTCTAAGTGATTGCTTAACTGAACTAACATCATACATCCTATATTGTGCGCCTGTCCCCAAATCATAGTTATAATAATCACCATAAATCTAAATGACTTTCTCCTTTACTCTTGACAACCGAAAAGCAGTAAAACGTTCAAAGTATTGTGAGTCTAACACGGGAAATTTTCATGTATGACTGTAGATACAGAAACTAAAATTAACTAAAAGGACCAGTTTTACTTATGTTAGAAAGTAGCCTTAAACTCACAGGTAAAAAATTAAGCCCCCCTTGGTAAATGATCACATGTTAATTTTTGTCTTGCCTGACAGCTATAATATTGAATCGTAAGAGTGCAGGTGGAGGCATCTTTGTCATGTTTTTCTTTTTTTTTAATTATACTTTAAGTTCTGAGATACATATGCAGAACATGCAGGTTTGTTACATAAGTATACACGTGCCATGGTGATTTGCTGCTCCCATCAACCCGTCACCTACATTAGGTATTTCTCCTAATGCTATCCCTCCCCTTGCCCCCAACCCCCCGACGGGCCCTGGTGTGTGACGTTCCCCTCCCCGTATCCATGTGTTCTAATTGTTCAACTCCCACTTATGAGGGAGAATATGTGGTGTTTAGTTTTCTGTTCTTGTGTTAGTTTGCTGAGAATGATGGTTTCCAGCTTCATCCATGTCCCTGCAAAGGACATGAACTCATTGTTTTTTATGGCTGCATAGTATTTCATGGAGTATATGTGCCACATTTTATTTATCCAGTCAGGCATTGATGGGCATTTGGGTTGGTTCCAAATCTTGAAAAAGGAAATTTACACTTTTGAAAATTCTGAAGATAAAAGACAAATCTGAGTTAGTCCATTAAATTTCACAATATTTGGTTGCAATGTACCTTGGCTCTGAAATTCACATCATTACATTATATACTAAGGGTGAACCAGGCCCTAAGGAAGAACTGAGATCCTCTGGCTGTATATAAACTCAATCTCAGGAATAACTCAAGTAGTAACAATATAGTCTTTAAAAATAGGCTAGATGCATGTGTTTGTTATAAATACAGGGAGACTGACAATGCATAACCTTTCTAAAACCCTTTGAAAATAAAATTCATAGAAAAAATGTTTTCTTAAAATTAAATGTTTTTTCTCTTGAAATATTCTGTAAATGTCAAAGCATTAGGAATCTGTTTTTTGTTCTTAGCATATCATTAGTGTTTAAAATTTATGAAAGCTACCCCTACTTTACCTCTTTAAGTTGTCCAGCCAACTGTAAAATATCAACTGTGCAAAAATGAGCAACTTAAATTTTCTGAGCCTCAGTTTCCTCTTCTGTAAACAAAGAGTAATAATGTCTACCTCCAAGTATTGTTGTGTCTACAATAAGATTATGAACGTGTCAGAAACATTAAGTTCATCATTAGATATAAGTTCTGCTTATTTACCTCTGCCATTGCAATACAATGATATCTATGGTTTCAAAATTTTTTTTTTTTTTTTGAGATGGAGTCTCACTGTGTCACCCAGGCTGGAGTGCAGTGGTGCAATCTCAGCTCACTGCAACTTCCACCTCTTGGGTTCAAGCAGTTCTCCTGCTTCAGCTTCCTGAGTAGCTGGGATTACAGGCGTGTACCCAGCTAATTTTTGTATTTTAGTAGAGATGGGGTTTCACCATGTTGGTCAGGCTGGTCTCGAACTCTTGACCTCGTGATCCACCCACCTCGGCCTCCCAAAGTGCTGGGATTACAGGCATGAGCCACCGTACCCGACGATTTCAAAGCTTTTAAGAGCAAGAGAAAACTCCTATACCTGGTAGAGAAAATGCAGAGAATTTTACGTGACATATAGCATCAACAAACAATAACTCTACAAGAAATCTGTGTTCTTCCTTTATGCTTGCTCCATATTGACATTAATTTAAATTCTATGAAAAACTGGTAGAATGAAACTGCACAGAAACAAAGATCCAAAAGAAGCAAGAGAGTAAGAAACACAGAGAACTAAATGACCAGATTAATGCAAAGGGAAGAACAAGGAAATATAACATCGTTTTTCTTTTTGCATATTCAGGGTCTAGATATGCTTCACAGTAGTAAGATGAAAGCTTTGCTAATTTGTATGAAATGCCTGTAATTCAAAGCTTCTTTATATTCATTTGTGCAACTCAAAAAACAACCAAGTTAGTTTTAAATTTTCTCCCTAAAATTTATCTATGGATTGAAATGAAGCAGTAAGGATGTCAGTTCAATAATTCTAGCAGTAGACATAGCAGAAAGGTGATAACTGTTTTGGCTTCAGCACTACTACCAGGCTAGGAACTCAGCAACAAGCTGCAGATTTGGGTTTAGAAAATAAGTTTTAGCCCACCAAATCTATAATAAAAATTGTGTTGGTTTATTTCAGTTAAACTTATTCCACTTACGTTTGTATCAAACAAAAGATAATTGGTAATATTTGGAGATAATACAGTTGACCTACAATAATTGTTTGACATGACTGACATTTAGCTAGTTTGTATACTTCAGGCATATCTAAGAAAGAAATAAAAAATTTAATTCAACAAGCATTCGTGTAATGCCTACTGCGTGCAAGAAACTGTACTAGGTTATTTAATGAAGTTTACCTTTGGTTGTTTTTTTTTTTCCCCCCATTATATGTTTACTTACTAACCTTTTAAAATGCTTGTAGTTTGGACTAACTTAAAATCTAGTCTGTCCTTACTTGAGATTTGGGGTTTAGAAGCTCATTTGATTAAGTCCACATTGAGAAGCAGTAGATTAGCTTCTGTCATGCAAAAGAGACAGGTTCTGCAGCGCAGATCATTTAAGAGCAATTTTTTTGTTTGTTTGTTACATAAAGAGACATTTTCAGAACCCTAATTGCTCCAAATTTATCTACTAAAGAATCATTATGATCCATTTTTAACCCCTCTCTGACATCAGGAACTAATGCTGTAATTGAACTGTGTCATCATTGATCTCAATTCTAAACCATTAGAACAGCTGGTTTTTGCCTTTCACTGCAATTGTACCATTTTCTTCCTAATCACTCCCATGCCTGCAGAAATGCACTGTATGGCCAAGACAGAGTTGTTTAAAGCACAGTTAGATGCAGTGAATGGCATACATTGCCTAGTAGACTATTATTTGCTATTTTCACATATTTAGAGTAAGAATAAAAGTGCAGACATCTCTATTTTAAAAGCTCATTTTCTTATTTCTTTTCTTTTTTCCCTAAAGGTCTTTTTTGGTAACTTAACTTAGTTTGCTTACTCATATTTATAATGGATTTAAGAGAAGCAAAGAATTTTAGATCTGTCCCACTGCTGATGCTAAGTACGTCAAAACTAAGTCTTATTCTGAAGGGATATAAAAGCCATAAAAGAAAAAATACATGAGAAAACAGAACAACTGCGTTTTAGCTCTGAAATTAGTTATGCATCAAAAGAGTTCTAATACACTCTAACATTCGCTATAATTTTGAGCTAAATCTTCACCTTGGCCCTAAGTGTTGGCCCAGTGGATGTGGGGGAGGAATCTCTAATTCAGTGAACATTATATTGATAAAATTCTTGAATTTCATTACCTAATTTAAGAAATTTCAAATTATTTTTGTTGTTTAGCATAAGTATAGGTCTTGTTTCATATACTCTCTGTAAAACTGTGCACTTAAATTTTAAAATAAAGCTTTTAAAAAAAATCTCAGAAGCTATTTTAAAGAATTTATCAGGACCATATCCCTCCTTCTAGCATAAAAGTGATTTTGTAGTGAGTAAAATTCTGCACCAAAACCATGGACTTGGCAATGGAAAGAGCATGAGGGGAGGGTCAGAAACACTGTCTTCTAATCTCAGCTCCACAGTTACTGGCTCATGCGTCAATAATCTTTTTAAGCTTCAATGTCTTTGTTGTAAGACAGAGAGAGTGGAAAAAAATGGGCTCTGAGTCCCTTCTTGCTATGACTCTTAAGAAATAAAAAGTTATACAGAATCATCATTAGCACATTTGAATTAACGCAGTGTCAGAGATAAAGCCAGACATTAGTTACAAGTGGTAAAGACAGATTTTGTTCAGTAATAACTATTGCAATATAGGAGAGAAACCAGCGTATAAGCATGAAAGAGCAAGGAGTGAGAGGGCAATTGACCAGGCCATCTGAGTTTGCTAATTGGCATTTGTCTGTAGGAGAAACAAACTTTTTGTATCTTTATGACAGGAGTAAGTGGTGAGAGCTAGAGCAAGATGCCCACGCTTTCCCTCCCATGGGGACTCAGAGAGAAGAGTAGGGCTTACCTCCTGGGATGTTTGCATTTCAAAGAGATGGCTCCCAGACTTTGAGGAGCCACTTTTGTGTGGTAGAACATTTATATCTCAAAGAACAGGGAAATAATTGACAATTGCAAACTTTTTCAGGTGAACATTGTAGGAGGGGGGATGCCTGGGTCATCCTAGGGACATGGCCTTAAGCTTCTAGAAGCCATGCTAGAGTTTGGTCAAGCAGAGTCTTTGTCAGTAGCAATGGGCCAGTCCAAGATGTTCATAACCACCTTGTGTCTTGGAGAAGACTAAAGCTCAGATGAGAATACTTTCTATGGTAGCACAGAATCAAAATTTTAGCAGATACAAGAAGAGTCTACTTATATAACAATTGTTTTCTGCCATATGTATTGACTTTTAAAAAAGGAAAAAGAAAACAACTTGGCCCAAGATATCTTAGCCAACGGCTCCATCTAGCTTTATTACAGCACTATCCTGAGTCATTTAAATATCTGTGGCTGCATTTCTCTTACATGCCTAAATTGAATGTTCAGCCCATTATAACACTATTTGCCCCCCAGAAAAATGCGTCAAGTATGATAACTCTGGAGAACCGTAGTGAAGAATGACAAGCCCATTTGATTTGTATCAATAATCATAATTCTTCTAATTCTCTTATCATCTTTTCTAAAGTAAGGAATTTCAAACTAAAAGATCTTGAGAGGGCATTTCTCAGCCAAATCTTATTTAGCTTTCATGAAAAATTTAAATGTGAGTTTTTGTAAATGCAAATGAAAATATTAAAGGTGCTCAATATATTCCCAGAGCAGATTGATATTTTTCATGCAATAATGTTAATGTGCTATACCCTCTACAGCAGTACCATAATTAGACCTGTTGGCATTTCCATTTTAAACCTAATCATAAAAATCCCTCTGAGCAATAATGTGCCATTCCAAGACTCAAACCAGTAGTTTCCACTGTTTAGGAACAATATTTGAGAAAGTTTTAGCAGGGGGTCAAGTTCTAATGAGGTAAAACATTTAGCAGAATTCTTTTTTAAAATTTCACCCTCGATGCTTGTTTGCCTTCTGAAAACTAATTTCAATCTAATGTGTGATGTTTATAAATAGGACAGACACGTAGCATGAAAACTGCATTCAAGCTACAGTTCAGTCAGAAAGTGTAGTTTATAATAAAGTGGTGCATCCAGTTTTGTTGGACCTAGAACTTAAATAATTTAGGAGGGTGATGTTTAAGAAAAAGACAAAACTACAAATACAAAATTAGACATGAAAGTGAATTTTTAGAATGAGAAAAGTTTGAAAAGGCAGATAAATATTACAAATATAAAATCTAAAAGGATAACAAGTTATGCTTATGAAATTAGCTGTTTCAATACTGTCATATTCTTTTTCTTACATAATTTGGCTGATACTCATTAATCACCTCTTTATATAACAAAGTTGTGTTTTTGTTTGTTTGTTTTTTGGAGACAGAGTCTTACTCTGTCGCCCAGGCTGTAGTGTAGTGGCCCAATATCAGCTCACTGCAACCTCTGCCTCCTGGGTTCAAGTGATTCTTGTGCCTCAGCCTCCCCAGTAGCTGGGACTACAAGCATGTGCCACCACACCTGGCTAATTGTATTTTTAGTAAAGACAGGGTTTCGCCATGTTGCCCAGGCTGGTCTCAAACTCCTGAACTCAGGCAATCCGCCCACCTCAGCCTCCCAAGGAGCTGGGTTTACAGGCGTGAGCCACCGTGCCCGGCCTGTAACAAACATTTTGATAATATCATTTATTATGGAGAAAATTCAGTCTTTGCTCTGCCATCAGACTCTGGCCAACTTGTTCTATAAAGGGTTACATAGTGAATATTGTATGCCTAAAGGACTATACAGTCGCTGTTGTAGCTACTTAATCCCTGTCGTCGTAGCACAAAAGCAGCAACAGACAATACGTAAATGAATGAGCATGACTGTGTTCCAATAAAACTTATTTATGGACCCTGAATTTTGAATTGTATATAATTTGCACATGTCATATATCTGTTTCTCCCCCAGTAATCTAAAAATGCAGATCATTCTTAGCACATGGACCATACAAAAATGTAGACTATAGTTTCATGACATTTGTTCTACCTTGATTGATAAAAGTTTTGTATTATTGACAGTTTATAAACTTTAACTTTAAACGTCTCAAATCATTGTTAATAAGTATATTTCATGGTAGACATCATTGTTAATAAGTATATTTCATGATAGACATCAAATTTGAAAAATGAATCTTTTTATTTTTAAGCATTGTGAGGGTTTTTTTCACTGTGACTAATTTAAGTGTTTTTTACATTGATGATATTCATTAACCAGTTTGTCACTGATAACCTCAATATAAAGGTATAATATGTATTTTATTATTGTTGCTATATTATTAGTATTTTACATTAAATCATCAAGAAATTTTAATATTTGCCCAATGTGCTCATATTATTCAGGCATATGGTTCAATCCAAGAACCTATACACTACTTCCATTAGAAATTTATCACTCCCTCTCAACTATTGCTTTTGCGATGCTCTGAAAAATTCTGGTTATAATTATATGCCAATGTTAGCATAATTTCTATTGATTTCATCACTTTGATGACTTTGTTTCAGTTTTATGTATTTTTAATCTAAATTTGAGTCTAATAAATTTTATTTTATTGAAACATTCCGAAACATCTTTTCAAATCACCTGACCCCTTTGGGTCAAGGTGCCCGCTCAGTTAGCACAAAGGACAGTGGGAGTATCCAGGAAGTCATTGCTGTGCCAGGACAGTTAACACTCTTTTACTTCTATATAGAAGTGACTAAAAACCATACAAATATGTCCCATCAAACCCAACAAATGTATTCTCAGTTCAATTATGCCTTAGCCAGATATCAAAGATAACTTGTAGCCACCCAATACCACCCAATGTGAGAAGAGGTAATGGGAGGAAAGTCCAACTGGAAAGAGATAGGAAATTTTACTGACTCTGTAACTATGCTAAGACCATGGTGGGGCCCTCCCCCAGGGTTGAAGGTGTTCGCACATCTTGAGTTTGCCTTCATTAATATCCTGATAAATCTACCCCTTATTATTCCCCAGGAGGTCTGTCACACAGCTGAGCTGTCACTTGCAGCACCATCCACCATATTCTTTTGACCATTCTACTCTACAAATTGCCAGAGCTGAACATTCACCATGTAGAATTCCAGAGGGAGCCAATGAGAACACATACAACTCACTTACAAATTACATACACGGTCATTTCCTGTAAACACAGAAAGTATAGTAATCATTCAATTGTTTTGAAAAAGAACAAATTGGAGGAGTCATCTATTGAGATTTTGAACATAATGTATATGCTTGGGACAATTCATTTGATAAAGCTTAATAGAAAGTTATGTATCACAATAACATCATAATTGCAGATTCTAATTTAATTATGTGATTGTACATATTTATTTACTCTAGGTTCTATAGCAAATACACAGTAATTAAACAGCATAGTAAACTAACAGGCTAAAGTTGGGGAGGATAACAAGAAATTCGTGAAGCCTCTTGCACAGTAAAAGAATATTAAAAAGGTCAATTACAAGCTTAGGGAAGCAGAGTCTATTCCGATTTAAAAGATAATTACAGTCAGCTCATTGCCTTTTTCTGTCATACCAGACATTCCTTTCAAGAGTGTCAAGTGAAGGAGAAAGTTACAGGAGGAGATTTTCAGGTTCGAGTATCTTCATAGCTTAGAAAGCAACCACCAAGCCCCTAATGATTTCCACAAAATTCCCTTTGTGTAAATAGAGTCATTTGAGGATTAAGTAATCTGCAGCTCAGACCTTTGTCCTATCCTCCTGTGCTTCTTTTAGCCTTCGGGTCCTCATAATACATTTCTGGTCCTAAACTCACAAGCTTTTGAGTATCTATTGTTTTCCTAATATAAGCTTAATAGCTTTTTTCAGTATAATGATTATCAATGTAAAGGGTAATTAACTCCAAGAAATTACCATTTTTTAAAGACTTGGACTCTATAGCAACAGTACAGGTATACTAAACAGTATTTTGCATCCTATTAAGCTAAATACTATATTTAATTTTAAAATACATGCCCACAAGTATGCCGGGCTTTGAAGAGAACTCAAATACAAGACATAAGAATACCAAAAAATAAAAAATAAATAGAAAATCACAGATAATTTAGAATAATAGAAATGGTACTCATATTATACAGAAAAATGTTTCACTATATTCTTTGATTTTCAGTTTCTTTAAATTATAAGCTAGTCTATGGCATTTAAAATATGGTTTACTTTTCAAACTTCAAAATATACACAGTATAATAATGAAACTGTTGCCCTTTCCCTTCCTCATGTGTTTATTAAGTATTCCTTTCAAGGTATACTTTTGCCTTGTAGCAGTTAATATTTGTATTAGGAACACGACTTCACTGAGAAACTAAAATAATGATATTTTTATAATTATATCCCCCATATTTATCATAATTATAATTATGTTAAAGAGTTAATTTCTATGTGTTCTCCTATTAATATGTAACAGACAATTTACAAACACTGTAGAGCTTTGGGGAATATGTTTGGAGAAAATGCTTAATTAGGCAATGGTGTGAATTTTGACATCTTTCTTCATGGTTCAGAGAATAATCTCTTGCTGACACATATCTTCAAGAGTTTGATGAACAGAAAGTCTTATTTTTCCAATATGAAAAACAGTATTACAGGATCACAATATGGTGAGAAATGAAAAAAATGTGTTTTATTTTTTAATAAATGACATATTGCTAAGTAAGCCAAAATTATCTAATAGCATTGAAAAACAAAATTTGCAATAAAATATACCATTCACAAAATGTGATAGATATGTGATAGATAAAACTGACTCTAAAATCCAAGAAGTCCCCACTTTAGTTGGGAGTAAGCTTGGGCATAAACATCATGCTTCAAGAAGTCTGAAGTATTTTACCCATTGTTCCACTGATATTGTTAACATTGGCACTTGGGCTGTAACTTTTTTGGCCAGAGAATGTACTAAGATTCTTGAATCATTAGGTAGTTCCCCAAAAGGCCATCAAATATGACTTAAGCTAAATAACTGAATTAATTTTTCTATGCTTATATAAGTCACACAATTCTAACAATGAAGACATTAATGGAAATCATTGATTTCCATTCATCTCTTAATCTGATTTCCACTAATCTGATGTGGAAGCATCAGATTTCTCATTTCTAATTGGTACAATGCTAAATTCTAAAATGATATTAATTTAGAGTATTGACCCACTGATACATATACACCCCAGTGGTTCAACTCTGTAACAATTTAGATCCTTCCTTATATTCTGCTATTCAATGATTTCACATTTTCAGGCATGTACATGCATGTGTGGTTCATTTCTGTGTTCTCTACACCACTACAACAGTGTCAGTGAAAGCTCTGATTAGTGTTCTCAGACAACCATATTGGCCAAGGGACCTCATTATAATCAAATCTAAACATAGTATGCTGTAAAACAATCTCAGAACTTACATTCTCAAAAACAAATTCCTCACTAACAGACCATTATATGTTTGTAAGGAAGAGGTATTTAGAAAGACTTCTGTGATTCATAAATTTAACTGTGTCTCAGGAAAAAAAAAAAGCTATTCAGGAATGAGTAAATCCCCATGAAATAAAAATCCTCACTCCATGAAATGACTTAATCATTCCACTCAAAGGAGCAGATGGAACAGTTGCTCTTCTGAACATCCCGAGGTGGGGGTCTTATCAACAATTTTCAAGAATTCCTATTGGCAGGACATTTTGTTAATACATACTCAAACCAAAAGATGTAGGAAATGCTGTGGAAACAAGACCCACGTGCCACATTGAGAAAGATACCAAATTTTGGCTCTTTTTGTTTTGCCTATAGTTCCCCAAGCAAAGAAAGGTGAGGATCATACACTAGTCCCTATGCCAGACACCACCCCCTAGTTCCCTTTCTGCCAATGATAGTACCTGGTTCTACCAGAAAGCCCCAACCATCAGCACGTCAACTAATATTTACCAAGTTAAGTAATGTAGGTATGTTTTTGCTCTGATTTGTTTCAGTATTTTTCAAGAGTAATCACAGCAACAAATTGTGACTTACAAGGTTCTAGCTCCCTATAATCTCCATGGGCCAGCCTCCACCACACTTGGTGATTTAACTTTTTGATATGGATTGACAGTTCATGTTTTCTCAATCTTATGTAAGATGTGGATAACACCATCATTGAAAAACTTTACACTTTTGATTGTCTATTAACATATATACTAAGTAAAAAACATGTATGTGCTATTTAAATGCAGTTTTAGGACAATTCTCCCTCCTTTTCAACCATAGCACTGCTCCTTAACCCATCCAGAAAGGAATGCTGAAGCTATCCTTACTTGGGGGTCATAAACTTTTTAAAATTTTAATCACGTGGCATAGGAATAAAGAAAAGAGATCCACAAAATTTGTGGGTCATTCTTATGTTCAGCTAACAAAACACTATACATATATCCATTCCTTTCAGATCAAATTATTAGAATTCATTGTCAGAGGATCCAAATACCCCAGGGAATCAGGTAGGGACTCCCACAAGACTGTGACAGATAAAAGAATTTATCAGTCACTATCATATACAGCTGAGTTTGAACTGATGATGAAAAGAGAATATGATAGTTATATTTCATGAATTTGAAATAAGAAGGTTTTAAGTGCATGGTTTAGATTCCATCCTGGAAGTGTGTAACAAGCACAGTGCTTCTGATATAGGTGAGTGGAGGTAATATATTACCCTGGCTTAATATATTTAGCAAAAGTGTAAAAGCAATTCAATCTTTCGCTTCTCAGATTAGATTCTTTTATTAGAAATTACTCAAATAACACATATTCACTTAAACTTATTCTTGGAAAAGCAGTTTACTGTTTTCAACAATCATATTTTATTTTATTTAATCATCAAAAAACGGAATCCACGGTAGTTGTGACTATAAGTCTTGCTTGGGACTATGGATTTTAATGACCTTAGCTGAGGCCTATATTCACCTAGGTAACTCCTGGTAAGTTTTAGTAAATTAAAATATCAAGTTGCAATTTGACAGTACTCTTCCTTCTTATGTTTCATTCATGCAATGAAAAGTTTTTGAACTCTAAGTCCTAGGCAAAAGTAGAAATTAATAATGTTCATTCTTTTCTATCACTAAAATGAAATGAATTATACAAGTCAACCATGTTGGGTTCCAGGAGTTATAGGGAGACAGAACATATTATATTTTGTGAATTAAATACAAATTCTGCACATTTGGGTAATTTATACATTTAAAACCATACTGTTCTGCATTCTTCTTTGAAATGAAGAACTTCGCATGTGGATCTATGCTTATGAGGTGAAACTAGAAGCATAATCAAGCTGAATTTGACAAAAATAAAAGTTTCTAATCTTCCATCATGACCCTTTGCCTCTTCATGCTAGACAAACCTAGCTAAAGGTCTATTATCTTCTTTTTTCTTAACACAGAGAAGCAGAATATGTACACACCCAATACCCCAACCATCTGAATCTGCTCATGATATTAAAATACCTGATCTCATGTTTAGGTGGAGGTTTAGCATTTTTATTTTGATTTGGCCAGTACCTAAGTGTTCAATCAATCTATGCATCTTAGATGATAGCTGGTACAAGGATTGTGTGATTTGTCTTGGTCCAACATCTGGCCCCCTGGACCATTTACTGGACACTCAGTAGATGCCTCTGACAGATGGTGATATGGGCTGCTGCTGCTGTTGATGACACTGTTGATGATGATGATGATGATGCAAATGCTCTAACAAGAGCAATGCACAAAGCATGGCTACAAAGTAGTTCTCCAGCAGAGAATGAGGCTTGAATCCTGGGTATCTACACTTTAAAATGCATCCCAGATTATTCTGATGCTTATGATTTGCAACCAGGCATCCAGAACCACTGCTGTAGAGAAGCAATGTCACCATCATAACTTTATATGCAAGCTTTGTACATTGTTTTTGACACAGTAAGCTTGATATTATTTTTTCCTTCTAAAAGGGATTTAGCAACTTGTCCTTTGGGAGATTCTTGCAGAGCAATGTCCTAGAATCTCAAGTTGACTTGTGTAGCTGCTGAATGGCATCAAAAGAAAAGCTCCCTATGATTCAAAATGCCTAAGGAAAAACACAAACGTACTGTGCTAAATGATTTACATATATTTTCTGGCTTAATCGAAGGGCTAAATTCTTTACTTGACATAGATCCTCACAAGAACAATTTTGTGCTAAACAATGCACTCGTTGACAAGGATACAGCAGCGAACAAAATATACAAAACCCTATCATCATGGAATTTATCATCTAGTTAGGGTGTGTGAGTCCATTCAGGCTGCTGTATCAAAATATCATTAACTACATAGCTTATAAACAACAACAGGAGTTTATGCTGATAGTTCTAGAAGCTGAGAACTCTGAGATCAAGGTGCTGGCACACTCAGTGTCTGGTGAGCACCTGCGTCCTAGACTGTCATCTTTTAACTCTAACCTCAGATGACAGAAGGTTGGACAATCTCCCGTGGACTTCTTTTATAAGGGCACTAATCTCATTCAACAGGGCAGAGCCTCCTAAAGGCCCCACCTCCTAATACCCAACCTCGTTTTGGGGGTTAAGATTTTAACATATATATTTGGGGCAACACAAACATTCAGACCATAACAGGGAGACAGAAAATAGAAATATACATTACATTGAATGGAAAAAAGCCCAATGAACGATACAACCTGGGAGAAAGGGAAAGACAGGTGGACATAATACACAGTGGCCGGGACAGGCCGCTCAGAAAAGACTCCCTACAAACACAAGGATGTGAGGAACGTGGTTGGGTTTGGACTCTTCATTTATTTTGAAGATAGAGTCAACAGGAGATGTTGATAGCTAGGATGGAGTAGGACAGAAAAAAAGAAATTATGGGTGACACCAAAGCTTTTGGCCTAAGTAAAAGAAAAAGTGAAGCTGGACATTTATTTATTGAGCTGAGCATTATTATGTGAGATGGTTATGATTTGCATTCCATTTTTAAAATTAGACTACATAGGCTCCCATTAATTATGGGCTTGCTGCAGGTAGCACAGCTTGTACAAGGTGGAGAGTAGTTTTGAACCAAGTCAGTAGACCAAAGCCCCTACACTCAATCATAAAGGCAGCTAGGGACCCCTTAGTACCTGCCAAACTTGCTTTGGACCTACCCCTTAGAAGCTTGCACACCTCAAGATGAACATAGATGGGAAGAGAAGGACCGGAGTCCCTCCATCTGTGCTCGGGGATTTAAAAGCATTTCCATGCCAGTCCATCGCTACCATTCTGCACACTCCCCAACAGAGCAAAGGGACCTGCCTGTCTTTGGCTTGACATTTCAGAGATTCCTACTGCACATTTCTATCTATATATAGGCAGGTCCAGCTCCAGGCAGGTGCAGGATACAGAACAAATCTCAGCGCCTCTCCTCTATACCAACACCCTCCAGCATATGGTATGTGGGTGAAATTAGGTTAAAAAGAACATCAAGGACAACCCTGGAGGATAAATGAAATCATTACCAAAAGGAAACATGTGATGGAATAAAGGAGGGGTGCCAGCTGAGAAAGGTGTTGGAGTGCTGAGTATTTGTACAAGGAATCTGCCGCTGACCATCTGTCTATTGTTTTTCAAGTTTCTACATAGACTATTAAGTTTCAGTCTCAGTAGGAAGGAAGAGGAAAAGAGAAAGAAAACATTTACTGGTTGTTTGCTATGAGCCAGGCACTGGACTAGATGCTTTGTATACATTTGTGCAACACAATGTGGCATTGTCATTATTGGGCCAGCTTTACATAGATTAAGTCACTAAACTGAGACTCCAGCTTAACTTTTCTGCACAAAAGCAATCTGTAAGCTCCATGAGGGCAAGGACTGTCTTTGCCAAGTTTACTGTGTGTCCCCAGTGCTTAACACAGCACCTGGAACTCTGAGGTGAGGAGGGTGTCATTGACTCTTTTCTTCTTTTTTTAGAGACAGGGTCTCACTCTGTCACCCAGGCTGGAGTGCAGTGGTACAATCACAGCTCACTGCAGCTTCGACCTCCTGGGCTCCAGGATCCTCCTTCCTCAGCCTCCTGGAACTACAGGTGTGCAC
Organism: Homo sapiens; assembly: GCF_000001405.40. Lineage (NCBI taxonomy): Eukaryota > Metazoa > Chordata > Mammalia > Primates > Hominidae > Homo > Homo sapiens. Next base: position 27,768,729 of record NC_000018.10, read on the forward strand.
CCCCACACATGGCTAATTTTTTGTATTTTTTGTAGAGACGGGGTTTCACCCTGTTGCTCAGACCAGTCCGAACTCCTGTGCTTAAGCAATCTGCCAGCCTCAGCCTCCCAGAGTGTTGAGATTACAGGCGTGAGCCACCGCTCCCAGCCATCATTGACTCTAGAGTGAATCATGCTTCGCTCTTTCCAATTCTAGTTCCAGATCAAGAATCACATCTCTCTCCTCAACCCATCTCCCACCTTCCTCCCTCCCTCCCTCTCTCCTCACCATGACAGAGGAAGGTCTTAGATTCCCAGGGCTGCTTCTGCTATGCACAAAGCAATGACTGTGGACTGGGGACAGCAGGACAAGCTAACAGGGGCATCCTCCAGCAGTATAGTTACTACCAAAAAGGGAGCTGAGCTTGGAAAAAATAGAAGAGGCAGGCAGGCTTTCCTGGGTATCTGTAGCTTTCCCACTCTCAAAATTTGCACAAGAGGAGGGAGCTTTCCTTTATAAGCACAGTTGTGTCTGCCTACATAGAAGGAAGTCCTGAATGTCCATCCCCTGGGGTTCTGCTTTGGAGTTTAGCTCTGGATAGACGCCTCCACCACCCACCTCTCATACAGCTGGTGAGGCTACTTCCTGTTCCCTGCCACCTGCTTCTCTGAGTCACTGGTCTTTAAGTTTCTCCAGTAAACCCAGGCCACCTAACAGCCTTCATTCTTCATTCAATTACCATTTATTCTTAGCAGAAGCACTAAGAATGCAAAATGGTAGCATGTACATGGCACTAGTTAAGGAATGTGCAAAAATCTATGCCTGTGCATAATGCTTTAAGTAGAACAGGAATTCTTTGTTTTTATGCTGTATTTATAATCTCAACCAAACAATTAAGATGAGATAGGATTTTATTTCAGTTTTTACCAAAAAAAGAAAGTTAAAGGACCAATGTCAGCCTATATTAATGTGAAACTGTCCTTTATTATTGACTAAAAATAAACTCACACAAACCCAGCAGCAATTTTAACCAGGTACTTCCTAGTTAGAATCAGTTCCTGTAATTTTCAGCTTTAGAGCAACAGTTCAGAACACCAAAACTTAGCATTTTCTAAGTATTCAAAACTCAGCAAAGCAATTACTTCTTTTTCCCTCTTTTGAACCTTCCATTAGGCAACAGAGTCTCTCTTTTACCTAAGAAAGAACTATGATCTAAAAATATTATAATTTTGAATTAGGACTTAAAATAATCAAGTTTAAAGCATGTCCTTCTATATTTGTGAGTTATTCCTCCTTGATATATTTGTGGCTCTCCAGCAGCAGCAAGAAAATACTTTCTATTCCAGAGCACCTCGCCAGTGTCTACTTTTCATAGCTCCTTCTCCCCCCATTGCATTGTGCCCTGGTTTTTATTTATTTGTTTTATTGGACCAGGGTGGGTGCAACATTTTCAAACCTCAAATATGAGAAAGTCGTAGAGGGCAACATGTTTAAGATTTATATGATTAGACTGCAGGGAAGAGCAAGATGCACTTGGATGAGAGAAATTATCCTTACCATTTCCTTCTTTTATTTCTCCTTCCTTACAAAAGAGAGGTCTTGTTCTATACAATGGGCTTCAATAGCCTTCACATTCCACATAGGGAGATGATAAAGTAGCAGTCGCAGATACCTGCTAAGACTTGGTAGAAAATTAATCACCTCCCAATTATACCCAAAGCACTTGCGCATCGGAACTCTTAACCCCATTTAGATCTGCTTGTATATTTATAATTTATAATGTTTGCAATTTGTATTGTTATTTTGGAATAAAAATTACTTCTATGCATGCAAAGTAAAAAAAACACATCTAATAATAATTAGATAATTCAACCAAGTAAAGCCACTCTGTCTTCAAAAATATGCATAAATCTTAAGGCTTTTAGTTTCCTTTTGACTTTGTTTTGTTTGGCTGTTGAAATATTTTCTTTGCATTCATAAACACAGAAAGAAAGTCTAGTTTTTGCAGGATTTCGTAGAATCACCTCTGATTCTGTTTTTGGTATATGCCCAAGGAAAGGGTACCAAAGGGACCTTCTACAGAATAATAGGGAGAATTGGTACCTCTCCAAGCTGAGTCCCTTTCCTCTGTCACCCTGCTGCCATAGAGGAGAGTTTCTTTAACCTTTCTTCCCGTCAGAGTCCAGATGGGAAGAACTTTTATAACTTTTATAAATACAGGTTCTTGAGCATCTACATAGACCTCCCAAATCAGTAATTCTAGAGGTGAGGTTTACAGCCCCAACATTTGTAAAGCTGTCCTTCTTGGGTGATTTTCATATGCAGGCAGGTTTGAGAGTAACTGTCCTTATTTAGGACAGTGACCCCATGTTTCCTAATGAGTCTCCTAGTTATATCCTTTATTCCTATGGCGGATAATAGCTATCATTTATTCATTTGTTAATATGCATATGATTTATTTAGCCAAGAGAAACTAGAAATCTCAGGCTTTTTGAGGATTTTCTTGCCATCATTCCTGATTTGCTTAATGCTGATCCCTTAGGGTTAATTCTTTATTATTTGATAAAATGATATCCTGCATTGGTCATCTCTGCTGTAGCTACTGTGATGTCAACATGCCATCAACTCAAGAATATGTCAAAGCTGGCATCTCCAGGAGGAACTACCCTTCTTTCTTCCTTACAAGGTGTCTCTTGTTTCCCAGTCTGAAATATTTCCACTGAGTCTTGTATGTTATTTGACTTCTCCCTCGTTAAAGAACAGAAGCCTCTAATGTCACATTTTCTTCTATGCTATACAATAGAGAGAAGAGAAAGCAAGCATTGTGTTGCATTTATAGTCATGCCTTTTATAATTATTCGTTTTAGAATATGTCATATTATTTGACCAGGACTGGACTTTTTATAATTGTAGAAAATCATGGGAAACATGCCATGTTCAGAAGACTTTTCAGGAACCCATTTTATTCATAGCCTTCTTTGCTGCTGGGTGTGTTCATCACAACTCCCATCAGAACTTCACAGGCACTAGCAGGAATACCAGAGAGTGCTACACAGCTACATTACATGACCCTGAAGTTTCTCACTTTGGCAACATACCACACTGTCATACCACAAAAATGTAACACTGATTCCCCCAATAAGAATAACACTAACTGTTTCTGGATAAAAAGAAGGAAATAAGTAACATGTTCAAAAGCACCTGCCCACAACAAATGCTTTCTGGGAGAAAATGTGAAAATTAGATATGAAGAATCCTTGAGATAAGTTTTCACAACAATTAAATGTGAGATGGTAAAGAAGAAGCATCAGTTCACATTGAAAAAACGTATAAAATAGTTTCATTTATCAGAAAGAAAAGAATCACTTCCCTATTAGAATTATAGACTGTGGCCCCAAAGGGATGGTGGCCCACCCTTCATTCAGAATGGTGCCAGGGATGTTACATTTTGGCAGCGTGCAGAGACTGATGGCATGCAAGAAACACTCCTAACTAGTCTTTCTTAACAGATGTGGATTGTTCCCTATTAAACTGGCCAAGGGCATCTCTTTTTACTTCTTGGGGAATTAAGGAGAATAACAAATAGCACATTGTGTTCACAGCCAGCTAAAGAGGAGAAAGTTCAACAACGTGTGTCTGTGTTAGAATAGGAAATGCTGTGGGCTTAACGTTAGGGCCCACATTCTTCTCCCATTTTTCAGCATTTTTACCCGCCTTGGAGGAAATGTGGTCATAAAAAGCGCTTCAGAGTGGTCATGGTGGTGATGGCATATGTATGAACACACAAAGACATATAATGATGTTTGCATGTGCATCCACACTTGGAGAAGCCCAGTGCATGTTATTGCACACCAGAAACCAATGTGTGTGTCGCACCTCTGCTTTTTAATAGAATTTTATATATTCCCCATTCTGTTTTTAATGAAGAATAAGAAAGAAAAAGACAACTTTCTCCCTTTCCTTTACCTGTTCCTAGGAGTGAAAGCACAGATCTGAGTCTGTGCGAACTTTGATTTGCATTCTAAACAATTAGTGGAGTTAATGCATTGATCAACTTATTTAATTAAATGTATTGAAATAATCTTTATATCCCATTTCAGCATCACTTGATCATCAGGAATCAGGTTCTGTGGTCAAGATTTATGAAACACCTGCAGATTACTTTTCAGTATTCAAAGACAGTATAGAAGTTGATTTATTGAGACTAATAAGAAACAAGTATCCATAAACTGAGATAAAGATGGGATGTGATGAATATAATAAAGAAAAAGAGGAAATAAGTTTCAACATATCTCTGTCTTCTCCATCCCCCCTTTTCACTCTCAAATAAGAATACAGCCTAGCACAATATTTAACTTCTCTCTCTCATACCTGTTCTTCATGCCTTGGTACAATTTATAAAAAGTGAATATTTTTTAGGAAATTTAATCTTAATATTTGTTCCATATTAGGAATAGCCTGGGTGGCAAATGATGTTTAGCCAAATATCCCATAAAATTGAGCAGGCTGAAAGAAAATGTCATTGAAAGAAATACTTTCACCTTTCATGTCTGGCAAATACGATACATGTTCTATGACTGTTTTTTCTTTCTAAGTCTCTAGATTAGAAGATTATATGAAGTTTCCCTGGAACTGATGTTGGTGGCAATTTCTGGATAAAGTTTCTGGCTAAAATGAGGTTATTTCAACTTAAAGAGGAAATCAACATCTAAAAAGGGGTTAGCACTCTTTCTTCAAAGATGTTCCTGATATTTTACAAGGCTTAAAATCACATATTGTAAGTTGCTGTGATAAAATGCATTGTTTATTCAAACTGGGAAAAACAGAAGATTTAATAAATGTCTTCTCACAAACAGTATTTGGCTACAAGAAACTCCATGTGGTATGATAAAAATTGTTCAATTTGGAAAATGACCTAGGACCTAAGTTTTGGCCACTTTAAACATCCAACATAATGTTGGCTCACATGGCAGAGAGGGGATATTAACTGATACATGGAATGTATTTCTAGAGTTCTTTAAAAATCCAAGGAAAAATTGATATAATTTTCTAACAGCTTATGTAAAAGTTGCACATAAAATTGTTGCAAAATAGAAAAAGTAAATCTTAGCTCTGCTTAAATTACCACAAAGAACATGAAACTTTCCATTCAAGAGGAAGAACATTTTTTTACAGTCATACAGTATTATAGCTGGAAGGAGCCTCAGAGATGATCTTTCTTACCTGTTATCTTTACTGCGGAGAGAACTGGGGGTGAGATAATTTAAGAGACTTATTATGATCATCTTCATTCTTAAGCTTTCTATGAGCTACCTTAAACATTCAAATCTAATATTTGTATTGAAGATTTCCTTCACTCATATAAACCAAAAGGTAAGAAAGAGTATGCACTTTTGTATAGTACCCACAACTAGAAAGTTAACAGTGATAGCAAAGTAGGTTCTAGTGCCTGTGGTCACATTTGAGATAGACTCCATGGATTTAGATGGCTCCCTTCCCCACCTCTTCTAATTTTGAAAAGGCAATGCAATATCTTTTCTCTCCTTTTTAATTTCTCTACATCGTGGGCTGTTGTTGTCTGCAGAAGCAAACAAAGGGCTCTCTGCTGACAGCAGAATTAATTTACAAATTCTGTTTGTTTAAGTAAAATATATCTGACAAAAAATGCTAGCTGCTATTTTAAAAAGGACTCTTGTTTGGTATCATATGTTAGCCATGCTTAAAGCAAGGTATAGAGACAAAGGGTTGACCTGGGCATGGTAGCCCACCTATGGAGACACAAGAAGTAAAGTTGCCAGGTGACAGAGAAGGAACAGAGCCATGTAAGTGCTATTCTGCTGTCCCCTTATTTATTAAGGAAAAGGGCCTCCACACTTAAGCCATAATGAACCAGAGCGAATCCTGCTATACTTGTGGAAAGGAAAAAGGAACCTAGTTGCTCCAAACAAAGTAAATCATATTGCTTAATATTAAACCATCTTGTAGGTTACCAAGAACCATTTATGATCATCTTTGTCCAATAAGGAAAAATGGGAAAAATTTAAATAGACTGAAGATAGGGAAAATCTTGACCCAAATTTTAAAACTGTAAATGCTATAAATTATGTATTGCTCGACTTGGTTCTAATATCTGATAAAATTCTACAATGGATCCATCAACATGTGGTCTAGAAAAACTGAACAAACAAGCTAACCCAGTTGCTTGTTTTGAATTTTGCAAAGGAAAATATTCTATACAGTAAACCAAAATTTTGCTAACATATCTGACAGAGTGTCTCATGACATTCTTATAACAGCATGGTGAAATGTGGGTTGGATAATAGTACAGTTCGATGGCTTGTTTACTAACTGAAGAAAAGCTATTGGCAATCCGGAAAGTAAAAAAGAAACCTGATCTCTACGTGATGATCCACAATGTCCTCCGTGATCTGCTCCACCTACTTCTCTCCTGTTCACCAAGTTCCACTCATGCCGATGACTCTATCCTTAACCAGGCCACACTCATTCTTTGCTGCTTGCATTTGCTGCTCCCATCTGTCTGGGATGCTCTTCACCTAGCTCTTCCAATAGTCAGATCCTTATGAAACTGTAGGCATTAGTTTAAATGTCACCTATGCAGACATTGTCTTCAAATTACGCAGCCACCTAATCAACCCTGTCACTCTATATCCTATCCCTCTGTTTATTACCTATTAGATTCTGTTTATTTTCCATCACTCCCACTACAATATCAGCTGCATCAAGGCTAAGACCTTCTTTGTTTATTCACTGAGTATCTCTAAGGCCCAACCCAATACCTGGCATGCACTAGGCTTCTGTGAATTTTTCGATAAATTAGTGAATGAATTAATAAAATACAACCCTAAGTAATGATATAATATCTTCTAGTTGGTTTTTTAAAATATAATATTTTTATCCATGTCTTATATGGAGATACAGAAGGTCTGGATGTTTGTTTTGTTTTAATCTTTCTGATTACGTTATACCGAATAAATACACTGCATGATGAAATAAGAATTCATCGGGTCCTTGAAGGGTTGAAAGACCAAACCCTTACAACAAAATGTCATTAAACGAGGAGACATGAAAATTTCTGCACTTAGAATCAAAGGGAGTTTTTGTGTTATCACAGAATGCGGAGACATCATTTGTCATCAGGATTTATAAAAAATACTTTGGGTTTTACTTTATCACAATCTTGTTTTGAGCCAATAGTGTGATGTGGGCAATAAAAATCATCAGAGTTTTAAAATTAAAAGACAGTCCCTCCAGACCAAATCCATACATTTGTTCAATTCTAGACATTAATATCTAAAAACACTGGAAAATGTTTAAGTGGTGAGAGGAAGAGAACAATGATTATGAGAAGCATGGAAAACTGCTCTCATAATAAAATAATCAAACTTTTACCAATAACCTCAATAAGAGTGAAGGACTTTCTGACAGCTTAGAGTCATCCCAACATACAATAGATTATTCCATGAAACGGTGAATTTCTTGTCAGTGTAGATTCCTATTTCATGGTTAGCAGTTAGGATGCATTGGAAATAATTTTCATAAAATGCAAGTTTATTTGATTAATGATTTGTGATCGATTTATATAATTTAGCTGGGCTTCTTTACTCACTCCTCAGTTTCCCTACTGTGAAGTATTTGCATTAAATACTAGCATTTTTGTTTTGTTTTGTTTTCTAACGTACTATGCATGGAGAAGTTGGTTGAAAGGCATACACGCTTTGTCAGTCTGCAGATCATGAAAGTATCATGACAATAAGTATTTTGCTATATGTTAGTGGCCCACAGAGATGTCAAGAAAAGGTCAGCTACCCAACTAGGAATTGAGAATTAGTAAGTAAACTAGTAAAATCCATGCGAAATGGATGGAATTTGCCTTTGTAGGAGTAAACCAGGAGGTTATCTTTAAATTTGTCTCTCAAGAAACTAGAAATACCTGAATATAATAGAGGAAAAGTCGATTTGGAAGCTTTTTCTTATCACCTTGAAAGCAGGAACATAACTGTAACCAATTTGGAGAAAAATTGTGTGAAGAAAAGGATAGTCAGCCTCAAAAACAGAGCATCAAGACCAGGAATGTGAAGCTGACCTTGTTTATCAAATTCCATAAAAGACATAAACTTCTTGGTTCACATAGTGATGTAATCTATAGAGATGGATTCAACAAGTTCAAGACAGACTTAGTGAAATATCCCTCAAAGCTGCCTTCTCCACTGCACTCCCAAACAACTCAGGTTAAGTCCACTTCCCAGACATTCTGGTACCTTATACTCATCTTCTTCATGGAAAACAATATAAAAATATAAAATATATAAAAATATAACCCCAATCTAAACACTTATTATGGTGTATATACTTTGATATCATTTTGATTAGCATCCGTCTTCCTCTCCAAGTCTATACAACATGCACAACAAAATAGAGAGGCTGACCATGGGCTACAGTAACATCCCAACATAATGGCATGTTGGGTAGCTCCTAAGTAGAGAGTGTTTTCTGGCCACACTCTTGCTCACTTTCATAGCTACATCATTCTGTATTGACTACATACTTAAACATGAGCTAATTAGTTATGGAAGAATTAATGTAAACAGGTTTTGATTTTTTGGTATGAATAACAACTATTGAACTTAAGGATCATTAAGAAACCTTGAGGCTAGAAAGTAATTGAGAGTATTACAGAGCACATGAGATGATTTGGAAAGGAAGTAATCAAAGATCAAGAAAAGGTGAGTTTTTTAAACAATTGGTTATTTTAAACCTTAGAAGTAAGCAAAGAAGCACATCTTTCACAAGAAAATGACTGAAAATGCACAAGAAAGTTAGTGTGAACTTTGGCAGTTGGAGGAAGCCTATGCAATGATCTGCAAACCTGAAATAAGTCTATGCTCACGGAGAATTCAGTGGGGAGGCCTTCAGACATACGTCCCAAATGATACTGAGATATTTGAGAATATGCTGCTGAATCAGGTTCACACATTTAACCAGAAAGATGACAACAAAGTAGTCTTTACTCATGTACACTTCTGGAAATACAAAATCTCCTGATTGCCTTTTACTGCGAAAAGAGTAGAAGGAGAAACTATTCTGAATGGGGCTTGGGTGAAGACTGTGAAGCACACCAACCGCATAATGGAACATTCAAAAACCAAATGCAGAGTCTTTCTCACCACTGCTGTGAGGGGCCCTTTTCTCTCTCTCCATCCAGATAGTATGTGACTCTGAATATCAGCAGGCAACAAGCCAAAAAAAAAAGTAAACTTGTCTCCTTGCATTTCTTTTTGCTTAATTTCTGTTTGGAGGAACTTCATGACATCATAGCGGAGAGTTTATACATAATATATGAAATAAAATGCCCTTGCCCAGAGCACAAGGAGAGTATCATCACAGACTGCTATGTGATCCTTGTCACTGTGCATTCAGTTCTCACAAAGCTGTGAAAAACCCACACTCAGAGCTCTCAATCCATTATTGCTCCCACACCCTCCCCTCAAAATTATTTGCTTGTATTCTAAATGAACATATTCTTTATATTGGTCCCACTTATTCTTTAGACATTCCCTCCAAGATGTTAGACCATGGCCTTGAGGAACAAATTATATTCATATACACAAGTAGTAGTCTCATACATTTTGTGAAAAAGGAAGCATTTTTCTTTCTTCAATTCAATAGAAGTTTTTAAAATTTAGATGGGAAAAGAATGATGCAAGGGGGAGAGAGCAAATTAATGCCGTTTGACATTTGGTGTTTGGTGGGTAAATGGTGTTCTTCCTTGCTCAGTGGCTTAAAGCCAACCATCCAGTGACTTCCCCAGGTTTAATTAAACCTTCAAAGAGAGGGATATGTGTTTGAAATCCAGAGAGAGGAGTAGAGATTTGTGATCAATATCAGAAACTTCCACAAGTTGGTGCTAGAGGCAGAAAGTAAGCACCGTGATACCCAGTTCCTTCTCCCAGCCATTAGATTTAATTTTAGCCTTCAGATGATATAACAGCTGACCAATGACAGGCAATGCTACTTTTCCTGCTTATGTATACATACCCCAGAAGACAAGAAATGCACAGATTTTTAAAATATTTTAGACAAATAAGCACATATTATTTTATATGTTGGAAAATATTTAAGCATCTGCAAATACCTAGAGCATGTTTCTGTATCATGAATAAAAATTATAAATTCTTAGTATAGGACATGGGCTGTCTGTAAGGGGTGCAATAAAAACAGAAAAGAACCACGAATGGCCCCAATAGCCTAGTCAAATTAAATCAGAATGTGAGCTTTTTGTTGTTATTGTTTACCATCAACTTACTTTTGAAAACAGCCATTGTAAAGCATCTGAAACCTAATCATTTAAGTAAACAAGGTTGGCTATTAGCTTCAGAAGAAAACACACTCTCCATTTACTCAGTGGCTAGTCTACTTCATCAAGGGCTAACACCTCTTTTCAGAAAGTTTGGTATTACTTGGCTATCCTAAACAGATGAAGGTGAGGTTCAATGAAGCAGTAAGAATTTGTTTTCACTACTACAAAAGAACCACCACAAACACTAAAATATGCAAGCATTGCAACCTACTGTGTGAAGACTAATTCCCTGATAGAAGTAATGAGAAAGCTAAGCTAGGAGACCAATTTACAGAAACCCTATTCACCTGTTCCTGAAAAGGCATCCACTGAGAAGTCATCAGAATATCTCACCATCCCACCAAAAAAAAAAAAAAAAAAAAAAAAAACCTGGGCAACCTTCCTCTATCTGTGGAAGATGCTAATTTTCACAGCCATGCAGCTTGGTAATTGCTTCAAAGACAATGAGCAGCAGTCATGTGGCTCCAGATCTCTATCTAGGCTCCTTATTTCAAGATTCATGGACTTTATGAATTTTGTTCAGTGACTCTGAGTGCCACAGCTGATAAGGAGCTGGACTGTTATCAACCTACAGAAATATCTAAACTCATGTGCTGGATTCAGCCATCCACACGTAAGGAGACCATCTAGCATGTGCCAGATGTTTAAAGCATGGAAATTATGAATGGATCTAACAGAACTTAGCTTTGAGGCTTAAAAAAAAAATGAAGGCAAGCTCAGGGATACCTGTGGAAAAATATGTTTTTTTTCTCTTTCTGAAATGAATCATTTTGACAAATGGAGGCGTATGGCAGTTTAGTAAACTTCACACACATGATTGGAGCTAAAATATATTTCTCCCTATTTCAACTCAATTCATAGTAAGCTAAGGAGCCTAAATTTTTTACTTTCGGCATTCTCTAATTGGGTGATATTTTTGTGTGGTATGAGAACTGAAGAGATCAAGAATTCTCCCTTAGCATGAACACCCATTTTGCTCTGAATTCAAAAATGCTCTTCTACTCATTTTCCTTAGGTAAATTTGCAATGGTATTTTAACATCTGAAACTGCCATCCATGAATTTAAATTTCTGCATCATTAAATGGGCAACAAGCTAGCTCTGGCTGATGAAAATATGAGCTGGAAGATAACAGCACCATATGGAATGATGATCACATAATAAACCAGGAAACCAAAAACTGAATGAGTCAAGCTGCTTAGAAACACAAAACAAGGTTATAGCACTCTTTTGAAATTACTATACTCATAAATGGTAAAAAGTACTACCTCCCAAACTTGATATCAGCTCCGTCAATAAGTCTTAACAATGTCCCCATATTATCCCTAGGGATGTAGGTAGTTGTAATGAACTCAAATAAAACTGCAAAAAATGTGTAACCTTTTCTTTTCGATAAAACTTCAGTCTATACTTTTGACTCACTCTATTACTTCCCCACCCACAGTAAAAATATGAAGACACGATGACGTACAATACTTTTAAGTTGAAAGCTCTAGACTTTTAGTCATAGCATGGTTGGGATTTATATAGCAAAATTGTTATTTTTCTAGCAGCAACTGCTTTCATGAGCCATGAGTCTTGGGAAGATGAGATAGAAGGTGGCACATAACATTTTCTCCCACTTGGTTTATTTTTACTCAAGATACTTTGGTACTTTATGGTTTGATAAGCTACTACTCAATGATTATGGCTTGAATTACAATAAAAAAGTAGTTGGATATGTTTCAATATTACATATACTGCAATATTACATATGGAGTATATCAAGCAACATATGGAACAATTTGTAATGATCTAGATGCTCCCAATGTCTAAATCACTTTCAGAAAATTATGGGTTTTAAGAGACTTTGAAGACATTAGTTGTTATGGTCACCAGGATGCCTTGAATAATATGCTAAGAAAGTATATATATATATGGGACCTGCATAGTTAATAGAAATAAGCTACATGCACAATGAATTTCTATATAAAATATTTAGCTTAATCCCCATGAAAAGCTTGTGGGTTAGTTAGGTTTTATTATTCACATTTCACATAAGAAAGTTTAAAGGATTTGCTCAAAATCACAAAGCTAATAGTAACTCCAGGTTAGAGGAAAAACAAATTAGTATAGTGAGTATACAAGTGTACAGAGGCAGAGTTCTGAGAATTTCACAGACCCAACGTAATTCTCAAGAGGGGAAACAGAGGCCCAAAGTCACATGATTGGTGGTCAGCAGTATGGCTTCAGAGCCTGTGCTCTCAATCACCACTTCATGCTCCTCACTTTCTCTAGAGGCTGCTGGATGAATAAAAGAAATACAGAGGCTCAATGTCAGGATTCTGGCCCAGTGTTGCATAGAGTACAAATAGCCATGGAGTGACAATAGTTAAAAAAGAAAACATTGAATTTCCAGTGGTTCTGCAAGTAATAAAATTATATAAAATCTTAGGATGCTAGAATTCTTATTTCTATGCCATTCTCTTGATTTCCTCTTCAGGAAATAGCAGTCTTGCTTCAGACCACCTAAAAGTATTTAAATGTCAATATCTTCATTTCCAGTGTTCCTAGAGAGAATATTGTAATGCATCGTGATACTCCATTCCCACATTAGGAGAAGATTTGGTTGAAACCAGGGAGAAGAGAAGGGTCATAAAATTGGTTTGATGTAAAATATCCTACATCTGCTTCCAGTGATTTCAATGCTATAAGGGTGAGAAGGAGAACAAGCAGTACACACGTAACAATAAAAAGCAGTAGGTAATTATTAGTTTAAAGTAGTTCCATCAATTAAATTTAATGTTTTAAAGATTTTATGCATCACTTTGGAAGAGTCATATTCACATCTTGGGTTTTCTTTTAAACATACCAGATAAATTCTTAATAAACTTGAGTATAGTCTTCAGCAATATCTTTAGAAATAAGGGTTTGTAGCTGGTTCTGTACAGAAATGGGAATAAGTAGTTAGGCATGGGAGGTATAAAATGTATAGCTGCGTGCAATGATCAAATATTCATTGAGAGTGACAGGTGAACCAAGTGTATTAGACACGATCCTCTCTAGTGAGCTGGAATTTCAAACTCAACATGGCAACTAGTCACATGGGATAGTTTATACAATGTGTTTAGAGGAAAGCAGAATTTTAAAAGGCAATAACCAACAACCTTTCTCTTACATAGAGAATGCCATAGCATGATTTGTGGGAAAAAAAAACATGTTTTAGCTAGCATTGTGTCATAGAAAGTGGATTTAAATAAAATCTCAATGGACAATCAAGAGATGTGATAAGAAGTTTCCATGTGAGTCTTCTCCCTCATATTCTCATTTAAAGAAAATTTAGAAAATGCTAAATTGGGTCAATGCGAATATTGTAGAAAAATAAAGTAAAAGAATAGCAGACACAATTTACTAACTGCCAGTTTGAGCCTTCCTGATCAAGAATCCCAAAGAGTGTGCTCAAGAAAGATGATCCTTCTCAAAAAAAAAAAAAAAAAAAAAAAGAAGAAGAAAAAAAAAACACAAAGCACTGCAGAGGTATAAACAACAAACTGTGGGAACTACAGATTTGAATCCTTTCTTTACTTTGCCATGAGTTTGATTGTACCAGCTATAAATCATCATTTCAAGAATATTGCTGAAGACTATACTCAAGTTTATTAAGAATTCATCTGATACGGTTAATAGAAAATCCAAGATGTGAATATGACTCTTTCAAAGTGATACATAAAATCATAGGAGAATGGAGTTGTCAAGTCAACTGTTGTGATATGGTTTGGCTGTGTCTCCACCTAAATATCATCTTGAATTGTAGCTCCCATAATGCCCATGTGTTGTGGGAGGCAGACAGTGGGAGATAATTGAATCATGGGGGCAGTTCCCTCATACTGTTCTCGTGGTAGTGAATAAGTCTCAGGAGATCTGATGGTTTCATAAGGGGAAACATCTTTTGCTTGGCTCTCATTCTCTCTTGCCTGCTGCCACATAAGACGTGACTTTCATCTTCTGCCATGATTGTGAAGCCTCCCCAGCCACATGGAACTGTGAGTCCATTACACCTCTTTTTCTTTATAAATTACCCAGTCTTGTTTATATCTTTATCAGCAGCATGAAAACAGACTAATACACATTGTTTCAATTATAAAGTTTGTACTAGAATGTGAACATTGTAATTCCTACTAGGACTCCTGTGGAAAAGTATTTTTACATATTAAAATTAGTTATTATTATTATTACTCTAAAATGGAGTACTCTAAAGAGAAAATGAGCCAAATTTGAGTGAAAGATTTATTTTGGGTAAGAATAATTACTTCCATCAAGTTATTGTCCTTGTGTCTAATACAGCCCCAGTACACAAAAGGAACTATTATTTGTGGAATTCTGTCTCCAACCCCCGCCCCCCACCAAAAAAAGGATATATTGAAGTTCTAACTGCTTGTATCTCAGAATGGACCGTATTTGGAAACAGAGCTGTTGCACAAGTAATTAGGTGAATTAAAATTAGGTCATACTGGAGAAGGGTGGACCCCTACTCCAATATGATTGTGGCTGTTACAGAAGAAAGTGGCCATGTGAGGACAGGGACTGTGTGTGTTTTGTCTTGTCACAACAAAAGCACAGGTTGGAATGAGCAGCTGCCAATCAAGGAATGCCAAAGATTAGCAACTAACCACCAGAAGCTGAAAGAGGCAAGGAAAAATTATCTTACAGGTTTCAGGGGGAATATGGCCCTGCCAACACCTTGATTTCAGACTTCTAGCCTCCAGAACTGAGAAGCAATGCATTTCTGTTTTAAGCCACCCAGTTTACGGTACATTGTGATAGGAACCCTAGGAAATTAATAAAGGCCTTCAAGAAGCACTTAAACAGGGACAAATCAAGGACTGGATTCCTGACAACTGCCTTATTAGATCCCTTTCTGTTTTTAGAGAGGGCATCGTGGAAGGAGTTTCATAAAACTGAGTTTGAATCCTGATGCCACCACTTACTAGTGGTCTTTAGGCAATTCACTTAACATCTCCAAACTGTAGGTTACTCATCTGGAAAGTGAGAATAAACCTCCATAAAGTCCTAAGAGCATTAAATAAAATGATATATGTAAAGTGCCTGGTACATGCTTGGCACGGAGTAAATGTTAGTTCCAGTATCTCTCCTTGCATCACAATGTTGTAATAACAATTACATGAGACTAGAAACAAATTACTTTTACCATAGAGACCACTCTACATTTTACTATTCTATCGTCACCAGCACCTTGGGCATGACATAAAAGGCGCAAAAGAGCCCATCTGAGAGGTTTTTGAGACCCCCCAGGAGCCCAGGAAGAGAACTTGGGATGGGTTAGAGTTCTGTGGGATATGGGGGATTACATCTTAACTCTCACTGCTCTGTAATTCAGAGCCATTGCCCTAAACTGCAAAGGACTCAGTGAAATATAATCCCCTTCTAAGCCCTAAAAAGTTCCATCAAGTGTCAGAGAGGCAGCCTCACATGCACTCTCCAGCCCAGTTCCTTGAGAACTTCCTCTCAGTCCTCGGGTCAAGGGAAGTGTTAAACTTGAAAGAGTAAAATCACTTCCAGTTGCAAGGAAAGCTACAGAAATGATGAAAACACTCATTGGCCATAATATTTGCTCCTCCAATGAAGACAAGGCAGAACTAGCAGTTGGTAATAAGATGTTCCCAACTGGGACCAGTAGGAACTATTGCTGAGCACAGTTAATGCTAAATTCAGAGGAAAACCAGGATCCAGCCCCAGAGAGATGACTTGTAGTCCTAAAAGCATAGCAGGGCTAGGAGGGGCCCCAGAAGGGCACTAGGGCTACTTGATTGTACTCCACTGGGACCTTAGCCCACCTGGAGTTAACTTTAGTAATCAGCAAGATGTTGCAGGGTAGGTAGAAGGAAATTGTGTCCATATAAGAAAAAGGCAAAGCTAGCTTTTATTTTATTTTATTTTATTTTGTTTTATTTTATTTTGAGACGAAGTTTTGCTTTTATTGCCCAGGCTGGAGTGCAATGGTGCGATCTTGGCTCACTGCAACCTCTGCCTCCCGGGCTCAAGTGATTCTCCTGCCTCAGCCTCCCGAGTAGCTGGGATTACAGGGGTGCATCACCATGCTGGGTAATTTTTTGTATTTTTAGTAAGGACGGGGTTTCATCATGTTGGCCAGGCTGGTCTTGAACCCCTGACCTCAGGTGATCCATCCACCTCGGTCTCCCAAAGCTCTGGGATTACGGGTGTGAGCCACCGTGACTGGCCAAAACTAGCTTTTAAAGAGAGAAAGAGAATAAAGATGAAAAAAAAATTCACAAATTTGAGAAAATTCTGAAATGTAAGGAGGCAATCATCAGAAACCCAGTTCTTGATTTTCCCTGTTTGAGTGCTTTACAGCAGAAGAAAGGACCATTTTCTCCCTGGCACAAAGAGAGAGTTCCTACACGACAAGTCACTCCCTTCCTTAGTCCTCATAGCCAGAGATGAAGAAAAAAGCAGTCAAATACATTGCTGGCTGTGTAGCCCAAAGTGTATCTCCAGAATCTGCGTTTAAGTAAAGAAAATTATTTTCTTGGTTGCTATTCCAAATAAAAAGATGATCCCAATAAGAGTCCAATGATTTCAAGAATATACTTGGACTTCTGCCTGCCAGTTAAGGTTCACTTAAAAGGTGAGTCTTTCCTCACACTTTCTGGAACATCTGGAGGGAACTTCCTCCTCTCCCCCTGCTCTCCTCTACCCCGCCCAGGAATTATGCAGTGTGGAGGGCCTTCTGGAGGACAGCAGCATGGAATACCACCTCAAAAAGAACACACAGAGAACCATCCCTGCCATCGCTCCCTTCTTCTCGTCTCCTCCCAGTGTCTCCCACCCCAGAGAAGCTTAAGACCCTGAGGAAGGGAGGCGTGGAGGTGACAAAGCAGACCTCCCCGCCACTGCCGACAGCAGGTGAGGATACGTCAGGGCAGGGCTTAGCCCTGCACTGGCTAAGGAAGGCATGACACTTGAGGTCTGAGCCAGATTGATCCAGATTTTAATAACTGAAAGTGAATGTACTGCTGTTCCCAAGCTCAGGGGACAAAAGAGCGAGTCAACAGAACACGGTTTAAAGTGATGATTGAATAAAAATAAAACCTTTTCATGCTC